>NC_000009.12:116970552-117595552 GCF_000001405.40 Homo sapiens | reverse complement strand
CACAGTATTCCTTACACAGATAATCATTCACTCCACAAATATCCATAATTGGTAGCCAGCATTGCAGAAAGTAGTAACAGAAAATTACCACAAAGTGACATAAGTGCTATGTACCCAGGAAGCAGGTATGAACTCAGAGTAGACGCAGAGGAGTTAGGATTGATTTTTCTTTTATTATGCCACTTCACATATGATGACATTGAGGTTCAGAGAAGTCGATTTGTTTGTCCAAGGTTATAAAAACTGTGGTAAACACTATGTGTACTGATATGAAACAATCTCCAAGATACATTGTTCATCCAGGTGTAAAATAGTGTGCATATATATTACTATTTATGTGCCAGGAAAAGTTTTTTTGCTTATTTATTCATTTATTCATTCATTTATACACTTGTATAGGCATCTTTGGAAGAAAAGACGAGGTGTTGGTAACTGAGATTGCATTCAATGAGGAATCTAGAAGTTAGGAAGAGAGAGAGATTTAGGCTTCACTGTAGAAGCCTTTGTACTGTATGAAGAGTTTGGCTGTGAACATGTATTACTTGAAAATAAAAGCATAAAACATACCTAAGTTAATAATTGATTGAAGTGGCATTCAAACCAAGTCTCAACACATCACGAGCATTATTTGTTGAAATAACCATTACTAGGAAAGTAATATGGAGGAACTGGACTAGGCCACGATAAAATTGAGAAGGCACATAGGCTGTGGGTTCAGTGGGCAAGAGCACAGTAGTGTGGATGACCGCAGCAGGCTCTGAAAGACTGATCCTGCTAAGACAGCTGGAACGTAACAGGCGTCCAAGGTGAAAATGCTGGATGAAGAAAATGGGTCAAATGGTGGAGGTGCGTGAAGCCTGTGTTCCTCCTTTGATGAGGTCTCCAGCTGTCACCAGGAGAATGTTATGTTTGGGAGCCACTTTCCTAAATGTGAACATGATTAGCAATTGTGTCAAATTGCCTTTTCCTAAAGGTCTCTTCATGGCTGCCAGAGCTTTAATGTTAATTGGACAGATTGTCTTTAGATTTGAAACACAAACTGTGATTAATGAAACAACTGTTAACGAGTTTGGCTTGAGGTGGTTTCTCCACCTTTCTTCTCCTGCTGATACAGAATCGACAAGGTCTTGCTGTGTGTTTTTGGCCACGGGGAATTTGGCAGCCTGGTCTGAGAAGGATATTGGTTTTGACCTGGACTCCATCATCCCTCATATTATGTATGGATGAGGAAGTTGGGTCCCAAACAGGGTGAAGGTCACATCTCAAACAACTCAGGAGTGGGTGTTGGGGAGGGACTACAACTTAGAAGAAGGGTTTTATTCTGAAAAAATGTTTATCCCCATTTTTCTCCTTCCTCTGCTTTTCCTAGCTTCTTTTCCTCTCCTTCATCAGTCATTTTAGTTATAAGACTTCTCCCTGTCTCACCAATTCTTTATGCTTCAAAATACGTCACAGATGCCTTCTCCTTCCTCCATCATCCTTAGCGTAGGTCTTTTTTTTAACTTATCACTGGTGGAAGGTGGTTCTGTGTCATACAAATTGACTTTAGAGTCATGGAAAACAGGATTTGTAGATCAGCTCTACTACCTACTGGCTTTGTGATCTCGGGCAGTTTCATCATTTCTAAAATTTGCATAATGATTCTTACCTTACAGGGTATTGCAAGAATGCAAAACATGTATTCAGCACAGAGCCTAGGTGATGATATATTTTCACTAGATGGCAGTTATTTTTTCTTACCTATTGTATTTAGTCCATTCTCACATTGCTATAAAGAACTACCTGAGACTGGGTAACTTCTACAGAAAAGAGGTTTCATTGGCTCATTATTCTGCAGGTTGTACAGGAAGCATGGCTGGGGAGGCCTCAGGAAACTTACAGTCATGGCGAAAGGTGAAGAGGAAGGAGGCACATCTTACATGTCTGGAACAGGAGGAAGAGAGCAAAGGGGGAGGTGCTACACACTTTTAAACAACCACATCTCTTGAAAACTCACTAACTATTACAAGAACAGCAAGGGGGAAATCCACCCCCGTGAGCCAATCACTTCCCACCAGGTCCCTCTTCCAATACTGGGGATTACAGTTCGACATGAGATTTGGTGGGGACACAAATTCAAACCATATCATCTATTTTTACCTACTTGCTGAGTTTAGATTTGCCCTACACCACCAATCCATCCTTACTTACCTGACATAGTGCCCCATTTAATGTTTGCCCTGATGTATGATTTTTTTTAGTTCTGTCATATTGGCAGTTAAAACCACATACACCCTAAGAAAAAAAGCTAAAATTAAAAGGAGATTCTTAAATTCCAGACACAAAGAACAATGACAAATTTTATCGGGAACACCAAAGAGGACAGTAGTAATATTTAATCCAAACTTTTATTCTTTGTGATTAAGAATATGGCTTTACTATCTTTTCAGGGGAGAAAAATACCTTTTTTTACAAGAGGCAAAATAAAAAGTTGAAATTGAGACGCTGTATAAAACTGTGACTGAAAAAGTAAACTCTGCTTCATGAAAGAAGACTAAAACAAATCCCAACCAGTAGTCTAAAAAGTTGCCCCAAAATTGGTCTCTGGTCAGAGATTCAGATTGCAAAATAATTTTAAAAAAGAGTCTCATGGGGGCAGGGGCATCAATCCTGCCCTACATATGTTCATTTGCAAGAATGGCATCTGAATTTACACTACTCTCATAATGCAGGAATCCCAAGCTAAGATATTAAAAGGGGCAGGGAAAGAACCTTCTCCTGGAGCACAGGCACATAGTGCATCCAGCTGTACTCTAACTAAATAACCCCTCTCTGCAGGCTGCTGACCTCTTTGTCTGTGAGTTTCAGTCTACATCATATGCTTGATTTTTTGTTTTTTTCAGGCCCTTTGCACAAAATATAGCATACGCCACAGGTTAGATACAACTGAAGAGAACATCACTGGACTAGAGATAGATCTGAAGATGTTGTTCAGAATATAGCAGGGTAGTAATATAAGGCAGACAAAAGTAATTATGAGGTACATAAAATAAAATGAGGATTTTCAATATAATTTCTGGAATAAAAACAGAAAAATGATGGAGAACCAATGCTTGAAAAGAGAATTGCTGACATTTTCTAGAATTGAAGAAAAGGCCACAAATCTTCTAATAAGAAACATGACATTTTCTGCATTATAAGTTAAAAGAAAACATATTTTACAGTTTTATTCTTCAGCTTAAGATATTCAGTGACCCCTTATTATGTTGGGTCTCTGACTTGGACTTGAAAGGACTACATAATCTGGGCATTTTGTAAGTAAAATATTCCCCATTTTTGGAATCCTACACCAGTACCTATGTGGGACTCTCACTATCATGCATCAGCTATAACACTGAAAACAAGTTTCCCATTTGTCCTTCAGGCAGGCAATTTGGAAGTGTATTCTGTACAGCTTCTCAGGCATTCTCACGGGGACCAAATACAGTTATCTACAGCAATAGTCAACTTTCTAATCTATCCCTTTATTGTATCTCTCTCCATTCTTATTTTATTTTCCTCAGTCTTACTCCTACCTCCTCAGATCTCTAAGTAAATTTCCTAGATGCAAGCTTTGGTCCCTAGTTCCACTTTTACAGAGAATATAGGGGTAGATAATTGTTACTGGAAGTGGCCCTAGAAACTGTACTCTCAGGATGGGATTTTGGAGCTGAAGTGGTAACCAATGAGATGGCAATAAGAATCTATTGCTAGTGGTGACTGGAATGGGATGGTTTGCAGGAACATCACAAGTACCCAGAATTTTACTTGAAGTGCATTCAAATGAGGTACGTGGGGTAGGTCACCACTAGGTTATACAGAACCTATGACACTTGAACTATATAGGGAGATGATAACTATAAGGATTATGAATTGACTGGCTTTTATTAACTTCACTGGTAGCCTTGGCAAAGAAAATATCAGGCAAGGATCAGCCAACTATCAACTCAATATGCATCACAAAACCAGAAGACTTTAAGAATGTCAGCAAAGGGCTTTAGCCCTTTAGCCACAGGGCAGACAATATTGCAAATCAGAGGAGGGTTTAATTACAAAGGCGGCAGAACAATAAAGAAGAGTAAATGTCCAACCTTGACAAGTTTCCAGAGTCAGGGCCCTGAGAAGGAAAATGGAAGCATTTGGCTGAATCTCAAGCCAAAGAATTTTGTACTGGCAGATTTCCCTGAACCCTCCAGGCTAGGCGAAATAGCCCACCTCTTGCTAGGAAAGACCCGCTGTCTCTCTTTTCCAGGAGAGCAAGCAAAGATCTCACCTGAGTTACATGTCTTGCAAGACTATGCCTGTCACCTTCAAATTCTTCTCACTTCCTTTATTGCCTCCAGACTAGTAACTAAATTTGGCTCTAATTATAGCTGGAGCTAGGAAAGCGGTTTCTTCTTGGAGGGATTAGCTAGACACAGCAAAACGATGTCAAGACCCTGAATATAATTGGCAAGAATTGGTAAAAGACATAGGATAGAAATGTGAGAGTATTGGATCTAGAATACGGAACATAAGGTTGGATAGGGAGAATTTCTTGACATGAGAGGCTGCCTTGTAAATGGGACTTTTATAATATAATATATGCTCTATTTTGGTGAAAATGTCATATGCACTTGAACAAAATATATATTCTGCTATTGTCAATTGATTCGAACTTGTTGATAGTGTGTTGAAATACTCTATAGCTTACTTGTTGAGTAGTTGTTCTATCAGATACTCAGAAAATACTGTTAAAATCTCCAACTACAATTCTGGTCTCTTCTCCCTATATATTTGTCAATGTATTTTCAAACTCTCGTATCAGGGAAATACACTTGTAGGTCATTGTGTCTTCTTGGCAATCGTCACTTTACTCTTGAAATGTTCCTCTTTACCTCTAGAAATACTTCTTGTCTTGAGGTCTACTTTGTTTGATGTTAAAATAACAATAGCAATTTTCCCTGGTTTAGAGTTCGCACACAGTCTATTTTCCATTCTTTTACTTTGAACTTCGCTACATCTTAATAAATTGTGTCTCTTGTAAACAGCATACGCTTAAAAACCATTTTAAAAAATTCAGTGTGAAAATCTCCATTTTAATCAAAATGTTTACTCCATTTACATTTAGTGTAATTATTAATATGATTGGATTTAAAACTACCATCTTGCTGTTTACTTTCTATTTATACCCCCTATTCTTTGTTTCTATCTTACTTATTTCCATTATTCTTTGGTATTTATCAAGCACAGTTACTTTCCCATTCCCTTTCTATCATATTTTTTAAACGTATGCCTATTTTATTTTTTATTTATTTATGTTTTACTTATTACTCTGATGATTAAAATATCTAATCTTAATTTATCCAAAATATATTTTGAATTAATATTGTATTGTTACATACATAGTGTAAGAACTTTACTATAGTATACTTTTATTTATATTCCTTCCTATTCTTCTTTTGTTATATATTTTATTTCCACATATGATGAAAACCCAAATACATTGTTATAACTTTTGCTTTAAACTGTCAGATTGAATTCTAGGTAATTTATGAAAAAGAGAAAGATATGTTTACATGTATATATCTACATATTTACCATTTTCAGTGTTCTTCATTGCTCTCTGTACATCTGACTTTTTATCAGTTAGAATTTTCCTTCAGTCTAAACAATTTTTTGGAGTAGAAAAAATGTCCTTGACTTTTGTTCATCTGAAAATGTCTTTAATACACCTTAAATTTTAAGATAATATTCTGTTATATAAATAATTCTAGTTAACAGTTATTTTGTTATTGTTTTTATCAGCACATTAGAGGTGTCATTACATTGACTTCTATCTTGCACTATTTCTTATAAGAATTCAGCCAACATTCCCCATATTTGATATAAATTATTTTCTCTGTCTGCTATTAAGTTTATTTTCTTTACCTTTGGCTTTTAGTAGGTTAAATATGATGCACTTACATGTATTTTTTTCATGTTTTTCTACATGCAGTTTTCAGAACTTTTTGAATCTATGAATTACTACTTCTAATTAAATATGGAATGTTTTTGACTAATATTTCTTTATATTTTTACCTGCCTTATTCATTCTCTTTTTATTTTATTTTATTTTATTTTATTTCATTTTTGGAGCTCCAATTAACATATGCTAGTCACTTGATAGTGTATCTCAGGTTATGGAGGGCCCATTTGATGTTTGTTTGTTTGTTCATTTTAAATCTACTACTAACGCATCCAATTTTTTTTCTTTTTCTATTTTTTTTTTTTTTTTTGAGATGGAGTTTCACTCTTGTTGCCCAGGCTGGAGTGAAGTGGTATGATCTCAGCTCACTGCAACCTCCGCCTCCCGAGTTCAAGTGATCCTCCCGCCTCAGACTCCCAGGTAGCTGGGATTACAGGTATGTGCCACCACAACCAGCTAATTTTTGTATTATTAGTAGAGATGGGGTTTCACCATGTTGGCCAGGCTGGTCTCGAACTCCTGACCTCAGGTGATCCACCCATGTCAGCCTCCCAAAGTACTGGGGTTACAGGCATGAGCCACCGCGCCTGACCAATTTTAGTTTTAATTTCAGATACCATATATCTATTTTATTTCTCAGCTCTAGGATATTAATTAGTTTTTTTGTTGCTGTTTTAATATCTTTCATAAAATTCCACAACTTTTCACAATTGTATTAAAGTTTTTCTGAAAGTGTTTTTAAATATATTTATAATATATCTTTTATAGTTCTTGTCTGCTAGTTCCAGTATGTTGAGTATCAATAGAACAACATATTTATCATATATCTTTTATAGTCCTTGTCTGCTAGTTCCAATATGTTGGGTATCAATAGAACTGTTTCTGTTGACTGACTCTTTTTATTGACTACAGATCACTCACATTGTCATGTTTAGCATAATGTCTTATAATTATTTTATATATCTGGAGATTGTGGATGATAAATTATAAGGGATTCTGGATTCTGTTATCTTTCTCTATAGAGTGTTAAGTTTTATTCTGACAGGCAGTTAAATTACTGGCAGATCACCTGATCTTGGAGGCTTAGATGTGGGCCTTGGAAAAATGGCTGCTTTTATTTTTTTCCTGACTCCTAGGACAAATTCCTTAATTCTGAGGCCTGTATTTTGTTCTATGGCATCATCTCAACTAAAGCTCAACGTTTTTCTCAATTTCCTTTTACATACCTAGACCTGCACTGAAAACTCTGTCTACCATGAGGTGGAGAGTAATTAAAGCCTCTGCTCAGAAACTTAGGGCTTCCAGCTGCAGTTTTGCCTGTAGACTATTTAGATTCTCACCCTATTGGTGCACAACTCAAAAGCCAGCAAGGCTTGGGGGACACTTAACACTCACGTATTGGAACTCCTTTCTCTGTTGTTCATTCTCTTCCAATACTTCCCCTTTTTAATTTCAAGTAGCTCTGGCATCCCAAACTCTATTCTCTTTTTAGACAAATAAGACTACCCATTCTGTTTAGTCTTCAAGGCACGTGAATGAAAATGATGTGTTTCACCTTCACATAGTATCCCAGTAGTTCTTTCATATTTTTTCATCTTTTTGCTGGACACTAATGACAGTGTTGATGAGGGCCAGAGAATGGCAGAGTCTCAAGATAGAAAACTGACTGAAGTATGACATGGAGGTTAGCTCCCTATCATAAAACCACTCACTTTGGATTGTAACATAAATTAAAAATGAATAATTATTGAATTAATATATAAAATTTTGGAATCTATTGATTACTATGCATAACCAATCTCACAATAACACCTTACAATAGGACACTAAATGTGTGTGCATATTTATTTTATATACATTTATTTCCTTATGTGTACATACATTCTTCATAATATCTTACAAATGTATTGCTAAACTCATATTAGATAATATGAACAATGAAGAGAGCTATGCTGCAATTTTGCTCAAAAGTTAAATATGGCAGTAAATGCAAAGACACATCCTGTGTTCTGTTTTTCTTTGCTTTGTTTTAGGAATACTATCGTGTGCCTTCTTATTACTCAATTATTTCACCACTTTTCTTTTCCAAACTGCCAAGGACTGTTTGTCCCTATAGTTTGTGATGAGGTCATTTGGACTTCATTTGGCTCTCAAGTGTGCCGTTTATTATGAAGTGTTTGGCAGTACAGTTTTCTCATTAGCCTGCAACATTTAAGATAGTGTGATATCCCTTTCACTGAATCATTTTCATGATGTCAAATTAAATTCTTCATTTATCAACTAAGTAAATAAATTAATTTCCTAATCCATGAAAATATCTTTGGTTACAACCCATTGCTAAAAAAGAATAGTTTTGACATTATAAACACTAAAGTAATGAAGAATGCAATGGCAGATGAAGAATAAGTATTATCATTTTTACATTAAAACATGCAAGTTACATGCTGTCAGTCTTGCTTACCAATGTATTGAAAGTTAAATTCTGTCACTTTGGCATCATAATCTGGCATTGACATGATTATGAAAAACAAATGAAACATGGGCTGTGAAATTAGATGGTAGCTTCAGCTATAAGGTAGTAATTTACAAAATCTAAGGATTGACAACATTAATTATTTTTAGGTCACCACCAAAATTATAATCAGCATGTAAACCCAGATGCACATATATCCTCTGTGGCTTTGTTTATAATTGTGAAAAATTTAAAACAAGGTTATTGTCCATTTGATTAAGTATATAGTGTCTGGAGTCAACCTTCCTGAGTTCAAATACTGGCCTCTATATTCTGATGTGTCATTTTGGGAAAGCACCCTAAACTTCTGTGTTTCTGTTTCTTCAAATGTAAAATGACAATAGTAATTATACTGAATATTGCCTGTTCAAATTCACAACATCTTTCTCTTTATAAATTCTTCCCTGGATTACCAGGCCTAGACAATTGTTAATTACATGCCTGTAACACTTGCCAGTAGCATTTCAGTGTAGGTTCTACCAATGGGAAGTACTTCTGCAAGATTGTAATGCAGAAGAAAGGAATAGCCATTCTTCTTTTGACTCCAGCCTCAGTGGTGGCAGCTCACTAAGATGCACTCCTACAGTAGTAATAATGCTGGCAGTGGCAGGTGAGGAGGTACTTCTGTCGGTGTATATGACTTCAGTAGCAGACCCTGTAGTAGGTGTACAATAGCCAACTCTTGCAATAGCAGCAGCAGATGACCTAGTGAGGCAGTGTTAGGGCAGTAGAGACATCAGTCAGCTCTTTGTTTCTGGATAACCTTTTATTATTGTTGTTGTTATTATTATTATTTTGATCTTTCAGTTCTTCTAACTATTGTGTAGCTCAATTCTGTATATTTAACACCTCTTCACCTGAAATCCCTAAACTAGTTTCTGTTGTCTTGACTCCATAGTGATCGATAAAATAATTGTATTGACATAATAGCATTGCCATGAAGATTTACATAACTCATGTAAAAGTATGAAGAAAATGGCCTGGAACATAGAAACCACTCATTAAATATTAGCTTCTGCTGCAAGTATAGTCGTTATTCTCTTGAGGATTAGTCTCACAGTCCTGTTCTTTCATTCATCGAGTAACCTATGGTTGTCTTCTGAATATTGTAAATGTTATGCTATGAAGATAGAAGATTCTGTTTAATTCTTCTAAGGAGGGTGGATTTTTATGTGTTTGTTTTAATAGAAGTTAAGTTCGTTGGGAGCAAAATGCAAACTCTTACTCTTGGACAGCAGCTCAAATTTCAGTTTGATTATTTTAGCCATAGTCCTCGTACTTGGACTCTACACATGAGTAATTGAATGGTCAGACAGATATTAGGGCAGAATCTGTAGACATAATTTGGGCTCTCCATATCTGGCTCTGTCCTTTCTAAGATCTGCCCCTCACTTGCGAGCAACTGTGATTGCTCTAAATTCTGACCTCTGTTTTTTGTTTTTTTTGAGACAGAGTCCCACTCTGTTGCTCAGGCTGGAGTGCAGTGGCGTGATCTCAGCTCACTGCAACCTCCGCCTCCCGGGTTCAAGCAATTCTCCTGCCTCAGCCTCCTGAGTAGCTGGGATTACAGGCACATGCCACCATGCCTGGCTAATTTTTGTATTTTTAGTAGAGACCGGGTTTCACTAAGTTGGTCAGGCTGGTCTCGATCTCCTGACATCATGATCCGCCCGCCTCGGCCTCCCAAAGTGCTGGGATTACAGGCGTGAGCCACCGCACCTAGCCAATTCTGACCTCTGTTTTTAAAACCAGCCAGGCTGTAGACATTCCAGTAGTTTTAGCTCCCTTGCATAGTGCAGACTAGGGCTTGCCCTTATGCTAAGATAAGCAATGAAAAAGACAACTTCAGTTTTTTCCATGTGTTGATGCCTCCTCCAGAATACGCCTATATTGGGTTACTCTCCATCGCCTTCAGATAGTTGTTTGTTGGGTTTTTAAAAAATATTCTGTCCATTGTTTATTGTTGTTATTCATGGGAGGGCCAGTCTCATAGAGGTTCATTTGACCATTAGTGGAAGCAGCTTTTGGCTTAGACACTATTAATATTTTTATAGGTATAAATATTTATGCATATATCATAGAATTGAATGAGGTCTCTCATTCAGCTGAATTCAGCTGGCAGATGGTCTGGGCTGGAAGTTTCAAGAAAACTTTGTTTACATATCTGGAGCCTCAGAGTTCTTCCAGATGGCCATTTCACGTGGCTAGCGTGGGCTTCCTCTCTAAATAGTGATCTTAGGGTAGCTGGCCTTCTTACATGACAGCTGGCTTTCTAGAGGGAGAAATCAGATGCTTCCAGACTTCTTAAGGCCTGGGGTCACTTATTTTGTATTCTATTGGTCAGTGGATGTCAGAAGCCCAGATTCAAGGGGAGGAGATATAATCTCCACCTCTTGAAATAACTGGTGTCGTGAGTATGCAAAAACGGAAAGAATTGATGGCAGCCATTTTTGGAGACTATCTAAAGAACTAACCAACTAACTACATACAAATACACATACACCCACACACACTCACATATATAACATTCTAGTGGACTAAAAGAATGAGGAGATCTGAGAAGTACAAAGTCTTCAATTTTATCTTGAGTGTTTTATTTCTTGTGTGTAAGGAAAAGTAATAAAATTTAAAAATTTGTTAATTCTAAGCAGCTGAGTAGATGGTTGTTTGCCATATTATTCTGTTATGTTTTTGTCTGTTTGGGTTTTTTTGTGTGTTTAAAACTCTTCCAAATAAAAGATTCCCACACTCTTTGACCTCCTGAGATTATATCCGTGGATCACATAAACTCCTACAGATGGACACGGACCTGGAGATATCCAGACTCCTTTTCACTCTAACAGTCTGTAATTCTACCGAGAGGGAGGGAAAGGATGGATGACCTCTGAAAGTCTTTCTGAACGCTGTGTTCCCATGCTCTTTCTACTGTACCTGGGGTCATTCCATGTCCAACATTGCTTGTTACTTACTCTCCCAGTCATTCTTCTCTAAAGCAATTATCTTTATCATAATTTCATACCCTGAACTCTGCTCGTTACTCTACTCGCCTCCTCGTTATCAAAATATGCTGCCCAAGTTTTGCTCACTTAAAAATAACCTACCATTATAGCTCTGTAGAAATTATTCAGCCAGCAGGCATCTATCTCCCTTCAACATTCATCAAGCTAGAGTGAGTGATTAGAGAAATAGCAGGGACCAGGACCCTCCACTGGGGTTGCACTGGTGATTTTGGAGCTCTCGTCCCACAGAGGAATACCTCCAATTAGGTTCACCTTGAAATGAAAGGCAGTAAGTTGTGAGAAGCTTTGTTGACATATAAGAGGAAATCCATTCATTAACCAAACTTCCTGACCACTTATATAGAAATAATAGTAATATAATGTATGAAAATATCCTGTAGGATAAGCACAAAGAAATGTAAGTCAAAGATATTCACTCAACTTTATTATTATTAGAAACAATCTAAATGTCCCTTCTGGGAGAATAATGACATAAATCACAGTACTTGTACACAAAGGATATGTACTCACTCATTTAAAAAACTAAATACACTTATAAATGGGAGCTAAACATTGAGTACACATGGACATAAAGAAGGGGAAAACAAACACTGGGACCTAGTTGAGGGCAGAGAATGGGAGCTGGGAGAGGATCAAAAAACTACCTATTGAGTACTAGACTTACTATTCAGGTGATGAAATACTCTGCACACCAAACCCCTGTGACATGCAATTTACCTATGTAATAAACCTGCACATGTATGCCTAAACCTTAAATAAAAGTTAAAAAAGTAAAAGCAAAATACAAATTAAAAACTGAGATAATGTTGTATGCTCTGACATAAAAGGTTTTCATAATATTTTAAATTAAGACCAACATTTGCATACTATTTTAAATTGAGACCATCATTTGCAACAATTTTTATGGTTCTATAATATAAGCCTACTTTTCATAAAGTAAGGTTTTATTTTAATGTATGTATTTTTATAAATACAGGAAAGAAAGAAAGCTAATAAAAACCATACCTTAATGAATACCCCTCCTGTGCCACACACTGTATATATGTTGTGCATACACCAACCTATTCAGTCATTCCTCACAGCATGGTATCAGTTTTATTATTACCATTTTACACATGTGAAAACTAAAGCTCAGACAAGTGAAGAAACCAGCCCATGTTCTTCTAGCTAGGGAATAATCAAATTAGTATATGTTTTTTGTTTGCCTAAAACAACAGCATGCATATTTGAACAATTCACCATATTGCTAGACTTCTCACTTTTCAATTACTCTTGCTAGCAAAATTATCTTACTCCCTAGCTTTGCCCATATTCTTCTCTCTCCTTCTAATATTCTTGTCAGACTCCCTTTCCTCTGGATGAAAAGTTTTTATTGAGGCATACTAACATATGGCAACATTTGCATGAAGACTCTTAAGTGTGTTTCTTGAGTACATAAACCACGCGCACATGCACATGGTTCAAAATACAAATACCCCATTCCTCAGAAACCCAGCTCTCTATATCAAAGGGGATCAATGTTCTCATCTCCTGTATATGCCCTGCAGCAGAATTTTATTCATATATAAGCAAATACATGTAGGTATTTCTGTTCATCTTTTTCACAAATAATGGAACACTATTCACACTATTCCTTACTTTTGTCTACCACTATAACTTACAGATAATTTCATACCTGTATGTGAAAAGATTTTCTATTCCTTTTTATGGCTACTTACTTAATATTCCATTATATGCAAGACATCTATGTATTTAGCAAGTCACTTATTAGTAAACAGGGGCGGCTGGTAATCCTCTGCTTTTACAATCAGTGCTGCAACACAATTTTTTTAACCTTTATACAATAAATTACTAAATGTGGAATTGTTGCTAATGTGTACGTGCATTTATAATTTAAATGTATACTTTCAAATTGTCCCCTAGAGAGTTTTTACCAAATTAGAATCCTACCAGCAATGTGCAAGATTGCCTCTTTCCATACATCCTCATCAATAAAGTATATAGTCAGACTTCTGGATCTTAGATAATCTGAAAAGTGGAACTATTGTCTCAGTATAGTTTTAAGTAGACTTTCAACAGATCCAAAAAGCTGAGCAGATTCCAAACAGGATAAAAGCCAAGAAATCCACCCAAAGAAGTATATAGTAAAACTTCTGGGTGGGGGCGGGGGGGTGGGAATTGTATTGTAAAACTTTCTCATAACAATAAAAGTAACATCACCTTACCTGTAGAGGAGAAATAACTTGAATTGCAGCAGATTTCTCATCACAGACTATGAAGGCCGGGAATAAGTGCCACAATATTTTTGAAATTCTGAAAGAAAAAATTGCCAACCGGTGTTCTATATCCAGAAAAATATCCTTTAAAAATTGAGGTAAAATCAAGCTATTTTCAAATAAAGGAAAATAGAATCTGTCACCAACAAACCTACCCAAAAAGGACAGTAAAATTTTCTGGATTTACATATGACATATTTATGGACATAGAAAATCCAAGGAGTCTACAACAACAACAACAAATTTATAGAACTAATAAATAAATGTTCAGCATATTTACCGGACAAAAGACAAACATAGAAAATTCAATTGTGTTTTCTTATATTATAAATGAATACATGGAGATCAAAATTTAAAATACAGTGCCATTCAAAATTACTCATCAAATAATACACTTTGGTGTAAATTTAACAAAAATAGTACAGAACTTACATACTGAAAGCCATAAAATACTAATAAAGGAAATCAAAGAAGATCTAAATAAGTTACCATGTTCATAAATTGGGAGACTCAACATATTAAGGATATCAGTTCTCCCCAGTTTGATATACAGGTGTAATACAATTTTTATCAAAATCTCAGACTGATTCTTTGTAGATATTGGCAAGATTATTTCAAAATTTATATGAAAGAGCAAAAGAACTAGAATAACAAAAAATTGAAAAATGAAGCATAAAGTAAAATAAATCAGTCTACTTGATTTCAAGATTTATTATATACACACAGTAATTACAAATGCATAATGGTAGTGAAGAGTTTGATGCATAGATCAATGGAACAGAATAAAGAACTGAGAAATAAACCCACAAAAATATGGATAGTTGATTTTTTACAAAGGTGCAAAAGCAATACATTGGAGAAAGGATAGACTTTTCAATAAATAATACTAGAGCCATTGGACATCCATGGGCAAAAAAAAAAAAGACAAAACAAAGATGAAGAGAAAGAAGATGAAGAAGATGTAGATGAAGAAGAAGAAAAGAGGAGGAAGGGGAAGAAGAACCACACACACCTTTAAAAAAGCTCAAAATGGACCACGGGATTTAAATGTAAATTGTAAAACTATAAATCTTTTTTAAAAAACAGAATATCTTTTTGATCTGAGGTTAAGCAGAGTTCTTATACAACTGTAAAGACACCTGATAAAAGATCTTTAAAATTCATGGAACACCTAGAGCTAAATGAAGAGATTTTTAATCTTAATACCAACAGTATGATCCATAAAAGGAAAACTTGATAAATTGGACTTCATCAAAATTTAAAACTTTTTCTGCAAAAGACCCTATTAAAGGGCAAAAAGACAACCTAAAAACTCAGTGAAAATATTTGCAAATCACATATTCAACAAAAAAACTAGTTTCTGGAATATATAAAGAGCTCTCACAGCTGAACAGAAAAAACACATCTAATTAGAAAATAGGTAAACGATTTAGACAGATATTTCACCAAAGAGAATATGCAGATGAACAATAAACACATGAAAAAATGTGCACCATTAGGCATTAGGGAACTTCAAAATTAAAACCACAATATAATATCTCGACACTCCTACCAGAATAGATAAAATAAAAAGTAGCAACAATCACAAATGTTGATGAGGATGTGAAGAAATTGGGTCATTTCACACTTTGCTTGTGGGAACGTAAAATGGGACAATCACTCTGGAAAGTATTTCTACAGTGTTTTAAAAACCTACACATGAAACAATTAAAAGACTCAACAATTGTACTCCTGGACATTTATCCTAGGTAAATAAGAATTACAATCACACAAAAACCGATAAACAAAAGTTTGTAGCAGCTTTATTCATAATAGCCTAAAACTGGAAACAAACCAGATGTCTATCATGAGTGAATGGTTAAACAAACTATGGCACAGCTGTACTATGAAGTCTTAGTCCATTTGGGTTGCTGTAACAAAACACAGTTATGCATCACTTAATGGTGGAGATCTGTTCTGAGAAATCCATGGTTAGGTGATTTAGTTGTGCAAATATACAGTGTATTTACACAAACCTAGATGGTATAGCTACTACACACCTAGGGTATATGGTATAGCCTATTGCTCCTAGGATACGCACTTGTACAGTATACTACTGTGTTGAATACTGTAGACAATTGTAGCACAATAGTAAGCCTTTGTGTATCTAAACATATCTAAATATAAAAAAGATACAGTAAAAATATGATACAAACTTAGGGAACCACCATCATATATGCAGTCTGTTATTGATAAAAATGTATTTGGTGCTTGACTGTACTTTAGACTGGGTAATTTGTAAACAATCGAAATGTATTGCTCACAGTTCTAGAGTTGGGAAATCCAAGATCAACGTGCCCATAGATTTGATATCTGGTGAGGGCCTGTTCTTCATAGACAGTACCTCCTATGTATCCTCACCTGGCAAAAGAGGCAAGGGAACTCCCTTGAGTCTCTTTTACAAGGGCACTAATTCCATTCAAGACGGTAGAGTCCTCATGACTTAATCATGTCTCCAAAGCTGCAACTCTTAATGCTATTACATTGGGTATTAGGTTCAAACACACAAATCTGGAAAGACACCAACATTCAGACCATGGCAGTCCATGCATGCCCCTGAAATTTATGTCCTCCTTTCATGCAAATTGTATTCACTCCATCCTAATAGCTTCAACAAGTATTGTTCCAGCAACAACTCAAAATTTCAAAATCCACAGTCTCATCTAAATATCATCTAAATAAGTTATGAGTGTGTCTCAAGGTACAATTTATTCTGAAGCAAATTGCTCTCCATCTGTGAACCTGTGAAATCAAATATGGTGTGTGTTTACAAACTACAATGGTGTGACAAATCGCGTATAGACATTCTCATTCCAAAAAGGAGACATAATAGAGAAGAAAGGGGTAATAGGTCTCAACCAAGGCCAAAACCCAACAGAAAAAATGTTGAATCTTAAGACTCCAGAATAATCTTCTTTGACCCAAAGTCTTGCCTTCTAAACACACTGTGTTGGGGGTTGGGCCCTCAAGGCTCCAGGGAGCCCTGTCTCCATGACTTTGTTCAGCATAGCTCACACTGCAGATCCCATAGTTAAGTCTTGTGCCTGTGGCTCTCCAAGGCTGGAGTTGCATGCCAGTGGCTCTGCCAGTCTGGGGTCTCTGGCACGGCCCCATCTCCACAGCTTCACTGGACATTGCCTTAGCTGGGGCTTTCTTTAGTGACCCATCCCTATGGCAGCTCTCAGCCTGGGCCTCAAGTCTTTCTGGGGCATCCTTTGAAATCCAGGTGGAGGTAGCTATGCCCTCATAATGCATACACTCTGTACCCTGGTGGAGACAGCACCACACTGGCACCACCAATGTTTACAGCCTGTGCTTTCTGGAGGGGTGTTCCAAGCGACATTTGGGCCTGCTTGAGCCACAGCTAGGATGGCCAAGGAATGCTGCACTGGAATGCAAGAAGCAGAGCCTTCAAATTGTTCTGTTTATAAGGCTTTGGCATTCTGAACTTGTGTACAAAGTACCCCTAGAGATCTTCAAAATGCCTACAAGGTTAATGCTTCCATTGTCTTGACGAATAGCACTAGGCCTCCATCTATCCACACTAATCTTCTCAAATGATCTCCTGGCCACATCCTTGGTATTCTCACCTGAACATGCTTTTCATTCTTTACCACATGGCCCGGCTGAAAATTTTTCACATCTTTAAGTTATGCTTCCCTTTTTGATGATAAATCGCATCTTTATTTCTCTCTTCTCACATTTTACTATAAGCAGTCAAGAGAAGCTATGCCATATTCTCAACACTTTGCTTAAAAATTTCTTACACCAAATATGCTATTTCATTGCTCACAATTTCTACATTCTACAAAGTACTAGACATTAGCAAAATTCTACCAACTTCTTTCTCACTTTATAACAAGGATCACATTTCTTCCAGTTTCCAATTACACATTCCTCACTTTCTTCTGACATCTCGTCAGAATGTACTTTACCATCTATATTTCTACCAACATTCTGATCACAACCTCTTAAACAATGTCTATGAAGAATGAAACTTTCTCTGCAGCTCTCTCTTTCTGGATTCTCACCAGAATCAACCTTAAGGCTTCTTTCATGCAATGTACACTAAAACTCTCCTGGCCATTATCCATCACCATGTTTCAAAGCCGCTTTTAGGTATTTATCATAGCAGCACCCCACTTTTCAGTCCTAACCTCTGTCTTAGCTCATTAGAGCTGCTGTAACAAAATACCTTAGTTTAGGTAATTTCTAAGCAATAAAAATTTATTTCTCACAGTTCTAGAGGCTGCCAAGTCTAAAATCAAGGTACTAGCAGATCCACTGTCTGATGAGGGTCTGTTCCTCACAGATGGCACCTTCTGTCTCTTCACATGGTGTAAAGGGCAAGAGAGCTCTCTTGAGCCTCTAATAAAAGGCCACTAATCTCATTTGTGGGAGTGAAGCCCTCATGACTTAATCAGGTCCCAAAGGCCCTGCCTCTTAATATTATCACATTGGGTTTTAGGTTCAAATATATGAATTTGGAGGGGGGACACCAATATTCAGACCATAGTTTATGAAACACAACTTAGCAGTATAAAAGAATAAATTATTGATGTACACATTTCTGGATGAATCTTTGGATACTTAGGCTGAGTGAAATTCCCACGCCAAAAGGTTACATACTATATATTTTTATTTTTGTAAATTTCTCAAAATGACAAAATTATAGAAATGAAGAACATATTAGTGATTGCCAAAGGGTTAAAGAGACAGGAAAGTGGAATGGAAGTAGATATGACTGTAAAAGAACAACATGAGAGAGACTTTTGTGGTTATGGAAATGTCCTGTGTCTTGAGTGTAGCAATGTCAATTTCTTGTTTGTGATATTGTACTATAGTTTTGCAATACATTACTATTGAGGGAAACTGGGTAAAGGATACCTGGGATCACTGTGTATTATTTTTTACAACCGTATGTGAATCTACAGTTATCTCAAAATAAAAAGTTTAATTAAAAATATTGAGTTTTCCTATTCAATAACATGATCTGTCTTTTCAGCTGTTCAGGCCGTTTGGAGTATTTTAGTTTCCCTTCATACAGATCTTTGGCATTTTTATTTGTTGTTATTGTAAATAAAGTCTTTTCTTTCATTGCATTTTCTAAATGTTTATTTGTTTTTATGAAAGTTATTGATTTCAGTATATTAAAATTGTGCTCATCAACTTTATTGAATTCTCTAATTAGTTGAGATAGTTTTCACATTATTCTCTTAGGTTTTCCAAGTGTATAATTATATTATCTGTAATAGAGATCATCTTATCTCTATTATATTCTTTTCCAATGTTTATAGCTTAGATTCTTTGTCTTGTCCCATGACATTGTCTAGCACCTTCTGTTACAAATATTAAATAATAATTGAAAGAATTTTGGTTTTGGGTTTGTTGATGGTGGATTTTTTTGTTTCCAACTTTAATGGAAGTGCTTTTAGTGTTTAATGTTTCTATTAAAGAGTCTATTTATTATATTAACGAAAATCCATCTCTGAATAATATTGTTAAATCTGGTCATATATTCTTTTTCAAAAGCCTCCAATGAAGTCTAAAGAAATAGAACATAAACCACCAATGCAAGCCACATATGCAATTTTAATTCTTCTAGTAGCTAGTTTCTTTTAAATAGTAAAGAAAAACAGGTAGATTAATTTTAATAATAGTTTTAACACAATACATTAAAATATCATTTACATGTAATCAATAAAATTACTACTGAAATATTTTTTAGTACTAAGTCTCTGAAATCCAATGTGTATTTTACAGTGTCAGTACATTTCAATTAGACAATGTTCAAGTGCTCAATAGTTACGTGACTCTAGTGGCCACCATTCTGGACAGCATAGCTATAATGGAGTTTCATTGTTTTCAGAGATATGCCTAAATACCTTAACTTTGCTTCAAATGAACTTCATAGCAGGCCCCCTGCTGAAAAATCAGCTTCATTGCCCTCTTCCCTGGGCCTCTGAAAACCTATTTCTTCTGTTTGGGACACCCTCCTTCTCTTCACTTAGTTAATTCTTCCCCATCTCTCAGCTCAAAGCCAACTTTACCTAATCTCTGGAAGCTTTCCCTGCCTCTAGTTTGGGTTAGGTTCCTGTCCTCTGCATTCCCATCATCACCTGTTTCCAACATTCTTCCACTTGTCAATCTAAATTCTGCCTTCTTGGGATAAGAGACTCTATTTTGCTTTCCATACCCCTAACTTATAGCATGGTGTACATAGTAGCTACTCAACAAATACTTATTGTGCAATTAAGAGATGTTATTCAATGAATGATAAGCCTTCATGGGGAGCAGAGGAAAACAATTTATCTTGTGCATTTATGAATGAGGAAAGACGATGCTTTGAACAAAAGTAGGAAAGAAGACTTAGAATGGAGTCTTAGAAATGGATAGATTATAAGAAGAGTATCACATATTAACCCCATATTAAACCTGCAAATTATGATGTCTCAGTATCTAGGTTGTAATGTCAGAGGATGGAGTAAGAGAATGTGTAGGTGTCTGTCCACATCTTGGTGGGGGAAGGGAACATAAATTTCAGGGAACAAATGGCATTGTAGCTTTTTGCTTCAATGCTCTGAACTGCTATAAGTTTAAATGCTTTTCTAGTCCTTTGGTTAAGGTAACGTATGAATAAGGTATCATCTACCAATTGCCACCCTGATGCTTTAGAGTATCTTGTACAGTTGAAGTGACTATTTTTTAAGGAAGATCATGGCCCATAGAAACCTGGAAATAGATTTTGCTGAGGCATTTCAGTATTAAAAGTCTCTCTCCCTCTCTGGACTTAAATTTTTATATTTGTCCTTTCTAAGATACGTCTCATGGTTCCTGGCCCATCCTATACCCCCTCTTATGAAAGAAAGAATGTGTTAACTTTCAAAAACTGAAAGCCAAGATGACCCAAACGGAATGTATTTTTGGAATAGTACTGAAAAATAACAGTAACAATAATAATGAATACCACGTACCACACAATTATTATGTGTCAGGCACCGAGGTAAGCACTTTTTCTACATTATCTCATTTAAATGTCACAAAAAAAGTGATAGGCCTATGGTCACATAGCTGATTACTAACTGAGCTGGGACTCATTCCCAATCTGTCTAATTTCAAAACCCACATATTCATATATTATATTACTTGCAATTTATCAAACCATAGAGAATTCTATTACTGAAAATCTCAGTCAACAATCTTTGCATTTGTCCAACTCCAGAACATTTGGATATCCCTTCACTTCACTCATCTTCAGGGGGAACGTTATGCCTGGTCACATCTGGCCTTCTGATTAGACCAGAGAGATATGCTTCAGTGTGTCTGCTATTTTCATTTCCCATGAGAGGATGAGCAAAATGATTGACTCAGACCCCTTCACAAATGGAGACCACAGCGGCTCACAGTTAGATGCCTTCTGTATAAGGGTCAATTAAGATGTGTGTTTGATTATCCACCAAGGAAATAAGGGACAGATGGAGGAATTTGGTCACAGTGACTGAAGGCACTTTGACAGCTGCTGTGCTGATTACATCACCAGCCTCTATGTTTTCAATGAAGATTGTATCTCCTTGATAACTCTTGAACAGAAGCAAAAGCATTTGTCTTTCTGATTTCATCTTTAAAGGCTGTAACACTTACGTGGTAGAAATATTGCTAGACCCTCAATCAGTGGAGTGCAGCTTGAACTGCATATTAGACTCACCTGGAGAACTTTTAAAAATTTCAATCCCCAGGTTAAATATCCCAGAGACCAATTTCCTTAGAATCCCTGCGGATGAAATCCAGGGATCAGTATTTATTATAGCCTCCCTCCCCATGTGATTCCAATGTTCAGTCCATGAGAAAACCACTGCCCCCCAAAACATTTTTCTTTAGCATAGTTAACAGATGAAAAGTAACAAAACACTTATACTGTTTTATTGCCAATGTCTAAATTAATTGCACTGTAAATAAAAAATGCAGTCTATTTAATATCAAATCTCTTTTTTTTTTTTTTTTTTTTTTTGAGATGGAGTCTTGCTCTGTCACCCAGGCTGGAGTGCAGTGGCTCGGACCTCGGCTCACCACAACCTCCACCTCCTGGGTTCAAGTGATTCTGCTGCCTCAGTCTCCCGAGTAACTGGGACTACAGGAGCGCGCCACCATGACTGGCTAATTTTTGTATTTTTAGTATTTCACTATGTTGGCCAGCCTGGTCTCAAACTCCTGACCTCATGATTCACCCGCCTCGGCCTCCCAAAGTACTGGGATTACAGTCCTGAGCCACCGCACCCAGCCAATATCAAGTCTTTAAAATATTTTATATTCTTGATGACTGCATATATTATAAATGTCTATGTATGTTGTAAATATATGTGTACTTTTTGTATTTTCTAAAAATTATATGATCAATTTTTGAATATAGTGTGCATATACGGGAATATGTACACACATATATAATAAAGCTGGTTAAATTTGTTTACTATTTTTGTCTATGTATTCTATCAGGTTCCAATAAAGATATTTAAAAATTTCCCACTTACAATAGTGTTTCCCAATTTTGAAAATGATACAAATTTTGCTTTTCTATTTTAAGGATATGTTGTTAAGTGCATCTATATTTTATATTCACTTTGGTGAGTGTTTTTTAAAATGTTGTTATTAAATAATATATTTCTTTATCTCTAGTAATGTTTTTGTCTTGGATTTCATTTTGCTGGTATGAATTATTTTCTCCCTAGATTATTGCCTCATTTTCATTGGTTTAGTATTCGCATAGTATGTCATTTTCTTTTCAGACTTTTCATGTGATTTTTGTATTAAGTGAATCTCTTTATGAAACATTGTAACTGGATTTTTAAAATTCAGTCAGATAATATTCTTATAATGGAAAATTTTATTCACTTTAGTTGGGATTACAGATATAGTTAGGCTTATTTCTGTCATCATTTTTTCCTTTCTTCTTTTGATTCCTCGTTGACTGATATATTTTTTATGTTTACTGTTCCCTTCTGATATTTTAGGAATTATCAGCTATGTGAATAAACATGATTTGCCACTACACATGAGTCCCCACTATTATACTTATTGTTTAGACTTTGTTTTACATTTGTCACATAAACATTATTATTAATTTTACATTCAAAAGCTAATTAAATTTACTGATATTTTATTAACTTCTGTGCTCACAGACATTCGCCTTTTTAAAATCTTTTGCCATTGCTTCTTGTATCTTACATCTTCATTCGAGGTTCACATTTCTTCTTTTTTGAAATGTGTTTTACTTGTTTCAGCAATAGACTAAAATTGTTAAGCTCACTTAGTCTTTGCATTCTAAAAAAAAAATAGTTTATCTTGCCTTTAAACATGACTAATAGTTTAGCTAGATATAAAAGGCCTTCCTTCAATACAGTGAGATATTTACCTCTAGGTCTTTGGGCACTACTGTTATTGTAACCACCCAACAGGTTTACCTTGCCCCCACATAGAGCTGATTTATCAAGACAGGAAAATTGCAACAGAGAAAAACTAATTCACACAGAGCCGGCTGTGTGGGAAACCAGGGTTTTATTATTACTCAAATCAGTATCTCTGAGCATTCGAGGCTCAGAGTTTTTAAGGATAATTTGGTGGATGAAGGGCCAGTGAGTCAGTTGGAGTGCTAATTGTTCAGGTCAAAGGTGAGATTATAGGGAATCGAAGCTGTCCTCTTGCACTGAGTCAGTTCCTGGGTGGGGGCCTCAAGATTAGATGAGCTAGTTTATCAATCTGGGTGGTGCCAGCTGATCCATCAAGTACAGAGTCTGCAAAATATCTCAAACACAGGCTTTACAATGGTGATATTATCCCCACAAGCAATTTGCGGAAGATTAGAATCTTATAGTCTCCTGCTGCATGACTCCTAAACCATAATTTCTAATCTTTTGGCTAATTCGTTAGTCCCACAAAGGCAGTCTAGTCCCCAGAGAAGTGGGTTTGTTTCGGGAAAGGGCTGTTATCATCTTTGTTTCAAAGCTAAACCATAAACTAAGCTCCTCTCAAAGTTAGTTCAGCCTATGCTCAGGATTGAACAAGGACAGCCTGGAGGTTAGAAGCAAGATGGAGTTTGGTTGGGTTAGCTCTCTTTTACCATCTCAGTTATAATTTTTTAATGGCGGTTTGTTACTGGTGGAGGGTGTCCAGGTTCTTGGCATCTTGAACAGTGAATTGGACAAAATGCACAAACAAAGCAAGGAAAGAATGAAGCAACAAAAGCAGAGATTTATTGAAAATCAAACTACTCTCCACAGAGTGGGAGTGGGCACGAGCATAGGGGCTCAAGGACCCTGTTACAGAATTTGTGGGGGTTTAAATACCCACTAGGGGTTACTTGGTCCATTGGTTACTTGGTGTATGCCCTATGTAAATGAAGAGGATGAAGTAAAGTTATAAAGTCATTTACTCGGTGTAGGCCCTATGTAAATAGAGAGAATATTTCCTGTCATAGCTGAAGTGTTTCCATTTGATTTAGTTCTAGGAAGTCAGTGTGAATCGGCCTTATATTCCCTGTCCCAGACCATATTCTCCTGCCTCAGTTTCATTACCAAAGGGGAAAAACAATCTCTTGTCAGTCTATATTCTGTTCCACTCTGGCCACTGTATGTTTTTTCTTTGGTAATTTTTAAGACAATATTTTTGCCCTTGTTCTACGGTTTTACTCAATGAGTAGGTGTTGATTCATTATAATCAATTGTGTGTAAAATTTTTGATCTGTGAAACTTTGTTTCTTCAGTTCTGGAAAAAGCCAAAAATTACCTTTTTAAATATTTCTCCTTCCTTTTTGTTCATTGAGTATTCTGCAACTCCTACAGGGCCTAAATTGGAGCTTCTCAAACTATCTTTGGTATCCACTTCCTTTTATTTTTCTTAGTTGTTTCTATGTGGAGAATTTTGGATGAGGACCTTATTATTCTATTCCAAGTTATTTTTCTTTTTTACTGTTTTTTAACTGGGGCTTATTCCACTATTTATAGTTTTTATTTAAATAATTAATTATTCATTTTTAAACTTTTGAATTTTCTTTTGCTGGTTTTCTAATATCTGCCTGTGATTCATGTATTTTTCTCTGTGGTCAACTTAGGTATTCTTATTATAAATCTTGGTCAAAACAGAATTAATTTAATTCATGGTGACTTTATATTTTGATTATTGATTTTATCAGCTAATTTGCTTAGTATTAGCTCTTCTTGTATGAGAAAGGGCCTGTGTGTGTATATATTTTGCTTTGCTTTTTGTTTTCCTATCTATCTCTTCTCTCATCCCTCCTTGTGTAATCCATGCACTTATATTCATGTATTCTTTGAGTGGCTACTATGCACCAGCCCCTATTCTAAACTCTAGGGATATCTAGTTCCTAAAACATGCAAAAACCCCTGCCTGCATGGAGCTTACATTCCAGAGGGAGGAAACCAACAATAAACACAGCATATGTAAATCATACAGCATGTTAATGGTCTTGAAATTACTTGCACCCATTTCTCCAGGGCTCCTAGTCCAGAAAGTTGGTGACGGGCATCTACTTTGCAGTGACATAGAGCAGTACTATTAAAAATGTGGTCCACAGACTGGGGTTGATCCACTAACTGTTTTCAATCTATGGTGAGATAAGCATAGAAATTTAGACAAAGGTTCTTGCAACTTTTATATCAATTTGACAAAGTCATTTTATTTCTGTCAAATCTAACACAACAATATTTGTCCTTATAGTTTGCATGTGCTTTTATTTCATTTTTCAATTACTTTAATTTTACTTTCCAAAAAAAATGTCTGTGATGAAAAATGTACTCTATTCTTTCAACACAGAGAACCTGAAAAGCATTAATTTAGAAGTTCTTCCAACGTGGAATCAAGTCAGTAGGGGCTTTGTCTATTTCTTGATTGTAAGGCTATGTCTGTTTCCTCTTTCCTCCCTACATGTGCAGCATTGTAGAAATCATAACCTGTAGGGGCAGTTGGAAGCTTATGTTTTTCAGCTTTATTTTGTGTGATGGGTATTCTGGCCTCAACTTTAGCAGTCAATTTGGCATAAAACCTTTTAGTTCCACTAATCTGGTGGGCATAGAAGGGACTCATCAAAGGATACCTAACTATCATTTTGACAGAAAAGTACAGGCTTTTCTGCATTCTGGGACTTTTACTTGGTTCACACTGTCCCCTAGAAGAAACAGTGAAAAGCGTATTAAACTGGCTGCCAAAATTTCTAATTTCAAAGTTGACTTGGACACTGTCTTATTGATTGGCCTTAGCAAGTCACCAACCTCTTTTTCAAGAGGTTTTGATTAATAATAACTCTTTGAGATAAGACAGAATTATCTTTGTAAAGAAGGAAAACACATTCAGAAAAGTACAATGACTTGCCCAAGGCCACTTATTCAGAAAAATCAACAACTGTCCTAGAGTCCATATGTGCTGTCATATGAAATACTAAAGTTGGATGGAGTGCTTTCTTTGGAGTATCAAAAATGGTAAAATTCAAACAATTGCAAAATGCCAGCATTTGTATGTATGTGTGTGGCAGGGATTTAGCATCCTGTCCCAGTTGGAGAGTGCTCACTGAGCCTTGCCTCTGGCTGCCGTAGGATTGCTCACAATGCTTGCATACAATAGCAACATTTGAATATTACCATTAAACTCTTCCCCATTGTCAGAGCTTAGAAGCTGTGACTGGCATACACTAGACAAGCTGGGGGAGCACACATGGCCTTGACAACTGACAATGTATGTTTACCCAGATATGACATGGAAGTTGCTGGTGAAAGGATTTGATTCACCTGGAGGCTGATCTATGCAATCCTGATTTGTCTATTGTTTATTTTCTCTCCTTTGCATCACTCTGCTTTGCTGTTTGCTGTCTTCTGCACATCCTGACTCCAATGTCTAGTTACATTCTCTCTTGAACACAGGTCAAATTTCATCTCAACAATTACAATAACAATGAAGAATTCTGTACAACAAGTCACTGTCTGTACTTTGGTATTTGACTTTTAAGAACAATGCTTTCTTTATCTCGTTAAGACAAAATTTTAGCTCTTGTATGAACATTTTCTTTGAACACTATTCATATAATAGTCATCCTTATAGCAATATTTCCTCATGTATACATCTCTCCTGGAAGATTCAAATGTGCATTCAACTGTTATTTTGCTGATCTTTGCAACAGCAATTGATTATCAAAATATCAAAATTATTCCTATTTCACAGACTTCAAAATTCAGGTTCAAAGTAGTAAATCAAGCAAGACTCCATTGCCCTTGAATTGCAGGAACCAAAGATGTTTGGCTTCCAGAGAAGCTGTCTTCTGTGTAGTATTCATTTTGCAGATAGTTATATGAGAATCATTTTTACAGGAGACTAAGGGTAGAGGATAAAGTTAGTAGCTAAGGTGTTTTTGTATTTTATGTCCTGACATCAAGGAACAAATGCCAAGTGAGTGACTTGCCAAGCATTTACTAAGATGAGTTATGCCTTTAATATACTTTATTCCCTTTCCGTCTCAAATATCCCAACTACCAAAATAAAACTGAGAGCAAAAATATTCAGATTATGAGTGTAAGAAGGAAAACAGAGGGGGTATCTAATCTCCCACTCTGGTTTGAGATATTTAAATTTCAGTATAGAAAGGAGATCAACCCTGCTCAACTTTCAGATCTAGGAATGCAAAGTTTCTAGCCAATGAAAGCAGAAAAATGGAAATAGTGGTCTATGCAATGAGATAGAAGTGGTCCACTCCGTAGCTTTGGACAAATTGTTTAAACCCTCTGACTATAGCTTTCTATCTACTCAAATATATAGGCCATAACCTGCTGACCATCAGCAGATATCTCAGCCCTGGTGCATGTGTAAGAGTTAGGACTCACAATCTAGCTTATGCGGCTGGGTTGTTAGCAGGGTCTCCTGGATGGAACAACGTCTACCAACCTCCAGATCTTTGTGAAGGCAATATTCCCCATAATACATTTGAGAGCTAGGTGAAGGAAACCCCACATGTCCAGGGAGAGGAAAATATCTCAAAGAAGTCATTTCCTGAGTCAAGACTCCAAAAGATATTCATGCTGGAGATAAGCCCACCTTGTTCCTTTCAATAGTGTCAACATCTTCTCCCATAACAATATACATATGAGGCTGGGTAAAATGGGTGTAATGTGTCCAAGCAAATCTCTTTGTAAACTGTAAATTGTTATGAAAAGATTAATTGTTATTTTGTTCATTTTTGCATTCTTCCAAACAACATAAATTCTATGCTAATGGATGGTTTAACTTGTTGGTGCCCCAAACTTCTGTGGACACATATGGCACTAGCAATTACAATTAAATATAGTGTGACCTCGGGAAAATGGTTTAACCTTTCTGTGTCACCGTGCTCCTCATAGAACAAACAAACAACATTATCCTTACTCTTACTTGAGATGAGCAAGGTTGCATATAATTAGGACTGTATAATCATACATTTACTATCTGGAACCCGTGTGTGTGCGTGCTGCGTGCATGCATGCACACACGCGCACACATCCTCCTTTTGCAAATGAAGCATAAATTCCTTAAAGTCAAGAGTCATAT
This sequence comes from Homo sapiens, assembly GCF_000001405.40. Taxonomy (NCBI): domain Eukaryota; kingdom Metazoa; phylum Chordata; class Mammalia; order Primates; family Hominidae; genus Homo; species Homo sapiens. The sequence continues at coordinate 117,567,163 of NC_000009.12, read as the reverse complement.
TTCTTCTTGTCTGTAACTTTTGCAGCATTGGAGAATAAAAACATAATTACTGACTATCAGAGCAGGAAGAGATTTTATTATTTGGCCTAACCCTCATCATTTTATAGATAATGATATAGGAAGCCAGTGTGCTGATAATAGGTGATTTGCCTAAGATCATGCAGCAGAAGTTGGATTTAAACAAGACTTCTGATTTCATCTCCTTGTTCTTTCCTTTATGCTTTACAGTAAGTGTCTGACATATAATTTTCAAATGAATAAAGGATAACTAAAAGAAATTTAGATTAACATTTCTCATAGAAGAAAGCAAGTTCAGTGGTCGAAGACATTTAATAAATGCTATGCTTCAAGAGATTTGTTTATTTATGTTAACATAATTTAAGAATCGCCAGAAGACAGTAGTTTAGTTTTTTCAAAATCCTTTGAACACAGAATCCCTTTGGAAGACAACAGCTATTAGAACATAGTAAATATTCAATAAATATGTAAATGAATAAAAATTAGAGAAGGAAAGTGTCTTAAGACGTACATCTGAAAACTGATCTCCTGTCTTGCTGGGCCTCCTTTAACCTATGCAACTTTGGACAAGATTCTGCAGCCTCTGAAGCATGATTCTTCTATCCTAAAATGGAGATAGGATTATCTGCCCAACCTACCTCAAGAGGCAGCCATAAAATCAAATTTCTCTGGACCCAAGAACCTGGTGTAGCAAGTGACTCTCATTTTAATCACCAGCTGCTCTCCCTTAATTTCCGGAAACAGCGCTGTCCTTTTGTTCTGGGAACTACATTCTTCCCTTACTTCATCCATAAGATTCCCAATGGAACTATATTTTTTGATATAAACCTGACCCTTTGGCTATGGTTAACTGATTTAGAGATGCACACCACACCCAAACTCGAACAAGAATGCTCTTCGCTGAGCTTTTAGTGTTGGAGCTGACAGGCAGTCAGGCAATCACTTTCTCTTGCTAAAGCTGTAAGATCTCTCGTCTCTCTCCAGCTTTTTCTTTACTCTCTTCCTTCTAGCAAAAACTCAAGTATTCCAAATTTTCTTCCCACTTTCTGGCATTTCTAATTATTCCTTCTCCCAACAATGTCCTTCTCTCCGTTATTTACAGAGTCTATACCTTCTCAACCCAAATAGCATCTTCTTAAAGGCTTTCTGTAACCATTTAACTAAAGGGACAGTCCTCATCGTTCTGTATCACATGACTGTTTATCTCCTGCAGAACTTCTCTTAGGAGCTCAAATTTGTATTTGCTTATGTTTTTATTGTCCAACTTCCCTACAAGAATATAGGCTTCTTAGGGACAATAATTTTGTCTTTTGCACCACTGCTTCTCAGCCATTAGAATAATGTCTAACATATATTTATTGATTCATAATTGGTGGGAAGTCTCTATACTCATAATGACCTTTCAAAGTAGGCAGCATCACCCTCATTTTATAGTGGAAAAAAACCAGAGACTCCAAGGATTAGTCACGTTTCCAAGACCACACAGCTTTGGGAAAAAGAGTGGCATGGTCATCGCTCACATGTTCAAGATAGTTTCTCTATTATATATCTGCTGACAGCTCATTGATTTTATATTAACAAGACCATTTTATGTTTGCTTTTATTTTCAGAGAGCGAGGAAGTGGTAGGAGATGGTTAGGTAGAAGTGTGAAAGATCTGAGCAGCTGTCAAATATCAATCAATGCATTTAAGACCATTAGGCCACACAAAGAAACTCTACCATACAACCATAATGTCCTTTTCTCCTGTCTGCATCCAGACTCCATTTTGGAGCAGCTCCTGTTTACAAGGCTGGGGCCAGAATATTCTGGGAGACCCTAGGTATCATACTGTTGCAGCTGCTAACCTTCTAACACCTATACACGGCTTTCTCATCAGCAGGGCTGGATAAGCATTCATAATAAAGGAGAGGAGAGTAACAGCCTCTTTGTGCCCCCTTCTTTTCTGTTGGACACCAATGAGTTTTGTTTTACGAGTGAAATATATTTTTTAAATGTCCAGGAAAGAAATCCAATAGTTGACAGAGCAAGAATGACCCCTACACATGCTTCTCCCTGTAGGGATTTAGAAAACAATTCTGTTTGTTTGATTTTCCACAAGGTCAGACTCAGCTGAAGTTGGCAGAGGTTACTCTTCCCACCTTAACTCAGCTGCCAAGTCAGAAAAATAGAGCTGAGTTCTGGCCCATTTTTTTATGTTGGATAAACCTCAATTGAGACAGGTAGAATAATAAGTCCAAAGTCATACAGAGTCAGATATTGTTAATCACCTGAAATGTTTTACTTGATATCTGGCACATTCCATCATTAGCTCATTTAATATTTATAGCAATCCTAGGAAGTTGACATTGATACTCAAAAGAAAGTTGAAATCAAGATAAGTTAAATGACTTCTCCAAGATCACACAGCTAGAAAATAACATCGAATTTGGATCTATGAATCCCGGGCTATTTCTCTCTCTCTCTCTTTTTTTTTTTTATGTTTGAGATGGAGTTTTTCTCTTGTTGCCCAGGCTAGAGCGCAATGGCGGGATCTCGGCTCACTGCAACCTCCGCCTCCCGGGTTCAAACGCTTCTCCTGCCTCAGCCTCCTAAGTAGCTGGGACTACAGGCTCACGACACCACGCCCAGCTAATTTTTGTGTTTTTAGTAGAGACAGGGTTTCACCATGTCGTCCACGATGATCTCCATCTCTTGACCTTGTGATCCGCCCACCTCGGCCTCCCAAAGTACTGGGATTACAGGCGTGAGCCACCGCGCCCGGCCGAATCCTGGGCTATTTCTATGCCTCCACCCGGGTCCACCGGCTACTGCTTTGAATTGGAGGTCTCACCTGTAATCTTCCCGCTTCCACATGGTGTCACAGGAAAATGCTCCCATTTCACACACCTTTATGAATGTCACTGCCCCAAATCAAGTCATACAAAGACTCCTGTGTTTCCATGGCAACTGCCACCTCTTTTCCCATTCCCCATTTTTATTATTTATCTCAAAGTAGTTTTGTAGACACATATGGTTCCAGATTACAGACAGGGAACCACAGGCAGCAAAAGCAAGTCAGCAGCAGCTCTCAGGTCCAGAATGCTCAGCTGTCCTCATAAAGCCCAGAAGCTACAGCCAGTACCGTTTCTGGCTTAGGGAGAATGGCTAGCAAATGACTGTTTCTCCATCAGTCTTTCCTTCCTGGGCAAATAATTAGCCTGGGAGTCTCTCCAACTGTGTACCTTGTGATCCCAGGTGAGTAATTTATTCTCTTCAGGCCTGTTTTTTTTCTTCTTCTTCTACAAAATGGTTATGATAATAATAGTAGTACTTATTTCACAAGGCTATTGAACAGATTAAGTATTGCAGTGCACAGAAAGCATCTAGGGCAATGCCTGGTATTTAGTAGGTGCTCAATAAATTGTAGTTCTTTGCTTCTTTTTTTTAATGATTGTGTTCCTAATTCTGAAAAAAGCTAACCCCATGCACACTGACAAAGTTTTTGAGACTTCTTTTTACCTGTAAAGCTGATTTTAGCACCCGTTTTAATTGTCCTGGAAAAAAACATTTGGGATATATTTCCCTGATTACCTGCATTCCTCTGGAGTTCACTGTGTCTGTTACCCATCTAGAAATAGCATGGAATCATGTGGCTCTCCTATTTCCCTTACCCATAAGACATACTGTCTCCCAGGAAGAGTTGCTGGGATTCAGCCAGATGGACTGCTTCCTGAGACCCAGGCCAGGAGGTCTCCCTGGACTAACAAGCCCTTAGGACATCCCTGTACACAAACACATGCACCCTGGGAGATCTTTGTGGAAAAGAACCCAGTGTATCCATTTCTGAATTTCAGTGTCCGGCACAATCCTAAAATAAAGATAGTACTCAGAGTGTGTTTGCTGAGAGAATTTCTATGCAAAGCCCTCCCTTGTGAGCTCCTTGATAACAACAACATATCAGTTAAATGATTACTATGGTGAGACCTTTTACATGCATTATCTTAGGAAATTCACGAAGCAATCCTGTGAACATATACTGTCATTATTCCCATTTTACAGATTAGAGAATAAAGATCAGAGTGATTCACATTAACAGAGCCAAGATTGAGCACAGGCTATTGGACTTCAGAGATCATTATTTCAAGGGTCATCTCTTCTCAGCTTTCATCCAATGCCATAGCTTCCACTATTCTGATCACAACAAATGAAAATCTTGCACCTTCATTAGTAGGGAGCTCACTGCTTCACGAGGCAGTAAAGCTTTAGTGTTTGAGAGTGCTAACTGCTGGAAAGTTTTTCCTTATATTGGGTTCAATCATTTATTGGAGCTTCTCCTCCCTGCACTTCCCCACCCCCAGTTCTGGATCTGCCCTCTGGAGGAACATAGAAACAAGGCCTTATGCTTTTCCCATATGTTAGCCCACATGCTATAAATAAATCAGTCCCCTGCTGACTCCTACTCTGGAAGATGGATGTAAAGCACAGAGAGGAAAGGTATGTTTAAAAAAAAAAAGTAGTCAGTTATTTTTTTTAATTTATACTAACACTTTATAAAGCACTTAATTTTTTTTCTAAATGTTTTTCCCCATGCCTGGGTGTCTACTTCCAAGGTTCCAAACAAAGAAAATTTCCCATTGCTGTTAAAATAGCCATCATTTGACTTGTGAGCCACAGTATCTGCTGATGTTTGCTACCTAGTAAATCTTGCATCTGTATTCCATGAAGGTAAGCAGCAGGCTGGGAGTGATTTAGTGGACTGTAACTACTTAGCTTTAATTTCTTTGCCACTAACATTTACCATGCCAGACTGGACACAAACCAGTGTCTTTGTGTTAAGAGTGGTCTCTGACATACTGGGAAAAGAAAGCTCCTGGGAAAACTAGAAGAATTATTAAAGGCCCTCCTGGAGATTGACTCCAGCTTTCCCTTAGCTTTAGGACTAAATGATAACAGTGTTGAGTGAGAACAAAGCAGGAATAAATAATGGATATGAGACAGGAAATATAGCATCAGGCATTGGAGACTTTGGTGTCAGTGTCTGTAGCATATACGGCTGGTACCCCATTTGCATCACCTTGGCCCATGCCAGAGGTCATCTGAAAGGTTAGGGGACAATTCCTATACATAACCATCAGTTTTCTACCCTCAGTATCTCTTTGTCTCTCCCTAACGGTGTTCTCTGGTTACATGAATGATATCAGCCCACCTATAGAGCTGAATGGAAAATGCAAGGAGTTAATGACCCAGGAGCAAACTTAACTCATAAGGGATGGGAGTGGATGGTGAAATACTCCAGTCTCTTTGATCCTCAGTTGGACAGTTACAATGTGTGTTCTTCACAGTCTCTAAAAAGGTCCCCAGAAAAATTTAGTGTCAGTGGCCCCCTCAATAACACATCTATTATTTCTTCCCTTTCTTTGGCCTCTTGCTAATTCCTTCACATTATTTCCTGGGATTGCCTCTTAGATAAACTGTTTGCATTCACATCTTTGTCCTAGTGACTGCTTGTAAAGAAACCACACCTAAAAGTCTTCTTGTCAATATTTAAATGGTGATAGTAACTGTATGGTTTTGGTGAGGGAATTAATAATATTTGCAAAATTTTGGCACACAGCCTGGACCATGAGTTCTTTTTTTAAATAATTTTCATTTTTATTTTTGATTCAGGGGATATATATGCAGGTTTGTTACATCGGTACATTATGTGATGCTGAGTTTTGGGATACAAATGATCCCATCGCCCAGATAGTGAGCATCGTACCCAACAGTTAATGTTTCAACTCTTGCCCCATTTCCCTCCTCTTCGCTCTATTAGTCTTCAGTGTCTATTGTTGACATCTGCGTGTCTATCAGTACCCAATGTTTGGCTCCCACTTATAAGAGAAAACATGTGGTATTTGGTTTTCTGTTTCTGTTTTAGTTTGCTTAGGATGATGACTTCCAACTGCATCTGTGTTGCTGCAAAGACATGATTTCATTCTTTTTTATGGCTGCAGAGTAGTCCATGGTGTATAGGCACCAAATTTTCTTTTTTCATTCCATCATTGATGGGCACTTAGATTGATTTCATGTATTTACTATTGTGAACAGCGCTGTAATAAATATATGAGTGCATGTGTCTGTTTGGTAGAACAATGTATTTTCCTTCAGATATATACTCAGTAATGAAATCGCTGGGTCAAATGGTACTTCTGTTTTGTTCATTGAGAAATCTCCAAACTGCTTTCCACAGTGGCTGAACTAATTTACTTTCCCACCAACAATGTATAGGCATTCCCTCTTCTCTGCAGTCTCACTAGCAACTATTAATTTTGGACTATTTAATAGTAGCCATTCTGACTGGTATGAGATGATATCTCACTGTGGTTTTGATTTGCATTTCTCTGATGATTAGTGATACTAACCAGTTTTTCATGTTTGTTGGTTTCATATATGTTTTCTTTTGAGAAGTGCCTGTTCATGTCTTTTGCCCACTTTTTAATGCAGTTGTTTGTTTTATGCTTCTTGTTTTGTTTAAGTTCCTTATAGACTCTAGATATTAGAACACTGTTGGATGCATAGTTTGCAAATATTTTCTCCCTTCTGTAGGTTGGACCATGATTTCTAACCAAAAAAATTTAAAAAGTAGTGCCTCCTCCTTTTATCTTCATCAAGTCTTCCTCCTTGTTCTCATTTTCCTCTTCCTGCTGCTGCTTTTTTCTTTCCTTCCTGTTGTAGGGTGAGTGATAATTTGATCTGAGGAGGTTAGTTTAGTAATTATCACACAGAAAGTTTAAAAACACTCAAGACAGGCCAGGCGCAGTAGCTTTTGCCTATAATCCCAGGACTTTGGGAGGCCAAGGCAGGTGGATGGCTTGAGGTCAGGAGTTTGAGACCAGCCTGGCCAACATGGTGAAACCCCTCTCTACTAAAAATATAAAGATTAGCTTGACATGGTGGTGCACACCTGTAATTCCAGCTACTCGGGAGGCTGAGGCAGGAGAATGACTTGAACATGGGAGGTGGAGACTGCAGTGAGCCAAGATCACGCCACTGCCCTCCAGCCTGGGTGACAGAGCAAGACTCTGTCTCAATAAATAAATAAATAAATACACTCAAGACAAATCAAAACTGGGATGAACAAAAATAAAGTTTGGTAACAAATTTGTATAACTTTGATTAAAACAAAGGGCTGCCATACCTGGGGCTTAGTTTTATTGGGGACTGATTCTATTGCACATGAATAGATTAAACTGAGCAAGCTTTGTAAGTGATAAACAGATATAACAATGCTGTATGAACTCTGTATGTTATACAAACACAGAGGTAGATATTTAAGGGTAGCCAAAATGAACCCTTATTATATTTTCAGCTTAGGGAGTCTCAGACAAGGGTTAGCAAACTGTGACTCAGCACCTGTTTTTGTAAATAAAGTTAATTGGAACACAATCATATTCATTTGGTTATATATTGTCTATGGCAGCTTTGCACTACAAGGCAGAGTTGAGTGGTTGTGACAGAGACCATATAGCCCACAAAGCCTAAAAATGTTTATTATCTTGGTTTTTACAGAGAGTTTACTGACTCCTGGCCTAAGACATTTCTTTGATTTTTAAAAAACACATATATAAGGTACAGATGAAGCAAAAATAGAAACACTATTTATACATATGTATACATATATGTTTTTATAATTCCACACCATGAATAGTGTGTACTGTCCCATAATTTCCCAGCTGCATTTTTCTTAATTTGCTTTTTTGGTCAAAGCACACCTTAATGGTCAAAACAGCAGTCCACCCACAAACAAAAGCAAAACCAGCTTTGCCTTTTTCAATTATAAAAGAGGTATGAAAATTCAGGTTGGAAATGACAGATTTGACAAGGCAATATATTGACCTGTGGGTAGCCCTCGGTACCCCACCTTCATCTTAATGGGCAAATAAAATCTATTTCAAGAGTAGCCCAGGCCTTAGCAGCTCTATATATAACAAACATGATCTTTTTAAAAACAACCCAAATTATACATAATGTATGCTCATATTCTTAAACAGATCTGTTAGAGTTGCTAAAAAAAGAAAGACTGCATATATTTCAATTTTCCCAAAATGTCTCTTTCTCCACCACTGACTATTTTATCTCTCTTACAGAACTCCAGAAATTCTGAAGATCTTCCTAAACAACAACAACAACAACAACAACAAAACAGGTCTGAACATGTTATTCCACTGCCTCAAAACCTTCAACATTTATCTTTTATACAGGATTAATTTCAAATACTTTGATTCCTCATGTCTACTTAACTTTTCAATCTTGTATGCTGAAAACAACATCCCCACACTGTGCAACTTTGCATATGCAATGCCATACTCTTACTGCCATTCTCCGAGCCATGCACTCTTGCATCCTCAGGCTTTTGTTCACATTGTTCTCTCTGCCTAGAACAACCACCCTTTTCCCATATTAACCTTTTTAAATGTTCTCCTTTCAAACTCCTGTCCAGATATTCCCTATCCCAAGGGACCTTCTTGGGATACCCCAAAGGGCCTTCTATTAGGCAGAATTAATCTCTGCTCCATTCTTCTCCATCTCAGCTAATAGTTCTTTCATCTTCCCGGTTGCTTAAGCCCCCAAATCTGAAATTATTCTTATACTTCTTCTTCTTCATGCCTCATCTTCAATCCATCTCCCAGCTTTGTCTATCCACTCAACCCTCAACATATATGTTAAATCTCTCCTGCCTACTTTAAGCCACTCTCATTTGACTACTGGACAACAGTCTTTTTTTCTCATCCCAGTCTTGTTTTTCTCTAACCCATTCTCCACTTTAATAGACGAATCCTTTTAAAAGCACAAATCAGTCCAAGTCACTCCTATGCTTGAACTTCCTGGTGGCCTCCTTTAATATTTGGAATAAAATTCAAATATCTTAATGAGACCTGCAAAGTAAAGCATGATCTGGCCCTTGAGATCTCACTCCAGCCATTTTCCAATTTTCTGTACTGCAGTGGGAAATGCAAGCCAACATCAGAAACGTTGTGATTCTTTTCCCCTCATGTGGAATACTCTTTCTCTCTCTCTTTACTTGCTTATCCTATTTTTTCATTCATAACAAACAAAAAAGGTAAATTTGAGATGCTTTTGATAACTCCTTAAGCCAACTCAGGGTCTTGCCCATTATCTTGCTTCATGATACTTGGTTTTCTTCATTCATAGGGTTATTGCAGCTTGTCATTATATATTTACTTATGAGTATCTCTAGAATATTTGTCTTTCCTGTTAGTCTATAAGCTGTAAATGTATGAATTATGTTGCCTTATCCAATACTTTATACCAAGTACTTCTGGTGTTTAGTATGCAATAGGCCCTTATTAAATATTTGATCAAACAAGAAGTGAACAAATGAATAGCTGAATGGATGAACAAATTACATCATGCACTGAACATATGTCACATTGTTGAATTCAGTTTATTTTACATGTAACAGTTTATCAAGTATCAGAATTTTTTTGCATGTATGCCCATTTCCTTTTCTGAATCTAAGGGCTTATGGGCGGGTAGCATCAATTATTCAGCATGGTAGCTCTCACAGGTTCTAGAAGCTGAGCCCTCAATAGATATAAGTTGGTAAAAATCAGATGTCTTATTCATTTGAATGTAATGTAACTTCTTTGAGGACATAAGCATAATATATACAGCTTTTAAACTCCAGTGCCTAGTACATAGTAGGTGCTGAATAAATGCTTGATGAATGGATGCATGCATGCACATATCTTTATCAGGTTGTCAACAAGTCAGTATTCCATTGCATATAGATGCTATATATATATATTTTTAGCTACTCATCTTTTGATGGACACTTAAATTGCTTCCATATCTTGGCTATTGTGCACAATGTTTCAATAGATGTGGAAGAACAAATATCTCTTCAACATGCTGATTTCATTTGCTTTGGATAAATACCTGGTAGTGGGATTGCTGGATCATATGGTAGTTCTATTTTCAATTTTTTGAGAAGTCTCCATCATGTTTTCCATAGTGGCTATAATAATTTACATTTTCACCAACAATGCACAAGGTTTCCCTTTTTTCCACATCCTCACCAACATGAAGATCTTTTGTCTTTCTGATAATAGACATTGTAGCAGGAGTGAGGTGATATCTCATTGTGGTTTTAACTTACATTTCCCTGATGATAAATACCTCAAAACATCATATTGTGCCTGATAAATACATGCCATTTTCTATGTCAATTTTAAAAATAAAAAAAAAAAATAGGAAAAAAAAAGTCAGCCTTCCACCAACAACCTCAGGAATGCAGAAGTAAAAATAGACTTTAGGCCTTTTTCCTATTGACATTCCCTTTTTAGTATTGCAGAGTCATTTTCTTCCTGCTTATTTCAGGTCACTAAACATGTAGATTATCATGTATGAAACACTGTGCTACTCCTGGAGGTAAAAAAAAAAAAAAAAAGCTGAGTAGGACCTGATCAACCCTGATTTGTTCTACCTGGCCCCAGATTTAAGGAACTTGGGGTCCAGAAGAGTAGAGAAAGTGCATTAGAGAGGTACATGAATGTATAAGAATGATACAGGTGTGGTAGAAGTTGATTATTGCCCTACCCAGATGGCCTTTGCAGGGTCCATGCATCAAAGGTCTAGCTGTTCTGAGTGTTGACTACTGTTTTGAGTTCCCAGCCGCCCCCACTCCCTTCTTGGGAGAACTGTACTTGGCTTCTCAGACCCACTCACCTCCACTAGGGGGCAGCCCACAGCCAAATGGATACTAATAAACAAACGGCAGGCATCTTACTTCAAAGGAGAAAACCCTGTGCTGTGGTTTTTTGCTCCAGAGTCTTATCCCTGTGGATCAAGCTAAGGCTAGACTCTGCCTCAGATCATGTCTGTGGTTGGCTCTTTCCCCTATCTTAACCGACTTAACTTCCTCCATTACAGGTTTTTACTGAAGAGCTTTCCCTCTATAAATCACATGAACCCAAACCCCTGTCTCAGGCTCTGCTTCCCCAAAATACCACCAAAGCCGTCTGATAGGCACTGTCCAAAGTTAAGTGCATGGTGCTACGAGACAGAAAAGAGATATCAGACACTGTTTAGAGACAGAGAGGTATCCTAAGTAGAATCTTCTTTCTAGGTATGTTTCAATTTTATAGAAAAGTATCAGGATAATACAATATAATAAAACATTCACATATTCCCTAATTAGATTTAACTAATGTCAACAGTTTTTCACAGATGCTTCCAAACTTACACAGAATTAAAGATTACCAATATGGTAGAAAACATTTTTGTGGCTCTTTTTAATTCTATACTTTTCTTTTTCAATCTTTGGAACCAATTCCTACCCTGGTAATGGTGTAAGCACTTCACAATCATGTTTCTGTATTTGTACATATCCACGAGAATGGCATGTTTTCATGTGTTAGCAGAGTTATGTAAGTTAACACCATATATAAACTTTGCCCACTTTCTCTTTTACTCTGATTGTTATGTTTTTGTGACCTATCCACCTCAATACACACAGATTAGACATTCATTTCCGTTGCCAGGTTGCATTCTATTACTGTGCCTTATTTTGGCTTCTTTTAAACTTCTTATATGCCTTCTACTAGATTGATAAAGTTATCTTTATTTCCTCATTTTTAATTGTAAATTATACATTCCATTTGGATTAATTTAGAGAATATTCTTTAATTTTAACATGCATACTATATTTAATAAGGTTTAAAATTAATCTGCATTTCTATTTTCTATGTGAATACCATGAAGTGCATAGGACCCTCTAACTATGAAATCCCTTTTTGTATCTTCTATGTAATTGGAAAGTATTTTATTTCTACTCTTTTTAACCTTTCCATTATTGTATGTGCATATGCGTATATACACACATTTATGCATACATTCGAAGTTTATACTTATTTAACATTAACTGTACTTAATTTAATAATATTTACTCAATGTCATCTCTTTTATCCCACACTGTTTATTTACCTTCAGTTTCCTTTTTACTTCAGTTCACCCTTTTATAGTCCTTTTGAAGAGGCCAGTGAGTTAACAAGTCTGCTTCCTGTCTGCAAATGTTTTCATGTAAATTTTACTTCCAAATTATGGTTTAACCTAAGTGTAAAATGTTAGGTTGACAGTTGTCAGGCTAACAGTCATCCCTTTGTTGATGATCTCACTTTCCTTTCTTGTACCTTTTAAGAATTTCTCTTTGATATTCTATCCTATCGATATAAGATATCTTGGGTATGGACTTGTGTTTATTTGTCTTGCCAGGACTATATAGGTTGTTTGATCCATTTTTTAAAACCGGAAAAAAATGTCTGTTTGTCTATGAACATCACTCTCCCCTGGAATAACATTCTCTCGAATAGGTGCATGCAGGATATTTTTATGTTATTCTGTAGGTCTAATTTTATCTTTCATCTCTTTGTATCATTGAACTGCATTCTCGTTGATTTCTTCGGAGCTATATTCCAGTTCAAGAATTATCTTCTCCTCCATTTGACTGTATTGTCCATCCATGGTTTGTAATGTCTACAACTCCGTTAATTTCTAGAGTTTCTATTCATTTTTTAAAAAAATACTTCTAATCTTTCTATATATTCTGTTGTTCTTGACTAATATATTCTTACATCCATCTATCTCTTTTACCATTTTAAATATACTTACTTTACAACATCTTTTGGATTTTACAATTATCCAATTCATAAAGCATTGGTTCTTCCACTTGCTTCCTATGCTGATTATTCATTGTGGTTTGTTCTTTGTGTGATGCTTAATTTTTACCAGAAAGTCATTTCAGTAAAGGTTTATAGTTATATTTTGTGTTCTATATTATAGAAGCATTCCTATAGATTTCACAAACCTGGAGCCTAATATTTTTATTATTAATGTTTCATCTTGGAGACTTAACATCCTAAAGGTTATGTGAACTTGAATTTCACAGGTATATTTGTCTTAAGCCAATGATTCTTGTTACTCACAAGGTTCAACTTACGGTCCTGGAAGTTGGGGACTGGTGGTAGAGTCCCCATTGCATAGCTGGGATATTCTTTGAGCCATCCTTCTTTGTTCAGGGTTCCGGTTCCCCCAGGTAAAAATGACTCAGATTCATACATAATCTTTTCCCACTTCTGTGACAGGTTTTGAATCAGTCTCACTTCTCTGCTCCAACTTAAGGTCCCCCTTCAATGCTGGCATTTCCACACTCCCTTTCCGTTTATTCATTTATTTATGCATTTATTATTTTTGAGTCAAGTCTTGCTCTGTCACCCTGGCACAATCATAGCTCACTGCAGCCTCAAACTCCTGGGCTCAAGTGATCCTCCCACCTCAGCTTTCCAAGTAGCTGGGGACAACAGGTGCACATCACCATGTCCAGCTAGTGAAGATCTCCCTTTCTATGCTTTCAGATTGGCTGCGTATTGTTTACTTTTTTTTTTTTTTTTTTTTTGAGACGCAGTCTCGCTCTGCTGCCCAGGCTGGAATGCAGTGGCGCGATCGCAGCTCACTGCAAGCTCCGCCTCCCGGGTTCACGCCATTCTCCTGCCTCAGCCTCCCGCGTAGCTGGGACTACAGGCACCCGCCACCATGCCCGGCTAATTTTTTGTATTTTTAGTAGAGACGGGGTGTTTACTTTTATGATATTTTATGTAGCATGATTATGTGTATGGAATGGGAGGTAAGTCCTTTCGTATATGCTCAGGCCTCATTTTCTGGATCTGAGCTGAGCCTTAAAACATGAGTGTGTTTGTCATGAAAAAGAGAAGGAAAGGGTACATCAATACAGAAAATAGCATAAGGAGAGAAGTAGGAAATACTATTGTAGGCTTTTTGGTGAGTTAGTGTAGGTGAAGCTTGACGCTCCTGGCTGCCCTTATCCAGGCCACTCTGCAGAGCCAAAAGAGTGAGTTTCCAGGAGGAAAGGCTACACAAATAGCAGACATGAGACACAGAACAACCAGGATTAGAGCCAGAGGCACTGGTATCAGCCATAAATCTAGGACTATGGAGGTGGGGTCTGGGGCAGGTAAATCAATTTATAAGAAAGACAGAGTCCCAACATGGAGAGAATAAGTGAGTCTGTCATGAGCAACTCTTAAAACATGTTGAGCTTGAGGCAGGCAAAACTGGACATTACTGACCAAAGCAGCACCTGTGACTGAGCAATCCACATACCTATGTGTGTATGTGCAATGTGTGTGTTCATGTGCCGCATTCCAGAGGGCATTCAAGGTTGGGGAAAAAAAATCTTTCTAGCAGAGCATAATGTTTCTCTGTTGTCTTGTGGCTGCCCTTTCACGGTGGATGTGGGTGGTATAAAAACTTGGCTCCAGAATATGTGAGGAACATGGTGCCAGTGCAGAAGCAGTTTGAATCTGGAGTACCTAGAAGAACTGGAGAAGGAAGGAGGGGACTTGGAGCAATGTACTCTCCTCACTGCTCAGGGAAATGATTACTGGAAGAAAGGGACTCAGAGTCTTATCACACACCAAGGAAGATGGGACAAAGGGAGAGTCCACTTTGCCGGAAGAGTTTAAAGGAAGTCAGTTTCAAACTGGCTCTCCAAAGCCCCAGGCTTCTGCAGAAGAACCTCAGAGGTCACTCGTTGGAGTAAGAATAAGGGGGAACTAAGTAGGCTGCGTTAAATGTCTTCCCAATCCTGTTTCCAACAGTTGCTTCTGCTTTTAACTGGAGAAACTACAAACAAAACAATACCCTTTGAGTAGGGTTTTTCCTAAAAAACCCATTTTTAATTGAGATAAAATTCACATAACAAAATTGACTTTTTAACCATTTTAAAATTTACAATTTAGTGATGTTTAGTGTATTCACAATGTTGTGCAATAATCACCAGTATCTAATTGCAGAAAATTCTCATCACCCGAAAGACAAATCTCGTATCTATTAAACGGTTACTCCCCATTCCTGACTTCCCCCAGCTCCTGACAACCACTGATCTTGCTACCTCTATAGATTTACCTATTCTGGACATTTTACATAAATTGAATCATCATATACGACCTTTTATGACTGGCTTCTTTCACTTACCACAGTGTTTTCAAAGTTCATCCATGTTATGGGATGTATCAGTACTTTACTGTTTTTCATAGCTGAATATTATTTTATTGTAGGACTACGACATATTTTATTTATCCATTCATCAGTTGATGAACGCTTGGTTTCTACTTTTTTCTAAGTGTGTGTACAAGATTTTGTTTGAACAAATGTTTTCAGTTATCTTGGGTTTTTAGGGTTTTAATTGAAAAAATGTTCCAGAATCCTTCCCTTTACCCATCACCCCCAAAGATGCTTCCTACCACTGACACCAGGAAATGGTGTAATTACTGCTATGTAAACGGGGATATGAATACCCAGGGAGTTTGTGGTAATGTGCCTCCACATCCCACATAAAGTCAAAGGAGAAATATGGCACAACTTTTTGAATTAAACTGTTTAAAGATTGGAAGAAGAGGAAAATGATGTTTTTATATTAAATCTAGACAATATCCAATATTTTATTGATCCTCAGACATTCATGTTTTAACATCTTTGAACTTAGAATACATTTTACAATCAATGCTGTGCCCCAGTTTAACTTGCAGCCTTTTATTTTGTTTCTAGTGATAAATAAAATAATGATGTGTCTTGCAATAATGCATTTTAGATGTTGTGGCTTGTGGTATTATGGAGTACAATCTACAATTCACATAAAATTTTAGGATAAAAATGGGAGACTTTGCAGCTGTTCAGGCCTAGCTGTGGTTTCTGCAGGGTTTCTTGACCACTCTTGTCCCCTGGGGCTGTGGTATACGGTAGGACAGGCTGTGCTCAGCACACTAGCGTGCCTCAAGGCCTCATGTGCCCATTCCAGGATGTTCCTACCATCACTACAGGCCCCCTGTAATACTCATATCCCCTGCAATACTTTACTCCCATGTTGGATAATCATCCCCTTCCTTATAGCCCCTCAGTGTAGATGAGACAGACTCACATTTTCAAGGAGAATTTTATTTTAAAAGCCAAGGGAAAAGTAAAAGGGGGAGAAAAGGAAATATAAACAGTATAGAAATTGTCACATTTTCATTTATTGTGTTTCTAATATTTCCATCCTATAAAAGTAAAAAGGAATTTTAGTGAGACCTCAGTTTCAGGAGAAGTTAACTGATGGCCATTAGGAAGCCTTGGCTCACGTTCCAACCTAGTCCTGGGTCAGCTGTACCCACCATTTACCTTCTCCTCACCTTGAAGTGAGTCTTGGTTTTATGATTTTTTTGGATTCCTCTATTGCTGACTTCCTACAGCTTGGCTCTTTCAAAAAAGTTCTGGCCCATGTAAAATGTCATGTCTTTTGTCCGTAAAAATGGTTGGGGAATCACTTGACTAGCTATGAGATTAAAATCTCTTCCCAAATTTATAAAGAAAAAGATAAAACACAAGCTCTATGGTTTTCAGATCAAGAAAATTAGCTCTTCATTTTCGAAGTATTGTATTAACTGAGAAGGGGTTGGATTGGGGGAGAATGGTGTGTTAGCAGAGCATGGCTGAAGGATAATCATCTTCACTACAACCATTCATATTTCTCTTTTGTTTTTCTCCAGAACAGCCTCTTTAAAAAATTTAAAAGTAATGAACAAATTTTTACAAATCTAATCAGAACAGCAGCAACAATAAAAAACGTAGAATCTATACCAGGGCATTCGATGACTCAACGACCGGCTGAGTGCCTCTGAAATAGGGCTGGGGATCCATGGTGGCTAAAATCCCCATTAAATGCTTGTTCGTCTTTGGAGTTAAATTTAAGAGTATGAGAGCTTTTCTTTGAGAACTGATTATTTTTTATATCTGAGAGTCATCCTCCCTCAATCCGTTTTGCCTTGTGGGAGAAGCACATTTAGCAGGAGGAAGGGAGCATTGAATCACTACATTCATTCTGGATAGTAGCTAAAAGAAGGCTAAAGACAGGTTGAGGCATGTTTCAAAAAATTCTATTAAAATTGCAAGTGAAATCAAAACCATGTCTATGGGAAACTTTAAAGGAAATGGGATTATATAACCCAGAGAAAAGAATACTTAGGATGTGGGTGGTAGGGGTAGAAAGGAAGCCATCTGCAAATACATAAGACGTATTATGTGAAAGCAAGATTAGGCTCATTCTGTGACATGAAGGAGACAGCTATTGGTACAATATGAAGCAGATTGTCTACAACTTTCTAATAGTTAAATTGGCCCAAGATATTACGGTATACATTGGGAAGATCTCAGTTCTTCAAGAAAGGAGGTGTTCAAATGAAAGCTGCTCACTATCAATCACAGCTTCCTAATTGAATTTTAACAGTCAGTTAAGAGTAGAATTTCATGACCTTTAACAGCCCTTTAAGCCTGACGTTCTAATGACTCCTAATCCATGACAAGGAAACTGAGATTCTCAGCTGTCCGACATGTGAGGAAAAACAAAGGCTCTGACAGCATTCATGGCCCTCTGATTCAAGTTGAAAAGCAACCCAACACAGCAAGATCTTCAAGGACAACAACAACAATGCTCAGCCTGCCTCTCTCTGGAAATTCCTTAGTCACACAAATTAGGGATCACAGGTCGCCCCTTTCCAGCAGTTTTACCTCTGGCTCCTGACTCCTAGGCCTCTCTGCAGGTTGCAGCCAGTCTATTGACAACTCTGCACTGTTCTCAGCACAACATTTGTGGGGGAAATTGTTGGCCAAGGCACCAGTAGTGTTCAGACCAGCTGAGCTCGTTCGTGGTGCTGCAGTTCAGGCAATAATGTTCTCTTTCAAGACAGATGACACTCTTGCCAGCAATTGCTTGGATGGAGTGTTCATTCAAACACCCTGGGCTCATTACCAGCTCAGAGCACAGAAATTGTGCAGGTAATTTCTACCCACCGTCCAATCTGTTGCTTGCCCACCCTCACGCCATGTCCCGTTCTGTCCTTCCCAAGATAGATGTGGTATTATACACACCACTTTACAATCCCTAACACAGCAGGTGCAGTCAGAGACTTCCAACACCATATTAATAAGAGTCCTAATGAAGAACCAAAATAACTTACCTGTCACAGAAGTTTGTCACCTCCTAGGAAAATTAAAGTGGCAAGTCACCCCACATGTTGTCTATTTTTCCATTGTCTCCACTTCTTTCTTTCTGCCTGCCCCCGAAGCCTCTCTTCCTTATGTGTGTTAGTTCTTGCAGAGTGCTTTCAGCACACCTGCAATTGTTTGCTAAATCACCCATCACTGAACTGGGAAACAGAAGAGCTGGGCAGGAGTTCCAGCATCCCCTCTGCTCCTCCATCTAGCAGGAACCTGTCATTGTAAGAATCTACCCCAGGCTAAGCTTAAATGATGCTGTTGCAATGATAGCAGATGTTAGCTTTACCCAAAATGACCCTGCTCCTGTGGTGCTGGCTACTGCAGATTCAGAAATGAAGGCCAAGCTCTCTGCGCTAACAAAGCTCATAGTCTAGTATAGGAGTCAGCAAACTTTTTCTAAAAAGAGACAGTTAACAAATAGTTTAGGCTTTACAGGCCACGGAGTCTCCTATCCAACTATTCAATTCTACTGCTACAGCTCAAGAGAAGTCATAAACAATATATAAACAAGTGATTGTGGCATGTTCCAATAAAACTTTATTTATGAAAAAGGCAGTGGGCTAGATTTGACCCTCTGGATGTCATCTGCAAGGCCCTGATCTAGTGGAAGAGACAAACAAGTGCTCCAATGGTTGCAGTGTTCAACCGTGAGTGATAAAATAAGAAGGAAGCAGCAGAAGGTGGTTAGGGAAGGCCTTCTGGAAGAGGTGAGGTTTGAGTCATGACTTGAGGGATGAATAACTGCTTAATAACATACCTGCCTAATCTTCCTCTTCCACCACCATCTTCCCTCGTAGACCGATTATTTGTGATTAGAATCTGTTAGACTTTGGGATTCCTGTGAGCTGTCACAGCATCTTAGCTGCCTTTATAATCCCAAACTCAAATTTAGTGCTTTTACATAATCAGGGATTGATGAATGTTTACTGGATTAAAGGGCATGTGACCTTTCACCTCTGTTTTGACCACAGCTAACTCTCTCTGTTTCCTGGAAGATGATATTCCTGCTTCACCCTGTGCTATGCTACAGCTGGGTAGAGACTTGTAACAATACAAAAGAGTTCTTAGTGCCTGTTTGTTATTATTTCATGTTCTGGAGCCAGACTGACTTTGGACTCGTGCTCTGCCATTTACTAGTTGTGTGATCTTGGACAAGTCAGTTAACCTTTCTATGCCTTAGTTTCCCCTTTTGTTAAAATAATGATAGTACTTACCTTATAGGATTGTTGCAAAGATTAAATGAGTTAAATGAATAAAGTATTTAGAATGATAACTGGCACAGAGCAACTGTTCATTAAATGCTGGCTATTATTAACATTAAAAAGCTATACCTAGTCTCTTCATAATAATCTTGCACCTCTGTGGTAGGAAGGGGACAGAGGAGCTGCTAACATTCATTTGGAAATTCTAACCAACTTCCTAGGTTCAGCCTTATTTGTTTGTTGTTTTAATCTCTCTGCCCTCGGCTGCTGCACAAGGAGAGAAGTTGATTGGCAGCTTAACTGTTTAAAATCAATATAAGAAGCACTTGGAGATTAAAGCAATTTAAGCAAGGCACTGGCTGGGGTTGGGAGCTAAAACTGCTCTTGAAGGAAACAAACGAAGGAGGTGAAGAAAGTGGGTCAGAAATGAAACAGCGCGAAACTGTGTGAGTGGAGGTGAGATTACAATAGAGCAGCACGACTTTTTCATCAGAGAAAGATCGTTTCTTTTTATTAAAAAAAACGTAAAATAAAGCAGAGCCAAAAGCCCTAATCTCAAAATTGCTCCAGCCTGGGAGTGATTGTTCCACTGATTTAAACACACTTGTCTCTCCTCTCCTCCTTGCTGCTGTGCCCCGCCCCGCCCCGCCCCACCCACACGTGCGCTCACATCCCCCTTCTTTAATCTCTGCAGGAACTTCCTGGCCAGGTACAAATAGAAAGATTACGTCTCAGCTTTGTTGCTGATGCCACGTGAGACCAGCACCCACAGGAAATGAGCCGCAGAGACCGGACAAGGA
Organism: Homo sapiens; assembly: GCF_000001405.40. Classification (NCBI taxonomy): domain Eukaryota; kingdom Metazoa; phylum Chordata; class Mammalia; order Primates; family Hominidae; genus Homo; species Homo sapiens. Next base: position 117,547,051 of record NC_000009.12, on the reverse strand, counting down.
GGTGCGAGTGTCGTGGACAGCATTTCCTATGACGGAGGCTGCCCCATTCAGACATTTGGTTCCATTAAGCCAGTCTGGTCTTCCACACAGAGAGGCCGCTAAGCTCCCTGTTGAGGGGAGGTGAATCTGTGTTAAATCCACTATAAATTCAGAGAGTTCTGAAGTAAACAAGGAAGCTCCCTTTCCTACCTGTCTCTGATATACCTTGACACTTTCATTTCTTGTTTATTAATATTTCTCTTTATTTTTCTTGTTCTACTCAGTGTGTGCTCTAAGAGTTAAATTTTATCAACTTGACAGTTTGTAAGGTATCCCAAATAACTACACTATTCCAACCTGGCCCTGAATATTTCCTGCCTTATTTCCATCCCCGAGTGTGTTAACCTCACCCCCTAACAAGGACTTTTATGTGTATAGTTTACAAGAGTATTCCCTTTTTGGACTCCTGTGTACATTGCCTAAATTCCTCATACAATATTGCTGGTGTTCTTGTGCTTGGAGAGCCAGGAAGAAACATACACCTGTGGAATTGGCTCATTCAGAGATCTTGGAAGGCTTGAGATCCACATCAAAGACCAGTCATAAAGGAAAGCATCTAACCACATGTGGGGCATTTTAAGCAGGATATGGTCAGTACTGTGGGATTTATTCATATAAACTTTTGGGTCTTGTCTTTAAGTCACAAAAAGCCAACACACACACACACACACACACACACACACACACACACACACACACTCCTCACCCCTACGTTGAAAAAGAAAAAAAAAGTTATTCACAGAGTACCAGCTAACATATGTAATAGAATTAAAGAATGAATAATAGAAATAGAAAATTACCATTTTATCATCATCAAACAATTCATTAAGCAAAGGGTCAATAACAGAAGTTGGAACAACTTGGTAAAGTTTCTTGTAAAGCAAAATATAATGGGATTTCAAAGTATCATCCCACAGGTCCCTTCTTAATTACAGAATAAGAGAGAGCTTTTATAATGGAGACACCTGGTGGCCATCACCTTTACCAAGTGATATTTAGCAATGTCAGTAATAGTATAAACTGACATTATGTACCTCATGATCTGATTCAATGTCAATTGCACAAGACCTTGCCAGAAATGCTTAACTTGAATCTTGTCGTGAAGCAACAGAAAAATCCAAACTTTGAGGATGTTCTGTAGGATAACTAGTCCAGATTCTCAAAAACTGCCAACAACATAAAATACGGTAGATAGATAACATATATTCATGAATGCATGCATGAGTATAGTAGAGGGCTATTGTATTTTAAAGGAGAATAAAGAAACAGACAAAATGAAATAATATACCTTTAATCATATCCAGGATTTTAAAAAGAGCTATGAAAGACATTTGGAGAACACTGGGGGGAATTTGAATATGGGCTACAGGTGAGGCAGCTATTACATCTGTCAAACTTCTTAGTTGTGATAATGGTAGTGTAGTTACATAGGACAAGGTTTCTGTCCTTGAGAAATATATTCTAAAGTATTTAGGGTTGAAAGATTATAAATGCCTGAATTTTTTTTTTTTTTGAAACGGAGTCTCCCTCTGTCGCCCAGGCTGGAGTGCAGTGGCGCGATCTCGGCTCACTGCAAGCTCCACCTCCTGGGTTCACGCCATTCTCCTGCCTCAGCTTCCCAAGTAGCTGGGACTACAGGCGCCCGCCACCACACCCGGCTAATTTTTTTTGTATTTTTAGTAGAGATGGGGTTTCACCGTGTTAGCCAGCATGGTCTCAATCTCCTGACCTCATGATCCACCCGCCTAGGCCTCCCAAAGTGCTGGGATTACAGGCGTGAGCCACCGCGCCTGGCCCTGAAAATTGTTTGTAAATGGTTCAGAAAAAATCCTGTGTGTTTGTGTATACACATAAATATGCAGATAAAACGTGACAAAATGTTAACAAATGTGAATTTAAGTGAGGGCTATAAATGTATTCACTACAGTATTCTTTCAGATTCTTAGAATTGGATTTTTTTCAAATAAAAATTTGGAGAGAGGGAAGAAACCCCTACCTCTTTTAAAATGTAAGAATTTCTTACAATATGGTACATATACACCATGGAATACTACATAGCCATAAAAAATAATGAAATCATGTTTTTTGCAGCAACATGAATGCAGCTAGAAGCCATTATCCTAAGCAAAACAATACAGAAAAAGAAAACCAAATACTGCATGTTCTCACTTATAAGTGGGAGCTTAACACTGGATACACATGAACATAAAGATGGCAACAATAGACACTGGGGACAATAGAGTGGGGAGGGAGGAAAGAACAAGGGTTGAAAAACTACATATTGGATACTATGCTCACTACCTGGGTGATGGATTCATTTGCACTCTAAACCTCAGCATCAAGCAATATATCTTTGTAACAAACCTGCACATGTAACCCTGAAACTAAAATAAAATGTGAAAAAAATAAAAATAAAAAATAAAAGATCACAGACTTTAGAATCAGACTGACCAGCTTTCAAATCCTGTATTTCTCGCTTAATAAATCTGTTCCTTTAGATTCAAAAAGGGTGAATAAATAAATAAATAAAATATTGGTATTACTCCGTGTGTGTGTTTGTTGTTGTTTTGTTTTTTGAGATAGGATCTCACTTTATAGCCCAGGCTGGAGTGCATGGTGCAAACTTGGCTCACTGAAGCCTCAAACTTGTGGGCTTAAGCAATCCTCCTACACTAGCCTCCCAAGTAGCTGGGAATACGGATGCAAGTGGCCACATCTGGCAAATTTTTAAATTTTTTTTTAAGGAGATGGCCTCCAACTCCTGGCCTCAAGCAATCCTCCCGCCTGAGCCTCCCAAAGTGCTGGGATTACATATGCGAGCCATCACACCTGGCCCAAAAATGTATTTCTTAGAGGGTATCCTGAGCTATGGGACAGAAATTCATAGTTTCCCTACCCTCTCCTCTGCCCTAACCATTACCAAAGGTTTTGACTTTGCTCCCTGTTTTTCTCCCCACTCCACAGGTAGATTCTCTTATAATAAGGAGGATTTGTTTGAGGATGTGATGCTGAACAAGAATAAGGAAAAGAAGAGAAAGCCTGTGAGCTGAGTTTGGAGAAGAGAATGCCGAGGAACTGTGGGAGAGGAGAGTATGTCTCGGGGTGGGAAGGGACAGATATAAATCTTGCAAGAGACCAAACATCTTTCTGAAAGGTAACTCTTCATCAGGATCATTGCCTATCTTCTACCTGTTATGGGAACCTCACTTTTGTTCACCTCCACTGTCACCTTCTACTGCTCTTATAATCCACCGTCAGCTGCCCTCAATGACAAGATGTCGTTCACCCAGGGCCAAGCACTTGAGCAGGGGGCTATAGGCACAACCACCTTCTGATTATCACCTTCAGCTGCCATTTCAGATTGGGTCTGACTGTGCAGAGGCCTGTCTCTGATTGTCTTCCAGGACCTCTGGCCATACCCTCTCAGGCCACAGGGACAGATCTGTCTTTCCTTCTGCCCTGCCTGCATCCTAGGTGGGGGACCAAAGACCTGGAGCCTCCTCCACCAATGTCAAGCAGAGTGATTGCTCTGAGGATCTTTGCTATGCTCATTTGCCTTTTGAAAATCCCCTCTTAACATTCTGTTTTACAGAACAAGCAAGGTCTCTCAACTATCCTGCTTCTGTTGTTGTTGCTATTGTCTTGCCCTTTAATTAAATCTGACAGCTAGGCAGGCACGTTTGAGCTGGAGGCAAACCAAGGCCAAGTGAAATCAGGATAGGGTGTTCTACCTCTTGAGAGCAGGACTCTCAGCGCAAAGCCCAAAGTGGAGCAAAGAGAAAATCAATAGTTCTCAGCCAAACTCATTTTCAAATGTAAATGGTGCTTGTGATTAGCAAAGGAGGTGCATGGTGAAAAGTTTTGCTCTTGAGTTGTTTTTGTCATGTTCCTGGCTGTTGTTTTATCATCTTGGCCTACCAGTCTAATTCATAATTTTAATGTCAGCTTTGGTGCTAGATAATTTTCACTCAGAATAACAGCAGTTACCACTTTCAAGGAGTCTCATATTGGCTCATTCTCTGGATAATTTTTGAGATCCTACTAAGCACCTAGCAGTATGGTAGGCTTATACTCATGGGTGGGGTGGGGGAAGGAGAATTTTTCAAATCACATCACAAATACATAGTTACTGGTAGTGAGAAGTGTGAATTGCTAAGAATAATCAAATAGGAGGACTTACCTAGTCAGGACAGGGACAAAGAAAATATTGGTGAGGAAATGATGCTGAGCTATTAAAAAATAGGTATTAAGAATGACTAGGACTTTGGCAGAGTGTGAGTGTACGTGTATGCTGTATGTATGCTCAGGTGTGTGCAGGCCATATAGAGGGGAATGGTTGCGAAGGAAAAAGCATATTCAAGAACAAGGGAAAAATGCAGGCACAGACCCTGAAGAGGGAGCCAAGGAAGGTGGTAGCTGCCTTCACTCTGGCAAAGTAATAAAAAGTTAAAAGTACTGATCCACTTTATTAAAGGACAGTGATAGAGACCAGGAGATTGCAGTAGTATATGCCAAGTGATAATAGCACTCTAGTGTCTCTGAGAAGGTCAAGGAAGGCTCAGTTTCCCCAGAAATATCTCCATTACAGACTGCAAATTCCATTACTATCCCATATAATGTCTCTGCAATATAATCTTTGCATTCTTCTAGCCCTTTATTTTAAAGTGCAAAGAATAAGCCCCTTACACTGGCATTTTTTTCAGCAAAGATTTATCGAATGTTTACTATGAGCCAGGCAAAGTTCTAGTAATTGGGGTTATAGCAATGAACTCAACGAAAACATTCCCTCCCCTCAGGAATCTCACAGTCGATTATTCCCACTCTGTAAAGTCAGGACTGACTGCATGGAACTGCTTCTAAAATAGCATGATTATTTCTCTTTAAAGTAATGCCTTTACCCTTTAATTCCACTGTTGCTTTGATTAGGAATATAAAGTGGATTGGCTGGAGTGAGATGAAAAGAGAACTTAACTACTCTGCATTTAAAAACTGAGGATATCGAGATTCCTGGGTAAACCCAAGAAAATAAATAAAGGGGACCAGGTATCAGGTGAGGAGAAAGGAGATTTTGTGTGGGGAGGTGTACATGCATGTGCACAGACACGCGTTGTTGGGGATCAGGTCTTAGGAGAGCACTCAGAGGCTTTTGAGCCTGAAGACAAGACAAACAATGAGAAAATGTAGATGGTGGTATATTGGCCAAGGGGCTTTGATTACCTGAAATGTTAAATTCATGCAGAATTTATATTGTTTGAAGAAGATGGATAATTACACATCTCTTTCTCACTGAGAAGAAAGCATAAGACAGAAATAAAAAGTGAGAAAGTGATGCACCCCCCCAAATTAAAACATTTTATTGCACATTTCATTTTAGTTTGCCATGCTGTGACTTAAGTTTCTTCACGATCCCAAATCCCTTCGTAAGTGTTATATTACTTCAAGAAAAAAAAAATGTCTGGTCCAGATAATTTAATAATAGGAAGAAAGAAAAACCTACAAGAAGTAAGTAAGATGAGAATGAGATAGATAATTTACATGAAAGCAATAAGAGGAAGACGTGAGAAGCAAAGTTGCAAGAACCCCATGAACACCAGGGGGCTGTTGATATTTCAGGGATTAGCAAAGATGTGCTGGGTTCTCTTTAAGAGCAGTGAGTGAATGTGGCCGAACTCCAAGAAACACACATAAGGCAAAATAGTTTCTTTCTTTCTTTTTTTTTTTTTTTTTGAGACAGAGTTTCGCTCTTTCGCCCAGGCCGGAGTGCAGTGGTGCGATTTCGGCTCACTGCAAGCTCCGCCTCCTGGGTTCATGCCATTCTCCTGCCTCAGCCTCCCGAGTAGCTGGGACTACAGGTGCCTGCCACCGCGCCTGGCTAATTTTTTGTATTTTTAGTAGAGACGGGGTTTCACCGTGTTAACCAGGATGGTCTCGATCTCCTGACCTCGTGATCCGCCCACCTCGGCCTCCCAAAGTGCTGGGATTACAGGCGTGAGCCACCGCTCCCGACCAAAATAGTTTCTTTAACAAAATGTTTTTATTTGTTACTCAAGAAAACACAGTCAATAACACATACATACACATACACATATATGGATGTATATGCTCTGGCTTTTTGGTTCGCCTCTGGGGTGCATGCTTTACACTTTTTTACTTCCTCAACATGTCTGACAGTAGCCATATCCAGTTATTCAAGCCAGTTATTCAAGTATTACTTTTCCTTTTTTATCTGGGGCTCTATAAGTTAGGTTTCCTCTTTTCCCTAATGGAAATATTACAAAGTAGGTCAGGTTTCTCCTCTTAATTAATAGGAAGATGATAAAGTAGTAAGCGTGAAATATATCATGTCATGATGTAAGACAAAAAGACGGCAGAATCTCTCAGTATTTATCCCCTACCTTTATTGTGATATGTATAAATTATCCCTTGAGACTTGAATGACTCACATTTTATGGTCTGTGTTCCCCAGGTAAAAGTACATCAACTCTGTTTTTGTCCACGGATAAAGGAATGGTTGTGACCATGAAAATACCTTGCAGAGAAGGATTTTCCAAGAGTATCTGACACACTTTAGCACTTAATTTTTCTTACTAATTGGAAGCAAAGGTAAGTATAGTACTTTTCAACTCTTCAAGTCATAGAAATCCTTCTATTTGGCCAGAATCCATGGTAAATTAAAGAAGAAAACTGATGTTTTCTGGCAGCTTAGGACCACTAAAATAACAACAATCAACCCAGAAATGTCTAAGTGGCCAGGCATGGGGAGTTTGTACTCCAGCAGCTTAGAGATCCCTATTCATAAGTTTTCAACTGGTTGTAATTTTTTTCATTCATATATATATATATATACACACACACTCTCAAATACACACACATACATACACATGCACACATATGCATACACACATACACACATGTACATGTGATATATTTGTGTGTAATATACATATAGCATATAAAGCATTGGGTTCATGTATTTTTCACTTGATGTAGATGACTTGCAAATGAAACAAGTTCTAATTAACCTCAAAATGTTATATTCAAGAATAACACTCCTAGAAACTCCTAGCTTTGAAAACTTTAGCAGTCTCTGCAAAATTTGAGGCCCAAACACTGCAGTCTCTTTCTGAGTTATACCATTTATCCTCAGGGAATATAGTGATGCTAATATAGTTAGGGACCCCGTAGCCTTGAAGGCAATTGCCTCCCAAGAGTAACAACAGAAGCATGTATTACTTTATTTGAGTGGATACGATGGTTTCTCAACTCAATATTAGAATCACCTAATCTTTTCTCACCACTAGAACAATGTCATCTAGGACACCCACTGTTCCTTTAAGCAAAACCAGATAGTTTTATAGAAGCCACAATGAACAGGTCTCTAGGACCCTGCACTGAGCTGGGAAAATGGAAGCTGTGGTCCTGCAGGGTACGTACAGGAGGTGTGGATGCTTGGGGTAGTTACACATTTAACCCAATTGCTAGGAAGAACAAAAGTAAAATGACACTTCTGGGGGTCATGTCTAGACAATGTTACTTCCTAGACAGATTTTACTTTTTACACCCAATAGAGAAGTTGTAAATGAAATCATACCCAAGACACGAAGCACTGTTTTCATCTAGCTTTCTTATTAACTCCCTATTACCAATTTTTCTTCCTCTATGGATCTACAAATTGTATAACATGACTCATTTCAAAACACCGTTTTCTAATTTTCTAAGCCTATAAAATAGTTTTATTATCCCTGTGGTTATTTTGCCCGGTTTACAATTTCAGGACTTTGGGCATTGATGTCTTATTGGAGAATCTAGACCATTATACAGTAGCTAAATGTTGCCTGGATCGTATGTTGTGAGCCGTGGCTACAAATTCACATGATCAACCCCCCTCCTGCCGATGATGACCTCTAGAGCTGAGTTGGTTTCTTTTTTCCCCCTTAGGAATATCGCATGTCTACATGGGGTCTTATTTCAATTTAACACAGTTCTCTGTTGCACAGAATTTCTAATGGGTGAATGGCTACAGAGCAATTTGGTTATGTTTTATCTGCCCCAAAGCCATTTAGGTCTATGGAGAGACTTAAATGCTCCATCCTTCTACCTTATATCCTTCACAGTTCTGGTCTCCAAAGGGCTCAAAAGGTTGTGCCCTTCTCTATGCGGGCTTCCAATTATTTTAGACAGGTTTATTACCCCAGACAGAGGTATAGAAAGTGATTTCTTGAAGGCTTCCACTACTCAGAGTACCAGCGAGCACTTGCTGAATATTCTTTCACGTTAATAGAGAAATTGACTGTGTATGTGTCACTAGTTATACTCTAGGATACTTTTAAGAAATTGTGTTCAGTCATCAATCAGCTAAAGATTATCACATGGTTTCCACACAGCAATTAATGTTTGTACATTGACAACTCACTGATTACCTTATCCATTTAATAAAATAGACAATATGACTTTGTGGTTGACATTTCCAGTGTTTACTCACATAGGGAGTTATTCCTCCTCCAAGTACAAGATAATATTATACTTTTTTACTGTCTTGTTATTAGTTAGATAGGAGCATGTGTGTAGTTCTGACCAATGAGCTGTGAGGGGAAGTGATGTGGGTTATTTCTGAAATGAAATATTCAATTGTCTGTATGAGACCCTTTTGCACTCCCTTTACCTGCCACATTGGTCATGTAGGCTGTGCTTCCAGATGACACAGCTATAGGACGGCGGAGCCTCCACTAGCCTGGATCACTGAGTCACCACATGGAGGATAATTGCTTTGCAGGGTCACCTGGATTTTGCACGAGTGAAAAATAAACCTGAGATTTGTTAAACTATTCAGATTTTGAGCTTTTTCAATCACTGCAGGCTAATTTATTCTTTCCTAAGCAATAAAGATTTCTTCCATAATCAGGCATAATGCCATATGGCCCCACTTCCATTTACCATTTGTTTCAAAGTAATATCAAGTGTCCTTAAGATGTAGTGTTTTCAACTAGTTTCTGTACACATACTGCCCAGTCTGTCACAAACAGCTACGTGAGGTTTTACCAGAGATACTATAAATGAAACTGTTTTCTACAATTCAGGTTCCATGAATGCAAGGGGCTGAGTCAATTCACGTGATATGAACTTCACTTTTAACAATACTAGTCATCATCGAAAGTAACAGTTTTATGGGGACTATGGTAGTCAAGTGTTACTGTGATTATGTTGCATAAAATCTTGGTGGTTTACAGAAAAATCATGAATCTCTCACTAGTTTATTGGTTGACTACAAAGTTAGCAGAGGGAGTCCTCTACGTCATACTGTGTTTCAGGTTCACGTAAGAGGTGTTTCATTCTGGGCCCAGGGGCTACCCAGAGAATGTTCTTCTAATGAAGGGAAAGAGAAGTACAAGAGGCCAAGGCAAAGCAAGTAAGCATATTTCAAGCCTCTGTTTATGGCATGCCTGCTAAAATATGATGGGCCAAAGTAAGCCACATAGCCACCTGTTCTACTTGGAGATATATCAAAGCCACATGACCAACGACATCAGTGTGTAACTCTTAAATAGAATAAGTAACAAACAGAAAAAAAGACCATTCTACCAAAAGAACCATATTGAAACTGGAAAAATGAAATAAAGGTCCTTTTATTACAAATGATTAGGAAATCTTAAATTATATTTCCCTATGATCTCATTGAGGTACATACTCAGTATTTTCTGATCCTGAAGCAGTTGCTCTTGTTGTTTTTTTATATATATTAACCCATTTATTAGCTTGCTGTTTATTGATTGCTTCTCATGTCTTGGCCACCTGGTAGCTCTTAATTTCACAAAGGGTATTCTCATTTTACTTTAATTATTTTTGATAAATTGCCAAATTACAGGTAACTCCTGATTTAATCCATGGATTATCATAATATTGCTCCCCTAGACTGTGTAAGACAACATATATGGTCAATGCTATGTTATTTTATTGTCCTAATTTACAGTTGTTGTTATTGTTTAAACCAGTTTAGCAATGAGTCATCTCTCCCACTTCTTTCCATTTTTCACAAAAAAATTCAGGATTCCTTACTTTTTTATCAAAAATATTTCTGGCAGACTGCCACAGTGAATGGCCTTATTAATACTTGTATTTCATCTTTTTTATTCATCCCTAGATACAGGTTATGAAGGCATGTGCTTGGACATTCTAGGAAGTGACTAAGTAGAAGATAAAAGACAGTGATAGAACCATAAGCCATCCTGGTAGAGTTTCAGCTAGTCAGGTTTTGAGCTGAGTATTGAAGTGTCCTTTGCACAGTTCTACCACAGTTGTGTTTGGGAGGAAGAGTTGAGGTGGAAAAACAATTTGATATTCAAAATGTGAGCTATTCTTGGAGCACATGTGCTGTGAAATGAGTTATCTGATCCTAATTTAAAGAACATTTACCAAATACCTATGTGTTCAGCACTGTTCTAAGCTCTGGGGATGTAGCAACAAACAGACAAAATCCCAGCCCTTATGGAGCTAACATTTTAATGGAATCTTAATGAATAAGTAATTTCCAAAATAAGACTCCCATTGATGAATCTCCAATGGCTGTTTTTACTGGTACAGACTTATAGCCAGACCCAGAAAAAAAACAGAACTTGTTCCATTAAAAAAAAAATAGATATTAGCAGTGAGGATAACCTCAGCAGGTTGAAATACCTTAATTCAGAAAGCTGATATTGAAGATACAGAAATAGTAATAATGAGTGTGCTTTATTTTCCAAGTTGTCCTGATTATAAGAATACACATCTCTAGACAATTCCTCTAGAGGTTTTGATTCAATATGCATTGGGTGGGTCCTAGAATCAGGATGATTAATAACAGATGGCTCAGTGATTCTTATAATCAGACATGTCTGAGAAACACTGCAATAGGAGAAATGAAAACATCTGTCCAGCTCTGCATCTCATTTTCTTTAATCATCACAACAACCTTGCATTATAGAGAATGTTGTCTTTCTTTCACAGACAACAAAAGTAGTATTTCCAAGATCATATAATTGATAACTGGAAAATTTAAAATTTGAAACCAAAGATGAAAGTTTGTCTCCAAGGCTCATGCTCTATCACACCACACTTTCTTTTTGTTTGCTTGTTGTTCATTACAGCTTTTTGTGAAGAATGAAAAAGTTGTTCATTCTTCTTTTTCAAGAGACATTTATTGAGTACTATATCTAGAGATATAAGATAAGAGAAGAAGAGGAATGCAAATGTGAGTAAACTCCAAGAAACTCAAAGTCTATATAGTATTGTATTCGATTCAAGTCCATAAAACATGTCAAGGAAACTCAAAGGAGAGAAAGGTCAGTTACAGCCATGGAGAGCTTTCCTAGAGGTAGCATCTTAGAGTGTGGGTAGGTGGAGCCAGAGGGTCGAGCATTCTACACACAGGAACAGCACAAAGAAAAGAGCAGGAATAAGAAAACACAGATTGCAGACAATTGCAGGACTTAAGAGAGGTTTCCACAGCCACACATTCATCTCAGAACATTTGAATAATGTTTAAGATTGGCAAATTTCACATATATGTCTATATTTCCGAATCCTGTTGAAATGTTGGAAGATAGGGAAGTGCAGGGCCAGTTTTCCCCTTGAGCACAGTTTGCTGAAGCTAAGAAATAGTTGTCCCCTTCACTAATTCTCTGGAGCTGATGTACACGTTCATATTATCTGCTCAGCCACTGCATGTATTTGAGCTCACTATCCTCTGAGCAGAAGATGTGGAATAAGTGGCAACAAACGAAAGTAGAAAGATTGGATCATTTGCAGAGTCTTCCTCCAGGAAACCAGTAGATTAAAAAGCCAACTGAAGATACTGAGCCTGTCTGCTGTTAGCTGCTTGAACAAGTCTTTAGCACCTCCCTCTTAGGGTAGATGAAGCCAGGATGCAGTGACAGCCCTGGACAAGTTTTCTCCTGCTTAAAAATTTACTGTCTGCTAAACCTGCTGGGCAGATAGTTCTGTAGACAAAAAGTGGCCATATAGGAGGAGTGTGGGGTTATTGGCCAAACAGCCTTTCTTAAGAAGTGTAACTAGTGGATGATTAGTGAAGTCCTACTTCTCCATTATTACCTTGGGGCCTGTTCTGTGACTTAAATGTTAGCTTTATTTAGCCAGCCAGGGAGATGATAATGGCTCACTGAAGGGGGAAATCTATGAATTTCTAAGATTGGTTTGGCATTTTCTTAACCTAGAGATAAATGCTAGGACACAAAGCAAGAGAAGAGAGGGAAAAAAAAGAGGGAGAGAGGGGGAAAAAGGAGGGAGAGAGAGTGAAAGCAAGCAAGAGAGAGAGAAATGCAAAAAGAAAAAGTCAACTAATATTTATTAAACACTGACTATGTGCCAGACACCTTTCCTGGTGATCAGACTTGTGGCTGTATGGTAGAGAACATACTAGGCATTATATATATATATACATATATATATATATACACATATATATATACACACACACACATGCTAGGCATTATATATATACACATATACATATATACATATATAAATATATATACACATATACATATATACATATATATACACATATACATATATATACATATATAAATATATATATATAGCAGAAGACAAATACTATAAAAACTCTTTCCATGAATAGCAAAATACAAAAATGTGAAGTCTCTGAGTCAGTTAAGTCAAGAATAATTGGAAATTAGGTAGTCAGAACCAGCCAGTTGTATGCATCTTAAACACATTCGAAGACTGACTCTTATTCTAAGAAAAGGGTAGAAGAATATTGAGTCAGGTCTGGGCAGTTGATGTAATGGCAAGAGCATGAGTTTTGAAGTCAGCAATTCCACAATTTAAACTCAGCTTTACTGTTTAGAAGTTCTGCAGTAATTAGCAAATTTCTTGGAGCCTCACTTTCCTCTTTTATAAAATGGGAATCATAATTTTTTAATGATACCACAGAGTTTGTGTGAAGATGTAATGAGGTTGCATTTTCAGACATATAGTAGGCACTTTATAAATAAATCATCTTCCCTCTTCAGCTTTCTTAGTGACATGGTCAAAGTCATTAGCAGTTCTGAATAGTTGTATTCAATGTGGATGATAAGAGGACAAAATCAGAACTTTAGACCTCTAAATGAAAGCTAATGAAAAATAAATGTTCTTTTCCCTCTGTATTTGGCTGTCTACAAATTATGTCTCCTGATGCATGCTGGGTCCTCTGCTATTCCATGACTTCAGATACTGAACTTTGAGTCTTTGTCACATCAGCAGCACCAAGTAATTCCGTACAGAAGTCTGACATTTACAGTTGAAAAAAATAAATTGATTAAAATTCAACAGGCATATAGTGTTCAGCATTTAAAGGTCGGGGAATCTAGAGAACTATCAACTGTAAGATAATTCAACATTTAACGCAGGTGGGGGCAACTAGGATGTGTTTCTGTCTTTCGACACCCCAGCATTTGACTGCTGGGAACATAATTGTGGCAAATTTAATTACAGCCTCAAGACGGGCCATCTATCTTTAGGGGCCTTGGCAGCTGGGCTTCCCAAGAGTAAGAAAAGACCAATTTGACTTTCCATGCATTATGTCTTCACCTTTGTTAGGCAAGACATAATCTTTTTCTTTGCCTGAGTTCTCTGAAGCTACTGTTCTTTTCCTTTTGATATTCCCAGTATGACTACAAGCCAGTTGGTCATTAGCTTAAAGAGGGAGAAAGAAGAGACACCTTGTAGACCAGGAAATCTGGAGCTTGACTTACTATGCTCCATGCTTGACTATTACGCTGGCATGGTGAATATTCTCCTATTTATGGTACACAGCAAATATCTAGCATAGGATGAGCACATAGTAAGCCTGCAATAAATATTTGTTGATGTAATGAATTAAAAGACCATATTCCAAATTTAGGCTCCTTTAGATACTATTGGTCACAGTCAAGTTACTTACCCACTCTGGGCCTCAATTTTCACCTCGGTAAAATAGGTACAATAATTCCTGCTTCACAATTACTATGTTGTTTTTCAACTGCCTGTTAACATTATATTTCCGCTACCAAACAGTGAGCTGCTTTAATGCCTTTAGGTCAGTACACCTCTCCACTCCCTACAGTGCCCAGCACAGTGCCCAGAAAAGGTTAGGTGTCCTACAGACATAAAATGAATTAGAATCTATGCCATGCAGCAGCAAGAGTACTGAAATGGAATGCAAGTAATCAAGGGTCTACATCTCTATCCTATCACCAATGTGTGATATGACCTGTAGGTCTTAATTTGCTCATCAGTCAGATGAGGGATTAATGTTAAAAATCTCCAAGGTCCCACTGAATTTTGATATGCTTTGATCTTTATTCTTGTATTATCAGTATTTTATTCATTAGGGCATATTTATTGAGTCTCAGTAATGACTTGAAATTATAGCAAATAAAAGAGTTGTCTTGTGAAGACATGAAATGACTACAGGGTGACAAGACTGCTTTCTGCAAATATCTAGAGTATTATGATGGAACTGCTGATCAGTTTTTCTCATTTTTGCTTAAGAGGTATGGGCTTTGGTTATTGTAGGCAAGCATGCAATTAGACACAAGGAGAGATTTCTTGATTACTTCAGGGATAAAATGATGCCTACATTCAGTTTCCTGTACAGGTGAGAGCTAGAGTCCCCGATGAGCCAATCAACGAATCAACAAATATTTGCTAAGCCTGCTTGCTGCTCATTTTCCTCTTCATGACATTTTACTCAAAGTATGGATCATGAACCACCTGTATTAGAATCACCTGGAGCTCATGGTAAAAATGTAAATTCTTAGATTCAATCCTTCTGAATCTGACTCTCAGGGGCTAATGTCAAGGATCTATGTTTTAATAAGCTCCCCAAATGATATTTCTGTACCTCCTAAAGTTAAACAAACACTGTTCTTGAGTTTAATAGTCTTTAGCAATACTTTTTCCCAACCTGGTGGCTATTAAACTAATAACAATGGCAGATGCCATTTGTTGAGCACTGACTGTGAGCCAAACATCTTATCTATATATTTACAACAGTTGCACCCACTCTATGAGGTAGATATTGTCCTCACCTAAGAGATGAATAAATAGATGCTGAATGACAAAGTGGCACAACCAGAAAGTGGTACAACCAGAAAGTGGCAAGATTAAGGCCTGAACCCAGGTCTCCTGACTCTCAGTCCACCATTCTACAGCTGCTTTCCTGAAATCCTTGCTTCTGGAAAGGGCATTATGTCAGAATCAGGTTCTTCAGCCATGACCTTGCTTGCTTCTGAAGAAGGAGAAGAGGTGAAGAAGGTCACAAAGATGCAAGCTCATCCATATTCAGCTTGTTCTGTTAGCTTTGACTTCCAGAGAGACGTCTGAGCAAGAGATGGATCTCTAACTCCCTGCAGAGATCCTAAAGTATGATTTCTCAGAATACAGACTTTTCCACCTTTCCTTCAAGGAGGATGTGGGATTTGATGTGTGATCATGTGATCTTACTGTGACCCCCCTACAGGTTACTCAAAGGAGAATAAGCTGAGGCCTGCCATCACGGATCTCAGTACACATGAAGGACTCCAGGGAGCCACTTTCAGATGGTTCCCATTTGCATTGCTCCTTATAATTGCAAAAAAAAAAAAAAAAAAAAAAAAAACTCTCTTGGACTCTCAGCTTCTGGAGGTCAGCAAAGGCCATGGAGGACTGCCCCTCCTGGCTTTGGACAAGAAAGGCTAATTGACAGATAATTAGCTAGCAGACCTGACACTTTCACAGTGAAATTTTCAAATAACCATTTATGTCCATTATCAATGATTACCTGACAGATGCATCACAAATGGAAGGCAAATTTGAGACAGGTGAAGTAGACCAGTAGTGTGAAATGCAGGTAATTTCAGGAGACCCTTCCTTAGTCTTTCCTCAGCATCTTGTAGGTAGTTGGGATACAGGTTCAAATTTGTGTGTGTGTGTGTGTGTGTGTGTGTGTGTGTGTGTGTGTGTGTGTGTGTAGGCAGAATCTCGCTCTGTCGCCCAGGCTGGAGAGCAGCGGCACAATCTTGGCTTACTGCAACCTCTACCTCTCGGGTTCAAGCAATTCTCCTGCCTCAGCCCCCTGATTAGCTGGGATTACAGGGGCACGCCCCCATGCCTGGCTAAGTTTTTTTGTATTTTTAGTAGAGACAGGGTTTCACCGTGTTAGCCAGGCTGATTTCGAACTCCTGAGCTCAGGCAATCCACCCACCTTGGCCTCCCAAAGTGCTAGGATAACAGGCGTGAGCCACCGCGCCTGGCCCAGGTTCAGATTTGTAATGTGCTTCCAACTTGATTTTTTAAGGGTGAAATATCATTTGGACTAGTTTAGGGAAACCATTACAGAGGCAGGGAAATGGTTAGAATTCACTTCTCACTGTTGTTTATTCATTCAACTGAAATTTATTGTCAGGTTGTTAGGTGCTGCAGAGATGACTAAGTAACAGTCCCATTTTGGAAGAGCTCATGGTCTTGTAAAGAAGAAAAACAAACCTAGTGCTGATATTGAATTCTCAATTTTAGAAGAGATTACAGGGCAGGATTATCTCCAAAAATAAATAAATAAATAAAACCAGATAAAATTAAGATCCTAAGTATTAGGCAAAGGGCATGTTCATTAAATTACCCGTGTGCCCTTGGGCAAGTCACTTAACCTCTCTGGATCCTGGTTTTCTTATCTCAAATGTCAGGGAATTGGCTTAGGTGATCTTAATAGTCCTTTCTGTTTCTAACAGTCTATGATTCTACCTCTATTTTATAAATGTATAAGCTACTGAACTTAGATGTATGGCTTGTCCAAAAATGCCAAATCTATTCAAGTACATTTCCCCACTCCTTAGAAAACTTGAAATCTGCCATAGAATCTAAGACTCCCTGAACTACCCATATCAGTTTAGAGCTGAAGGCATTTATGTCCAGAGAGGCAAAAGAACATATATAAGGTCACATGCAAGTTTGGGATTGGCATCTTAGAAGGCAAGCTTCTGGATTCCTAGTCACAAAGGAGGCTGATTCAACACATTTCCTTCCCAATCTTGCTGCCTTTATGTTCAGTACTGGGTGTTTTTAAGAACTCTTTTTAGATATCAAATCACTTTATTAGTTTTGGAACATAAAATGTGTTATGCATGCCCGAGATTGCTTTTAGAACCAACATGTTTAATGATATAAAAGATGCAGGAAAAATAGAAAGGATGCTTTTTTAAAAAATGCCAAAGATATAAAGAGAAAACAAGTATCTCATCACCATGTTCCTGTACTTCTTTCCTTCACATCTGCAATTTGTTCTCCAATTAAGAACTTCCAGAGATGAGGATGCAGACGTGGAGCTAGTCACAGAAATGTTTGCAGTTAAGACATACTGATGTTGACATTAATAGAGTTATTATAGTAAAGTTCATTAGTTTGATATATAACTTTGTATAAATTTTTAGTGAAAAAAAATCAGGCTTAAACAATGAAGGATATTTATTGCATCAAATGTGTAAAATGGTGACAGGTAACACAAGCTTCAGGTGAGGATTGATCTAGTAAAGCAACAGTGTCAGCAAGAAAAACACCTGGTGTTTTTCTGTATCCTCTTTCTACTTCAGCATGAGCTTCATTCTCAGGTTGATTTCCTGCATAGCCATAAAGTGGTTTACAGTAACAATCTGGGCTATCTACCGCCTGATATATATCCAGTGAGAGACAAGCTATTTGTTTATTCCAACTGATTCTCAGAGTTCTGAGTCTGACTCTCATTGAACCACCTTAGATAACTTATTCATCCCTGAACCAATAACTGTAAGAGTGATAATACTATCTTTGTTGAATTACCGAAATCCTTACCAGCTCCTTGAGCTGAGGGACAATTTGATTTTTTTCTCAAACTGTAGGGATACTGCACAGTGGGTAAGAGGAAAAGTGGATGTTTGAGAGAACATTACAATGTACACCTCAATGCTGAAGATAAAAGTGATAGTAATTTTGGTACAGATGATGAAGATGATAAAGTGGTGAAGAAGAGTAAAGGTGATGAAGGTGGTAAAGCCACTGAGATAATAAAGGTGATCATGATAATGACTGTGGCAATGGTCAAGAGGCAGTAAAAATCAAGCTGATGAGAGTGATGAAGTTAATAATAAGGAGAAAAAAAGCAATAGGCCAACATTTAATTATCAGAAGCGCAGTGAATCTGAATGCCTTTCCCATTCACCCTTCTTAAATAAATTGCCCCTGGCCAGAGCTCTTGTTTTTCCCTTTATATAATGCAGTTGTATCCCCTTTTCCTAGTCCGAAGTGATTGGCTCAAGCATGGACACTTGATTTAGGAAAACCTAGCCATAATTTGGGCTATCCTAAATGAATTGGACATTTCTATCAAGCATTTTCACTAAGATATAGTCAGATGATGCTTGGCTCCCGAAAAGGCAAATCCAATGTCCTTTATTGTAGTTTCTATTGTCTGTTCCCAATTATTTGTTTCCTTCTCACCCTTACCATGCTTCTCTGCCCCATTGCCTTGAGGCTTTGTCATGTGACATCACATGACAAATAGGATGTGAGCAATCATAATACTCCCACAGGGACAGAAGCTTTCAATTTGACTGTAGATCTTGGCTGGGTCCTCTTGCACTAGGTCATCCTCATGAGAACAGCACATTTTAGACAGTGGTTTTTCTTTCAGCCTGGGCTCCAGAATGAGAAGACACATGGGACCCAGCTAAGTCTAACAAAGCTGAAGTTGAGCCACCACACTCAAAAAATGTGAGTGAGAATTAAACATGTTTAGATAAAATTGTGGAGTTGTCTGTTTTACAGCATACCCTGGATAAAAGCTAACTGATACATTTATAGTCAGGCCTGGAGTTATAAACACAACATTCAAAGCCAAATACAAACTATAGTTATGAGGAAAACGTGAACCTATAAGAAATGAAAACAAGTTGTTCTGTGGAAAAATTAAACAATGTCTCAGCATTTCTCTTTTTAGAAGAGCTAGAAGAGTAGGGTTGGGTCTCAACTATCATGATGGCAAGATAAACACAATGCCAGATGTAATAGCCCCAGTGTAGGACCAGAGCTCAGACCTTTTATGTTATAGTAACTTCACCCCTGGATCTGTCAACAGAGCAGAAGCAGCTCCACATTGGACCAAGGTGCTCATATTGTGAAAGGCTAATCACTCACTGGTTTATTTCCTCCTAAGGCCAGGCAAAAGAGAAGACATCTCACCACAAATGGCTCAACTCTTTTCTCTTACTGATGACAATACATTTAATAAATCATATTTAATATTTAATAAATCAAATATTATTTAGCCTGGATTCTATTTCCTAACACAAAGTTATCCTTTATTGGGGATTAGGAGCAGAGTCTCACTCTGTCGCCCAGGCTGGAGTGCAGTGGCTTCATAATAACTCACTGCAGCTTCAGACTCCTGGGCTCAGGGGATCCTCTCACCTCAGCCTCCTGAATAGCTAGGACTACAGGCATGCACCACCATGCCTACCTAATTTATTTTATTTTTGGTAAGGTTGGGGTCTCACTATGTTGCCCAGGCTGTTCTTGAACTCCTAGGCTCAAGCAATCCTTCTGCCTCAGCCTCCCAAAACACTGAGATTTCAAGCATGTACTACTGCACCCAGCCACAGAGTTATCTTTTGACTTACAGTTTTTTTTTAAACACAGACATTCAGTGAACAGTGTCATTTTCTCCATTTTCTACAAGAGAGAGTATCTGAAGCTAAAAAATTGTATAAGCAATTTAAAGCCTGACTTACCTTTTGAAAATGTCACATAAATATTGGATAACCACAAGCAAAATTTTAAGAGATTATTTCTATAATAGAAATTTAAGAGATTATTTTTACAGAATCTCAATTTCTTTACCTATAAAAAAACTAAGAATACCTTTGTCTTAGGAATCTTGTGCGTACTATATAAAAGAAAGTATGCAGAATGCCTGACAAATATTAAAGACTCTATAATGACAATTGTTATTAATATTGAGAGGAAAGATGAGGTAGAATATTTGCCAGAAACAAAAGTGGGAAGAATTCATGAATCAAATAACAAATACAGAGACCCATACAGAGCTGTTTGGGAGAAGGGAGAGAACAAGTTATGCAAACAGTAAACTTATCCAAAGCTAACACAAAAAGAAGCCCATAGTGAATTCCATCTGTTTTCTGCAGGCACCTGCTATTTATTTACTTTGCAGCTTGATCAGTTGAGCCCAAATTGTTATTTAAAAAAAAAAACTCAAAACACAAGGAGAGAAGAGAGAGACGGGGAGAGAATAAATGGGGAAGGGAAAAGAATAAGACAATAATAGCTAACATTTACCGAGTTCTTACTATGTGCCAGTCACTTTTTAAGCTCTTTGCATAAGTTAATACATTTACTATTCACCAGGGCTCTATAGCTAGCTCTTACTCTTATCCCTACTTTATAGGGAAGGACTGAAGTGTGGGAATACTGAGTGATTTAGCCAAGATCTAACAGCTGGGAAGAGAAAGACCCAGCATTTAGCCTAGTCAGTCTCATTCCAAAGAATAACTCCGTAAGTCCTCACAATGTATAGCATCATAGGAAAAGAAATATCATCATTTCCCAGTTATGGCTGGATTTGTATGTGTAGAATAGAAAGGTCTGATTTGGAAGCAACATAGTTTGTGAACCATTCTTCTTTTACTTACAGATGCCATTTGGTTTATGACATTTGGGGTTCACTAAACCTCTTTGAACCTGTTTCCTCATTTGTAAAATCCTACAATTTCTAATTTATGTGTGGATCAAATAGTAAGAGGATAGCACTGATGTGACTGTTGTAAAAATTAAATTATACAATGTAGGTAAAGTGATTAGTGCATGGTAGCTGCTCAATAGATGATAGCTATTATTATGATAATTATATGTAATTATTATTAGTTCAGGAGAAAGAATCAAGAAAATCTCCATGAAAGAAGTAATATTTCAGCAGCTTCTTGTGGGTGGGAAAGATTTTCATAAGTGTAAATAATATGGACTGCATGTTCTAGGAGAAGGAAAAAAATATGAGCAAGGCTTGGAGAAGCCAGGGCCCAAAACTGATGTTCTGACTCTGCTATTTCAGGAAGCAGGGAAGCACATGACACAAATTAGAAATGCAATGCTCTAAAAATTGCTGGAAGGAAACCCTTAGGAGCTCAATGTGGCAGACTCCCCATCATCTAGGAACTTCTACTAAATGGAAAGACAGTACCGAGAGATCTCAATACTGGAGGTGTCACTATAGCAAGATACAAAGACACCCAAGATCTACTTCCACAGCACCGTCAAGAAGAGGCCATAGGAGATCCTCTCCATTCAGAAATATTTTAACTTCTCTATTTGCTCTCTGTTGAAGATTTTGTAAAATCCACTGACAAATGCCACTAAGGTATCAGACTCAGATCCTAGGATGTTATTATTTAAATTAGGTTCATGTATGAGTGAGGCTTTTCAGGTACATCTTCTTGTATATTGCTCCTTTTTACCCAAAAACCTGTGACCTAAAAAGATAATAACTTCCTCTATCGACCCAACATACAATGGTGAAATAGAGACCAGCTAACCACAAAAGACAATGCCACTTAAAAGGATGAGAAATGGGAGTGCCATTGCTGTCATGATTCTGGATAAATATTGTCAGGTTCCCTTTAATTTAGGGACAGATAATGTTCTAATGAAAGAAATATTACCTGTCCTAAATTAGGAGGGATCTGACAGATCTTCTCCTGGGGAGTGCTTCCACAGTTTGTTTTACTCTTCAGTTCTTAACTGTGTCCTTGGGCCTCTTGATTTTACTGTCTGAGATATCTGTACTATTTCATAACAAATAAACCTTGTTTACAATGAGGTAAAATATTTAGCCTATTTCCTGTCTATAGGATGTTGAAGGCTTAGAGAACTTTCACAAACCTAAAACATCTCAGTTCCTTTTAGTTCAAGTTGGCGGTCCATTGTTGATACAGCTCTCTAAAAAGCTTTATGAACTTTCTATGTATCAAATTATAGTACAGTTCACTTTACAGAAGCCACAGATAGTATTTTTTTAGCATTCCTCTCTACTTAAGCCCTGTTTTGTGTGCTATACTGTTGTTGAGAACCTGCCCTTTAGATACTGAGAAACCCTTTGTCTGACTAAGCAGGCCTATCTTAAAATCTTCCTGATGGTTTATAGCCATACTTAGCATCAGATCACTTCTTATTTTATAAATTGTTTACAACTTTTACTAAGTCCAGATTTTTGCCAAAAATAAATTTCCTTATTCATGATTTTCACATATTATTTTTATGCAAAATGAGAATGGGTCAGCTAATTGTTATGCAACTTTAAACATTTTGGTCTATACATCATATTTCTGATTGTTTTCTGTACATTTTGACTTAAAAAAATTCCAATCTGATATTACCCAGAAATAATATCTGATTACAATTTCTTCTTGACCATATTTTAGTCCCTCATTTAACCCCACAATTACATTCATGAAATAGGATTATAATTTCCATTTTGCAGTTTGAAAAATGAAGGCTCAAAGAGATTAATTTACATTACAAAATTACACCACTATTAGCATAACTGGCATTTAAACTTCAATTTGTGTGTCTTCAAAGCTAGAAAATTGACCATTTTACTCCATTGTGTTTCATCATCATAATCTCCCCCTCTGGCTTTACACTTTACAGTTTACCAAGTGTGATCTCATTTGATCTCATTTAATCCAATCCTGAGAGACTAAAGCCTAACTAAAATGTAAAGCTCTCTCTACTCTTTTCCTCACCAACAAAATAAAAATAAATCACCTCAAAACAACTTCCCTTCTGCCGTATGGCTAAAAAGAAAAACAAGAAAAAGAAAAATGCTGTTGCTTAACCGTTTTCAACCAACTAACCTGGAGTTCCTGATCAACAGCAAGTACAAGTACTTACCAATTGTTAATGCCTTTTCTCATTTTTCTTTTCTCTCACTAAGTGTGATGCAACAGGAGAGGTGTGTCTGTAGTTGCAGACAGATGTCAGCCTGGACTTTATCTGTGCAAACTGTGAATGCTAGCCTTGTGAATGTGGTCATAAAATAACTCACATACAGAGAGTGGTAGTTGGCTGATGCCTAGGTCTCAGATGGATCTAGACTCAAAAGCCAACAGAAGTAGTCTTCTACTACCATTTCTTAACTTTTACTCAACAGTATAAAAAACTGAATTTGGACTTCTGTGCATTTGCTGATCATTCGACATTTTTAGCTACCACCTAGTGGCACTGCTTGCCAGCCAACAGTTCAGAGTGGGCAGCCCTGCCATTATCCCTAAATATCACAGTTTGTTTATACAAGTGATTGCCTTTTGACCTTCCTGTCTCACAATTGTAAATTGAAAATGGCAAAATGCAAGTGCTGCTATGTGTAGCAAAAGCAGAGATAGGATAAGCTTAATACAATCAAGGAAAAGATGGAAATCACTCCAGTGTAATATTTCAATACGTGTGCAGACCCTAAATGCATGCTGCTTTGAATTTGCATTTCATCACATACTAGTTGGCTGATCTTAGACAAACTACTTTTTCCTCTTCTGTTTAATGGGGATTCAAATAATTCATTTCACCTATGTTATGTGAGGATTAAATTACATAATAATGAAAGGTGTTATTTAAAGAATTTATAAGGCAGTGGCTCTCAAAGAGGTGTTCCTTCACCAGCAGCACCAGCAGTACCTGGGAACTTCTCCAAAATGCAAATTCACCAGCCCCGCTCCCAACCTACTGAATCAGAAACTCTGGGTGTGGGTCCAGCAATTTGTGTGTGACCAAGCCTTCCAGGTGATTCTGATGCACCCTAAATTTGAAAACTGCTACTGTAAATTAACGTGGAGAAGAGCAGGCTCAGAAGTTAGATGATATAGGTTTCAGTCTCTATATTGCCTTTTACTAATTGCATGATTTGGGGTGAATTATATAACCTGTTAATGACTTGATTTTTTTATCTGCAAAATTAGAATAATGTGTTTATTCTAGATCTGTAATGAAAAATTTTAAATAACATATCTGTCATATACCAAGCCCTCAATAAATGGTAGCTGGTTGTATTTAGGTTCTGATTATTGTTTTATTACTTCTGGCTTTAACTGCATTTAATCCAACTGGCTTTATAATTAATTGTGAAAGGAAATCAAAATGAAAGAGTATAGATGAAGTATACATGCTCTTAAACTTACAGTGGGGTTATGTCCTGATAAATCTATCATAATTTGAAAATCTTGTAAGTGGAAAAAATGCATTTAATATAGCTAACCTACTGAACATCATAGTTCAGCCTAGCCTACCTTAAATGTGCTCAGAACACTTACATTAGCCCACAGTGGGGCAAAGTCATCTGGCAATACAGTACACTGCAGAGTGTTCATTGTTAACCCTCATAATCACGTGGCTGACTGGGAGCTGGGGCTCACTGCATCTGCCCAGCATCGCAAGAGAGTCTCCTACTACATATTACTAGCCTAGGAAAAAACCAAACTTCAAAATTCTCAGTTTCTACTGAATGTTTGTCAGTTTCTACTGAATGTGTGTCACTTCTACAGTATTATAAACTTGAAAAATCTTAAGTGGAACCAATGTAAGTCAGGGATCATCTGCATTAAAATATATTATAGAAGATTTATTTTCTAAACGTAAGGGCAAAGTTAATTTTATTCATTTTTTTAGTGTCTAGGAAAGTACCTTCCCCTACAACATGGTAGTCTATAGTTTGAGGTCCATACTTTTGACCATCATACATTTTTAAGGGATTTATCATTTCCAAACATATTGTCCTAGCAAAGCATCACTGGCTCAAGGCTGGATCCTCTCACCAGGGACTTCCTGGTCTGCCAAGAAAGTAGAAGATGGACAGAGAAAGAGGGAGGATGTCCAGGGCCCATTAGTCAGAGCCCTGAAGGCCAGTCCCCCTGTAGTGCAGGGCTGGCATTTGCTTTGGCCAGAGGCCCATTCCAAGAGTACCACTGGGACAGAAGCTCAATACACTACCTCTAAGGTACAACCTGGGCAGGTGTGACCAGCAGGCTCTCTGATGGCCTCTGCTCTTGGGGCCAGCAGGCGGGCATAGCAAAAAAGCCATAAACAGAGGAAGCTGGGGAGAGAAACTGTGGGCAGAGCCACAGGGAGTCATCGAGAGTCTTGGCTGTGCTAGGCCAGGACAGAACAGAGAAACTCTCCCCCGCTGAAGGAAGAGGAAAAGAACACAATGGAGGTAACCCATGCTCCTGGTCCTTTTTCTGCTACTAACTCATTGACAGACCATGGACAAGTCTCTGGACTCTATGAGTTTCTACATCTGAAAAATAAAAACAGAGCTGCTATGAAATCCAAGATCTTAATGATATTTTTGTAAGAAAAAACCTACCCAGGGTGGGTGTGGTTTCTAAGAGATGCTTTTGACTACAGTGTTAACTCTTTTGCCAGCCCCAGCAACCACCCCCATTGCCAATATCTGTGCATATCTCCCTATGTGCTATCGCTGTTGGCATGGCAACACTGGCATCTCCACATGGCCAAGCCAAGCCTCCTCTCCACATGGCTGGGTTCTTGGATAGCAGCGTTTTTCCTCCTGCCCCCCATGTTTGTCCTGACAACGCTCATTGTCACAGATACTCCGGATATACCTTTACCAATAGGATTTAAGGGCAGCTCTGATTTCCTAATATTTCCTAACTTGCTAACCTTATGAAAAAAAAGATGCCCTCGTTTTTTCTCCTAATCCCCTCCTCTGCATTCTTTTTTTTCTTTCCCTTTTCCTTTCTCTTGCATCTCTTCTAAGCCTGAATTTTGAAGAGAATAGACATGGTTTTGGGTCACAGATAAACTTCATAATGTCACATAAGTTCTCTGAGCCTCAGTTTCCCCATCTATAAAACCAGGATTAGTGACATATACCTCGTGTCATCATCAGGAATAGTAATAAGAAAATTCACATAAAGTGCTTAGTACAGGGCCTGTCCCTAGCAAGCATTCAAAAATGAGCACCAACCAATTTTATCATCACCATCATCTTCATCATCAAGAGCTTAAAGCAGTTACCTCTAGATTTATCTACTTATGTGAAGTTTATATCCCCACAAGATGGCAAGCTCCCTGAGGATAGGTCTTTGGTTTATTTTTTTTTTTTACTACTGGTTCTTAATCCAGTGGCTAGTACACAACAGAATAGGCTCAAGAAATATTTTTGAAATGGATTTTGGAAAGCAGAAACTGGACAAACACTTTTTAAGTACGATGTGAATGTGTGTGTGTATGTGTGCGTGTGCATGTATGAATGTGTACATATATGTTTCTCTGTGTGAGTTTTTGTGTGCATGTATGAGTATGTTTCTCTGTGTGTATGTATGTACATGTATGAGTGAATGTTTATGTGTGTTTCTTTGTGTGTGCATGTACGAGTGTGTATATGTATATTTCTCTGTGTGTGCATACATGAGTGAGTGTGTATATGTGAGTATGTTTTCCTGTGTGTGTGTTTGTGTGTGCATATATGAGTGGGTGTGTATATGTAAGTGTGTTTCTGTGTGTGTGCATTTATAAGTATGTTTACATATCTTTCTCTGTGTGTGTGTGCATGTATGAGTGAGTGAATGTGAATATGTTTCTCTGTGTGTTTTTTGGTGCATGTATGAGTTAGTGTGCAGATGTGAGTGTGTTTCCATGTGTGTGTATGAATGTGTAGATGTGAGTATGTTTCTGCATATGTGAGTGCATAAACGAGTGAGTGTGGTTGCGTGAGTATGCTTCTGTGTGTGTGTGTGTACTGTAGTCCTGAAAATGCAAGTTCTCTCCTCTACTGCACATGTAGCTCTGCCTCACTGTCAGAGCCTAATCAACTGGAATGGCTCCACTGAGATTTTTTAGTGCCACTCTGTTTTAGTCCCTCCCCAAGCCACCCAGCCTGCCTGCCCCTATATTCAGGAAGCCACTGGATCAGAGCTGGGACATTTATTACTTTTGCTTATTAACTAGTGTAAAAGACAGTGGCCAAAAATTTAGAATAATAAATAATCAGTTTATCCATAATTAATGTTTTCAAAAAAAGAACAGAGAATGAAGGCTATTTATATGCTATTTATTTTATTATTATTGTTTTTAAGTCAGAATCTCACTCTGTCACCCATGCTGGAGTTTAGTGGCACGAACATGGCTCACTGCAGCCTCAACCTCCTAGGTTCAAGCAATTCGCCCTCATTATCCTCCCAAGCAGCTGCGAACCACAAGCACATGCCACCATGCCTGGCTATGTTTTTTATTTTTTGTAAAGACAGAGTCTTGCTTTGTTGCCCAGGCTGGTCTTGACCTCCTGGCCTCAAGCCATCCTCCTGCCTCAGCCTCGCAAAGTGCTGGGATTACAGGCAAGAGCCACCACACCCGGCCTATATGGTACTTAAAATCCCGAAATAAAACACCTCAAAAAGAAAGCACTTGTGGCTGCTCATTTTGCCTCAGCTATATAAGTGACCTATTAACTAACATCTACTGAGAATGCATTGTGTGCAGGGTACTGTACTATATATTATGATTAAACAGGAAAAAACATAAGCCTTGTTGAGGAGTGGGGATCAGGAAAAATATATAAAATTTATGATATGATATGGTAAATGTGACAATGAAGAAAACACAGAGGACTATAAGAAATACCTCCTTCAGCTGGATGAGGTCAAGGAAGTCTTTCCAGAGGAAATGACATCTGAGCTAGGTTTCTCAAGAGAGTTAGAGTTAACCTGAAGAAAGACAGGCAGATATAAATACACAGATGATGAGAACATGATGCTTGCTGGGAAACCCAAGTAGTTCAATGAGAGGGCTGATAATGACATTAATAGTAATAATAATAGTAATAAAACTAGAAATACACTGGCTAACACCTCTATAGTATTTATCACATGCCAGACCCTATTCTAAGCATTCTTACACATAGTAACTCATAAAAGGACTGGAACCTAGGGCTCCTTAATTTGAAAGGAGTTGGGAGAAGCAAGGCTTCAGACATAGATAAGCTGAGAGCTGAATGGTTTTGTGAGTAGGCCTGGAGCGTTAGGATTTGACTATGAAATGAGGGAGAGTAATAGAAGGGCATGATTTGATCTTGATCAAGTATACATTTTAGAATGGTAATTCTCACTGCATGGTAGCAGACAGATAGGAATGGGGTTCAGGTTGGAGGCTGGGTGAGCAGTGAAAAGGCTACTGGAGCCATCCAGGTGAGAGACTTGAGCACCTGACTCAACAGAAGAGTTGGGAAAAGAGGAATAAAAATATTTGAAATTACAATATATTACCCATTACACATGTGTGTGTATTAATCCATTTTCACGCTGCTGATAAAGATATACCCAAGACTGGGTAATTTACAAAAGAAAGAGGTTTAATCGGACTTACAGTTCCAGGTGGCTGGGGAAGCCTCACAATCATGGCAGAAGGCAAGGAGGAGCAAGTCACATCTTACATGGATGGCAGCAGTCAAAAAAAAAAGAGAGCTTGTGCAGGGGAACTTCTGTTTTTAAAATCATCAGATCTCATGAGACTTATTCACTATCTTGAGAACAGCATGGGAAAGACTTGCCCCTATGATTCAATTACCTCCCATCGGCTCCCTCCCACAACATGTGGGAATTCAGGATGAAATTTGAGTGGGGACACAGCCAAACCATATCAGTGTGTGTGGGCGGGGTGGGGGGTGTTCAGGGGGTGGTGACAGAGAGAGAGAGAGAGAATTGACTTCAGGGCCCCACAGCTGAGTTATTTGAATCTGTCTCTCGGAGTCTGCCATTGTTAATGCCTCTCCTACATCACAGTGTCCCTGAGCCCACCCTCTGGGCTAAGTGTCCCTGAGCCCACCTCTGGGCTTCATCCCTTAATAGCTGGATATCTCCTGCATCAGTTTATTTCTCCAAGTCTCCATTCCCTCATATGTTAATGGTGGTAACAAGACCTGCTCTGCAGAGTGGATCAGTTCACTTTTGTACTTTACAAATATTAAACTGTGACATAATTATGAGGGCTTTATTATGAAGACACGGAAGAGGAGGGTGGGAATGAGGATAAGGATGATGATCACACCTTTCGGGAAACAATTTCTCTTTGGTTTCACAGACCAAGCTCTACTTGTTCACTTAATTTCTCTTGATGCCTAGCCTTGACCTCCTTTCCCCTTCTAGAAAGAATTAAATTATCTCTCTTCTCTTGTCCTATTAAAATTGTGCTAATATCTTAGTCCCTACATCCAACAGCTAGCAGTCTTTATAGATTAATTCTTCATACATGATTACTGATGTCTGGTTCAAGACCTAAACTCCCCTAATGTTCAGGGACTATGGGGACAATTTTACACACATATACCCTTATGTTCAGACTTGGAGACCAGAGCATTTCTGTTGCTACATTATTTAATTATTTGGCATAGAAGTTGCCAGCTATGAGGAATGACTGCTTGTAACATGTAATTTGCCTTCCAAACAAGCTCATTTGGGCATTGACATTTGACAGAGAAAGGTCTGGGAAAATGAGCTGTTCAGAAAGTGTGTCTCCACATCTGACACTGCCTGAACTTTGGTAGGTTGATTTTTACAATCACAGATCATCAAAGGTTATACTCATTTAAATTCTTCCCTTACTAACAAATAAAGAAAGCAAAATACCACAAGCTCTCTTAACCTACTGTCCTCAACTACATACACTAGCTGGGGACTCTCAGAAAATTCTTAATGTCTGCAAAAAGTGTTGTGAAGTTGGCAAAGTTAATAGTTAATCTATCATACCTCTGTGCACACTTTCTATGTCTTTCTTATTTTGGAAAATCCAGAGATCTCCTGCTGTATTTAAATTTGTTTCATATGAAGTTTCTTTCTTTTCCTTCAATCTTCATCCTGCCCTCCATTCCTTCCTTCTCCAAATATCCATTTGATTGCCAGGTGCCAGGCACAGAGCTGGGTGCTGGGTACACAAAGCTGAATGTGCGTTTGTTATCTGGGCTTCTGTTTCTATAACCAAACCAAACCTAACTGGTTCTGTTTGCCCACAAACAACAGAAAGCCAAACGCCAAAGCACCAGTTCTTCTGTAGAGAGATAAGTTTATTTTAAAGCTGCCAAGCAAGGAGACAGGAGGAGCAAGGCTCAGATCTGTCTCCCAGAGCTGGGTGTTGAGGCAGGTTTTATAGGCAGAGGGTAATGCATGATCTAATTGGAGCTTTGAGGTGATGCCAGTAGGCATGATCTGACTGAATCACGCAGGGGGGTCATGCAAGAGTTTAATCTTATTGGGTCATGGATGGATCACGCTGTGAGGTGTCCACTTCTTAACTCAATCCATGTTTGTCCAAGCACTTAGGTTCCACCTGTGGTTACATGCTTGGTTCCTCTGGACAGGTTAAAGTTACATAACTTGCAACCTGAGGTTCATGGAAACTGGAAGACAACTCACCATTTTATTACACAAAGTTGAACCAGATTGGGCTGATTCTGTGGTTACACTTTTTTTTCTCCTATGATGCTGCAATAATCTTCTGACTTGTTTCCCTTCCCCACTTCACTCCAGTCCTTCCTTCATAGGCAAATGAGAGCACCTTGATAACCACTAATGTAACTGTTTCTTTCCAGTTACTATAAAATTGCCATTATACAACTAAGTCTTGGGCATATGGCCATTATTTTATTAGTTAACTTTACAAATAATTATTTAGAACTCACTTCTAAATAATGCCAGACATGCTAAAGAAGGTATAGCAGTCATCAAAGCAGGCCACAGCCTTTGCTCTCATAATACATAAATAGGTAAATAAAGAGCACAAAAATAAATACATTCAAACTATCTAGTTAGGAAACAAACACCACTGTAAGAAAGAACAAAGTTGAACACTGATACAATTTGGATCTGCGTCCCCACCCTAATCTCATATCAAATTGTGATCCCCACTGTTGGAGGTGGGGCCTGGTGGGAGGTAATTGAATCATGTGGGTGGTTTCTCATGAATGGTTTACCACCACCCCCCTGGGTGCTGTTCTCATGATAGTGAGTTCTCCTGAGATTTGTTTGTTTGTAAAACAAACAAATTTCTCTCTCTCTCTTTCTCTCTCTCTCCCTCTCCCTCCCTCCCTCTCTCTCTCTCCCTCCCTCCCTCTCTCTCTCTCCCTCTTGTTCTTGCTCTAGCCACGTAAGACGTGCCTGCTTCCCCTTTGCCTTCCACCATAATGGTAAGTTCCCTGAGGCCTTCCCAGAAGCAGAAGCCACTTTGCTTCCTGTACAGCCTGCTGAACCATAAGCCAATTAAACTTCTTTTCTTTATCAATTACCCAGTCTCAGGTATTTCTTTATAGCAGCGCAAAAACAGATTAATACAGCCACCTGACTTCAATTGGTAGGGAGAGGTAAGGGGAGGCCTCCGGAGTCTGAAAAAGATAACCTAGGTAAAGCCTGGAACATTAGCAGAACATGAGAAAGCTCATGGCACACTCAAGACAGACAGTGTGGGTAGAGCCTACTGCCCAAGGGAGAGAATAGGAAAAAGTGAAGGTGAATAGGTAGACTGGAGCCTGGCCATATAATACTTTATAAGGTGATATTCCTCAGCCCTTGAATCACCTGGGAACTTTTAAAAACTATTGATGGCCTGATCTTACCAAGTGAAATTAATTCACTTTGAATCTTAAGGGGAGAGACCTGAGCATGCACAGATTTTTAAAGCTTCCCAAGTGATTCAGATGTGTAGCTAGCACTGGGAATACCTGCTGTAGGGTTTTTACCAATTGGTTCAACTTCCCTCTATCATTGTATCTCTGGTTTGCCTATTTATTTCCTAACACTATTCTCTTTACGTGCTAACCAATTTCATACATCTTCATTTTTACTTATTCAGTTTCCTAAGCTTAAAATTTAAGCTCCCTTCCCAATATTGGTTAGGAATGTTTTGGGACTCAAACCCTGACTAAGAATATCTTAAATAAACAAAGGCCTGTTTTTTTTCCTATTGCAAGTGTTCAGATAGGTGACAGTTTGCTTTGGTTCAGGGGCTCCATAATACCAGGGACTACAAGTCAATCTTCAGTGTAGCATGTAGGAAAGAAAGATGGGCCTTGAGTCCTATTCATCAAGAAAACAAGAAGTTCTC
Organism: Homo sapiens; assembly: GCF_000001405.40. NCBI lineage: Eukaryota > Metazoa > Chordata > Mammalia > Primates > Hominidae > Homo > Homo sapiens. The sequence goes on along the minus strand of NC_000009.12, from coordinate 117,514,858 downwards.
CATAAATCCCATTCTGGCAGACTTTCCTTTGTGCCTCCTTATTCATATTCCCATGTTACAGGCCATCCTTAGCTGCAAGAGAGACTGGAAGAGCAAAGGGTTGGTTCAAAATCATTGACTTAGATCCACCACACTCTGTCACCTTGGGCTTGGTGTTGGGGGTGGTAAAAAGAACTAAATAAGAGGAGGTAGCTGTTACATAGAAAAGAGACACAGTATGCCCCACATGCTCTTAGTCTGCTCAATGAACTACTATCACCCCTCAAGAAATAAAAAAATTGTGGCTCAACAATGCAATGTTATATACCCAAGGCAACTGGCACTAGAGGTTATGAGAGAGAGAATAAATAGAAGTGACACTTGACCCACAGGTGTTTAAAAGAAGTTTTAAGGAAGAGAATTTGTCAATAGTGAGTCAGGTGACAGATGGGATCTCAGTGGCAAAGGTAAAAGACTCAGGCTTCCACCTTTGTGAAAGACCAAACTCCAGTTGTTGGGCCAGATTCCTGAGTATTTGTTGTTTTATAAAATTAAAGGATTTCAGAATAATAAGGGAACAGCAATGGGAAAAAAATGGTCTCTCAGACAACCCTAGAGGATATGGGATCTAAGACCCTTTATTAATAGAATGAAAAAAGGATTCCAGGGTGCAAAGAATACAACTCCTGTCTCCCAGATAGTATCTCCATAAATTTGGGAAGGAGATGAGAGTCCAAAAGGAGATTATCTAAAGCTGTTCCAGTATAGGAGATTAAAATTGTCCTCAATAGTTTCAGCTACCTCTGTGATCACCACATACATATATCCAAAACTGCCACTTCCTTCAAATGATTACTTTTGGATCACATACTTACATTTGGACCACATACTTACATTTGGACCACATTCCCAAGTGTCTTTGGGATTAAAGGAAACTCGATTAATCAATTTTCTTTCTGTGAGTGGCAGAATAGACAATGGCCTCTCATGTCAGGGAAATGGGCATGCCTTACTGCTAAGAAATATGGGTGAAGAAGTTTCTCAAAGCTCGTTTACTTTCAGCTCCTGACCCTGGACTCATTCATTGATAGATAGAAGTCCACACCATGTTTGGAGACTTCTGACGATAATAATAGCTACCATTATATGCATTATTTCATTAAATTCTTACAACCTTAAGAGGCAGATTCTATTATTATCCCCATTTTTCAGATGAAGAAGTGGAAGCAAAGAGAGATTTGGCAGGTCTAACTGCAGTGGTCAGGATGAGAATCCAACCAATCTGGCTCCAGATCCTGTGCTCTTAACTAATATGCAACTCATTTCCATAAACCCATTATGGGAGATTTTCTTCCAATCAGGAATTTCTTCTTCATGCCCACTTTCTATCTGTTTTTTAATGTTTACTCCAAACCCAAGACCACTGCAAGCCAACCATTCTACCTACCATGTAATCAGAAACCACCAAGGTGAACCACTGACAACCTATGAATGGCCTTTAAGAACTAGATGCCTCTTTTCCTTTCCATCCCTTCTTCTGAGTTTCTCCCCATGCCTTTGCCTATCTGGTTTCCTTCCTCTTGGCTCTGTCTTTGGCCTGCCTCTTAAATTCCACTGAATTTGACTTATGGGGTTTTAATCCATTATGCTTTAAAAAAAATAAGGATTCTCTTACTTTCTCATTCTGCCCTCAAACAGGATCTCCTGGACACTTTGGCTAATTGTATAGAGCCAGTTCAAGCCCCTAGAAGCCTAATTTTTAAGTCAGCTAAATCTGCTTCAGACATTAAAAGGGGGTGCCATCTGCCTTTTAGTTTTGCTGTCATTGTAGGTGTTTATTTTTAAAGCTAATGTGTATTGAACTCTTGCTTTTTACCAAGCATTGTTCTAAGAACTTGATCTGTTCTGTCTCACTTAATCCACAATCTCCCCTCAAACCCTATGGAATAGCTATCATTATTATGTGTATTTTACAGGAAAAGGAATCAAGCTGTAGTGATTCTTAGTGATTCCTGATGTCACTTGCATATGGTCACACAGCTATAAGTGGGCAAATAGGACCCAAACCCATGTCTGGCTAACACAAAATTTCTCTCCTCTAGAGCTTCACAGGACAAGGCTAAATCATCTTTCAGCCTTTATATTATCCAACAATTCCCATGTTTCTGTAAGTCTCCACTAGTTTCAACAACCCCCAAGTCCAGTCACCACTCCTCTTTTGCCATGATTTTACCTTCATCTCTTCATTCAATGTGTCCAATGTTAGTCTGCTTTTAGAGTTTGGTCTAGACCTATTCTCCCTACTCCAGATGTGTTCTGATTAACCCAGCATATACAGTTGGCCTGACACCTCTTTCATCCTTTATGTTTTATTTCTGGCAATGAGGCCATACACTATTTCGGCAGCCTTTAAGACCCCATTCGAAAATTGCTTCTGAACTTGTCTATTGTTAACTGTGAAACAGACAAAGTGAATTGAAGGCAAGGAGCTACCAGGAGAAACAATGCCTAGTGAGGAAGCCTTTCAGAGTACTCTTTTTGCAGTGGGAGTGGGAGTGGTTTTGACTATGTATACACTGGCTCATAGTAAGACATTACCCCACACCCAGATGCTAATGACCAGCTCTTTTCTGGAAAATCTCAAAGTGAGAAGGCCATCTTGAGGCCATCTGATATGCTTACCTTCATGTTAAGCTCAGCAGTTAGTGTTTTTGATGCTGAGCCCCCTTGGTCCTTGTGATCTGTGACATAATGGAATCAAATTAAAGGCCCATTTACCAGCTTTATTGCCGATTATTTATAATACTCTGGTTCCAAAGTGCTTCTTTATAGAGTGCTTAAGCTGCCATTGCTGGATAGAACTTGCCATAAATGCATTCACATGCACAGCACATTATGTCCCATAGCCGCAGCAAAAAGGGAAAAGATTATTCTCAATTATTTCATATAGTCTATTTTATTGTTTTATTGTAATAAACTGCCATACCTTACACCACTTTAAAATCAATAGTTTGCATTAAAAATAATGAAACACGGCTATTAATCTTGCTTAGCATTTCTGCTATTACTTTCTGATAGTGAATCTGTAATATAGAGAAGGTAATAATTACTCACTTCCGATCAATAGGAACATTTTCAAATACTCCTATGTGTCCCAGTGCTATTGCATCAGTGAGGGCTGATGACAACAGGGGCATAGATTTAAAGACTCCTAGTTGGCATGAAGCTCTTCATGCCCTCTCTGCACCTGTCTGCACATTCCCTGACTCACAGAGCATCCTACATAATTCCTTGAGAAAATACAACAAAATGGCTAACTGCTTGGGCTTTGGAGTCAGAAAGCCTGGGCTTAATTGCCATTTCCATCATTCACCAGTACCGTTTCAGTGACCTTGAACATGTCATTTAACCATTTGCTGCCTCAGTCTCCTTGTCTATAAAAAGGAAATGATAACATCTACCTTGCAGGATTATTATAAATATTATGTGCAAAACTTCACGGGTTATATTTATCACAGTGTCTGAAATATAATAAGTACACTAGAAATGATAGCTACTATTATTATGCCATGTGTACTTGGGATTGATATATGACTTCATAGATCATTGTTTCCCAAAGAGATAGTGGCAAAAGCAGGTGAATGGTTTGTACCATGTTTACCCTTTTGTTCCTTCATTTTAACCTAGCATAAGACTAAGCTGGGCTTTCTGGTGGTACTCAGCATCTGGACTTGAAACCTTGACAAGGGAAATTAAGCCATCAATTTGGTTGTAATACAAAAGGCCTTTTGACTCCAAACCCTTTGCTCTTTAGCAAAATCTCTGCGGAGACAGCACTGGAGTGAATACATGGTTTTGTCAGTAAATACCCTTTGATCAACACTCAAGTCAAATACAAGGAGAGTGGAGATGGTGAATACTTAAGCCATAATTGATGGCATGGCTTTTCCAATCCCATTTAATTCAATTCAACAACTATTTACTGAACAGATAACAGGTGCCAGGAGAAAGGCTAGGTGCTGAAGGGTAAAGAGATGCAACGATTATTAAAGCATAGTATTTACTGTTTAAATATGTTAAAATCTAGGCAAAGAGACACATGTCATCTAAGTAACTTGATTCCAAAGTCCAGAAGAAAGATTGATTCTCTTTAGTAGAGAAAGGTTATTTTGATGAAAGCATGAAAGAATGAGTAGAATTTGATCTGATCAGCGAAAATAGAGGAAAAAAAAATTCTGTGGAGGGGGAATAACAAAGGCAAATGCCAAAAGGTGGGCAAGCGAATGTCTCATTATAACTCCACTAGTGTAAAATCCTCCTCCATTTCCCACCATCTAAAACACACCTCAGGGGATTCACAATCTCCCAGCCTGAATTTCCAATGCACTTACTGTAGTTTACTATCCACCCAAGGCTCCTAAACTACACCGCAAAGTGTTTGCACTTTTTTTTCTAACATAACACCTTCTGTTTCATGCCTCTCTGAACTTGCATTTGCTACTCATTGGACACAAAATTGATTTATTCGCCTGAAAAACTATTCTCCTGAAAGACCCAATTCAAATACTACCTCCTTTTTGAAGCCTCCCGATACTCCCAGATAATTTCACACTGTGTCACGACTCTTCGTCTGCATGTCTGAATGTTATGCTTCTTAAATGAATGAATGCACATGTGAATGAATGAATAGATTAATAGAATAATATATAATATATTCATAAAATGGCAAGTCTGAAAGTATTGGGACATAACCTATGAGATGCTGCTCTGGGCAAATTGCCTATGGAGTAACCCTGCTGTGCACGGAGCAGTACCTCTGTTGCTTCAATAAAAGTTTCTATTTAACACCACCAGCTCACCCTTGAATTCTTTCCTGAGTGAAGCCAAGAACCCTCTAGGCTAAGCCTCGGTGTGGGGGCTTGCCTGTCCTACATCATGAGGACACAGTGAACCAGTCTCATATGACAAGCTAAGGAATTTTATTTTATTTTGTATATAACGATTGGAGAACTTTGAATACAGATGCAAATAACCAGAATTCTTCTATAAAAAATGAATCTAACCGTGGTGTTTAGAAAATTTTGGCATAGGAGAAACCAGAGGCAGAGATCACTTTAGATGATGAGATACTGAAATGAGCTGGTTATAGCTGAAATCAAGACAAGAAGGATAATATTTTAGAAAAAGAACATAGAAGCTGGCAACAGATTTATTAGAAGTGAGAGGAATAGTAAAAAGGCAGAGATTAATCTTTTCTTATAGTCCCTCTTATTACTACAAACATTGTTGGGAAGAGATATTTCTACACTACTCCCGTCCTTACCCCACTTTGTTTGAGATGAAGAGTTAGTGATCAGTTTAGGTCACATTCCCAGGATAGAAATTTGGTAATGTACCTCTGGGTAGGTTTGCTTGAAACTTAAAAGGTTATGAAAAAAATTGTCATGGTCTCTTCTATTCTTGCCTTTTATTGCAGCCAGATCAGTAAGTTAGTAAATAAAACTTGCAATTTTTACTTTTCTCTTCTGCCAAGAACTCTAGAACCTTGGTACCGAAAGCATGGTCTGTGAAACAGCATCAGCTGTACCAGGGAATTTGTAAAAATGTAGAATCTTGGGTCCCAATGCAGAGCTAAGAAATCAGAGTCTACATTTGAACAAGATCCCAGGTGATTTTTTGCACATTAAAGCTTAAGAAACACTGCTCTACGATATTACCACTTTAGTATCAAAGAACCAGCTAGAAAGCATGACTGTCAACCTAGACTTAAAATTTGAGTCAAACCTGGAGAACTTTTAAAAACCGCAATTTCCAAGACAGGACAAGGTGGCTGACTAGCTAGTGTGCACCACACTTACAGAGAGGAGAAAGAGTGACAAATAAAAACACTAGCTCTTCAACTGGACCATCCAGGTGGACACGTTGGGATTCATCAAGGAAGCAATGTGACTCATGGAGAACAGAGAAAAGCAAAACAGGACAGCCATCCACCCAGGACTGGCACAGAGCCAACGGACACTCCCCTCTGTGGGGAAACGTTGAGTGAGTGACAACCCCGAGGACCCACACTTCTGCCATAGACCTGTCCAACCCTGGGCTCAGGAGATCCCCTATGGCTCCTTCAACCCCCACTCTACCAGGGCCTCCAGACTGACATGGAGAACTACATGGAGTCTGAGCAGAGCCACCAATCCCAGGCATACATGGAGTCCCAGGAGCCTTGAACCCCTGGACATCCCAGCATCAGTGGCTGCAGCTCTGGCAACAGGGGAGGCCAGGCTCCCTCACACACCTCTAAGATAGGAGCTGAATGCAGGAGCCTGAGGAGCAGACTGACTTACAGGCCTTGCCCCCACTGCACTTCACCAGAAAAGGCCCACTGGCCTGGGACTCCAATATGGCCACCCCAGCCCTGCCTGAGCTCTTGGGCCAGTAGCAGCCCTGCATTCCCAGTGATAGCAGGTAGGCCCATTATTTTTGCTGCTCTACAATTCCTGTCCCCACTTCCCTCAGGCTCAGGAGGGAGTGAAGTGATTAAGGACTAATATAGGCCCCCAGCACAGCACAGCTGCCTTACGGAAAAGTGGCCACACAATTTTCCACGCATGTCTCTGCCCCTGTTATCCCTCACCATTCAAGGCCTCTCAACCTTGGCTCCCATCTTAATCATTCTGCCCCCACCTGAACACTTCAGTTGGTGGTGGCTCTGCATTTCTCTAAGGAGGAAATCCCAGAGACAACCCACAGCCCCTCTCCCATTGCAGCTGCAGTGGTACTGCCCTTATAGCCCTTGGGCTAGGGAAGGAACAAAGGGCCTGGTTGCATCACTGGCACCTCCAGCATGCTGCAACCACCACACAGAGAGGACCCCAGTCTCTCTTCCCTGTAAGACCCCACCACCTACTCTTCACCAGGAAGGGCCCTTGGCTCAGGACCACAGAACAGTTGCCCCTTCCCTGACTGAGCATTCCCACTGCTAGTGGCTTGGTATTTCCCTGGGGTAAGGCTTCCAGAGGTAACCTCTGCCACTGCCACTGCCTTTGCTGCCGTGAGACTGGAGAAGGAACAAAGACCCTGAGTGCTTTATTCACACCAGCAGAATGCCACAGTCACCATAAGGAGAAGAAGCCAGTCTGTCTTCCACATGATCGCCCTCTCCCCAGGCTCATTACCAAGCAGGGCTTCTTGGCTTGGGACCACAAGGCAGCCATCCCACCTCGGGCCTATCGCTCTGATTGATAGTGGTGCTGTATTTCTCTTAAGTGGAGCCCCAAGAGACAAATGAAAAGCCTTCTTTCATTGCCACTACCAAGGTCCCTGTCCCTGGTTCCCCCAAGCTGGGGAGGGAACATAAAGCCAGAGCTCACCCCAGGGATGCTGTGTGCAGCCAGGGAGTGCCAAGTCAAAATCTGCAGCCAGCAGTCAAGCAGGAGAGGAGCTCACACCCTCAGAGCACTGAGAGGGAGCACAGCTGCAAATGCATGGAGATAGAGAGGAGCTTGGCTAAGCAAGAGCCTACCTCCCAAGCACAAAGCCTCAGCCCTCTGAAAACATCCAGAAATGAAGTCAGCTGATTATACTCAAACTACACCACAGTTAAAGGAACATCAGCCCACACACATGAAAAAGAAATAGTGCAAGAACTCTAGCAAGTATGAAAGCCAGTGTGTCCTCTTACCTCCAAACAATTGCATTAGATCCACAGCAATGGTTCTTAACCAGAATGAAGTGGCTGAAATGACAGACATAAAATTCAGAATCTGGATGGCAAGGAAGTTCATCAAGATTCAGGAGAAAGTTGAAACTCAATCCAAGGAATGTAAGGATTATGATAAAATAATGCAGGAGCTGATAGACAAAATGGCCATTTTAAGAAGGAACCAAACTAATCTGATAGAGTGGAAAAACACACTAAAAGAATATCATAATACAATCACAAGTATCAACAGCAGAATAGACCAACCTAAAAAAATAATCTCAGAGCTCAAAGACTGATTCACAAAACTAATTCAGTCAGACAAAAATATAGAAAAACAAAAATAAAAAAAGAATAAACAGAAACCTTCCACGAAATATGGGATTATATAAAGAGACCAAATCAACGACTTGGCATCCCTGAAATGACTCATTGGCATCTCTGAAAGGGAGGGATATAAAACAAGCAACTTGGAAACATATTTGACCATATCATTCATTAAAAAATTCCCCAACCTTCCTAGATAGGCTGAAATTCTGTTTCCGGAAATGCAGAGGGCCACTGCAAGATACTATACAAAACGACCATCCCCAAGACAAATAGTCATCACATCCTTCAAGATCGACATGAATAAAATAATAGTAAAGGTAGCTGGAGAGGAGATATAGTTCACCTACAAAGAGAAGCCCATCAGGCTAGCTGCAGAACTTTCTGCAGAAACCCTACAGCCAGAAGAGATTGGGGGCATATATTTAGCATTTTAGAGAAAATAAACTTCAACCAAAAATGTTATATCTAGCCAAACTAAGCTTCGTAAGTGAAGGAGAAATAAGATCTTTTTCAGACAAGGAAATGCTAAGAAAATTCCTAACTACCAGACCTGCCTTACAAGAGGTCCTTAAGAGAGTGCTTGGTTTTTTGTCCTTGTGATAGTTTGCTGAGAATGATGGTTCCCAGCTTCATCCATGTCCCTACAAAGGACATGAACTCATCAATTTTTATGGCTGCATAGTATTCCAGCACACCAACACGGCACATGTATACATATGTAACAAACCTGCACATTGTGCACATGTACCCTAGACCTTAAAGTATAATTAAAAAAAAGAGAGTATTAAATATGGAAAGACCATTACCAGCTGCCACAAAAATGCACTTAACTACATAGACCATTGACACTATCAAGCAACCACACAATCAAGTCTTCATGATAAACAGCTAACATGACCATGACAGGATCAAATCTGCACATATCAATATTAATCTTGGGTGTAAATGAGCTAAATGCCTCAATTAAAAGTCACAAAGTGGTGGCCGGGCATGGTGGCTCACGCCTGTAATCCCAGCACTTTGGGAGGCCGAGGCGGGTGGATCACGAGGTCAGGAGAGCTAGACCATCCTGGCTAACACGGTGAAACTCCGTCTCTACTAAAAATACAAAAAATTAGCCGGGCATGGTGGCGGGTGCCTGTAGTCCCAGCTACTCGGGAGGCTGAGGCAGGAGAATGGCATGAACCCAGGAGGCGGAGCTTGCAGTGAGCCAAAATCGCGCCACTGCACTCCAGCCTGGGCGACAGAGCGAGACTCTGTCTCAAAAAAAAAAAAAAAAAAAAAAGTCACAAAGTGGCAAACTGGATAAAGACACAAGAACCAACTATATAATGTCTTCAAAGAGGCCCATATCTCATGCAATGACACCCATAGGCTCAAAGTAAAGGGATGAAGAAAAATCTACCAAGCAAACAAAATAAAACCAGCAGTTGCTTTTCTAATTCCAGACAAAACAGACTTTAAACCGACAATGATCAAAAAAGGCAAAGAAGAGCATTACAAAACTAACTCAGTCAGACAAAAAAATACAGAAAAAAATTGAAAACAAACAAAACCTTCCAAGAAATATGAGACCATATAAAGACACCAAATCAATGATTCATTGGCATCCCTGAAAGAGAGGGAGGTAAAACAAGCAATTTGGAAACATATGTGAGTGTTAAAGGGTTCAATTTGTAACTATCCTAAATATATATTCACCCAACACAAGAGAACCAAGATTCGTAAAACAAGTTCTTAGAGATCTACAAAAAGACACAGATAATCATACAATAATAGTGGGAGTCTCCAACACCCTACTGATAGTAATAGATAGATGATCAAGACAGAAGACTAACAAAACTATTGGGGACATGAACTCAGCACTTGACCAAGTGGACCTAACAGACATCTACAAAACTCCCTACCCCAAAAAACAGAATATACATTATTCTCATCTTCATATGGCACATATTCTAAAATCAACCACAGAATCGGCCATAAAACAATTCTCAGCAAATTAAAAAATAACTGAAATCATATTAGCAACACTCTTGGACCACAGTGCAATAAAAATAGAAATCAATGCCAAGAAAATCACTCAAAACTGTACAATTACATGGAAATTAACCTGCTCCTGAACAACTTCTGAGTAAACAATGAGATTAAGGCAGAAATCAAGAAATTCTTTGAAACTAATGAGAACAAAGATACAACATACCAGAATCTCTGGTACACAGCTAAGCAATGTTCAGAGGAAAGTTTATAACATGAAGTGCCCAAATCAAATAGTTAGAAAGATCTCAAATTAACAACCTAATATTACACCTTGAGGAACTAGAAAACCAAGAGGAAATCAACCCCAAAGCTAACAGAAACAAGAAATAACCAAGGATCAGAGCTGAACTGAATGAAATTGAGATTAAAACACACACACAGACACATACACACACACACACAACCAACAAAACTAGAAATTTGTTCTTTGATAAATAGAAGACTGCTAGCTAGACTAATGAAAAAGATGATCCAAATAAACACAATCAGAAGTGACAAAGGGGACATTACGACCAACCCCACAGAAATACAAAATACCATCAGAGACTGTTTTGAACATCTCTCTGCACACAAACTAGAAAACCTAGAAGATATGGATAAATTCCTGGAAATATACTACCTCCTTTGACTGAACCAGCATGAAATTGAATCCTGAACGGACCAATAATGAGTTCTGAAATTGAATCAGTAATAAAAAGCCTACCAACAAGAAAAAGCCCAAGACCAGATTGATTCACAGCTGAATTCTACCAGACATATAAAAAGAGCTGGTACCATTACTACAGAAACGATTAAAAGAAACAGAGGAGGAAGGACTTCTCCCTAACTCATTCTCTGAGGTCATCGTTATCCTGATACCAAAACCTGGCAAAGACACACAAAAAAGAAAACTTCAGGCCAATCCCTTGATGAGTGTATATGCAAAAATCTTCAACAAAATGTAACAAACCAAATCCAGCTGCACATCAAAAAGCTAACCCACCACAATCAAGTAGGCTTTATCCCTGGGATGCAAGTTTGTTTGAACATATATGAATCAATAAATGTGATTCATTCGTAAACAGAACTAAAAACAAAAACCACATGATAATCTCAATAGATGCAGAAAAGGCTTTCAATAATATTCAGCATCCCTTCATGTTAAAAACCTTCAACTAACTGAGGAACACACCTTAGAATAATAGGAGCCATCTATGACAAACCCACAGCCAGTATCATACCAAATGGTCAAAAGCTGAAAGCATTCCCCTTGAGAACTGGAACAAGACAAGGATGCCCATTCTCACCCCTGCTATTCAACATAGTACTGGAAGTCTTAGCCAGGGCAATCAGGCAAGAGAAAGAAATAAAAGGCATCAAAATAGGAAGAGAGGAAGTCAAGCTATCTCTGTTTGCAGATGATATGATGTTATACCTAGAAAACCCCATAGTCTCTGTCCAAAAGCTCCTAGATCTGTTAAGAAATGCTAGCAAAGTTTCTGGTTACAAAATCAATGTACAAAAATCAGTAGCATGTCTATATACCAAAAACGTCCAAGCTTATTTCCAAATCGAGTACGCAATTCCATTCACAATAGCCACAAACAAGCTAAAATACCTAGGAATTCAGCTAACCAGTGAGGTTAAAGATCTCTATAACAAGAATTACAAAACATTGCTGAAAGAAATCAGAGATGGGCCAAACAAATGGAAAATCATCTCATGCTCATAAATAGGAAGCATCAATATTATTGAAATGGCCATACTGCCCAAAGCAATTTACAAATTCAATGTTATTCCTATCAAACTATCAATGACATTCTTCACAGAATTAAAAAAAATTCTAATATTTATATTGAACGAAAAGAAGAGCTTGAATAGCCAACCCAATCCTAAGCCAGAAGAACAAATCTGTAGGCATCACATTACCTGACTTCAAACTATACTTCCAGGCTATAGTAACCAAAACAGTATGGTACTGGTACAAAAACAGACACATAGATCAGTGGAACAGAATACAGAGCCCAGAAATAAAGCCACACACCTACAACTATTTGATCTTCAACAAAGTCAACAAAAAACAAGCCATAGTAAAAAAAACTCCCTGTTCAATAAATAGTGCCCTGAAACAATAAATGACAGGCTAGCCATCTGCAGAAGATTTAAACTGGACCCCTTCCTTACATCATGTAGAAAAATCAACCCAAAATGGATTAAAGACTTAAATGTAGAACCTAAAACTACAAAAACTGGGAAATACCATTCATACCATTCTAGACATAAGCCCTGGTGAAAATTTGTTGATGAAGATGCCAAAAGCAATTGCAAAAAACAAAAACAAAAACATCAAATTGACAAATGGAACCTAATTAAACTAAAGAGCTCTGCAGAGCAAATGAAACTATCATCAGAGTAAATATACAACCCACAGAATAGGAGAAAATATTTGCAAACTATGCATCTGACAAAGGCCTAATATCCAGAATCTATAAGGAACCTAACAAGCAAAAACAAAGAACCCCATTAAAAAGTGGGCAAAGAACATGAACAGACACATTTCAAAAGAAGACATACATGCAGACAAGTATATGAAAAAATACTCAATGCCACCAATCATTAGAGAAATGCAGATCAAACCACAATGAGATACCAGTCAGAAGCGCTATTATTAATATTAAAAAGTCAGAAAATAACTGATGCTGGTGGGGCTGCAGAGAAAAAGGAATGCTTATATGCTGCTGCTGGAAATGTAAATTAGTTCAGCCACTGCAGAAAGCAGTTAGGTAATTTCTCAAAGAACTTAAAACAGAACTACCACTTGACACAGCAATCTCACGATTACATGTATCCCCAAAGGAATATAAATCATTCTCCCATAAGACACATGCTTACGTATATTCATTGCACCACTATTCACAATAGCAAAGACTTGGAATCAACCTAAACGTCCACTGGTCGTAGACTGAATAAAGAAAATGTGTACATGTACACCATTGAACACTACAAGATAACGTCCTTTGCAGGAACATGGATACAGTTAGAGGCCATTATCTAAGTGAACTAGCCCAGGAACAGAAAACCAAATATTGCATGTTCTCACTTATAAATGGGAACTAATCATTGAGTATACAGGGACACAAAGAAAGGAACAATAGACATTGGGACCTGAGGGTGGAGGGTGGGAGGAAAGAAAGGACAGAAAAATGGCCTATTCGATATTATGCTTTTTACATGGATGATGAAATAATATGTATACCAAAACCCCTGCAACACAAAGTTTATCTATAGAACCAACCTGCACATGTACCTCTGAAACAAAAATAAAAGTTTTTTTTAAAATCCTAATTTACTAATCCACATTTCAAAGCCATTAATTCAAAATTTTGAGGGGCGGACCGCAGACAACAGTGTTTTTAAAGCTTCCCAGGTGATATGGTTTAGCTCTGTGTTTCCACCAAAATCTCATCTCCAATTGTAATCCCCATGATCCCCAGGTGTGGAGGGAGAGACCGGGTGGGAGGTGATTGGATCATGGGGGTGGTTCCCCCATGCTATTCTCGTGATAGTGAGTGTATTCTCGAGAGATGTGGCTGGTTGATAAGTGTGTGGTGCTTCCCCCCTCTCACTTATTTACCTGCCTTGTGAAGAAGGTGCTTGCTTCCCCTTTACCTTCTGCTGTGATTGTAAGTTTTCTGAGGCCTCCCCAGCCACGTGGAACTGTAAGTTAATTAAACCTCTTTCCTGTATAAATTATCCAGTCAAGTATTTCTTTAGAGCAATGTGAAAATGGACTGATACACCAGGTGATTCCAGTGTCCAGTCAAGGTTAAAAACCGTCTAAAAGTGAGGTTTAGATTTGGACTTAATGGAAAAAATTGCTTCCTTTCCTCCTTTCCCACCCATTATTCACGCATTCATTCAGAGACAGTGTCTTCCTCTGTCACCCAGCCTGGAATGTAGTGGCAAGATCATGACTATTGGCAGTCTCAACCTCCTAAGCTCAAGCTATCCTCCCTCATCATCCTCTCCAGTATCTGAGATTACAGGTGTGCACAACCATGCCCAGCTTTTTTTTTTTTTTTTTTTTTTTTTTTTTTTTTTTACTTTCTAGAGATGGGGACTCATTATGTCACCCAGGCTAATCATCCATCACTTAGTTCTTGGTCCTAATCGAAGTAATCCAGTCCAGTTTAGCAAAGAAATGAAATTTGGGTTTATAGACCCTGCCAAAAATAAACTGGAGTTTGATTTCTCATTTGCTGTCTTTACATGTTTATGCCCTTTAGGATTCTTGCAGGAAGGGTGAATAGATGGTGTAAAACAGGGTTCAGGTATTGTCATCGCTCTCCTAGCCAAACTCTGTTCAACAATGCTCCAAAATGTGAACATTGTTAAGGTGAAATTTGAACTTCCATGCTAGTGAGATTGGAAATGCCACTGACTGAAACAGAGGGCAGAGAACGTCTTGGTTTAAGAAGAAACCTTCCACGGAGCACGCTCTGTGCCTCCTGTTTGTGGACACCCTTGCCTGGCACCGATCAAGAATTCTCCACTGATTATTCCACACTATAACTTTCACCTGTTGCTCAGTGGGTTGCATTTTTTTTCACCCACTTCTCAATATTGTAGATGAAACTATCTGACCAGAGATTTGATTTAGTCCGTATTTCATACAATGAAGCAGTAATGAAAAAAACCAGAACATTAATTCTCTGTGATGATATCATCAAGGAAGGGGGAAAAATTTCATTCTATGGAGTTGGTTTTATTGTAATAATACAGGGCAAGCATTTATCTGAGTCAGGGGCTACAGCTGCTGGCTATAAGCCACTGTAATAATGAAGACCAGATTGAATTATCTTCAGGCGTGATTAAAGATCAAAGAAGATTTTTTTTTTTTTTTAATAAACTCAGTCTTGTTTTTCTTTGTCAGAAACAGTTTAGGTTAAGCTAGCTGGCTAAACTGAGATGGAAACTGAAGGCCTTCTCAACAAAGTAGGCAAGCAGCAGAGAAATAAAGAAATGCCTAAATGTACCTGTGGGTGGATGGATAGGTGAATGGTTGTATCAATAAATAAATAGCAGAGCTTATGATAGACAGAATCTTTTGAAGGGCAATCAGGAGACATGACCTGACTCCTTGCTGCTGGAAATAGTATTTGCAAGAATAATCATAACTATAATATCTGCTGTCGTTTTGATACCTATTATTTTCCAGTACTGAATTAGATACTCCAAAACATTTATTTCATTTATCTTATTTACATAATAAACTTGCAGGGCAAATATTATCTCATTTTTTTTAAATAAGGGGTGTGAGGCCTTAAAACACTTAGTAATTTGCTCAAGAAATTTATAAAGTTAGAATTTAAATCTAAGTGTGTGTTACTCTTAAAACCTGTGACTCTTTTCACAGTACATTGGTCCATTCAATTGACATAATGATTTTTAACACCTGGGTGGAGGAAGAGCCGATGCTCTTATGTATTTATCTGTGAATATTAAATACTTAGTCTTGAAAAAAACGCATTTCCTTCCATGTACACATTTTATGAAATTTAAGGGAGTTTCCTGAGTCCTTAAATCCACATAGATATTGATATTAAGAAGCATTTCCTCCAAAGATTTAAAGAAGTAATGAGCAGAGGTGGGAAGGAGAGAAGACGAGAAAAGACAGTAGATAGTTTACAAGGAATATCTTGGACTTGCTCTGTTTAAGGCAACTATATTTTTGGAATTGTGCTCCCTTAAAATTGTTTTTAAACTTAACGTATAATATACATATATTTGCATAATTGCAAGTTAATTCTTAAACACCCCTATCAGACAAAATATATCTGGGGCCGGGGGGGGTGGTACATGCATACTTCCAGTCAGACTTCCGTGATGTCAATCATTGTCCATAAAATCCACACCATTCTGTGCCTGTGAAGTGGCCTGAGCCACGTTGACATCATCCACAGGTCATTTTCTACCCATAGAATCAACTGTCACCATACACCTTCCACTGTAACAAAGCATGCTTTATACAGTGGAGTGATTTTGTTTTTAATGGATGCTCACTGAAAATAATACTCTTTAAAATGTGCTGGAGTCTAGTGTGCTATATTTCTCTTGGCTGGTTTGAAACAGTACAGTGTTTTATATACATAAAATCAGCCTATAACATCATCTCCTCTCCTCAGCATTAGGGCATTGGTTTTCCCTGATCTCCCATGCATTCATTAACATGGCTGTGGCCCTTTATAACTTCTCTCTAACCATTCTACTCTATTCTTTGTTTTATTAAATAAGACTTTCATTTCTGTCTTAATCTGAATCTGATCTCATCTGAATTAGTTCAATCTATTTATGTTTAAGAAAAATTTACTTGACCTTGTCCCTACAACCCAATGGACAGCACTGGGTGTAGGTGGATTGCTAGTTACTGTTGGAAATTTAAGTTATGGTAAAGATATAAACATCGGAAAGAGAAGGATAGTGCACTTTGCAGTATTTCAGCATGCTCTAATTCGTGACATTTGTCTGACTTGATCTTCATATCATCAAAAGTATTCAAGTGATTCTGGGAAGTTGGAAGAGTAGGAAGCACCAGAAATCTGTCTCCCCACCTAAAGCACTGGCAGAATCAGTCTGATGTAACTATTTTAAGACTCAGTCCATTAAAGGCTTGCAGATTCCAAGGGGAAGGTTTCTGTGGTAAATTGTGGTTAATTTGGTCAATTTCAGCTTTTAACACAGTAGCCACTACCGATCCCCCACCTTCAACCCAGTGGCAGGCAGCTGTGCATATGATTCTGGGGCAGCTTACACACAGCTTGAAGGAGCCAGACTGGCCAAAAATGACCCTTTCCTACAAATAGCAGGGATCTGTGCTCTAATCACTTATTGCTGTTTCTGATCACAGAGGTGCAGTGAGGCCAGCAGTCATGGTTTATGCACCTCCTCCCATTGTTGCAAGCCCCTCACCCTCTGTCTGAAGTGACTGCCAAGGGCTACAGTGTTCTTATTTTTACTTCCCTTCATTTTTCTCTTTTTTCCTTTTTGGGAGCCAGACATTAAAGACTATAACATTCAAAAGAAACTGCATATACAGCGAAAATCAGAGGTGACTATGCATGGGAAAGGCGCAGCCACAGAAAAGAACTGAGAAGACCTTAATTTTACATGTCAATCTTGGCCTTAACACGCCATACAACAGTCAAAAACAATAACAAAAAAAAAAACAGTAAACCCTTGGAAGGAAGAGAATCTGGCTTCCAGAGATACCACATTATTTTACTAAAATGTCCAGTTTTTAACAAGAAATCACAGGGCATATAAAGAAATAGGGAAATATGGCCCATTAAAAAAAAATCAACAAAATTGTCCCTGAAAAAGACTTTATAGAAGATCTACTAGACAAAGACTTTAAAACAACTGTCTTGGAGATGCTCAAAGAATTAAAGATGTGAAGAAAGTCAAGAAAACAACGTATGAACAACATAGAAATGTCAATAAAAAGAAAACCTCAAAAGGAACCAAAAAGAAATTCAGGAACTGAAAAGAACGTAACTGAAATGAAAAGAGAAATTCAAAGGAATATTTAACTAGCAGAAGAAATAATCTGTGAGCTTGAACATAGGACAATGGGAATTATTGAGTCTGAAAGAAAAAAAAGATTGAAGAGAAATGAACAGTGCCTAAGGGACATGTGGGAAACCATTAAATAGACCAATATGTGCATGGTAGGTGTTCCAAAAGAAGAAGAGAGAGAAAAGGGAAGAGAGAACACTTGAAGAAATAATGGCTGAAAACTTTCTAAATTTGATTTAAAACATAAATATAAACTCCCAACTAGCCCAATGAACTCAAAGATGTGCAATGAAACACATTATGATGGACTGTCAAAACTGTGTTTAACGAAGAGGGAATCTTGAAAGCAGCAAGAGAGAAGCAAATGAGCATGTACAAGGGATTCTTCCTAAGATTGTCAGCAGATTTCTCATAAGAAACTTTAGAGGCCAGAAGGCAGTATGTGATACATTCAAAGTGTCAAAACAAACTAAAGAAATTCTCCACAGCAGAAGAAACTATCAACAGAGTAAACAGATAACCTACATAATGGAAGAACATTTTTGCTAACTATGCATCCAACAAAGGTCTAATATCCAGCATCCATAAGGAACTTAAACAAATTTAAATTGGGAAAATTTTAAATTAAGCCCCACAAAAAAGTTGGCAAAAGACATAAAAAGATACTTTTCAAAAGAAGACACACATGCAGCCAATAATTCTATGAAAAACTCAACACCACTGATCGTTACAGATACACAAAACCACAGTGAGATACCATCTCACACCAGTCAGAACGGTTATGCTAGAAAGTCAAAAAATAACAGATGCTAGTGAGATTGTAGAGGAAAAGGAATGCTTACATACTATTGTTAGTTAATTCAACCATTGTGGAAGATTGGTGATTCCTTAAAGACCTAAAGACAAATACCATTTGACCTAGTAATCCCAATACTGGCTATGTACTCAAAGGAAGATAAATAATTCTGTTATAAAGACACTTGCAAGTGTATGTTTATTCCAACACTATTCACAAGAGCAAAGACATGGAATCAACCTAAATGCCCATCAGTGATAGACTGGATAAAGAAAATGTGGTACATATATTCTATGGAATACTATGCAGCCATAAAAAAAGAATGAGATCATGTTCTTCTCAGGGACCTCAGTGGAGCTAGCAAACTAACCACAGGAACAGAAAACCAAATACTGCATGTTCTTGTTTACAAGAGGGATCTAAATGATGAGAACACATGGAGACATAGAGAGGAACAACACACAATGGGGCCTATTAGAGGGTGAAGGGTTGAAGGAGGGAGAAGATCATGAAAAATAACTAATGGGTACTAGGCCTAATACCTAAGTGATGAAATAATCTGTACAACAAACCCCCTTGACACAAGCTTACCTATGTAACAAACCTGCACATATATCTCTGAACTTAAAGCTAAAAAAGAAAAAAGGAACTGAGGGTGGCTAGTGAGGAAGTGAAGCCTTTAGTTTAATAGCCTATGAATAACTAAATCATATTAACCCCTAAGTGATCCTAGAAGGGAATCCTTCTTCAGACAATCCTTGAAATGAGACTACAGACCCAGCCAAGAGCATGATCACAGCCTGTTTGAGACCTTGAAGAACAGGACTCATCCAGTCATGTCCTGTGGTTACCACGGGGATTACTTTAACATCCTAAAGTTATAACATTTTAATGTGTTAACTTTGGAAATTTTCCTTCAATAACGCACAAAAACTCTGCTACTTTACAGCTCTATACCCACCCCTTTTAGTTGATGTCAAAAAATTACATCTTTAAACATAAACTTAGAATCCTCTTACATGCATTAGTCTCTTAAATTATGCAGAAAATAAAATATGAAATTCCAAACCAAAGCTACAATCATACTAGTTTTTAGACCAGTAACTTTTTTTAAGGTATTGGTCTCTTCAATCATGTAGAAAATAAAAAGTAAAGTTACAAGCCATTGTTGCAATAATACTAGCTTCATTTACCTTTATTAGAATCTTTATTTCCGAATATGGCTTCAAGTTACTGTTTAGTGTTGTTTTGTTTCAACCTGCAGGACTCTCGTGAGCATTTCTTGTGAGACAGGCTAGTGGTCACAAGCTCCCTCAGTTTTGCTTTTATCTGGGAATGTTTTAATTTCTCCCTCAGTTTTTAAAGGACAGTTTTGCCAAATATAGGATTCACGTCCTGATTCATGACCCACAGAAACAGTGAAATAATAAATATGTATTGTTTTAAGCCACTGAATTTCGGGTGATTTGTTATGCAGCAATAGATAAGTAACACAGTAGCTTTCAGCACAGTTCCTACTGTTGCTCCTGCTGCATCTGCTGTTGCTACTGTAATAACAGTAAAAGTGAAAGCAAATCCCCGGGGCTTCAGGACACAAATGCAGAGTTAACCATCCATAATCTCCATGTTTTTGTTGTGCCTTCTGTTTGTCTTAAATTCATTCAAAATTTCAGCATTGGCTTTCTACTCCTTCATATAACCATGTTTCCTTTTAAAGGCTTTAATGTTAAATTAATTTCCCCCACCTCAAATCTCCAAGTGGAATGGTCATTTTAGGATCCTGTGTCTTATTTATTTCTAAGCATCCTTTACCAATAACATGCAATTCAAACAAATGTAGCTTGGAAATGGTGCCAGCATACACTTGAAAACTGGCTTTGTTTGTGTGACCAGAGACAGAGCTTACTGTCTTCATTTATAAAATGGAGCTAATTCTCCTATCCTCATAGTCTTGTTTTGAAGATATAGTGAGAGAATATCAAGTGCCTGAGCAGTAAGTGTCAACAATAAAATTTCATTTCAAATCTCTCTTATGCATGAATCACAGTATCTTGGAACATTATGGATCTTAATCTGCCATAGGAAATTACATACAGACATAAGAAAACTATATCAAAACTGAAAAAGGAAAATAAATGTCCCTAAATTCACAATAATCTTTCTTTTTAGGTTATCCTGGAACTTCATTTCCATAGAATTCTATATACATTTCAGTACATTCTTCCTCAAGGATAAATATAACAAATTATTTACTCCTCAGATGGCCAAGGGTGGCCACACATTGACATATTTGGACAGAAACTGCCCCACATCTGCTAAGATTTCATGGCCTCAGATTAAACAACAGTAAAGGAAGTTAAGGCTTGGGGACATTGGCTTCAGTAAGGACAACTGACCAGTCAATGCAAAGTGCCCAGTGGCCTCAGAAAGCTCAGACATGGTTTAGCAGGCCTTAGGGTACCATCCCAGCAGGTAGCATTAATTTAGCCACTTGGGGATGTTCCCAAATCCAGGTCAGCCTTCTACTGATGGTGGGACCACAGTGAGTGGTTTTGCTCTCTGGGAAAAGAGAGTAGTAAGAGCTAGGCAGTGTTGTGTATCAGAGTGCTCCTCTAACTTCCATATATTGACAATTCACCTGCAGCTATCGTTGAAATGCAGATCCTGATTCAGTAAGTTTGGGGTGGGCCTCAGGCACTTGCACTCCTAAAATGCTTTCAGGTGAGGTTGAGCAGCTGGTCCATGAATTGCATTTTGAATAGCAAGCGTGTAGTAGAAGGGACATTGATTTGAAGTCAGGTAGACATGGGATTGAAAATCTAGCTCAACCATTTATTGTGTAACCTCAGGCAAGTCACTTAATTACTCTGAGCCTAACTCCTCACCTGGAGAATAATTTTATCTCCTAGGATTGTTGTAAGGATTAAAGAAAAAATATGATTGTAAATGCTTAGCTAATAATTCTAGCATGATAAATCTTAAAGAAAAATTTCTACTACATCTTATGCTTCTATTTTCGCCCGTCCCTTTAGCAGCTAGTTTGATTGGTCGTTCCTCCAAGAGATTGAATTTGCCATGTTCACCAGTGGGCAGGGTTACTTCCTGCTCTTATGGGGTAAGCATATCTGGGTACATTTTGCCTCCTTGGAGAAAGATAAGCAAGTCTGTATACCTAGATCGTTTCACTTGTGCCTACAACTGAGTAACTCAGGTTACAACCTACTTTGCAGATGCAGCCTCTTTTCATTTACAGAAAAGGATTAAGTAGACCAGCTTAGATGTCTAAGCCTCATATTCCAAGTAGGCTTTTACCAAAATTCATCATTACAGGTTATTGGGTGTTGGTTAAATTATTAATAAAGAAGAGCTTTGTCTCCCGTATGTATCATTTCCCTTGTGTATACAGTCACCTCAGTGAAGAGCCATCCAGGTATACAAGCAGCAGGATAGACTCCGAGCATTTACCCAACTCCTGGCTTAAAATATTTTAATTTTTTCCAAACCTTGCCCTGATCTCTTCATTGTAGCTGCCATCATTCCACCACCACCACTTCTGCTATCATCATCATCATCACCACCACCACCCCAGAAAGAGCCAAACCCAATTTAATTCAATTCAATTTGAATTGAATTTACTGGGTCTCTGAAATATACCGAATGCTGTGGTTCTGTCCTCTGCATTTGTGTCAATGGATGGCCCGGGTTCATTTGAACAGTTTAAGTGGGTTGGACATACTTGTACTAGGCACTGGGGATACAATGGGGAACCAATCCCTGCCATCAGTTGCTCATAGGGATGAAGAACAATGGCCTAACTCAGAGACTAGAGAAAACGTGGGTCACAAGGGGTGATGCTCATTAGTGAATCCAGTGTCAGAGGGCAAGAGGGGAAGGCAGGGTTGCATACAATTACATCTCACTGAGTTCCCCCCTAGTTAAGAGCTGGAGTAGGGGAAGGAGGGTGCTGGCCATGGATACAGGCAGCACCAGGAGATCTGCTCACACTACCAACAGAATTCTTATCTGGTTTGGAAGTTATCTGAAATTAAAATCATGCCTGACATATGAGGCCCTGGGAGAAATGCATTGTGCCTTTCTTACCTGAGATTATCTCTGTCTAGTTCCTGTGCAATAAGGAGGCTGACAGGGAAAGCACGGTTGGTACCCTTTTCTCCCTGGCAGGAAAGTCATCTTCCTCTAAGCCATGGCTTTTGGAGAAAATTTTTCTCGGGGTGGCATTCCTGCTAAGAAAGTGAAACACTGGCTTTTGTTTGGAAGAGGTCCTATCTGTATCCGGACCTGGAGTAAATGTCATTTGTCCTGGTCCCTAAGGCTTCACTTGAAAGTAGCATGGTGGCTCTTTATGGCACCATGCTAGTCATTTATACATATATTTTCTTATTCTTGCAAAAACCTATAATATAGACAAAACTATGAATCCTGCTTTACAGCTGAAGGTACTGAGTCTCAGATGGTACAGAGACTATTAAACACAAACAAACTTTGATTCTAACTAAAGTCTTTTAACTCTGGCTCAATACGGAAATGACAAACTTATCTTTCCAACTTTTATTTTGGATTCGAGAGTACACATGCAGGTTTGTTACATGGTATATTGCATGATGCTGAGGTTAAACTTAAAGGGCCAAATAGCAAATATTTGAGGTTTGCAGGCCATAAGATCACTATAGCACCTACTCAACTCTGTCATTGAAGTGTGAAAACAGCCACAAACAATACATAAACAAATGAATTTATAGCCGTGTTCCAGTAATGTCCCATTGTGTTTATAATACAGGCAGCCAGCTCATAGGCCACAGTTTGCAGACGGCTATTGTAGAATGCTCTTTGGACTCCCGCCCTTGATACCTGGTGATAAGTAAGGTAAACAGGCAAATAAGCATTAGTGACCTCTGAGTTCTCATTCTGTCCAACAAATACCTTGTGACCCAGGCCTGTTCCCAGGTCCTAAGTCTCTCTGTTTTATTTATGTCAGACATAGCCCACATCAGTCATTGATTCTGCCATATATTTTTATTTGGGCATGGACATCACGGTAGAACATAGATCACACACTCCTTACTTAGCTTCATGGTACAACCCATTATTTAATTTTAAGATTGTATCACATATATAGAGAATTTGAGGTCCATTGCATTAAATAGTGGAAGTAATCTTTATTCGCAGTTTCTAAAAAATACATGCTTTTTTCTACTGGGCAGTTTTTCTATCAACCCTCTATAAAGGCAAAGAGAAAAATATTAAGTCGTAGCTCAGGGAAAGCATTTCTGCTATGGACTTAGATAATGTGACTCAGGTATTGCCTTTCAGGTAAAAACTGGAGATGAATGGATAGTTAGCATGTCTATTAGACTTTCTCTATCAAACATCAGATAGGGTAAACGAGCCTCTGAGAAGTGCTGACTCTCATTCGATTCACAATCAAATACTCTAACAAGGACTTAAAGTGCAGATAATCTCTATTGTGGATTAAAGTAAAAGCCATAGACTTTGGCCGCTATGTGATGCAGATAGGTAAAATGCCATTCTTTTGGAAACACTTAAGAACTGATTATTTATTGCGTTCTCAGGGAAATAACCAAAGCACTTTTGTACAAATGTGATCAGAATATCATTCCCTGTGGGGTGCTTTGGCTGCAGTTCTCAGAGGCCACCCTCATTAAAAACTAGTGGATGCTGGAATCAAGAAATAATGCAGATGTGAGAGTTGACTAGGAAGCCCAGTCAAGGTGTAGAGGGAGAAGACTTGAGAAGCCACCTAGAATTAGTTTTATAGTTTATGCTCAATTTCAATAATATGGTGCAAAGATGGACCAGCCTCACGCAAAGGGCCAGTAAAGAGAAAAAATTATTTGTTTTGTTAAATATATGAACATATTCAAGTCTGTTAATTAGTAAAACCAACTCTTAGTCAAGAAATCTTGATGACAGTACATTCCACCAGTAGTATATAAGTATCTTACATACTACAAGATAGTATCATAGCCAACTTCTCTGTGAAAGACATTCCCTAGAATCAGGAATCCAACTATCCAGTCATTCATTTGCAGATTCATACATGCATGTTTTTATTCATTTATGCATACAAGCATTCATCTATTCCCAGATTAATTTGCATAGTAGCCTCCCAAGATATATTTGAATGCATAAGTACAGGAATTCATTTATTCATCCATGCACAAAGTCATTTATTCATGCATCTATGAAGCATTGATTCACTCTTTCATTCATGAATTCTTAAATGTATTCATTAATCTGTTCAGCAAATTGCCATTTAAAGCTTACCATGCAAAAACTGCCAAATTAAGCTGTGTGTGGAATGAAGATGATTCCCCATCTTCACAAAATGCATCTTTAAGAGGGGAGGGAAAAGACCTTAGGATAAAAATAGTAAATATTAGGTCATTACAAAATATGTGTTACAAGTCAAGTGTAAAAGTCCAAAAACAAGATTTACTTTTGTTTGGGGCAGAGGTGTGGGGGATAGGAAGTATATTGGTCAGGAGAAGGAGGTCTTTAAGCTGAAGCATGACAAGTAGGGGGAATTTGAAGAGAATCACCCAAGGGAACTAGAAGAATCTGTGCAATGAGCTGAGAAAACACAGTAGCTATGGAGGAAAAGGTGCTGAGGAGTAGCTGGGGGCTCTTTTTTGCTGGAGTGCAGGGATTGGAGAGTCCTAGGATGCTAACAGAAGCTTGAAAGACAAGGAAGAGTTAGATCATGAAGGGCCGCAAATACCAAGCTAAGGAGCTAGGACTTTGATCCTGCACATGGTAGTGAGCTGGTGAAGGGTTTTGGAGGAATTTATACTATCAGAAATCGGTTTAATGAGGTTTAATTTGGTGGTTGTAAGTAGGAAAGTAGGGAGAACAGCTGGGAAACTAGTGAGGAGGAAGATATCAAGGGCCAGACCTGGAGCTATGAAAGAGGATGAGATGTGCAAGAAAGAGACAGATTTAGATGATGCTTTGATAGGACGTGAAAACTGATCACAGAAAAGGGGGAGGAATGTTTCTCTGAGGTTTTTTTTTTTTTTTTTTTTGAGATAGAGTCTCACTGTGTTCTCGCACTGGATCTCAGCTCACTGCAAACTCCGCCTCCCGGGTTCAAGCAATTCTCGTGCCTCAGCCTCCTGAGTAGCTGGTATTACAAGCACGCACTACCATGCCCAGCTAATTTTTGTAGTTTTAGTAGAGACAGAGTTTCACCATGGTGGCCAGGCTGGTCTCGAACTCCTGACCTCAAGTGATCCACCTGCCTCAGCCTCCCAGTGCTGGGATTACAGGCATCAGCCACTGTGTCCGGCCTCTCTGAGGTTTCAATTCAGATCTCCAGGAGACAGGGGGCCTTCTAAACATAATAAACGAGCAGAAGAAGAGGAACTGGGCTGGGAAGGAGGAGATAAAGCTTGGTCTGGATTTGCTCTGATTCTCATGATGCCAGCAGATATCCTTGAAAGCAGAGGCAAATAACTTTAGGCTCTGAATGCGGCGGCACACCAGAGAGTCCCTTCCTCCTTCCTGCCCCATCAGCTGCACCATTGGCCTCCACTCCTCTCACCATCAACTCCGGTGACCCAGCCTCTGGTCACTGGAGGAGGCAGAGCTGGCCTGGGTGGGGGGTGGCAGGAGGAAGTGGGTGGTGGAATTACCCACAAAGTGACTTCTCAAGCTCGCCTATTTCTGGTGCCTCTCCTCCTGATGCATCTCAACCTTGGCCTGAGCTAATGAACCTCAGAGAGCAAAGCTGTCTTTTGTTTGTTTGTCATTTTGAAGTTTTCTGGTTGATTAAGATCTATGCCAGCAGGAGGGTATAAAATCACCAGCAATACTTCATTCGAGGATCACAGGGCACTCTCATCCCCTTCTGACAAAATGCTGAACTTAATATAAAAATGCTGTCCCAACCACTTTAGATCAGAGAAATTGTTAAAAGGACTTTTTTCTTTCTCTTTTTTTTTTCCCATCTGAATTGTTATTTTTCCCTCCTCTTATCATTTTCTGCTTTGTTTCACACCCTCTGTAAATCAGGTTTCTTTTAAAAGAGCAAAAATTGAATTCTAGTTACAGACAAAAACTACAAATGAATTTCACACTGAATGAAGTCCAAGGGAAGGAAAAAAAAAAAAAACTGTTACTGGGTGACACTTTGAAGTTAACTTTTCCTCACCAAACCCCGGTTATCGTTTTCCTAAGGACCACGATGTCACCTACCCCTACTCCCAGCCCCCTTGCCCAACCTGTACCCTTGAAACTCCTAACTCTTAGCAGAAAAAGAATGCAGCCGTCACAGCTTCAGTCTTCTGGGGGAATGTAATTATCTAAACTGGCGCGGATCCAGAGCTCAGCTCCCCCATGAAAAGGATTTCTTATGAAAGATTAAGTGGTAACACATATGTCAACAGCACTCCCAGCTCTGGAGTAATTCTGAGCAAACAAGAAAATGGCAACAGTTCCTGTTTCCAATCTGGAAACCCTCCCCGGGTCTTTTTCCACCCCAGGTGTCACAGAGCTCTTCAATTTGTTCAGGTGTTGTATCATGGGAGCCAATAGACAGGTGAGGGGGACAGTACGTTTATCCACGGTGAGGCTTGAGGGGATGGGAGCCAGAAAAGCAGCTGGTTTGGAGGCAGCCCTATAAGGCTGGCTGTTTTAGGGACGCGGCACCGGCCACCAGGCCTGCGTAGCCCAGGCTCCCTCCCGTTTCCTGTAGCCCTCCGCCTTGGCAGGCATGGCAACACTGCCCTCTGCTGGGGCAGCACAGTCATCACACCCCACCCAAGCTCCCCGGGCCAAGGACGATGGCTGGGAATGTGATGGGGAGGAAAAGGCTTGACAGCCAAGCAACCGCTAGGGTCAGCTCTTGTGTGGCTGGAGTGTCAAGAGTCCCCGTCTCTGATGTGTGCCTTAACCCAGGGTTTTAGAATCGAACAGACAGATCTGCTATGTGACCCTGGGCATGATTTACCTTTCAGAGACTCAGAACAAAGAGAAAAGTCACCTACATTAGAGGACTATGGTGAATATGAAATGAATATTAGCTTTTCAGCAAGGGTGACCACACGTCCTGATTTCCCCAGGATGGTCTCAGTTTTTGCTTGTGGTCCTGATGTAATTGTGAACGGCACCCCTTTCATTCTCAAAAGGCAATAAATTATATGGTTAGCCTATCCAAAACGCAAGACACTCTGCCAGACATAGTAGTTACTCAGCAAAACCTAGTTTCTCTCTATTGTACTTGAATGCTGATCTTCTGTGAATGCAGATAAAGGGACAGGTGAGGCAGTTTCCTTTCCCTTTACTTCTATGGGGTAAACTGTACACTAGCTTTTCTGCATCCAGCAAAGAAAGCAGTATGGCAGTGTATGGAAAAATCAATAGTGAAGAGGGTAGGAGTCATAGGAAGATAAACCAAGCCAACAAATTTCAGCAGAATCCTAAGCAAGCCCCTTCGTCCTCTGTCCTGCTGTCTCCCACGTATGAGGAGTGATCACCTTTGCTTTTCCTTTTTTGTAGGACTGCGGCAAGGCCCAAATGCAGCAATGGGTATGAAAATGCAGTCATAGGCAGAAGCAAGGTATCATTATCTCATTTTTGATGCATACCAACTATCCACAATTGGATATTTTCTAGAGATACTTCTCTGAAAAAGATGCAGAAGTTCAGCATGTATAGCCCCATAGCTATATAATATACATTCATTTATGTCTTCCAAGCCTAAGAAATGTGGGGAATTATTGAAATGTCTACCACTGTGATAGCTCAAATCAGTGACAATGGCCAAATTTTGTTGCATCAATGTCCCTGAGGGGAAGCTGGCACCAATGCCAGGATAGCAGCTGATCTGCGTGTCTATTTACATAAATTTGCATTGGTGTGATGTTGAAAACTAAATGCCAATATTAAGGAAAATCGTTTTCTCCCAGACTAAGTCATCTCAGCAGAGCACAGTAGCAAGGAATACAGGCTCTGGAACCTGGCCTGCTACCCTCTATTTGTGTGACCTTGAAAGTTATAACCTCTTGTGTTGTATTTCCTTATCTAGAAATGGGAATAATGATAGCACTGACCACAGAAGGTTGGTGCAAGGGTTAAATAAGTTAATGTGTATGAAGGGTTTAGAGCATCACTTGACCTATTAAGTGCTGTGATATTAGCTGCTATTATTAACTCACACCCCATCCATTGTCCCTCACCATCAGTTTTTGTAACGCAGCCTCTGCTTTTTCTTCTATAAATCATAAAATTTAGAAATTTAGAGCTGGGAGGGATCTCAGAACATCTAATCAGTCACTTTTAGACTTTTATTTTATTCCTTTTAAAATAACTATGGAGCACTTTTTGAAAATAAAAGCTTACACGGAAACCCAGCATGGGGAACCATAGTAGCGTTGCAGTTAAGAAAATGGGCTTTGCAGATAGACAGGTCTGATTTCTAGTTCAAAGCTGCTTATTAGCCTTCTAACTCAGGGCAAGTGATTTACCTTGGCATTAAGCCTTCATTTCATAAAGTGTAAAATAGCAATCGTAATTGTAAATATTTCATAAGATTGTTATAAAGTTAAATGACTTCACACTTATTGAGTGTTTAGTGCAATGCCTGGCACATAATAAAGACCCAATAATTACATTAAATTCTTATGACTTTAATAAGTGAAATAGATACAGGAGAGCCAATCCAGCTGAAGCAGAGGAGAAGACATGGACCCCATGAAAGGCTCCCAGGGAACTTCTAGGACTCTGCAAAGCACAACTTAAAAGCTCCTGATCTAAGCCAACATCTGGAAATCAGAGTCCAGGAAGTTCTCAGCCCTTAATGTTAATTAACACATTCCTTCATCTCTAGTCGTTGTAATTGTTCTAATTCTGCCACTGTCCCCTACTGGTCATGTGATTGCTCTTCTTTTCCTTTTTCTTAAAGTTACAGCCCTGAGACAGTCTCTTTGGTTTAAACACCTTTTTCTAGGCCTGATTAAGCTGAGCAAGATTGTGTGGCATCCCCTGTGGTTGGCTCCCAATGGGGGTGAAAGTATCATGAACTTGCATTTCTAACATCTTCTGTTCCCTTCCTGTGCCTTTGACAGCTCACAGCCGGAGGGGGAGTGAGTCATTTGGTTAAAAATAAAAATACTACCATCTTTTCTCTAATGGCTTTGTTCATGATCACTGCAGGCTGGCACTGATATGTATTCTAAGCAGCCAGGGATAGCCAGTGGGCAGCCTGGGAACCTAGCTGGATTGCCTAAAACCAAAGTTTTGTCATCTCCTTTACTTTGCTGAAACACGGGGATTCAGCCATCTCTACCTTGGCTGGGCTACATTAGCATGGGGTGGATGGAATAGATGGTCAGCCTTCAGAAGAGGGGAACAGTGATGAACCCAAGAGTCACTTAGAGGAGAGAAGGTAAGATTCATAGCCCACAAGAGGGTAGCCCAATCCCTTCATTTTACTGAGACCCAGAAATGGAGCGTTACTTATCTAAGGTCACTTAAGCTGAGAGTTGGAGAAGGAAGCCATGGATTCAAGGCTTCTGTCTATAACAATTACAATGACTATTGCTCTTATTTCTACTTGCTTTTCCCAGCAGTATGTTAAATGTTTTATGTTGTTTGCCTCATTCCATGATTAACACAATTCTATGAGGTAGGTATTATTTTCCTCATTTTACAGATAAGAAAACTGAAGTTTAACAAGGTAAAGTGACTTGCCTAAGTTCCACTGACTAGTACATGGTAAAGAAGTGATAAAATAAGTTCATTTAGGTCCAGTGCCTAGGTTTTCAATCATTGAATCCTCAAAGTTTAGGGAGTGGGGAGTGTATTTATTAGCATGTGTATGTGCTAAGAGAGCAGCAACAGTGTCCTATTCATTATTAAATCCCCAATTTTTTTTTTTTTCTGAGACAGGGTCTCTCTCTGTCGCCCACACTCGAGTTCAGTGACACAATCTCCACTCACTACAACCTCCACCTCCTGGATTCAAGCGATTTTCCTGCCTCGGCCTCTCAAGTAGCTGGGATTATAGGCTTGTACCACCATGCCCAGCTAATATTTTGTATTTTTAGTAGAAACAGGGTTTCACCATGTTGGCCAGGCTGGTCTGGAACTCCTGACCTCAGATGATCTGCCCACTTCAGCCTCCCAAAGTGCTGGGGTTATAGGCATGAGCCACCATGCCCAGCCTAAATCCTCAATTCTTAACAAAATTCCTAAACAGGAACAGGCACCCCATGAGGATTAAGTCTATGTGTTATAACCATAATTTTTGGCTCCATTAGAATCTGGGTGTTGCCCCACCCCCCCGCCCACTTCTAATTAGGATGTTAGTGACTACTATACGACCTTGGTCAACTCTGCCAGAGGACAACTTCCTGTGGCCAGTTTGGGATAACATCTGTTTTCTTTCCCCATCAGACACTATGTACCTGACTTATGCACAGGCTAGTGAGAAGCATTAATGTTGGAACTGAAATGGAAGTTAGTGAAGCCATGACATGTGTCCTGATTTCACCATGTGACTTTGGAGAAGTCACTCATTTTTGCTGAACCTTGATTCACTCAGCTGTAAGGAAATCAGATCATTTGCAAGAACCCCATTCAACAATTGCTTGATCCAAGCATGATGTAAAGCCAGGTTTCTCAAGCTCAGCATGATAGAAGTTTTGAGCCAAATAATTCTTTTTAAGGAGATCTGTGCATTGCAGAAAGCTTAGCAACCTCCTCAGCCTCTGTGAGAGGCCAGTAGTTCTTCCCCAGTTGTGACAAATAAAAACATCTCCATACATTGTCAGATGCCTTCTAGAGAGCAGAGGGCAAACCCTCTGGTGTGAAGTGACCTGGGTTTTGTCTTGGCTTTTTCAGCATCTATCTCAATTTCCTTACAGCTCCCTTGCCTTCTCTGGGCCTGAGTTCTCACTTGAAAAAAAAGGGACTTATTCTATTTGGCCAGGATGATTGAGCCATGAACATGCTCCAGTTGTGGTCTTTTCCTGTTTGTGCTGAGGATGGAGGTAATGATCAGTTGAAAGAATTGGTGCTAAGTGCTTCGCTACAGGTATACGACCATCAGAATCCAGTATGTGTGCTAAGGGCAGGGTGGGAGCTTGGAGAAAGTATTATGTTCACGATATTTGTTAAACCTCATAAATCTTGTCTAAAACCCTAGGAAAATCGCATAAGCCCTGTTTCACACATTCCTTTCCTAGATGCCCACAGTCCAAATCCTTTACCATCATATTTGCAATGTCTATGATTTGAACTCTGCCTAACTCCTATTCTTCTAGATAGGTAGATAGGTAAGTAGATAGATAGAAAGATTGAGAGAGAGAGAGAGACAGAAAGAGAGAGAGAGAGAGAAATGAATAGACATGGGCAAATATCTATGTCTATCCAATAGGAGATATATACATAATAATGGTGATACAGATAAATATGAGATAGATACATGGTTGGATGGATAGATAGATAGATAGATACATAGATAGATAGAGGTAAAGAGATCCTATCAGTTCTTTTTCTCTGAAGAACCCTGACTAGTAAAATATATTAATCATCATCATTATTATCACTGTTGTTCACAGAGCATCCAGTCAGCTAAATATATATTCGAGAAAATGTGCTAGACTCTAGAATCAGATATCATTTCTCAGATGACATAGGGACTTCAGTTCTGCCTGTTTCTGTTCTGTGCTGTAAGCTCCTTCTTTGGAAATGGCCATAGTAACGCCTCCTCCCTCTGCCTCAGGCATTCTGCTGAGTCTCTCCAGAGGTAAGAGATGTAGAAGCTCTTTCTAAGCTCAGAAGTCACTCCTCCTTTGAAAAGGATGGTTATCTATGGCAAAATCAGGGAGACAATCACCAGTTCTGTAGCCAGGCTTTTGGCCTGTTTTGCCCACTGCTATACACTCTTTGCCCTGGGCAGGGCCATTATGGTTGAATAAATGAAAAATCCTACATTTCCAATGGCCAGTTTGGAATGTCAGGATAACTGTTATCCATGTCCACATTGACTAGATAGATAAACATCACATTATGTGAGAAAGTCAAACATATCCAAAGTTGGAGAATGATTTTTCGATGAGTTCTTCTGGAACAATTGTTTTTCAGCTTTCATTTGAGGAGCAGAACACTCTGACCAAACAAAATCTTATGCAAAAGCACACTATACAAAACAGGAGCTGTTTTGGTTGAAGTGTGTGCATGGTGACAGGGTTACAGATCCCAAACACTCCCTACATACCCTGTGCCTTCTTCTACTTCCTCTTCCTTTTCTTTTAGCTTTCAAGGCTATCTTTAAAACCTTAAGTACTTGGAAAACACATTTGGGAAATCATTGGCCATAAATATTTTAGACAGAGGTTGGGTGTCATTAAAACAGCTCTATGCAGGGACCCCGACAGTTCCAGCTTAGCCTTCTTTCCGCCTTAGACTCTGTATGAGACCTCTGGCAAGTACTTTTCTTCTCTGTGTCTCAGTTTTCCCATCTCTAAAGTGAGAGAGGTAGAATGATATTGAATGGTCCAACCAGGCATCAGTCTAGCACAGATCAGACACTCATGTGATCTATCTATTTCTCCCTCCATTTTGTCTTACTATGTTGTCCCAATCTCCTCTTCCTGAAGAAATCAGGGGCCCAGGGGGAACCCAATAGCATGGAGCATCAGCTGCAGCAACTGAGCAATGTGATGGTGTCACCGTGTCTCCTCAAGCTCTTGAATGGTACAATCAGTTGTCTGTACGAAATGACCAGAAATCAAAAGACTCAATGTTGTGATCACAGCTGGGACCCCATGTTTGGCTTGAGCAGGATAGAGGCACAATCCTGGGGCCACATTCCAGACAATTAAAGAAAATATCAGCATCTATTTACCAACGAATTACAGAACATCATTCAAATGTCATCAGTCCAGAACCCACTCCCTGGCTCTCACAGAGCTCTGACTAAGAGCAGTCTTCTTTTCCCTCTTCTCATTACCTCGCTAATATTAGATCAACATCTTATAACTTCTCATGGCATAAGCTTGGTGTGAGGGAACTTGCTTTCTCAGGATGCCCTTCTCTGCCACATAAACATACACGCCTCTTTGACTGCTGTTTTGTGAATCAAAATTTCCATCTTCTTACTTTTTTTCTGCATCCTGGTGTCAAGAAGTCAGAAAACCTAATTTCTAAATCTTGCTTCTGCCATTTCTCCTTGGGATGATCTTCAACAACTTTTCCAAACCTTGGATTTCATGCTGATTCTTCCTTCTTGATCAGGTTTTTAAGTTTTTGAGATAATCAAATTATCATCTGAATTTTAAAGTCTATTATGAACTACAAAAACATCATTCGAATGTTAGTATTATTATGGCCTAAATGGCTATTTACATTTTACAAAATGCTTTCAGCACCAGAGTTATTTCCCAAATTGGGTGCCAGGAAAATCTAGTTTCTTAAAATAAGACTGCTCTAGGGAAGAAAGTTATAAAGCATTCATGGAAAAAAATAAAATTGGATTTTCAATTATGCAAATCTCTTTATGCAGACCTTCTCAGTGCCTTTAAGCTAGAAATGTTATCTACTCACAGAAGCTGTTATTCCTCTCCCATGAATCACTTATTTTCACTTTTTAAAATTAATAAGCTAGAAATATTATCTACTCCCAGAAGCTGTTATTCTTCTCCCAGGAATCGCTTATTTTCATTTTTTAAAATTTAGCAGGAAGTAAAATTTGAGAATCACTGATCCTATATTACCTTCTATAAAGGAAATTACAATATAACAACTGCTTTACAACTGAAAAAATTAAGGCTGGAAAGTGTAAAAAGGTAAGTAAGGCACAGAGAAATTAGGTTGCTACATTTTTTTCTAGACTTTGTAGTTGTTATTCTTTGTATGTTCTCTCTCTCTCTCTCTCTCTCTCTCTCTCCTCTCTTTCTTTCTCTCTGTCTCAGAATCACTTGGTATCCTGCCAGAAATGCACATTCTCATGCCACTCCCAAGACCTGCTGAATCAGAAACTTTCGGTGGATCTCAGCAATTTGTATTTTAACAAGCTCTCCAAAGTGATTCTGATGCATACTAACATTTCAGAATCACTTGATTCTGAATCACTGATTTACTTACTTTACTAATAGTGCCCTCTTTCAATTCCGTATGTCCCAGTCTGGACAATAAATTGGATGGTCACACTAAATATAGCTTTGCTGGCTAAAATTTGTGTTAAATAATTCTGTTTCTTTGGTAAACAGCAGCACACACACACACATACAAACACACACACACAAACACACACACACATTCACACATGCACATACCTGGACACCCCAGCCTCCTCCCCTGGGATGCTCTGGACCTCTGGACGATCCAACTACTAAAGAGTTGATGCCTGGTACTCCTGAGCATCCAGATCCTTACTAGCCAGGGTCCTTTCTGAAGGATTGATGCTCTTAAAATGACAATTAAATGCTTACTGTGCCAAGTGCTTAACATAGTACCTACTATACAGAAAGAGTCTCATAAATGGTAGTTATTTAATTTTCTACTTCTGATATCTTCTTTATGGCAGAAACTGTGGTAGGTTTTGGACATTAAATAGTTATTAAATAGAACACGAGAGCATGATCCTCATAAAGCTTATGATCTGGTTGGAGATACTGACTGCAAATAATTGTGATCCAGGGTGACAGATGCTTTTGTTGGACAATTAGGGTGGTGTAGCAGCACGGGGTGGGAGGGTGCAGTCTGTGTGCAAAATCGATGTCATGTGGAAAAATCCAGATGAGAAAGAACATGACACATTGGGAAAACCACAAGTGGCTCAGATTGGCTGGAGCTTACTATGGTGGTCGTAAAAAAAAATGGGGAAGAATAATGATGATAAGAGGTGAGTCTGGAGTTGTTGGCAAGGGCCTGATCAGAGGCTTTTTGAGCCATGTTGGGGAGTTTAAGAATTCTTTTGAGGGAAATAGGGAGCCACGGAGGGGTTCTCAATGGGGGGGGGCTATTTAGATGGATATTTTATAAAGTTTCTTCTGGCTATTGTGCAGCTGTACACGATTAAATGAGAGAAGACTAGTGCTATAAAATAATTCCAATGATAACAGGTGCTTCCCTAGATGAGGAAAGTGGAGCGGGCATGGAACCATGTACAACCACATTTATTGAGTTTTGCCTCAAAGTTAAAAAACAAAATATTTATTGTTCTCTCTCTCTCTACATACATCATTGGATTTTGTTTCAGAAAACAAAATGGTAGCCCTATAGTCTGGGCACTTGGATCCCTAAATGAGATCATATTTCCATCATTCTTGCTTATCTTTTTTGTTCAGACCTAAAGCTTCAGTTTAAACTTCTACAAATAGAACATGTATTAGCCCATCTACTATTATCTAAATATCTATATAGTGCATTATTGTTAGTAAGTTATCTTTGCTTCTAATTTGATCTGCAACATAAACCTGTGAGTCCTTTTTAATTTTTGGAAATCAAGATTCAGAGAGGGTTGGCCATGTTCATGCAGAAGGCAAGATGCCTGGTCTTTTGTCTCCAAATTCTATGTACTTGTCACATCTCCACACTGTTACCCACTCTTTTCTCGGTGTGTTAGAAGAACATTGGATGAGCCAAAGTTAGTGAGGGAGGCTGGTGTGAAGGTTTGCAATGGTTGCAGTGTTCTGCTTGCATCTTTGTGTCCCACCTAAGCTCAGGAAAGGAAAAGGAGGAGGGAAGCAGAGGGAGGATGAAGGAGAAATGCTGTGACACTTTCTAACATTGCAGGGTAGTTCAAGAGGGGTGCTAGAAGACTCATTCCCCAGACTCACAGCTTTTGAGCAGCCTTTGAGCTGCCTGAAGCTGCCCTACACTCAGTGACAAGTCGTTTTTAGAAGATAGGTATAGGAGAAAGAGAGCCACTATTGCATTAGGAAAACACTAAGTTGAGTCTTTCAATTTCCCCATCTGCACATGAGGACACTAATAATACTTATCTCCCAGGGTTATAGTTAGATTATTGAGAGGATTAAATGAAATAATGCATAGAATGCTCTTCTGAATAATTGTGTAGCTCCCTGCCTCTCTTCACTTCTTTACTCAGATGGCTCCTTTCAGCAAGGCCTTTCCTGTCCATCTGATTTAAGCTTCAAACACTACTTCCTTTTGTCCTTCCTGTTTCCCTTCTGGCTTTATTTTCCCCACAGAACCAACCTCCAACTAATATAGTAAATATTCTCCTTGTTTATTCCCGTGTCTACACCTTTCACAGGAAAGCAAGGGTGGCTTGTCTGTTTTGTTCATTGCTGTATCTCTAGTGCTTGAACAGTGCCTAGAACAAAATAGGCAAATAGGTACAAGTGGGCTGAAGAACAGATAGGTAAACAATAAGTGAAAATATATCATTTGTTTGTTTTGCATTTTCAGAAGTATTTGTTATATGATCAAAGTCTTAGCCCAATTTTTTTTACTATGTAGTACATGAATATTGTCTCACTAAAAAGAAATAAAAAATTAACACTATGAGCATAGAAAATAAAATATACAAATGATTATGGCCAAAAGGACCTTTATAAATCTCTCTATTCCACTTCTTCGGACAAATAGCCACTGTTTACTCTTAGCTGTATAAACCATCATATCTATCCTATGCAGTCACAGGTGTATTAACAAGTATAGTAATAAATATGAGAACACACATTTTCATAATACTATATGCCAAGCACGGTTCTAAAAATTTATGTGTATTAACTCACTTAATCTCTACAGCAATGCTATTAGACAGGTTTTATTTCTACCCAAAATGACAGGGAAGGGAACTGGGGCATAGTTGCTATTTCTTTAATATATAAATAGAATCATATTAAATCTATTAGCCTACAATGTGCTTTTTCCATTTCAAACAAGTTGTAGGTAAGTACACCTTGATATTTAAGGTCAGAATCCATTTATTCCTTCCATAAGCACTTCAGATTTGTAGAGGGCTTTAATTTCACCCCAGCCACTTACTGGTTTTGTAATCGTGTCTTCAGTCTCCACCCCCAAGGGTGCTGAATTGAATGATGTCGAAACTCCTTCCCTAACCATGCATGATCTTGCTCTGCAGCATCTCCCAACTCCTCACTTACCCTGGGATTGGGTGCAGGCAATCTCCTCTATTCCCCACCCCTGAGGTTAATTCCACTGATAAATTCCCACAATGCCCTTTGCTCCCTTTGCGTCTTTTATTTTTTTTTTCTTGGAGACTGAGTCTCGCTCTGTCACCCAGGGTGGAGTGCAGTGGTGCCATCTAGACTCACTGCAACCTCTATTTGCTGGGTTCAAGTGATTCTCCTGCCTCAGTCTCCTGAGTAACTGGGATTACAGATGTGCACCACCACGCCCAGCAAATTTTTGTATTTTTAGTGGAGATGGGGTTTCGCCATGTTGGCCAGGCTGGTCTCAAACTCCTGACCTCAGGTGATCCACTCGCCTCGGTCTACCAAAGTGCTGGAATTATGGGCGTGAGCCACCACACGTGGCCCCTTTGTGTCTCTTATTAGCCTCAGTATTTGATTCCTTCCTCCCTTACACCAAGGAATGAATCATTTTCTGCTAAATGGGAAGGTTGGAAGGTGGGGAGATCATGACTTCAAACATTCTTTAAAATCAGCAGGTGCCCAAGGAAGTCAAGCAGGGAAAGCAGTTGCTGCGATTTCTGCTTATTTGCTGTTTTCAAACCAAATGTTCAACCTCTTTGAGCCTCCAGTTTCTCGTATGTTAAATGATAGTAGCTCCCATCTTACCACATCACGCGTTTGAGGTCTATTATTTTGGGAGAATTTTCATAATCATGAGTTATAACAGTCCCTCACACTAATGATTTGCATACTGTGATTTGCAACTTACACAGTCCTTATTGAAGAGAGTTATTTCCTAGACTTCAAATATCAGAGGTGAATCTTATTATGGATAAATAGATCGAGTGGTTTCCAAACTCTCTGCTTCACCCACTCTGGCAAGAAGAGTCCAGAAGGCATAATGGCAGTCCATGAACTCTTTTCAATATTTCAAAAATGCTAACGGGAATCATATATCTCCCCAATAAAATCAGACTTTAATTGCTTTTGGTGGGAATTATATCAACTAAAATTGGTACTTATTGGAAAACTAATTATCCTCAAATAAATGTAAGTTGGTAGACATAACCTCTTGAAATACTGGGAATCTATGGAGAGAAAAGTCACAGAAGGAAGACTTAGTAGTGAAAAGATGGAGGGTCTAGACCACAGGGACACCTACATTTTACAAATGAACCCCAAGAAGCAAGTTGTACCCTGAAATTCTTACTTCATCTTCTTTCCCACTCCTTCATTAAATTAGGCCTCATCTGTCCTCTACTGGTATTATGTATGCACTAGTCCTGGCTAGTTTCAGTCTGTCCTGCCCCTTGCAATCTGCCCTTCAAACTGCAGAATTCTTTTCTGCAGTTAAAAGGCCGACAGAGTGGCCTTTTTGGTATTCACCTTTCCTATTCCCCGATGAATTGATGCTCTCTGATGACTCCTCATTGATGTTAAAAGAAAGGCACACTCCTCTACCTAAAATACAAGATTCTTCATGCTCCAGCCTCACCATATTTTGAGATTCCCTATGCTCCAGCCACACCCAATGATGTTTGGTTACTGAATGCACCAGGCCTTTTCACTGCCAGTCTGTGTCTTTCAACACGCTGTTCCCTCTACCGAATGCCATTCCTCTACCTGTTCACCTGCTAACTTTGACTTTCCATTTTCAGCTTCATCACACCTCTTCCAGGAAGTCTTCACTGTCTGCAATCCTTTACTCCAGGATGGATCAAGTGCCTGCTCTGAGCTCTTCATTCCATGCTTCATTCTTGCAAGCACTTCTGTTACTGCATTTCTATCTTCTCAGTAGATAAGGAATTGTTCAATGAACATAAATTCCCCTGGCAGAGCCAGGAGTAAAATGCGAGGTCTTCTGACTGCCAGTCGTAGGGCTCTCTGTGTTGCAGACCATTGCAAGGCCTCTGAAAACTTCAACCACTTGGCCTTTCAGTAGAGTCCACATTTTGAGAATAATGTATCTAATATTGAATGTATTAAGGAAAAATGTTTACAAATGCCAGAGAGGAAAGAAGGCATACCTTTAGGGACCTTAGCACATAGATTCTGTCCTCCAAACCAGAAGCATATAGAAGAGGTTTCAGGGCAGAAGCCAAAGTGGAAGCACCTTCCAGGCAGAGGCACTGGAAGAAGCTTCACTACAAATAGTGTTCAGGTACAAACAAGGCCAAAGAGACACCACCACTTGTGTGAGAGAGAACCCTCTCTCGACAAGTTGGGAGGCCTTGTTCCCATTATGCCGAACTCATTCAAAGTATGTTTTCAGGCTGGGCACGGTGGTTCATGCCTGTATTCCTAGCACTTTGGGAGGCTGAGGTGGGCAGATCACTTGAGGTCAGGAGTTCAAGACCAGCCTGGCCAACACTGTGAAATCCCATCTCTACTAAAAATATCAAAAAAAAAAAAAAAAAAGGAAAGAAAAAAAAATAGCCGGGTGTGGAGGTGCACACCTATAATCCCAGCTACTAGGGAGGCTGAGGCAGGATAATTGCTTGAACCTGGGAGGCGGAGGTTGCAGTGAGCCAAGATTGCACCACTGCACTCCAGCCTGGGCAACAGAGCAAGACCCCATCTCCAGAAAAAAAAAAGTTTTCTTCTGACTTTGTGCTTTCTGAGATCCATCAAGTACAATACTGGGCAAGGAGGCCAACATCTCTCACCTGCTTACAGGTTGATATGGTTTGGCCCTGTGTCCCCACCCAAATCTCATCTCGAATCGTAATCCCCACGTGTCAAGGAAGGGGCCTGATGGGAGGTGATTGGATCATGGGGGCGGCTTCCCCCATGCTACTCTTGTGATAGTGAGGGAGTTCTCATGAGATCTGATGGTTTAAAAGTGGCAGTTTCCCCTGCACAATCTATCTCTCCTGCCACCCTGTGAAGAAGGTGCTTGCTTCCCCTTTGCCTTCTCCACAACTGTAGTTTCCTGAGGCTTCCCAGTCATGTGAAATCATGAGTCAATTAAACCTCTTTCCTGCATCAATTACCCAGTCTCAGGTATTCTTTATAGCAGTGTGAAAATAAACTAATACACAGGTACAGGGTCCTACCCACTGTGGTCCTGGCACATTGGGACCACTGTCCCACTTTCAGAAACTCTAGGCCCTGGCCTCCAGGTACCACTTTCAGAGACTAGAAATCCAGTAGCAAGTAAGGAACTCCCCCAGGCTTTATAATTGGGAGACCCAGGAGCTTGTAATAATTAGGGACACTACACTTAATTCACAAAATACTTCTATCTGCACTATTGGGATCTCTAACAACCCTGGACAATTGACGAAACAGGGATGCTTACAAATGAGAGAGCCAAGGCTAAAAGATGTTGAGTGACTTTCCTGAGATCTGACTAAAGTAGAGAAGTTTTCTGTGTACTAACAGGGCAATCAGCCTAAAAATGTTGTGTTTTACCTCTGTTTTGCTGTGCAATGTTGGGGGAGTTACTTGACTTATCTGATCTTCAGTTTCCTTATCTATAAAAAGGAGACAAAAATAATATCACTCTTCCAAAGTTGTTGTGCAATGAAATGAGATGATGTAACTAGCACACTGATGGACGTATACTGACAGTAAATACCTAGAACTTAAGAGCTCCAGTCTTCTAACTCCAAGCCCTTTTCTCCTTTCTGATACTTCTGCCTCAAAGATGTGCTGAATCTTTGGATAACTCATTTAACTTTCTGGGCTACAATTTTTCCAACTATAAAGGAGGTCCTAGTGACCTTATACAACTTATTTGAATTTCAGCTCCCTCAACTCTAAATAGGAATAATTACAGTTTTTTCCTTATAGGGTTATTCTGAGAAGTGAAGATATTGCTTGGAAAATGCTTAACACAGTGCTTGGCACATAGCCAAAACTAAATCTAAATTATCCATTGTCACAGTGCTTGTCGTTAGTATTAATATTATTAATATTAGAGCCTCCCATCATGGGATGGGATATATACCCTCTCAGTAAAGTGATCAGAACTCATTTCCATTTGGATCAAAAGGAGATAAGAAAATTGCTATAATTTCACTACTGATGTCTGCAACCCTTTTTCTTCTTTTTTTTTCATTCAAATATTACACAGTTTAATGGCTTAAAATAAAAATACATTTTACAAGAAATGAAAAATTCAAGGTAAATAGGTTGTGTATTATTTGAGTAAACTCTTCTTCACATATGAGATGCACACTAATTTCTGAGGGTTATTTCTCACTAATTATAAGCTTGACTGGCTCAGATGGTTGTCTTTTGTGAATAAATGAAAATTCTTTCTATCCACTAGTCATATTAAATCAGACTGATTAAGACATATAATTTAATCGCCCTCAAACTTCTTCCATTAAGTCAGTGTGGCGATTCCTCGGGGATCTAGAACTAGAAATACCATTTGACCCAGCCATCCCATTACTGGGTATATACCCAAAGGATTATAAATCATGCTGCTATAAAGACACATGCACACGTATGTTTATAGCAGCACTACTCACAATAGCAAAGACTTGGAACCAACCTAAATGTCCAACAATGATAGACTGGATTAAGAAAATGTGGCACTTATACACCATGGAATACTATGCAGCCATAAAAAAGGATGAGTTCATGTCCTTTGTAGGGACATGGATGAAACTGGAAACCATCATTCTCAGCAAACTATCGCAAGGATATAAAACCAAACACTGCATGTTCTCACTCATAGGTGGGAATTGAAAAATGAGAACACATGGACACAGGAAGGGGAACATCACACACTGGGGACTGTTGTGGGGTGGGGGGAGTGGGGAGGGATAGCATTAGGAGATATACCTAGTGCTAAATGACGAGCTAATGGGTGCAGCACACCAACATGGCACATGTATACATATGTAACAAACCTGCACGTTGTGCACATGTACCCTAAAACTTAAAGTATAATAATAAAACAAAACAAAAAAAGAATAAATATAGCCCAGAATTATTCTTGATGTTGCTATGAATTCTAGGAACCTTCACATAATTCCATCCAGATGTTGAGTTTTAGCATTTACCTCCAAAATACAAAGATATTGTTCAAGTTATTACTGGTGTAGCTGTTGATGAATTATTTCAAATTTACCTTTGTTCAGTGCTAAAAAGAAAATATTTCCTATGCATGAGAAATGGTAGAAAGACCAGAGCCACTTTAGAATAATCACTAGGGGAGAAAGGCATCTAAGATTATATATATTATTTTAATGAAGGGTGCTTGA
Source organism: Homo sapiens (assembly GCF_000001405.40). Lineage (NCBI taxonomy): Eukaryota > Metazoa > Chordata > Mammalia > Primates > Hominidae > Homo > Homo sapiens. The sequence goes on along the minus strand of NC_000009.12, from coordinate 117,472,135 downwards.
AATTGTATATGGCTTTCTTTGAATAATAAGCATCTACAGATGAGGTATGATTAGAAAATGCAATCTCTTTTACAGGTTCAATTAAATCAACTTCATTTCAATAATGTTGAATGATTAGAGAAAATTTTATCAGAATCGCACTTTGAGTCATCATTCAAAGAATCAATTTTTTTTTAAATTCTGCAATGTGGTTTACTAGATAATGACAACAGGAACTTTTTCTTCTTTGAATTCACCTTAGAGAATCATAGACTCCTAAGCCTAGAAACGTCTTTAGAGGCCATCCACCCAACTTCCTCTCCAATGTTTAAATTATCTCTATGACTCCTCCACCAAATGGCTGTTAGACCTATACTTGAATACCTCTGGTGATGGGGATCTCACCACCTTGTAAGCTAACTCCTTCTTTACACAGTTCCATATGCTTACTTCTCTTATATTAAGCCAAAATGCAAGCCACAGCAGCTGCTTCCATTTGTCCCTTCATTTCTAACTGGATCCACACAAGTCATGTAGAATTTGCAGAAGTCAAGCTTCAACATTTTTTTCAAACTATAACAAACTTGAATCATATTTGTTGATCACTTTTTTCCTCCCTCGTTCTGAAAAAAGTCTTAAGCACATTTCACCATTCGAAGGATTTTTGTGTGTGTGTTCTCCCTCATCTGCTGGTTCCCACTGGGATGAAACGCAATAAAAAGTCAGAAAGAAGTATAGGTTTGCCTTCTGGCTTTGTCACTTAGACGAATACCACCATAAAAAAATGGTGAATGCTGTCGGTTAAAGTGAACTCCTTCCTCTGCCCTCTACATTTCACTGAGTTCTGATGCAGGCCATTTGGACAGGGAGACCTTTTTCTGGAGATGGATAAGTTGGTGAGTTAAAGATTTTGCATTAAAAACAGATTCTGGTTACAACATCCTCCTGAGAGTTGCATTTTAGTCCCCTGTTTTGTGACTCATATCAATAAATCTCAAGGGGGCACATCAGTTGGTGATAGGATATCTGAGAACAGCAAGAAGTATCTGCCAATCCAAGCATAAAAAAGAGCAGCTCCAAGCCAGCACTTGCCGTTATCAAAGGGTGTGTCAGCATTCTGGTCTTCTTTCTTCTTTCTCACACTCCAACTTCTGCATTCCCAGCTCTTTTTAATGTTCTGTGTATCTCTAATCAGTTTCCCAATCTTCCGCTGGCTTCAGGAAGTCACATGAATAGACAACAGGAGAGCAACTTGTAATATTTTACACTTTCCAATAAAAAAATGCTGGTTGGGAGTGTTAATATTTAATCACAGATAAAGTGTCTGAAAAGTTGAAGGAGAATTTTCCATTAAGATATGGAGATAGTCAGAAAGTATTCTCACCTTGTTAGAAAACCTTATCAAGCAAGTAAACAGCATATGGTGTTAGGAAAAGATGCTGGGATAGCACCCATGGGGCTAAATCTCTTGCCCTGCTGGGGGTTAAATGTGAATTCCAAGTCCAGGGTAAATGCAAACCAAAGGAAGTGCTTCCTGATCCAGTGTACTCTGACCAGTGTGAGCAAGGTTAGGAATGGAAAAGTGGACATTGTGCCTTTGATGTGATGGAAGCTGATGTCAAAGATAACTTTGAACTTTTCTCCTGTGAGAATCGTAGCCCCTATGGACTACTACTTGCAATAATAAACTGCAAGCTAGAACTTACATTTGTGTTGCAATGTATAATTTATAAAGTGCTTTCTCAGCTAGTGCATCATTAGTGACTCCATTATGGGTGACTGATAAGGTTCCCCTTTTGTGGAGGAGGGAACAGAGGCTCAGAGGCATAAAGTTATTTGCCCAAAGTTGTAGAGTAAATTTATGGTTCGGTTTTGAATGCATGTTTTTCTGACCCTAAATCCACCACTTTTTCCACTAAAGCACATTTTTTTTTCAATAGAAAAGGGAGAAGCAGGTCTATTTGGGGCATAAGGTGATAGTGATCATAATGCTGATGAGAATGATGGCAGTGATGGTGATGGCAACTTACATTATCTTCAGATTTTCAATCCTGCTAAGTACCAAGCCATATGCTAGGTATTTTCCATGACCACTGTTATTTAATTCTTAAAACAGCCATTAAATATACTTCTTCTTATTTCACTTTGGAGGTTAACAAAGGGAGGCTCAGAATAAATTACTTTCCCATTGAATAATTTAATAATTTGAAAAACTGAATAATTTCCATAGGGAATTATTCAAATCTAGTTTTAGATAAATTTAAAGGTCTGCATTTTTACTAAACCACAAAAAAAGGAAAAACAGTGGGAAGCAAGTGTTGTTGGTTAATTTTATGTGTCTACATAACTGGGCTAAGGGATGTCCTGTCCAGATAGCTGATAAAATATTATTTCTGGGGGTGTCTGTGATGGTGTTTCTGGAAGAGATTAGCATTTGAATCAATGAGAGAATACCACTCTCACCAACATGGGTGGGCATCATCCAATCCCTTGAGGGCTTAGATAGAGCGAAAAGGGGAGGAAGAGCAAATTTTCTCTTTGTCTGAACTAGGACAACCATCTCCTCCTGCCTTAGAAATCAGCACTCCTGGTTCTTGGGCTTTCATGTTTAGACTGGAACTGCAATTCAGGCTAACCTGGGCTTCTGTCTTACAGATAACAGACTGAGATTTTTCAACCTCTATAATCACCTGAGAAAATTCCTTGTAATGAATCTCCATTATCTATCTATCTATCTATCCATCTATCCATCCATCCATCCATCCATCCCTGTTTTTCTGTCTATCCTATCTGTCTTTCTATCTATCCTCTCTCTCTCTCTCTCTCTCTCTTTTTTCTTTTTTATTTTTCGGAGTCTTTCTTTGTGTCGCCAAGGCTGGAGTGCAGTGGTGTGATCTCGGCTCACTACAACCTCTGCCTCCCAGGTTCAAGCCATTTTCCTGCCTCAGCCTCCCAAGTAGCTGGAATGGCTACATTTATTTTTCTTTTTTTTAGTAGAGACGGGGTTTCACCATGTTGGCCAGACTAGTCTCAAACCCCTGACCTCAAGTGATCTGCCTGCCTCAGCCTCCCAAAGTGCTGGGATTACAGGCGTGAGTCACCACAACTGCCCCTATTTATCTATCTTTCTATCCTATTGGTTTTGTTTCTCTGAAGATCCCTGACCAATACAATGGGGGAGGAGGGGACTTAGGGTTGGGCATGTGGAGTTCAGAGGCAGTCAGGAAAATTTATTCACACAGCAAATCAAGTCTTTTTCAAACTTTATTCAGTTAGCAATGCTCACAAGGCAGCTAGAAACTAACATGGGCCTGGAATTGAGGAAAGTTGCTGGGGACAGACAAGCAGAGCCAATTAGTTCCTAAACATGCATTGAGCATCTAGTACATGCAATTCTAGTATACACAAGGGCAAGTTGTATGGGGATCCTAAAAGAAACCTTGAAATTTATAATTAGAAAATTATTTCTTAGCCTTGGTGAAAACCATTTCAGCAGAGCATAGGAGGCTGGATTACAATGAGTGTTGGAGTCATAATTGGAGATGAGGAAGGGCAGATAGCAAACTATGAAGTTTGTGGCAAAAAGGAGAGTAGTAGCAAAATGACTTAAAAGATTATTAAAGTCAAGGGATTTTCCCTCTGCTCCTTTTAAGATAAGAATTGAACATTTTTATGAGCTAGAGAAATATATAGTGGAGAGGAAGAGATTAAATATATAGGAGAGAGAATAATCAATAGGGAAATTGAAGGCAACGTTGAAAGGTTGCAATTCAGAATTCTCAGAATTCTCTGAGGCTTCAAGCACATTAAAAATTTGGATCAATGAGTGAATCATATCAGATTTCTGGAGAGAGAAAATTTCAGGATTTGAGCAAGGGAGACCTGGGTTCAAATCCTAATTCTGTCACTTTCTAATTCTCTGATCTGAACAAATCAACCTCTCTAAGCTTCAGTTTCTTCATTCCTGAAAAGGACACAAAATAGAGATGCCATCAACCAACTCCTTAGATTGTTCCAAAGCAGATATCCCCGAACTTGCTTGATTCAAGCACCTATAGTACCTCAGTAATTTTTTTACACTGCTCCTAGGCAGCAAAAAAAAAAAAAAAAAGTTTCTTTTCTTGAATATTTTGGTCCAAATAATTCAGTAAATATGTATTTCTTATCATTTAATACACATCATCTGAAAGAAAGATCATGTTATTTTATCTTAAATCAATGCAATCATTTACTCACAGGCTGTATGCACCTGTGGACATAGCACAACTTCTCAAAACTTGGAATCAGATTGGACAGCACAGTTCCCGTTTTCTATTCCACACTGAACTTTGCACAGTACTTAATTTTTTAATACACTAACTTTGTAAAGCCCAGCATTACACACATATATATAACATCATTGAAGGGATTGTAACATGATCTGACGTTGAGACCGTGAACTACCTATGGACTGTGAATGCCCCAATAGCTGTGGGGGTATCTGGTAGATGTGAAATGTCACTGAGATCTTCTCAATAGTGTTGGCCAGATGCGGTGGCTCACACCTGTAGTCCCAGCATGTTGGGAGGCCAAGGCGGGCAGATCACCTGAAGTCAGGAGTTCGAGACCAGCCTGGCCAACATGGTGAAACCCCGTCTTTACTAAAAATATAAAAAATTATCTGGCCATGGTGGTGCATGCCTGTAATCCCAGCTACTCAGGAGGCTGAGGCACAAGAATCGCTTGAATCCAGGAGGCAGAGGTGGCAGTGAGCTGGGAACTCGCCACTGCACTCCAGCCTGGGCAACAGAGTGAGACTCCGTCTCAAAAAACATAAATTTAAAAAGTTAAGTATCTCTCAGTGCCCTTCTAAGTTTTCTGTGGCCCCTGGCTGGAGACCCTTGACTCGTTTTGGAAATCATCATGCTAAAGAGTAATTAATATATGCATAATACATAATATATAATGAGCCCTTACAAATTGATAAGAAAAAGTGGAACATCACAGTACAGGTCAAGAAATGGTGGGGAAGTGGGAAGTATATAAACAGAAACAATCAGAAAAGAAAATCCCAGTGGCCAATACAAGCCTAAGGTAGAATTAGACTTCACTAGGTTTTAGAGAAACGCAAATTGAAAAAATGAATTCACATTTTCACCCATCCAATGCATGAAAACTAAAGATCAATTCCACCTAGTTGCTGATGAGGGTACAAGAAAATAAAACTCTCTCATATTGCCAGTGAGAAATAAATTGCTGCAGCATTTTTGGAAATTAAGCTGGCAGCATGTAATAAAACTTAAAAATTATATCTGTTTAGCCCAGAAATCCTACTTGAAGGAAACCAGTGTACAGAAATGAAAACACCAGTATACATAAATATATAGTCAAATATTTTGATTAGATAATTGTTTATTGTAGCATAAAAAGGGTCTGGAAACAACCTAGATGTCTGTCAATAGTAGAATAATTCTGATATATATCTTTCATGGAGAGCAGCTTACATATTAAATGAATTAGTTAGATCTATGTGTATTGGCTAAAAAAGATGTCTGTGATATAGTGTTAGAGAAAAAGACAAAATGCAGAGTAAATGGTTACAGTAGAATATTGTTTTTTGTAAAAGAAATAGAATAAAAAGAAACTTAATGTTTGTACAAGCATATAGAAAAACCAGGTAGGTAAAAGCTAACACACTTAATCGTTGATATTTATTACAATGTGGAGGGGGTCAAGTAGGTGTGTATAGGGAAAGGAAAAATTACTGGTTTTATCTGTGTTCATCTATGAGTTGTTTTATAGGTGGCAACCAACATTTATTGCCCTTAGCAGTTTGCACAGAAAATTCAATGACGTATTTGGTTGTTTGCTTTCCCCTCCTAAATGCATTTAACATCCCTGTAACACTGTGCCTAGCACATAACAGGGATTTTTTTTTATGCCTTGGGGTTCTGTTTCTGATTTTCTTTCTGTGTGTTTCTCCATTATGTTGTTGCATTTTTCTCTATTTACGTTATCTCCCTTTCCCTTTTTCTCTCTGTCCCTCCCTCCTTCTTCCTCTCTATTCTTCCCCTCCCCTTGTTTTTATGCCTGATTATGTGGACACAGACAAGGATTAAAACAGGGCACCTGCCCTTGAGGAGTTTACAATCTGCTGGGCTGAGGATCAACACATGTTCAAAAAGAGAGGAAAGAAGTCAAGGGAGATCATGCCAGATGGACTTAATTTCAATGAAGAACAGGGTAAGTCATCTACTTAGAAAGGGCGGGAGCTGAGGGCTTATGGGGAATAAAAGTGGCTTCGATTATGGAGTCAACAGGAGATGAATGGAGGGATTGTCGTTCAGTGATCCTCCCTGGGTGGTTTTGAAATTCATCTTTCTGAAGGCCGGAGTCTGGGCTCAAGCACCTCTGAAAGCCTCTTTAGGATCTGATCCCTTCATTTTTTTAAGTCTGTATCTAAGATGTATGAGCACATAAACTTCTTCCCCTACCTAATGTTAAATCTTTTCTATGGTGGCTGTGCTCAGAAGCTACCTGCTCCTGCCTATCCCCAAAGCCCTGCTTCACCAAAAAGAGAAATACCAGATTAGCTACCTGCACCATCCCAGCAACCTGTCCCTTCTCCCCTCACTCCTCACCCCTTTTCCCAGACCCTGGTCTCTCTTTTCAGCACCCAGGAGACCAGTGTCCCTGGGCCATTTCTGCCTGTCTTCCAGGACAGTAGTCCTGGCAGAGGCAGAAGAAGGGTCAGATGGCAGAGCTGCTGGGCTGGGCTCCCACAAGCTGTGTCCTAGTTTTCCAGGGTAAGCTGTCAAGAGTTGCCTCATTGCAGTCCCCATTTCCCTCTCCCTAAATCCCTTTTCTGAGTCTGAAGAAATGGCATTGCCAGCCTCAGGAAAAGCCTCTTGCCCAGGGAAAGCCAGGTCTGAGAAGCTGCCATCAGACCCCATTGTCTATGTCCTGGGACAACTGCCAAGGCCCAGGCATCTTGGCTAGGGATGTAGAAGGGCCCTATTCTGATCCCATCTGTTCAGAGTTGGGGAGAGAAGCCAGATCTCCTCCCCCTTTCCTCTCCCCTCAATCCCAAGCTCTGTGGATGAGTAGCTTTTCAGAGATGAAAAACCAGAGCCCTGTCAAACAAGTCATCTTGCTTGACAAAGATAGAATCTAAATATAGAAAGGTACAGCTAAACTCCACCGCAGAGCAAGCAAACCCAATCTGGCACACAGCTTTTGGGGGTTTCCTCTCCTACTATGGCCCCTAGCCCTGTGCCCAGGACATAGTGAAGGGTCAGTAAATGTTTGGCTACATTGATCTGCAGAATCCTCACTAACACCCCTCCAGCACAAGCACAGGTCTGTTGAACAAACATCCCCATAGAACCCAACGGATCTGCCCTAAAGCCCAAAGAGCCTTGGCCCCTCACCTATTGGGAACATCTTTCCAAAAATACCACCACTTTCAAAGGAACTCCCCTGAGAATGGGGGTGGAAGTCTAATGCATATATTTTGCTCTGCTATGTGTGAAGCATGGTATATCCACTACTTTATTCAGCCTTTGCCATTGCAAGGATAGAATTATCCCCCTTTTATAGATATGAACACTGAGTCTAAAAGATTAATGGATTCGTCCAATGCCACCTTGCTGGAAAACTCAGGCCCTTCTCCCCTGTTCCAGAGAACCCAATGTCATGATGGAGGGATTCATGCTGCTTGACCCCATCGATGGCCGTGGCTTCCCATAATTGTTCATCTCAGGATCTCCAGGGCCCTCTTTTTGTTTAATTAAGATTAATGGAATCATATTTCTTGGAGCCAAAAAAAAATCTTATAGGGAGCATCAAAGTGAGCTTCCTGTTCTCAAAGTGGTAACAGGCTACTCCAATGGCACATCAATGTCCTAGGGTTGCCATAAGAAATTAGCACATACTTAGTGGCTTAAAATAACACAAATTTATTCTGTCATAGATGTAGGGATTACAAGTCTGATATCAAGTTGTTGGCATGGCCATGCTCCCGCCAAGGTCTCTGGAAAAAAATTCCCCTTTGCCTCTTCCTACTTCTGGTGGTTACCAGCAATTTTTGGCATTCCTTGGCTTGTAGCTGTGTCACTTCAATTTATGCTTGTGTCTTCACATGGCTGTCTTCTCTCTGTGTGTGTCTGTGTCTTTTTCTCTGAATCCGCCTCTCCTTTCACTTATAAAAATCCTGGTCATTGAATTTAGGGTCTACCCTGATGCAGTATGACCTCATCTTTATTTGATTATTTCTACAACACCCTATACCAAGTAATACCAAGTAAGATCACATTCTAATGTTCAGGGTATACACGAATTTTGGGGGGACATTATTCAATTTTGGGGGGACACTATTCAGCCCAGCACAGATGGTATAACATGGTGCCAAGGGAAGCGTACTCAGAAGTTCAACTGTCTGGGACTTTAATCCCGATCTGCAACTTGCTCACTGTGTGACCCAGAAAATCTCGTAACTTCTCTAAATCTCAGTTTTCTCTTCTGTAAGATAGGGATAATAATAGTACATACTTCAGAGGCTAGTTGGCAGGAGTCACTAAGTTAATCCATGCACAGTGTTCAGCCCAGTGCCTGGCACACAGTGGGTGCTCAAACAACAGCTTCTCTCCCTGCATGTTGGTCATTAGGGTCACAGGCTCTGAAGTCAGGCTCCTAGGGTAATATCCTGTCCCTATCACTTTCAATTGTAGGAAGATGGGCAAATTACATACCCCCATAAGCTTTAATTTTCTTACTATAAAACAGAGATAATAATTGTATCTACCTTATGGGTTATTGCAAGCAGCACATACAGTCACCCAAATAAAGTATATAAGAGTATCTTGTAAGTTCCCAGTAAGTGCTCACTCCTATGATATTGATGTTCCCCATTTGAATTCCTGTGGTATTATGCAATCATCTGTGCAATAGGAACCGGATTAGCAGAGGGTCCTGGGATTCTGGCAGAAAAAGACCAGAGCTTAGTGGCCCATCAGAAATTGGCTTTTCCCCAGAAGAGAGGGAACCACAGGGCCTGAGGTACTGAGGCTAGGCTTGTCTGTTTTGGGCAGTGGTCCAAGAGGCTAAAGCCCTCTCCTTTGGGGCTGGCTCATACCCAGTGAATTCATGGGAAATCTACGGGCATGCTGAAGCGTCTAGGCTAAGCACCACATGTACACACACTCCCACCAGTCTCCAGCTGCCAGATGAAGGTGACCTAGGAGATCAGGGTTGGAGGATGGCTGGGGACCCAGGGGTGGAAAAGCAGCATGAGCTCATTAGTAACTGACTGTTCCGGTGGAACAAAACCTCTCCTAGGGGCCATAACTCTGTCCCTGGAAGAAAGCATGATGAGAGGGAGGTGGCTGGGACTCCTGCAGCCTGTATCTGGGGCTGCGCAGTGGAAGCAAAGCTGAGTCCCCGCCTTCTTTAAATCCCCAGCATTTCCATGGAAAGAGACAAGTTGCTGCGTGAAAAAAGAAGGAGTTGGGGGAATTTGAAAGGAAGCTGAAAAGCTGGCGACAGGGCTTCCATTACGTAGACAGTCATCCTGACATGGTACCTGAACAAATCCCATCAAGGACAGATTCTCAGTCTTGAAGAGGCAGCACAGTAAAGGGGAAAGATCATGAGTTTTGGGGCCAGGTTCCCTTGGATATTGTGGGGTCCCCACACTTCTGGATGATGTTGGATAACTCTTTGAGACTTAGGCTTCACATCTGTAAAATGGAAATACTTATTTTTCAGAGTTGTCATAAACACTAAATGATTTGACTTATATCAACCTAATTCCTACTGGCTCATTGAACTCAGCTCAGCTGTCCCCTCTGTTCGGATGCCTTCCCCAGTGGGGCTTAGTTAGGTATCCCTGCTGGATACCCTGCCAAGCTCTTACACATTCCCTCTGCCATAACACTCATTCTTTGTTACTGAATTATAATTTCATGTTCATTTGTTTATCTCTCATACTAGGCTGTGAGTTCCCTGATGACAGAGAATGTCTTGTTGGTTTTGGAATTCCCAGTGCCCAACTTAATTCCTGGCACAGCTGAGTAAGCAAATGAATGAACGCCATCTAGTTGAGTAAAAATAAGTCTCGTTAGGCCGGATGGGTGGCTCACGCCTGTAATCCCAGCACTTTGGGAGGCCGAGGTGGGCGGATCAAGAGGTCAGGAGATCGAGACCATCCTGGCTAACACGGTGAAACCCTGTCTCTACTAAAAATACAAAAAAAAAAAAAAATTAGCCAGGTGCGGTGGCGGGCGCCTGTAGTAGGGTTTTTGGGCAACCGTTATTATCAAAGCACTCTGAAGACACAATGGAGGGATTTACTGTTGAGTAATTTTGTATTCTTCTTACAGTAACTTTAATAGAGGTGTAGTAAGGAAAGTTTGGGATGGGTAAAAGAACCAGCAAATGGGGCAATGCTGCAATGTCTCAGGCACTAGACTCTGCATTTCCTATTAATCATGAAATCATTATCAACCAGCTGTTATTATCCTTAGTGTGCACATGAAGGAACCGAGATGCAGAAAAATGAATTAACTTGCCTGAGATCACAAGCCAGTAAGTAGCAGAGCCAGAGCCACTGATTGAAACCCTGATATGCCTGGCTACCCAGCTTATATTGTTTTCTTCAGGCTCCTTCTGATATGAAGTTGAGGCTATCTCGAATTGCGTGACTCACAAAAGAAAATGAAGGGGAAAAAAAGCAAGAGTGGAATTCTCTAGGGTTTATTAGATTTATACCCTATGTAGGATTTTGCCTCTTCTTTTTACCCATGTATTTGCTAAGGAAATGTGAGTAACATATTTTGGACACCGAGGCATCCAGGGACCCTGGCTGAATTAAAACCCTGTTTCTCAGGGGCAGATATTCTTCCTAGCCCTGATTATAATGGAAATGATTTTGTGATCATAGGAGTCTCAGAAGGGCTTGGGGCTGTGAGGATGCAGACAGGAGAAGAGGGAGAAAAATATCTTTTTGCTTTTCTCAGAAGGAAAATATTCTCTAGATATTGTAAATTGATGAAAGCTCAGGGGAAAAAATGCCCAGCTGTGGGGCTGTGGAAAAATTCAAACATCACTCAGGTGAATGGGATCCTTTGTTAGGTATGATGGGGGGCCAGTAGGGGCTCTTTACCTGTATTCTCTCTTTGAGTTCTTACAAGACTACGCCCATTTTACAGATGAATACGATGAGACTTGGAGCTATGAGTCATGCTGCCAGCGTGTGGCATAATTGAGATACTTATCCAAGCATATCTAGCTACAAAGGGCATCTGCCCCTATAGGTGCAGGTACCAGAGTGGAATCTTTGCCAGTAGAATAAGGCTGTGGGCTAGATACTAAGTGAGACTCAAAATCTAGTCTAGCATAAATACAAGTTTTGTTTTATTTTTATTGAATCACTCAAGTATTCATTTTGATCTTCCTCTTTCCCACCCCTCCTCCTCACACTTCCTCTGGCCTAAGCACAGCACTGATTTTAGGGCCATGGAAATTTGCTTCTTCATGGTACCCATCAGCCCATGCGACAATGACAAATAACACACTATTCCCAAGGACATATTTTAAAGCATAGGTAAAAATTTACAAGAATATTCGCCACCAAGGTATTTATAATATCAAAAGGCAGCTCTCCCAAGCACCCCAAAGTAGGCAAATGAACGAATAAAGCTATGGCACAGTTATATGTGAAATTCTGTGCAGCAATTAAAAATTGCTTGGGTGATAATATTTAGGAACACAAACATGACTGCATGTTCACTATATAGATATATTGGTTTTTCAAAGTAGATAATAAAACCATATGACCAGTGGTATTGTAGGTGATTTTTATTTCTTTTTTATTATTATTAGCATGTTGTCAGTGTTCCATAATGAATATCTGTGGTTTTGTAAACTGAAAAAATCATTAACACTTATTTATAACATGCATAATAATCATTCCAGCCAGCAGTCTCCTTAGTTGCAATAATAAAAAGACCACTTTATACACAAAGGTAGAGAAGAAGTGCTGAGTCTGCAGAAAAATCTGACTAAATACTTGGCATCTGCTCAGAGAAAGGGGAGCATCTGCTTTCTGTCTCCCCAAGAGTGGACATGCTTGGATAACAAGATAGATTTGGGTTGAATACAAGAAGTCCCATCTGAAAGCAATAGTCATCCACATATGCTACAGACAACTATCCTGTGGATATTGATAAGCAGAATAGACATCTAAACCAAGAAGGTTCATGTCATAATGATGATGGTAGTACCAGCTACAAAGCACATACTATGTACCACATACCTAAAGCAATTCAACTATAATTGTCACATAATACTTATTTAACGTGGGAAAACAGGTTAGATTGGATGCTTAGCAGCACACATTCAAAACATAGCAGAGTTTATCTTGAAACCCAGTTCTGTTAAGCTCCAAAGCCCGGTATCCTTACACTATGCTGATTTCCTTGGCTTCTTCTCCTGCCTAAAAATATTCTTCTCACCAAGCTTGCTGCAGTGCCCAGTATTTTTTAATAAATGTTTTACATTTTAGAATACTTTCAGATTTACAGAAAAATTGTGAAGATAGTACAGAGTTTCCATATCACTCGCACCCAAGTTGCTCTATTATTAACATTTTACATTAGTATGTCACAATTCATGAAATAATGTTAAGATGCTATTACTCATTAACACACACACACACACACACACACACACACACACACACACTATTCAAATTGTATTAGTTTTTACCTAACATGCTTTTTGTGTTTCAGCCTCCTACATTACATTTATTCATCAGGTCCCCTTAGGCTTCACTGAGACATTTTCTCAGATTTTCCTTGTTTTTGATTACCTTGACAGTTTTAATAGAATGTCACTCAACTGGGATTTGCGTTATGTTTTTTTCTCACAATTAGACTGGAGTTATGGGTTTGGGGGAGGACGATCACAGAGGTAAAGTGTCATTTTCATCATCTCATATCAAGGGGACATACTTTCAATATTACATTACTGATAATGTCCAGCTTGATCACTCAACATGACATTACTGATAATGTCCAGCTTGATCACATGGCGAAGATGGTGTTTTTCATGTTTTCCCACTAAAGTTACTCTTTTTTTCCCCTCCTTTTCATACTAGAATCTTTGGAAGAAAGTCATTATGCATAGCCAACATCTATGGAACAGAGGGAGTTAGGCTCTAACTTCTTGAGAACAGAATGTGTGTATATATATATAAATTATTTAAAATTCTTCTGCATGGGACATTTGTCTATATTCCCCCATTCATTTATCTACCCCAGCATTGATTTAAGTCAATATGGATTCATGGAATATTTATTTTATACTTTTGATTAGAATCCAATGCTACATAAACTCTCTTGCGTTGCTCAAATTGTTCCAGCATTGACCATTGAGAGCTCTTGCAATTAGTTCCTGCATCCCTTTGACATCCCCATTACAGTGTGTGTGTTTTTTCTAAAGTGGTATACTTTCTGGTACTATGAGATACTCTGGGTTTACCCTGTATATTTCCTGCACCAGTCTTAGACATTTTTCGAAGTAACCTTTGAAATTCCAATACCGTTCTCCAAGTACCACTGGAGAATGGCGTTAGAAACCAAGATACAGACACTGGGTATGCTTGTTACTACTGGTTATTAGGGTGTCATTGGTTGTAAAGTCACCCAGCTGACAGAGTAAGGAACTGTATGTCTGTGTACTAACCCATTTATGTACACATACCTATATATAGTTCTGTATTTAATCATCTGTGTCTATGTTAAGCAAAACACGAGCTCATATTGATGTCTTCAACTCTAATCCATTACCACATGGACCATTCTAGCTTCCTCTCCTTGTTTATTTGCAACCTTCCCCTCCAGCAGTGAGAAACCTGGCTCCCGCCATCTGCCATCCATTTACTTAATTATTCAATTCCAGCATACACATGTAGTGGTTTTAGAATTGTTAACCTGTACCTCCATGAGAAACAGCTTTTTCAACAAAAGTACAGTACTTATGTACAGTTTCTTTGCCTTTAGACTTCCAGACGCCAATCATTTCCAAAGTTACTTAAGTTAGCTTCATTTTTCCCCACCCTCTTCAGTGAGGTCATTTTGTATATTTATTACATAAATGCATTGTTACACATGCATTCTATCCTGAGCTTCTCTCAACTCCTAAATTTTCATTTTTAAATTTACATACATCAAGGTTCACTCTTTGTCTGTAAAATTCTCACAAAATCTCAATGTTTTCCTGAGGTTGTGTCTTAGCACTGTAATTGGGTGACTCCTCTGTACTACAAAAATCATTTTTCTACTTGTCACCTACTCTCTTTCCTGGCTGAAGCATTCCCAATGTCCTTAAACCCCAAACCCCTACTGATCCCACCTTGGCTTAGGTGAAAGTTATACTATAGGGGCTGGAGTAATAGAATTTTCCTTCTTCCAACTGGAATAAGGTCATGGCAGTGTTTCTGCCTGGAGTATGTGCCTTTGTATGAAGAGGCTCTGGGAGGATTTCATGATTACTCTTCACTTCACATCTACCTGCCAGAGACACAAGGGGCTCTTCTACAGATCTTCAACTTGAAAACCTAGTAGAGTTCCCAGTAGAGGCCTTCATTTCGCAAATGACCTGGCAGGTTTATTGTAAAGCCCACAAAAGTATAAGGGTCCCCCTTAGTCTGAGGCCCCCAGGCATTTCTCACTCCCATGCTTGTTCATACTCATCCACCAGCAGTTCTTCAAAATTATAATTTCAATATTTCTATCAATGTATGCCTCCAGCAGCTTTTCCTCCAGGTAAGCTGGGTCTTTCTGGATGAGTCTTCTACAGATTTCAGTGTGCAGTTTAGCCTACAACCTTACTTCTCTAATGGACGCAAGAAAAGTCATTGATTTTTAGTTTGCCCAGCTTTTTCTTGTTGTTAGGATGAAAGTGATCATTTCTAAGCTGCCTACATGTCAGAGACGAAATCCAATGTTCAAGATTTTTACCATTAGAATATCATTGCTTTGAGTAAAATCACTGTTATCACTTATTGTATTAGTCATATCCTATCTGGGAAAGATGAAGAAATCTACCCATGTCAATTACTAGAGAGATGGACAAGACCTTGGCCCTTCTGCTTTTCAAATAAGAAAAGTAATCATTAGTGAAGGGGAGAAAGTTTAGTGAAAATATTCAATGAATTCCATTTGTATTGGTTATTGAGACCAGCTTAAAATAATTAATTTCTGGGGTATTTGAAAGCAGATTTCCAGAGAATAATTCACTAAAGTTGAAATGTCAGGTACGTCTTCATTGATTTTACATCCCAGCACCTAGCAGCACATATGACAGAACAGGTGAGGTGCTCAAAAAGAATTTTTTGTTTCGACCATCTATAAAGTTGAATGTAAGAGGCCATGGAATGACCTGTTTGTTCATCTCATTGATTCATTAAGACATGGAATGTAAAAGGCCATGGAATGACCATCTACTGAAACTAAAATTAGACATTTTACCATAATTATTTTTAAACCACTATAAGTAGATATTGGTTAAAAACTTTATTATTGATAAACTCATGCTGGGTGAGTTTTTTAAAAACTTTCTTTCATAAAGTCACAAGAAAAATTGCTATATTTGAAGATCTTCATTGTATATTTATACAAGTTAGCAAATGCTGCCTAACAAACCACCTCAAAGGTAATTGCCTAAAACAACACACGTTATTACTCTTGAGTTTGTGTATCAGCAGAATGACTCCTCCTGTCTCAGTTTGCCTTCATTGTGTATCTGGAGTCAGCTGTGCATCAGTCAGTCAACTCTGTTGACTGCAAATTTCTCTTGAATGGACTCATCTGTACTCTCCTCTATACATTGTCTGATTTTCCAGAAGGCTACACAGGGCTTTTGACATAGCAATGACTGGGTTCCCATGGAAGTGAGCAGAAGCACTCATGAGGCCCAAACTCAGAACCAGTGGCATTGCCATTTCCATCATATTCTCTTAGCCAATGTAAATTGCAAGGCCACATTCAAGAGATAGAGGAACAAACTCCCTTGCTTGATGGAAAAGACAGCCAAGTGGTTTTGCAAAGGGTCTAGGTACAGGGAAGAGTGAAGAATGGTGGCTATTTTGGCATTAGCTCTTCAAGTTTCTAATTTTGAAACTATTTATCAAGGCTAGGTGTGGTGGCTCATGCCTGTAATCCCAGCACTTTGAGAGGCTGAGGTGGATCACTTGAGGTCAGGGGTTCAAGACCAGCCTGGCCAACATGGCAAAACACTGTCTCTACTAAAAATACAAAAAAAAAAAAAAAAAAAAAATTAGCCGGGCACCGTGGCACACGCCTGTAATCCCAGCTACTTGGGAGGCTGAGGCAGGAGAATTGCTTGAACCCAGGAAGCAGAGGTTGCAGTGAGCCAAGATCACACCACTGCACCACTCCAGCCTGGAAGACAGAGTGAAATTCTGTCTCAAACAACAACAACAACAACAACTATTTATTCTAAGTATTCAAAATGCTATTTGGTATTATTATATTGTGTAGATGATGCTAAATTTAGAACTGAATAAGATGTAGAACTGGGGCCACCTCTCTAGTCAAAGTATAATCAAAAAATGAATTCACTAACAACCTTCCAATAAGTCACCAAGGTATCCAAATTTCTCCTGCTCTGGAGGGGGTGGTGATCTCTGTTGAGTAGCTCACGTGTTTCCAGGTAGATTACATAGGACCTGGATGATATCTTGGCTGAGTGGCATGACTTTTCAGGCAAAATCGATATCACTTTGGGGCACTAAGTTCCAAATATAAGACTTAGATCATTTTTCTGACTTTATAATTCACTAATTATGAATCTTTTAATAAAGCATACAATTTGTATGTATGTCTAATATTCAAATTACTTGCTTTCTTTTTCTGGCCGACTTTGCAAACTCAGGTAATGACCAAGAGGACATTCATGTATATTACATCACTTGGTCTTCAAAACAGCCTTGCAAGCTGAACAAAGGCCATGGCCTCCATTTTGCAGATCAGATCATGGAGGATTAGCTAAACTCACAGACTGCTCATGGCTCAGTGCACCTTTTTGCAGTTTCCTAAGTCCTAGGCTCACATTTATAGAGGGTTATCTTCCTCTCAAGCACCCTCCTCTTAATTTCAGAAAATAGCCAAGTTTTGGGTTGAACCAACACTTCCCTGATAAGCCATTCTCTCACTACCACCTGTTGCAGCTGCCACCACTGTGGACTTTAAAATGCATTTTTGCAGACTGACTCAGTTACTCCATTATCCCAAGTGCTCCCCAGAGAATTTTAAGGGAGAGATTAAGAAACACACAAATAGAAAACAAACCCAAAATCAGTTACATTGGTATAAAGAAAAGAATTAACTTTTCCCTTCTTTTACCCAGTAAAGATTTGAAGCTATGAAAAACCCTCATTAACCTCATGACTTGTCCTTATTAATTATCAATAATAATAACCAGAGCTCATGGGTCAATGTTTCATGGATAAAATTATGAATTAAATGTTGATGATGTTATTGTTCATAATAGTCATGTGATCTGATGTTGCTTTTATATTTTCGCCTCCCATTCCAAAACTTCATTGATTAATTCTAATAATACACCCTATTTATTTACATCTTTTTGACTTTATTTTGCAGATGGTAAATTAAGGCACACAGGAGATAAATAACTGTTTTAGTACCACTGAAAGAGGTTGTTTCTGAACCCTTATGTCTGAGCCTTGTACCCTGGGGTAAATGGAGGAATAAAAAGAGCAGGGATTTTAAAATCAAACAAAACAGTGTGCAGTCAGGTTCTATTCCTTGACTTTGAGCAAAAAATTGTTTTCTCTTTCACAAATGACCTGGCAGGATTATTGTAAAGTTCCTGGCACAAAGTAGGAGGCACTCAATCAATGGCATTTTATTTTCATTTTAATTTATGCTTAAGAATTGTTTGAAATAAAACAAAGGAACAAAAACAAAAAACACAAATCTCCAAAAATAGTAATACTTGAAGTTGCTAACCCCTTAGTCTACTCTTGTATTCAGTACTCATTTACTGTATATATTTTATGTGCAAGATGCAATTTTCAATGTAACTAAGAAGCATTTCTGTAAATGTGGTCTTTAGACCTACATTAGAATCAGCTAGAATAATTGCTTATGAGAAATTCCTGGATGCCATCAGAGATCTACTGAATCAGAATCTTTGTGGGTGGAGACCAGGAATCTACATTTTGATTAGTATCCAAGTGATTCATCTACACCATTAAATTTTCAATCTATTCTTATAACACTTATAACCTGCATTTCTTATTTTCCAGAGTCCTAAAGATTAAGAAGAGAGGTAAGTTATGTGCACCAACTAATATAACAAAATGTACAGCGTGGTTAAGTACCCTAAGGAATGTTCAAACAAATTACTAGTTCAAACGAAACTGGGGCAGGAGAGATCACTTATTCCCATAAGTAATCAGTGAATTCTCCCAGCAAAAGATGATAGAAGTTTTTCATGAAGGTGTGACTATGGTCAAGTTTTCAGCTTTCACTGGTAGCTTTGGCAAAAGCTGATCTTTCCAGAATCATAGGGGATTGTGTTTACTCTATTGTGGTCTTAGGCATCATGATAGCAAGAAATTCACCAGTCATCCATCAGACAAATTTGGGGTCTTTTGTTTTTAGTGACCAGAATTCTGAAATTCTAAATCATTGTATTTTTTGTTTGGTTTTGAGATGGAGTCTCTCTCGCTCCATCACCAGGCTGGAGTGCAGTGGCGCAATCTCCACTCACCGCAACCTCCGACTCCCTGGTTCAATCAACTCTCCTGCCTCAGCCTCCTGAGTAGCTGGAATTACGGGCATGCACCACTACTCCCAGCTAATGCTAGTTTTTGTATGTTTAGTAGAGACGGGTTTTAGCATGTTGGCCAGGATGGTCTCGATCTCCTGACCTCGCAATCCTCCCACCTTGGCCTCCCAAAGTGCTGAAATTACAGGCGTGAGCCACCGTGCTCAGCCTAAATAATTGTCTTTTAAAGTATTATAAAAGTCGTGAAGATTTTCAGGTTCCAAAATTTGACTCCGAAACTCAGAGACTAAGCTTATTTTTGTATTGCCTGCACTCTGTTAAAAGAATGCTTCTCTGAGTGTTTGAAGGTGGAATTCACCTTCTCCTGGTCCAGGGGCAATGTAAGGTAAGAACATGTTAATAATTCGAAATACTATCTCATTATATTGATTATTAAAGAACAATTTCTTTATTGTATAATTTATAACCCTTTCACATTTCAGTAGCTCCAACACCATAACAATTCACATTCCATAAAGAACTCCGCAATTGTGTAAGAACTAACATTTTCATCTCTTAACCTTTAATACTTCAAATAGTTTAATTTCTGGCTCACACCTGTAATCCCAACACTCTGGGAGGCCAGGGCTGGAGAATCAGTTGAGCCCAGGAGACCAGCCTGGGCAACCTAGACCTCATCTCTACTAAAATTTTTTTTTAAAGAATAGCTGAGCATGTTGGTGCATGCCTGTGGTCCCAGCTACTCAGGAGGCTGAGGCAGGAGGATTTCTTGAGCCCGGGAGGTTGAGGAGGCAGTGAGCCATGTTTGTGCCACTACATTCCAGCCTGGGAAAGGAGACCCTGCCTCAAAAAAATAAATAAATGTATTAACTTATGCTCTCATCAATTAATTTAAGCAGTGAGGAATGATCAGAAATGGTAGTGGAGTAAGACCAGAAGGAGCCCCTATCTCCAGTTCAGTGATTTTTATACTCAAAGTTCTCACCCAGGAAGTTTTCTTCTTGATGCAGACTGTGACATCTGAAATTTAAAACACGCATTAGAAGCTCCAGGCTGTTCCCACCACCCCTTTGCTGCAAATAGTATCCATTTAGTCCTCGCTCATATCTTACCTCAATAGATTGGAAATAGAGGAAAAATACTTTAATCCCACTTATGATCTAAGAGACAAAATAAAATGTTCTATGAAGAAAGAAGGGGGGTGATTTATTAACAAGTGACTCTGTGTAGTAGCTATGCAAAGTGTTAAAAGACTAGGAAAAGTCATTCCTATTTCTGGTGAAAGAAGATAAGGAGAAATAGATATTTGCCAAGGCTGATGTTTCCCCAAATCCTTGCCAGCAAATCATGGATCCCAGTATCGCTCCTCTAACTTTAAATGTGTATTTCTTTACTTCTGTGTGAACAGACAGGGGGATAGATTTAAGGTGAACAGCTGGAAATATGGGAAGAGAAGATATTCCAAAAGGAAGGTACCTGAATGGACAAAGGCATCGTTACCTCCAACAGTACTGATGCCATCATCTACCCTTTTGTGGATTTTACTATGTTTCAGACAATACAGTTTTATTTATTCTGCACAGAAAACCTAAAAAATAAGCACTTCTCTAATCATTTTGTAAGTGAAAATCCAAATTTTCAAAGAAGAATCTTGATTTACTTCATTAGGGAAATGCAAATCAAAGCCACAATGAGAAGTCACTTCCTACCTACTAGGATGGCTATAATAAAAAAGATGAAGAAAAAAATAAGTCTTGGCAAGAATGTGGAGAAATTGTCATCTTCGTGCATTGCTGGTAGGAATGTAAATGGTGCAGCTGCTGTGGTAAACAGTTTGGCGGTTCCTCAAAAAGCTAAGTATAGAATTATGCTATGATCCAGCAATTTCACTCTTAGGTATGTATCTAAAATAATTGAAAACAGGTCAGAAAGATACTTCTACACTGAAGGTCATTGCAGCATTATTCACAACAGCCTAAAGGTGGCAACAACCCATGTCCATCAACAGATGAATGGATGTGCAAAATGTGGTATACACATAAAACAGAAATTATTCAGAGAAATGTTGACACATGCTGCAACATGAATGAACCTTAAAAATATCACGCTAAGTGAAATAACCCAGATGTAAAGGACAAATATTGTGTGATTCCACTTATATAAAATAAGGAAAATTCATAGAAACTGAAAGTAGATTAGAGTTTATCAGGGTTTGGGAGTGGGGAGAAAGAATGGAGTGTTATTCCTTGATTTGTGCAGAGTTTCTGTCTGGGATGATGCAAACATTTTAGAAATCAAATTTTGTACAACATTGTGAATGTAATTAATGATTTGTGTACTAAAATGGTTAAAATGGCAATTTTTATATGTATGAAACAAATAATTGAAAAAATAATTAATATATGATACTACAATTAAAAAAAATAAAAAGACATTGAGTTACTTGCCAAAATCACAAATGAGTAAGTAACAGAGGTGACAGGTAAAGCCATATGTGCCTAAAAGCACTCTCTTAAATGTCAGATCATTCTTCCTTTTTACACTCCCAAGATGGGAAATCACAGATTGCAATGGAGGCACACACATTCATTCCAATATTTTGTGCACGAAACATCCCTTTAATCTTACTCTTGCCTTTTTCCTACAGCATCTAGCAACTTGAAACAAACCATTTTCAGTTACATTAGATCCTGTAGTTTAAGAACCTTAACCTTGCTATTCTGTCACCCCAACTATTGAGATTAGCAAGGTTTGGAGACTTTTTTTTATTCATGTCATAGCCTTACATGAACAAATACATTGTATCACACTATGAACTTTCTATTTTCAATGTTTATATCAGTCTTGATTTTGTGGGAGGAGATTTCAATGCTGTGGTCTATGCCTGAGCTAAATGCTGTGGTTTATGCCAGAGTTACACAAATAATGCCATTGGAACATTTGCAATTCTTTGAATTTGAGGGGGGATAATATACAAAATTAATAGGCTTTTCTATATGGTTCTCACTAATTTAGAATTTAGTATAAATATAATAGTAATTGGAAAACACAGTTTCTGTCCTATGTTCACCCACTTATGTGACGGACACATAATCAATTCTGAATAAATAATGGTGATTATTATTATTATTAAACTATCAGAGATGTCTTAGTCACTATACCAATAAACTAAAACAGTTTGATATAATCACCTCTAAGGTCACTTTATACACCTATTTTCTAGAATTCTAATTTTTTATTAGTAAAATTAGGAGAAAATCAATATACAGGTCTATATCTTTCAATCCCCCTCTAGTCCCTCTCTGGGGAAAGCTGCTTCTTTAACTTCTAAAGGTTGCTGCTGTTGTTAACCATAATTTATTGTTTTCCCACACTTGGGCCAGTTTTTCTTTCCTGGTACCTTTATCCCTCAGGTGAAATTGACACTTTCATGGCCTGGTGAGTGGAGTGTGAAATAATTAAATGTTGCAAGCCTATTGCCTTCAGATTGAGTCCAACTCCCAAATAGTGGCATTGATTTTCTCCAACTTATGACAAGACATGGGTCTGACAAGTTACCATCCAAAAGGAAGATTTTCAGAGAATTTCAAGCAGGCAAAAGTTGGGCTTACAATAAAACTTTCCATCTTAGAATGTAGCTCGCAAAAGTCAACACTATAACTCATTTACCTTGAGCCAGACTCATCACTTGTACTAATTAAAAGAAGGATTGTCTAAACTCCAGAAGCCCATGTTTTGGATAGAATTTAATTCAAGTTCCTATGGGGACATGCTGATGGAAATTGAAAAATATTTATTGGTAACTAGTATATCACAAGCTAGTTATAATGCAATTCTTGAAAATCCATCTTTCAAGGAATCTAATTGTTCTGTGTACTCTAGATTTCAGCTTTAACTCACTTGCCAAACTTTGCAGATAATCCTAAGAGGAACTTTATGTATTCTGAATTAGTGAACCCCTGAAACGACAGCATTTAAGTGAAATTGCTTATACTCAGCTTCTCATGTCATTTGGAAGGAACTTCCATTAACATAATATTGTTGCTGCTCTATAACCCCAGGAGAAGAGGAATAACTTATCTGATTAGTGGGTTCTGCAGAAAGAAATGGGCATACACAGCTCAATCTGCAGCCTTGATTATTTATGTATTTGTCTGTTTCAGGTCTTCCTGCCTGTAAGAAGGAGGCACTCTCTGCTTCTGTCATGTGCTAAGCTTCGTCAAACAGATTATCTCTCTAAAGGTAGAGGCCTGTGATTGACCGCTGTACCAATGACTGAGCAGGTGAGCTTCACTTATTCAGGAATGAAATACTAGCAGGTCCACTTGGGCAACAGGCCCAGAGCCATAAAACCCAAGAGATTTAACAGTAGAAAAAATGAATGAATGATTTTTCCCTTTTTACTCCCGTGTGTAACTCTCAACTGGTTCTAAACACAGGTGGGAAAACAGGATCTCATTTATTGGATCAAACATTGCGTTCCTCAGTGGTGTCCAGAACAGAAGGCTAAATTTAGCTCAGTGTGTCTCCATGTGGACTAGGAGAGTCCAAACATCTGTATTTTGTACACAGTAATGTAAAGGTAATGTGGCTGAAGGTTAGGAGATCCAGGTTCAAGTTGTAACTCCATTTCTAAGTTAGGAGGCAGCATGGATTCTGGAGCCAAATTCACTTAGGTTAACATTCAAGATCTGCCAGGGCATAGTTTTACTAACTTTGGGTGTGTTATATGAATTCCCTGCTCCTCTTTTTCCCCTTTGTAAATGGGAGAGAGTAATGCCTACTATCTGTGACTGCAGGAAGGATGATGTGTGTAAAGAACTTGGCACATTGCCACCATATAATACATGCTCAATGCACTGTGCCATTAATCATAGGGCTGTCTGTGGTTCTATTTTGCAGGTGCTGAGAATAAACACATGGTACAAGTGAATTTGTGTTTATATGTAATTACAGGGTTCATTGGGCTTTATGGGGTTTATATCTGCGTTCCAGAAATTGTTGTTTCCTTTCTAAATCTCTAAACTTTTACCATTACTGGAAAACACCAACAGAGGGCATCAGGATTTAATTCTGGGTAAGTTGCTCCTGGAGGCTGAGGTTCTGGTAGTCTGATAGGACTCTAAGCAAAGCTTTTTCCCAACAGGAGTGCTAAAGATTTCACCCTTTCTCTGACACTTCAGTAACCTCAGCCCCTTCCTCCTTGTCTGGTGCTAGAGCGCATGCCTTGGCTTCTCTTTCTAGAGTTTCTCTCTTGGGTATGTACGTTTGTGCCTGGGACACGAGATGATGGCACTTTATGGAAACAACCGTGATTAATGACATCCGAGCTTTCTGTGCTGCGTGCTGAACTGAGGCAAGTGGGTTACCGAGCCTGATCTACTGGAAAGTTTCTGTCTTACCTGATACCAGGGAATCTTCTGGCAGGCACGCAGAATGGGGCAGCCGAAGCAGAGAGGACAATGAGCAGAGAGACCACTCTCTGCACCTAGCACAATCACAACTTCTATAGAAAATGTGGCAAACAGATAAACTGTGTCTCAGTTTACCCTCTTGCTAGAGGTGCAATTACACTTCATTTAAGGAGCCTTCAACATCACCTTAAGGAAAAAGGCTACATTTAGAGCCAAGGGCCATGGTATTAGCTCTGTCCCTTACTGTGTTATTATACAAGAAACAAATTCTCAGAGCCTCATTTTCTTAATCTGTGAAATGGGGAAAATCCAATTACCCCTTTATTTTTTCCTCTGGAATGGTGTTAAGAAACAATGGAGAGGATTTTTTTAAAAAAGTGCAAAATATCAACATAAAGGATAGCCTATTATCACCACCATTGGTCCTTGCAGTAGTTCTGGTCATAGCAGCAGTGCCATTAGAAGTATCTGTTGGGTTGTAACTGCTCTCAGAGATGCTGGGTATGGTAGCTGTTAAGAGCACAGTCTGTGAAGTTAGATAGTCTCGGTTCACATCCTACCTGCCATTCACCTTGCAAGCCACTTACCTATCTATAAAATGTAAATAATAGTAGTAGCATTGACCCTATATTTTATTTAAAAAGACATGACAGATATTGTACATAAAGTACTTAGCGCAGGTCTTGGAATTGAATAATGCTTAATAAATGGTAGTTATTAATGTAATCATAATGATTATTTCTTCCTAATGAGGGGAGGCATTCTTGAAGGATGTTCTTCTAACACCACACATCTGGAGACCAAAAGAAGGACAATTCCCAAGGGCCCCCCTTTCTTTTTCTTGAACGGCCTTAACCCTTAAGATATGTTCCTTCAGTTGTCAACCCCAACATCACTCTATATGGCTAAGTGCAATTGAATGAGATCCTTGTAAATTCTGTCCCCATCTCACATTCTGAGCCTTGTACACAAGATACAGGAGAAACTCTTTTCTCCAGCACATAAAATATGTATACTCTCACCTAGCAATGAAGGGTTGTAAGAGTTCTCATTTAATTCAATCTCCTCATCTGACAGATAGGAAAACTGAGGACCAGAAAGGGAAAGGGATTGATCCAAGGTTCACCTCCAGGGCTCAGTCTCCCATAATGGGAGAACTTGGACAAAATATCAAATTAGTCTACTTTATTTTTTTTTCTTCCTGTTGCACTACACTGACTCTTAGAAGGAATTAAATAGTGAACTCGTAACGGGGCTTGAAGTTTGGAAAGCATGCCCACACCCGTCTGGAACATTCTCTTGTCTCCAAGCTGACCTTCTGAGGCACCGTCTCAACCCCAGGGAATTCTGCCAACATTTTTAGTGAAGTGTTTTGAAAGATAATGCATTGCTGTATCCTTGAGGGAAGAAACACAGAGGAAGAAAAGAAAAGAAAGAAGGAAAGAGGGAGGAGGATAAGCAGGGAAAGGAAACAGGAAGGGGGAAAGTAGGGAAAGAGACAATGAGAAGACAGAGAGGGAGTAGCAACGGAGAGAGAAAGAAAAGATATACTAAGTTCCCCTGTGACAGGCACTGTGCTTGGCACATAACATACATATGTTACTTGATTTAATCTTCATCACAAACTTAAGTGAGAATATTGACATCTCTGATTTAAAAAGAAATTGCTGCTTAGAGAGGCTAAGAAGCTTGTGCTGAGTTTCTCATCTAAGCCTGTCTAACTGTAAAACTTAGAAGACTGAAAATTGTCATCTCAAACGAAGGAACAAATATTTTCAGAGACATAGATGTATCAGTCTCTGACTTCACACTTTGGATTTGGAAAGCTTTCCCATGGCTTCCATTTGAGACACTTGCGCATTTCTTCATTTGTTCAGTCATTTATTCACTCATTCTATCCATCCATTTAACAAATACATGTTACATACTTATCACCATAGAAGATGTGTAAAACTCAGTGCCTTTTATTCCCACCCAATCTCAGTGTGGTGGATTTGTCTATTCTGTGCCTGCAGATATGTGTACACACATGCATGCACATAACAACACAAAGTACCTGCATTGAAATTGAGATATGCAAATACATCGCGGACTACACACCCACACTGGCCAGCTCTCTGCATTTGGTCTCTTCAAAAGAGAGATCCAGGGAGTAGTAGCTGGAGACGCCCTGGGTCCAGGCCTTGAGCCCGTGTCCCGGAAAATCATCCATGTCCTTGCCTGTGGGTCCCTGGACTGTGAGATGGATCAATTCTCTCAGATGCTCCACTCTAAAGGGCCTCTGATGGCAGGTCAGGCAGTGGGGTCTGTTTAGGTCTTTGTAAGCTGATCTGGCAAGAGGGGAAACTCAGAGGAAAAAAAAAGTTCATATCACAGCAAGGGAGTTCATCTACATAGTCGTGTATGGGGTGCTCAGCTTGTTGTCCAGGGAGAGGTTTTCTCTAACGGAGTACAGAGAAGAGAATGGTGAGCAACAACAACCATAAAAATGACCAAAACTGTTAATCCTACTAGATTATAATTATTGTATTTGTCTGCTCCAACCTCCTGCTTAATAACAGCAAACATTTACTTTGTCAGGAACTGTGTGACTTTACACTTACATCTCACAAGAGTGCTTCGAAATAAGCTCTGTTTTGTTTTTAATATGAAAAAAACTGGAGTTTGAGAAGGTTCAGTTACTTTCTCTAAACCACATGGCAGAGTCAAGGTTTTAACCACTTTCTTATGCTGCTTGCACCCTCCCCTCCTATATTCTGTTTTCCCATCTATATAATGTGGCCATCATTCTATTGGGTTAGATCACAGATTCTTCCACCTGGCTGATCATCAGCATCCCTCTAGATGCTGTTAGAAACTGCCAATATCTGTGCCTTGGGGTCTTAAGCGAGTCTCACAATGTGTGTTTTTCACAATGCCCTAGATAATTGTGAGGACCAGCATGTTTGGATGTCCCATTTAAGAGGATCTCAAAGGACAGAACCAGGTCCAAGATTCCATACTTCTATTATCTTTTTACCTGCTAGCTTGAAAGTAAGAGAAGAGGAACTAGGGCCCCATTGTGGAACAGCTGAAATTGAGCCTGAAGCCATTCTCCACTCTGCCCCCATGGGCCTGCCCATAAATCTCGGCTTTTTAGGAGGGGAGCCAACGCCAATCGGAGGCATTTCCCCTCAGAGCATCTAGTGTCTGGATATATCTGCTAAGCAGAGCAGCAAGACTGTACAGGCCTTGCTGGCTCTTGATGGCAGCAGCTTGTCCAGAGTCACAGGATATTAATTACCAGCAGGCTCTCTGTGCAAAAATTATTTCTCCTGCACACTGGTATTTGGCCCACCTGCAGAGCCAATTACTAATATTCCCTTCCTCCTCCAACACTCACCCCCGTCTACTTGGGCCAGCCTCATCTTCCTAGATAGTTCTCCTAAAGATTAACTGAGAGATCTGGATTCCAGTTTCAGCTCCGCCAGACACTGTGTCACTCTGACAACTTACTTTTCTTTCCTTACTCCTAAATCCTCACTTGCCTTCTTGAGCTTCAAAAAGGGTAAGAAAACTGGAGCTCGGATATCCAGCTGGGATATGGCATTAAGTCATTATAAACTAGTGTTTAAGGGCAGAGGCCCTGGAATCAAGCAGACTTTGAGTTCATACCTCCCCTTTGCCATTTACTGACTATGCAACTTTAAGCTAGTCACTTTACTTCTCTGAGTCTTACTTTCACCATCTGAAAAGTAAAGATAATCATGGTGCCAATGGTACAGATTTGGGGGAGAATTTAATGAATGATATGAAAAGAGTGTTTGACATACAGCAAATGGCAACTATTATTGTTACCAGTATTGGTTAGTATTATAAGACAGGCATATAAACAGATAACTATATTCTAACACTATAAGTGCTTGGGCAGAAACAACAGGGTCTCGGGGTTCCAGTAAATGATTCAAGTCAAGTTCAGGTCAGGAAATGTTTCCTGGTGGGGATCTTGGACCCAAGCTGATGTGAAGGATGAGTAGTGGCTTTCCAGGTAGAAGTCGAGGAGAATTTCTCAGGCAGCATGGATTCTCTGTGCCAATGGCTTGGGGCCCATCACTGCTTCCAGCCTCACCTGCTTTCCTTCTATTCCTGGGGTGTGTCCAGACCTTCCACCTCAAGGCCTTTGTACATCTGCTTCCTTTCTACCTGCCTCCTCCACTCATCCCTGGGAAAGTGTTTGTTCATTCTTCCTCCCACCTGCTGATACTGTACTCCTGAGACCTGTTTTCTATGTTCAGCTCCTGTCGCTGGTTTCCCTAGCCTCTGTCCAAGGATTTGCCCTCACCTTTTAAAACAGACAGAAGTCTCTGATATTTAAGCCTTGCAATGAGCGTTTCTACCTTCTTTAGGTACAAGCCTCTCTGTTTTATATCTGGCTGTTCTGTGTAGCTGTCCACTCCTGATTCTAACTGGCTCTCCTAGGACACTCTGGTGCCCACAGACATGTGCTCTGCATTTGGCTCGTTCTGAATAGAAGTGTAGTTGAAAAGTATCCTCTTGAATGAGACAATAGTAAAAGGCATATGGAAAAATATTTGCACATTTATTTAATCAGTGGATACTTATTTCACCAGGCATTGCAGAATGAACTGGGGTATAATTATGAAGAATGTATACTTGGTCCTAAACCACAGGAAATTGATGTGCAAGTAAGAAGGCAATCAGATGGAATAAATCACAATGTGGAATGAAAAAGGAAAGCTCAGGAGGCTGTTGGGGCACAGAGGAGGGGGTACTGCCTCATTCAGAGTTCTTAGCTGAAAATAACCCTTTAAGGTAATTTAAGGAGAAAAATGAATTGATGAAAGGATTGGACTGAAAGTGATTAACATCCAAGTTTTTACACCATACAACCCCCAAACCACAGTGTGGGGACATGCCAGCAAATCCCACCCTGCTGCCCCCTGACCGAAAACAGCAGCACATAGCCCCTGCCGTGGATGCCAAATACCAGAACTTCCACTTTCTCTGACCTGAACACTAGGTGCACTTGCTGTCAGCTTGGCTAGGAAAAATACTTTGTGCATGTCCCCTTTCTCATGTCACTGGCTTTCTAATAAGGCCTGACCCAAGAATGCTCAGCTGATGAGGCTGAGACTGCACCAATCAAGTTGAGAATGAGGCAGGATAGTGTCCAACCAGAGAAATTGTGTGTTCAAAAGCTGCTACTGCACAGCTCAAAAAGCATGGCAAGTGTCCAGTACAGATCTCTAATGGAAAATTTAGGGGAACAGAGAGTGAAAGGGAACACAAAAAACTTCTCAGATGTATTGATATCTCATCTGAGCTTCAAAACAAGAGAAGAAGTTAACCAGGTAAAGACAGGTCTGAGAAAATATTCAAGGCAGATGGAATGGCAGACGCATAAGCTTGGATATGGGACTATAAAAGCACTGCCTCTGGGAAATGGTGATAGTTCAGTATGGCAAGAACATAGACTTGGAAGGAGGAATGATGAGAATTGAGACTGGAACAATGAACAGGTCCAAAGCCCCCAAACCTTAAATTCCTTGGGCTGAGAAACAGAAACATGAACAAGGCAATGTCCTCCAGAGACATCAAAGAATAGTCACATGATCCAAGACCATTCCTGTTAAGTGTCTCTGATGTTTCATTTCTTCTTTTATTGAAGGCACATCATTGCAGCTACTTAAAAACTCCCTGTAAGTAGAAATCTTTCCCTATTATGGAGTATTTCTCCCATAAAATCATACAGGCGTAGGCTGTTTATGGAAGCATGAAACATTCCTTGCAGAAGAAATAATTTTGTATTCATGATGGAAACATCTTCAGGCTCCATTTGGAAATTAACACTAAAGCTGTGTTCCTCCACCTTTCTGGTCTGCAGGGCTCACCTCCCACCTCTCCACCTGTGCAAGGCGCAGCTCGTACCCCACACCTCCTGCATAAAGACTTCCTCTGCTGCTCCCATCCTCACCCACCTTTTCCTAATCTGACTTCCTCTGACCTCATTTTCTCAGATGCATGAGATACCCTCTTGCAATGAAAAGCAAAGGGAGCTCTTGCCACTTTTCACCTGTAAAGATTCTTTTTTTGTGAGATCTGTCTGGAGCAGGAGGCTGGCACATAAAATGTGTACTTAGCATTATTCTTTTATGGAAGCTAAAGGCTCCTTACCAGGGCTCCTCTGCACACAGAGGGCTCAGTCTCAGTACCAAATTAATGTGTAAGCCAATGCAGGGCCCCTCGAGGATGTGTCCTCTCTATGAGATAGGGTCACATCAATAAGCAATGCAGGGATGTGCCTGTATCTCCTAGAACCTGCCGCTTCAGCTATTCATCATAGCAAGTCATGGTGTTCAGACTAAAAAGAACATTGTTCTAAACCTGCATGAATCTCCTCTGATCTTGAGCTTGTTAGTAGCAGAAAGGAATGAACACAAGTCTAGAGAAGACAGTTTTCTTAATTGTGTTCTTATTTGGTACCAGGGAGAGAGCATTACTTCTTTAAATCACCATAGCACTGTGTGCAAGCCACTTTCTCTGAGTGATTCTTCAGCTTTAAAATGGAGTGATGGCAAAGAACGTATGTTATTTCCTCCACGAAACACTACTTCTTAAGAGCTCAAGTCCAGAACCCTTCATTCTTCCAGGTAAATACCTAAACATTTGGAAAGGTGATTATCAAATGACCCTGGAAAGTGCTTATGGGTCAGAGGTCTTTGTGGGTGTAACTCAGATTGGTGTAAATCATAAAGTTTGGAACTTCTTAGAGACTGAGCAGTTCAGAGTTAGTGTCAAGTCCCCTGTGAAGAGGCACTGAGAAGCCACTGGGACCCAAAGCTACATTCACATTTGTTTTCTCTCCTGTCTGTGCCTCTGCTCCTTCTTCCACAGTCACAGGTATTCATAGCCCTCTGCTTTTCCAAATCATGATGGCTGACACAGCCCCCAACTCTTCATTGCTTTTTCAGAAGCAGTGCCCAGCAGTAGCTGACTCCGTCTTCCATTTACTCAAACCCAAACTCCTGAAAGGGGAATCTACTGGGCCTAGTCTATTGTGTCTGGGTCCAGCTGCCTGTTCCAGTCAGCTGTGGTCAGGCTGAAGAGCTCGCTGGGCACATGGCACATAGCTCAGCTGTGCTCATGCATTAGGGGTTATGTAAATGTAGCTGCTCTAAGGTGGGATATAGGCAGAATAGGATTTTAAAGCTGTATTGATAATCTTTTGCTGCATAACAAATTGCCTGTAAATTTAGTGGCTTGAAACAACAGTAGACATTTATTATCTCACCGTTTATATGGGTCAGGAATTTGGTAGCAGCTTAGCTGAGTGGTTGTAGCTCAGAATCTCTCATGCAGTTGAAGGCAAGATATCAGATGGGGCTATCATCATTTGAAGACTAGACTGGGGCTGGAAGGTCCACTTCCAAGGTAGTTCACTCACATTTCTAAAAGTTGATGCTAGCTGTTACCAGGCGTCCTTGGCTCTCCCCATATGGGTCTCTTCATGGGCTGCTTTCATGTCTTCATGACATGGCAGCTGGCTTTTTTCTAAACAAGGAATACAAGAGAAACTAGAGTGAGAGCCACAATGTCTTTTATGACCTAGCCTCAGAGGTCAAACGCCATCATTTCTGTAATATCCTATTGGTTACACAGATCATCCATATTCATGGTGGGAGGGGACTATACAATGGCATGAATACCAGGAGGTGAAAATCATTGGGGGCCACCTGGAAGCTGAGTACCACAAGAGCCAGCACTAATACAGGTTTCTAGACACAAAAAAGCAACATTTTCATTGAGTAGATCCTGCCAGTATTTTTCCCTTGGATGATCAAGATGTTCTCTTTTAGATTCAACCTGAATCTCTCTTGTTTTAAATGCAGAATTAAAACCAACTTTGTGTGCCTTAGAGTGTGAGATGCAGTACAGCTGGTTAACTACATATTCATGATTTGTAGGACACCATTTACCCAAGAGATCTGTTCTAATTTCCCTGGAAATGTGTTGAAGGAGCCCCTATAGAGAGCAGGAGCAGTGTGAATCTCCAAGGAGTGGGTATCCACATGTATTAATTGATGACAGTGATTGATAGGTTGTCGAATGGAGGAAATATTCTTTAAGAAGGTAGGGAAGGAACAAAAGAACTCATGGCTTCTATATGGATAATCTGAACATTCAAAGCTTTGACATCTACAACATTGGCCACTTTTTCATAATCCAAACTTGGCAAGCAAAACTAGGAGCCAAGTAGAAAATAATAAAAGAAAATTATATGTGTTCAGTACCAAGAAGCAATGATTCTAGGAAAAAGTTAAATTCCAAATACTGAGCTGTTAAAATAATGTGTGCTTCAGACTCCTTAGGAATGTGGGAAAAAAAATTATGGCAAGACCAGAAGTCTGGAGATCTGTCTCCTAATCTTCAAATCAGGTGTACTTTTATTGGATTCTTTAATGTAGGGTGGACCATGACTAAAAGCTGTATTTTGAATTTTGATTTAGTTGTATAAAGAGCCATTGACTAAGAGCTCTGTCACTTGCTAGCAGTGAAAAATTGGGTAAGAAACATTCCCTCTCTAGGTGACCTCTGTTTCCTCATCTGTTAAAAAAAAAAAATGGTAAATGTACTTACCTTGTCTGCTCCTCAATGTTGTTGCAAGTATCAAATCCTGGAAAGCACTTATAGATTTGTCAAAAGCCCAGGGAAGTTCCTTACTGGCTCAATAAGGTTGAGAGACCCTTGCGATGCTTGTACTTTGAAACACAGCAGCACCTACATGTGAGCTGCAGAGGGGCTATTCCAAACACCAGACACACAAATCAATATGGCTATCCTCCCCAAGGGCCTCAGTGGTAGCTATCATTATCATCATCATTTTTCTTTTTGGGCTCTCTGGACATATGAGGAGCAAATCTTGGACTAATCTCTCTTTGGATCCTAGAGTACAGGAAATAAAGCTCAGAACCTGAGGGTATGTGTTTTTCCCCCTGTAAAATGGAGACTTGGAAGATGCAACTTTGTTAACAGAAAGAAAAAAAAAGCAGGCACCAATGATAGTAGAAAGAAATAAGGAGGAAGGATAGGGCCTTCCTGATGCTGTTCCTATTTCTAGCATCCTTTGTTTCTGAGGTCTAGCTGCACTCCCTGCCCTGAGTTTCTCAAGAACTATCCCCCCAATCTCATAAAAAATTTCCCCTTTCATATAAGTATGTGTCTGATTTGTGTTATTTGGAATCAGAATAGCTCTAAATAATGTCATTCCTATCAAAAGAATTAATTTTTAAAATGTACAATTTCCATAGAATTGGTATTGGCTTTCTCACAAGAGAATATTTATTATTGAGACATAGGAGCACTCTTAATCATATTAATGATAATCATATTAATGATGAAGAATGTGGACTCAGAATCCAGAATACCTGGGCTCAAGTCCTCGTGCAAATCCCTTAGCCTTGGTGTGACTTACTCTTTTTTATTTAGCAAATGCTCATAATAATAATAACAACAATAAAACCTACCTTCGAGGACTGCTGTGGGTGTTAAATGAGTTATTACACAATCAAGGTCACTTATCATTGTTTCATCCTATGGGGAAAAAAAATCACAGAATTCTTAGCCCTAGCTCCATTCTGAACTTTTTAAAAGCCAGTTTATTAAACACGTGTAGGGGAGGTGCAATGTAGAATACCTTTTGAGTGCTGAAAAGAGTTCTCTGTAATAATGGGATGACTTCAAAGTAATCAAAATTTTATGTTGAAATCGGCTACTGTTGCCATGTGGAAGGCGGCTGAGACCCCCAAGCTTCAGATGGGAAGCTCCAAGTGAAAATTTACGTCCATGCTCAAAAATCCTGGAAACAGGGATGGATAATTGAGATTCTGGCTGAAGCAGAGTGAACAAAGACACTCTAATTAAATTCTGCATAGGAGCTAATTAACCCATTTATGTGTTTTCTTCCTTTGTGCAATAGTGGAAGCACATTATCAGCATTCATATATTTGCAAGTTATCTGTATGGGTGTGTGATTTTTTTTTCCCCCTTGAGTAATACAGGAGGAGGTAGATGCCCTCCATGGGATCTCCCAGCCATAATTCATCTGTCTGAGGCTTCTGCTTAGTTTCAACATTAGCTCTGGGAAGCTCATACATGCTTTGCTCTTCACACAGACATAAAAGTCAGCCTGGATGGCTACCACCACTAATCAGATTTGTCTGCTGATGCAAGGCCCTTCAGTCATTCCAGAACTGGTAAATGGAGTCACCCTGAGGACAGGCCCTGCTGCTGATTGATGTCCAGTGTGGGCAGCTCTCTTGGCTGCTCAACATTCAGAGAGGCTCTCCTTGTTTCAGTGCTAAATGATTGACAGTCAGGGTGAGTATTTCAGGAGGAAGAGTCCCCCGCCCACTCCAGCCATGTGGCAAAGGTATTTGCTTCCTTGGGAAGGAAGTGATTTATCTGTGGGAGAACACTGTTTGGGCAAAGTTGCGTAGGAACAGCGTCTGTCTCTGCAAGCATGTGTGTATGTGAGTGTGGGCATAAAGCAGCAAGAGTGGAAGGTAAAGACAACGTGAACGTCATAAAAGAACACTTCTTTTTACAAATGCTTGAAAACATTCGATGCTGAAAGACTTCAGACCACATAAATGAATTTGCACCTAATTCAACATAGCTATACTTCTTTCTTTTTCAGAATTAATGAGCCTGCCTTATCATTAGTTTTATCATAGAAACTATCACAGAGAAGAAACCATCTTAGAGAGAAATCGGTGGAAGACAAGATGAAAAAGGAAAAATAAAAAAGACTGGAGGCAGGGGAACATGGAGAATGCAAGTGTGTTTGCATTTGCACCAAGTTTGAGTTGAAAGGCTTTATAAGGATTTTGAGCAGCTGTATAAGTAGTTAGAGCTAGATATGTGTATATGTGTTGCCATTAACCAAGTTACTTCAACATTAGCCTTATGATTATATGCCCTAGCATTCAGATTCAAGGAAGAAACAGTTTCTCTGGAGAATTTTGTTCCTTAGTGACTGATTTCAGTTGATTTCAAGGTAAGCCAGGTATGTAACTAACTTTTTAAATTTAGATGAATATAAGTTTATGTTATTAATGATTATTTGTTTATTCATAAAATTGACACTGACATGTTACTAAAATACAAGAATCTCAATTTTATATTGAAGAAATTAATTCATTAGGTCAAACACATAAAAATTCTGAAGTGAAAATGATTCATGTGTCAAGTGGTCATAATGTAAGACCCCAGTAAATATTCCACAGTAGGTTGAGCTAATGGCAGTTGCTTCTCAGTACACATTCAAACATATTTTCTCACAATCTAGAGAGTTCATCTACACTGGGCAGAAAGGGCTAGATTGATTAGCAACCAAAGGCCTGAGCTCCATCGCTGGTTGCATAACAATAGCTGTGTGACCTTTGATAAGGTGCTTAGCCTCTCTATGCCACTGCTTTCTCACCTGTCATGTAAGTGTAACAATGTCTTTCTCACCTGTCTCATATTATTGCTATGCAGAAGAAATGAGATTTCATTCTGGAAGTTCTTTAAGCCCCTGAACAAAATGCAAGTTTTTATGGATCCACACACACATACACTATTCATGATCATGAATACATAATGTACTCTGTTTTGAATATGCTGTAGGTGTTTTGTGCTTTGAATGCTTGTGCCTGGAGATCCCAGCCCATAACAGCACACAATAGGTGTCCCCTGTGGGGGTAACCCACAGAGTATAACTCCCAGAGTATAACCCAGGTGATATTCTGCCACACCTGTGCTCTGACAGATGGTGGTGTGGAGAGAGAAATTTGCCACATCAACACATGCCAAGGTAAGGAGAACAGAGCCACGTAATAGCAACACCAAAGCCTGTCTGTCCATTAAGCCAAGTCAAATGCCACTTTCTTCACATAGCTTTCTGGGGCTTCTTTCTCCTCCTGAAGGAATTAATTTCTTCTGAATCTGTGTACTTGTTTCACTCTGTCGATGTGGCCTTGAACTTTCCGTACCCATGCCAACCCCAACAGCATTCAGCTGGCACCCAATAAATAGGATTCCAGCTCTCTTAGAGTCTGCAGCCTCAGTTCTGAAATTCTGGCCTGACCCTGAGTCATTCCTCAGATTAGATTTCACCCTATTTGTATTCTCCTGCCTTGCAACTTCCAGCCAAGTCAATACATAGTTACCAAGCACTTGCTATTTGCTAGGAGTGTGCTAAATTATGGGGTACGGTAATGGACAATAATTCATGTCTTTTGCTCTCTTGAAGATTAGAACCTAATGAGGCTATAAACAATTAAACAATTTCAATCTTCAAACTAAGGAATTTATAGGGAAATTTTCAAAAAGGGTCCAGTATGAGATATATGAGATCTATGGGCTGAGAAGGTGTTAATTAGGTGAAAGTCTGTTTAGAAAGGCAGAATGTTCCAAGTAATACATCTAGGCAACAAAGGAGAACCTGTTACATTTAAGAAATGGAAAGACACTCGGTTTGGACAAAGCTAAGTACTAAGCAAAAGCCAACTTCTTTACCTATTTCTCTACTTCCAGCTTCACCTTATATTTGGTACCTTCATACTTAATGTTGGGCTCTGTAACTCCCTCCTGTACAGCCTCTTAATCACCTCCCCAGTTTGGTCAACACCAAGATCCCAGTTCCTTTTGATCCCCAAACGGACTAATTTCCTCTTGCCTTATAAATGGAAACTGATCTGTCTCAATGTTTTTTTTTTTAACATGTAATTTGCATCACAATGATCCAATTTGAGGGCACATATTATTTTTCTTATCAGACTGCCAAGGAACAGATGATCTTTGTATTTCCTCCCAAGTACCTAGAATAGTGCCTAACAATACATTTGTATTTTCCTATAACAAATTTCTATCATGTCACTTTCTGGTTTAAAATCCTTCAGTGACTCTGCAGTACATTTTAGGACAAAACCCTATTCCAAAATACAGGCCACAAGTCCCTCATGTTCCAGCCCCATTAGCCTGCCAGCCTCACCAAAGGCAGAAGCCCTTTGCCCTCCTCACTTCCCCTTCCACTTACAGGAAGCACTCAACTTCTCAAGGCTTCTTGCTCCTTCCTGCCTTTGAGCTCCCTCACATGCCATTCTTTCTGCTTGCCCCACCCAGCCCCACCCAGCCAGACTCAGCCCTTCACTGTGGCTCATCTTGGAGGTCTCAGGTTACATATCACTTCACAGGAAGGCTTTCCCCAATACTCACTTAGTTGCTACTGCTACAATATGGCACTTATTATGCTTTACTGAAATTACTTGTTGAAATGTTTATCTCTCCTGCTGAGGGTATCTCAGCCTTGGTATGATTGACATTTTGGACCAAATCATTCTTTGTGGCGGGGGCTGTCTTGTACATGGTAGGTTGTTTAGCAGCATCCCTGGCCTCTACCCGCTAGATGCCAGTAGCACCTTCCCCAGTTATGACAGCCAAGAATGTCTGCAGACGTTGCTAAATGTCTCCTGGGGGGGCAGTCACATCCATTTGAGAGTGACTGTGCCAGATCATTGAGAAGGTAAGGACTGTGTCTTGAATAAGTAGTGAATACCACTGTATCACAACCTGGCATTTAGTGGAAGGCTACTGATCATGTGTTGCATGAATGAATAGAAGTTTTTACTATAAGCTCCTACTGAATGA
Source organism: Homo sapiens (assembly GCF_000001405.40). NCBI lineage: Eukaryota > Metazoa > Chordata > Mammalia > Primates > Hominidae > Homo > Homo sapiens. The sequence continues at coordinate 117,434,237 of NC_000009.12, read as the reverse complement.
ATGAATATTAGTAAGAAAACTGTGTCAGAAACACTGGTAGTTCAGAACCCTGCATTTTTATTTAATGAAGGGTGGAACCTGCAAGAACATGGTGGTCTCTTACTTTGGAACCTGTCTCCTCCTTGCCTGTTAATCGGTCCTGGTCCTCTATTCCCCCCACCCCCAAACATACCTCTTTGGGCTGCCCTGTCCACCCATCTCCCCTCTACCAAGCAGAAAAAAAAGGTTCCAGCTCCCTGAGCTTTCTTCTTCAAAGACATTTAAGCTTTTAATGCGAATCCTGATTAATTAACAAGGGCACGGGACTTACATGCATTTCAAGTTGCTTTTATCTCGTGAAGAAAAGAAGCCTTTTGGCAGATACTTTCTGTTCAATGTCTAGTTCAGTATTTCAAAGGGCAAGCTGTGATGGGCTGAGCGGGTTACCATTTGTGTGTGTGTGAAGGGCAATGACTAGTAATTAAGGGACAGACCCCTTTATGTCAACTTAAGAAAAAAAATTAATCTCAGCTTCATTTCAAGCTGGGTTTGGTGTTGAAGGGCAGAAGCAAAATAGAAAGGGGGTACACTGTATGGTAATGGCTGGATCTCTTTGGCTTTGAATGAAAAAGCTAATATTTGTTGAGAACCTACTGTATACTATATCAGATCCCCCCAGAACCCTGTGGAAGAGTCAATATAATTTAATTTTACAAAAACAAAGTTTGGGAGGCATCAAGTTATTTGTCCAAAATACAACAAATAGTCCAGCCATATTCAGAATATGGTAGATCTGAATACATTCTTTCATCCAAAACTTCCGGCTTAGTCAATTGTCTGCTGCTATAATAGATACCACAGACTGGGAAATTTATGAAGAAAAGAAATTTATTTGGCTTATGGTTCTGGAGGATGGACAGTCCAAGGTCATGACACTTGGATCTGTTCGGCCATCTGGTGAAGACCTTGTTGCATTCTCCCATGGTGGAAAGAAGAAAGCAAGTGAGTACAAGAGATAGAGAAAGATAAGGGCAGAACTTACTCTCTTATCAGGAGTCCGCTTCTATAACCCATTCTAAAAATAAAGCATTAATCCATTCATGAGGGTAGAGCCCTCATAACCTATCACCTCTAAAGATCCCACTTCTTAATACTGTCACAATGGCAATTAAATTTTAACGTGAGTGTTGTAGGGAACATTCAAACAACAGCAACTACAACAACAACAGACGTCAGCTCCTGTGTGTCTTCCCTTGCTCATCTATGCCTACCAGAATAGAATGAAAGAAGGGTTTATTTGATCCTGTGTTCAAGTCATTCATTTATTCCACTAGGCAATCTGTCAAGATCTCATAGATTAAGGGCTCCTACAGCAACCTGTACTCACCCTATTTTACCCTTTATCATACATTTTTGGTAAGTAATCTTTTTATTGTTCAACTTCCCAAATAAAATATAAACTTTTAACAAACAGGGACCTTGGCTTTCTTGTTGAATTCTGTATCCTTAGTGTTTCACATGGGGACTGACACAAAGTAGGTTTCAAGAAATAGTTGTTGAAGTAAATATTTCCTTAGGACCTACTCTGCTGAGATTACTAGTTGCCTTGTATCATAGTAGGTCATACTTATCCCTTCTTTTTAAGTAACATAATTCTCATTTTAACCTGGAAGGCCATACTAAGTGGCCAAAAGACAACCCAGCTCCTGTGTCATTAAGAATAACTGTGTAAATCTGATTCATGAGATGTAAACAGAAATGTTGTGTTTCACTTCCATGAAGTCTTTTACTCCATCCTCCTCCTTAGATCATGCATGTGATGGCTGGAACTCAGTCATTTTGGACCATGAAGACCAGACCCACACGCTGGGGCCTAAGAAGCAGAAGTATGAAAGCCACCTGGATCCCTGAAGACCATGGAATTGTTAGAACAATTCTACTCTATCTGTAGACTTGTTTTATTTGAAAGATAAGTAGATTTCTGTCTTATTCAATTCACTGATTTTGGTTCTTTGTTATTTGCAATCAAATCTAATTCCAGTAGATACAACTCCTAAGTGCAGAGCACTGTTCTAGGGATTGTGGGGCATGCTGACATGGGTCTCATGCCTGCATAGCACTCATAGCCTGCAGAAGAACAGCAGTGCTGCCATATCTGATGGTCATTTGACACACTGAACTCCAGCCATATCAATTTTCTTTTCAGTCCCCAAATGGCAGTCACCACAAAAGAAGAAAAGATAAAGCTCTTAGTGGGATCTGAATCAAGAGATACCACTTACAGTGGAAGGAAAAAAGATCATTTTCATGGAGGAACTGCCCTTGAATTTCGCCTTGAATATTGATGAGTATTGGAATCTGCAGAGACTGGGATAAGGTTGGGATGAGGTCGAACACTACAGGAACAGAAAATATGGAACATGTTTGGGAGCAGGCCAGGGATTCTGTCATATAAAGTGCATGAAAAAGCATATCATGTAATATTTATGATTATTGCTCTGGAGTTAGACTGTTTGGGTTTGAATCCCAGATCCAGTGTTTACTATCTATGTGACCTCGGCTGAGTCATGAACTTCCATGAGCTCCATTCTTCTCACCTTTAAAATGAAGATCACAACTCCTACCTTCTTGGCTTGTTACCAGAATTAAATGAGTTTTTATGTGTGGAGGGCTCATGAGAGTGGCTGTCCCAAATAAGCATTCTCTAAATGTTAGATATGACTGTCATCCCCTTAAAACTGCAAGAGTTAGTTGAAACCATAGCAAGCCGAGCCATGAATGCCATGTTAATGCATGTTAATGCCATTATTATAAAGGTACCAAAAAGCTGCTGACAGTTTGTGAGCAAAGTTGTGGATGACATTATCAGAGCTGTATTTTAGGAAGTCTTAATATGTCAACATATGTCATACTATTATGTTTTCTCTCCCCCGCACTCCATTAGCCCACTGACCTAGGTGCCTCTTCCTCCCGGAACACACCAGCATTCAGCAATTCCCCAAGGTCCCTCCCCTGTCTCCAAAGCTGTCTGCCTGATCACTGACTTAGGCAAAGCTTCCTACTTTTCAGAGACCTGTGAAAGGGAGCCAACCCCCTGGCTCACAGCCCCTAGCCCTAGTTGTTCCCATGGACTTGCTGAAGGATGTGATTCTTTTGCCACTCTTCCACTCCTCCCCCAATTCCTGCAACCCCCTCAGGAGTGGTGTTCTCAATGGTGACATTGTGACTCCAAGCCATGAAATATAGGCCAGTTATTGCATCATAGATGGATTATATGAGCCTTTTATTTTCTTCTTGGTGACAACGGGAACCATGCCGCCTTCACAAGAGCTGGCAGAGACAGTTGACTATATTGTATGCTATTAACTGAATTATGCCTCCTCAAAATTTGTATGTTGAAGCTTATTGACTGTATTTGGAGATAGGGCTTTTAGAAGGTAAAAGTCAATAAGGTCATGAGAATGGGACCCTAATCTGATGGGGCTGGTGACCTTATAAGTAGAAGATATCTTTCTCTTATCTCTCTTTCTCTCATTTTCTCTCTCTTGTTCACTCTCTCTTCACTTCCCTCCTTTTCTCTCTCCCCCCTCTCCCTTTCTCTCCCCCCCTTTTTGAGCACATGTGCCAAGGAAAGGCTATGTGAAGACACAAAGTGCCACCTACAAACCAGGGAGAGAGCCCTCACTAGACACTAACCCAGATGGCACCTTGATCTTGGACCTCGAGCCTCCAGGACTGTGAGAGAATAAAATTCTGTTGTTTAAACCACCCAGCTTGTGGGATTTTGTTATGACAACCTGAACAGACTAATCCATTGTATATACATTTACAGTTGGTTATACTGACTGTTGTTGTACAAATGTAACTTCTGCACTTAGAAGTCAATTGAAGACCACTTCCAGCAGCAAACTGCACCGTCTATTGATAACTTAGCAATAGCCTCCTAATCTTCCATGCCAGTTGTTAAAAGATGCATTGGATCCCCTCGTCCAGATTTCTGGCTGCCAAGCTCTAAGTCAAAGTGATATTCCACCTGTGACCATTTAGCAGCTACAAAGAGTTGTTTCAGCTCCCCCACCCACACACTTCTTTTTAACTTACATTTTATTGACTTTTGAAGCATCTTCCACTTAAGATGTCTGCACATGGACACCCAGTGAAACAAATCATAGCTACAAAAATACTGAAATACAGTCTCAAGCCAGGGGCTGGCCTTGGTCCAGGTAAAAATAGAAGAAGAGAAAACACACACAACAACAACACCCTACATGCATGTTGCTATTTCACTCAATTTTCATTCCTTAGAAAGATAACAGGGAATGAATATTCATGGTGAGAAATGTGAGGCTTCGGCCTTGGAAGCATAATTATTGTTGTTATTTCAAATTTCATTAGCACTTTATATTTGTAAAGCCCATTTTGATGACTAATTTTGTTCCCTTCCTCAACTTTCTGCTCCATGTCTCTACACCTCCCCAAATTCCCTATCCTCTTCCAAGAGCTAAATCAAGCACTGTCATTTTTACAAAAATGAAAAATCAGGAGTGAAAAGGGGAAGTGACTTTGACATAGAAATAACCAATCATGGCAATGGGAATAATTATTCCAGGAAAACCTGCTCTGAGGCTGTCAGGCCACCTGCGTGTCGATGGTGGAGCTGCATGCCCCCAGTGCAGGAGGTCCATGTTCCAGCCGTTGCTTTGCTTCTCTCCTCTCAGCAAGGAGCCAAAGTAGAAGCATTGATAAATGGTATTCCTGAACTTGCTTCCTCCATCTTTGTGACTAATGATCTTAACATAATTTTGCAACTTTCACTGGGATGAGCTGGGACTTTTCTGATTGGTTGAAAAGGTATGAAAGGGGACTATTCTTTTTTTCCAACAGCTACTATATGCCACGCATTGGGCATGAATATGTATGATTATTCTCTGTGCCAGTTACCTGTTACTGCATTACAAATTACCCCAGAGTGCATAGGCTTAACACAATGATTATTTATAATCATAGTTTACTTGTCAGCGGGTTGGTTGGGGGTCTGTTGATCAGGGTTGGGCTCATCAATGGGTCTGCAAGTCAGCTGGGATTCAGTTCTAGGCTGGGCTTAGCTGAGGCCCCCTTCCTGGGAAATCTCTGTTGCATGTATTTCTCATCCTCCTTCTGGGGCGGGTAGACTGGCCCAAGCATTTGCACCTGGTGAGTGCAGAAGCATAAAATAGTAAGCAGAAACACACAAGGCTCAAAACTGGCCCACGATGGATTTTACCTCATTCTATTGGTCAAAACAAGTCACATGGTCAAGCTCTGATTTAAAGGGTGGGGGAATAGACTGTGCCTCTTTAGTAAGAGAAACTGCAAAATCACAGGGCAGAGTTTGCAGACAGGGGAGAGGTGAAGAATCGGGGCTATAACATAATCTACTGCATTCCATTTTTCAATTGACTTGGGAGTACCTTGCCTAGGCTACTGCGTGAAGTCAAAGCCAAGTATTTTGCACTGTAAAAGAACTTTCCGTTCCTTTTCACACATCTCCAACAATTTTGCCCCAAAGATCACACTTAAATTTGCATCTTCATTTCAATCAACAGTTTCTTTTAGTTATAATATTCTAGAAAACTACCCTCATTCAGTGACTTTTCTTGTTATGACACTTGTTAATTATGATTATGATTGAAAATGATGACGATGATAATAATGTTTGTTTCTTCTCAATTATGAGAGAAAATGTGGAGTAGTGTCTGTAACCAGGAGCTCTGGAGTGGGACAGCATGAGATTAAATCCTGGCCCCATCACTAGCTATGTGACTCTGGATAAGGAATTTTGTCTTTCTGAGCTTTAGCTTCTTCATATGTAAAATGAAGATACTTAAAGTTCCCAGCTCTTAAAGTTGTTGAAGGAGCTAACTGAGATGGTACTTCGACAGCATTTAGCATACTGCTTGGTATATTGCAGGTACTCAATAAATGGTATTATTATCATTATTATTATTATTATTGTTGCCATAGGCCAAATTGTATACTAAATGCTGCAGGTACATTATCACATTTAAGTTGCATAGTGATTTGAAAATAGATCTCTGTCAATGTTTGTCTACCTAAGCTAAAAGTTTATTTCTTTATGGCTGCAGTCCTCATTAGGATTTGCTCATATATGGAAGAAGGTAAAATGGCCCAACTTATTCTTTCAAGCTGAAAGGTGCTAGTTGTGGAGACAGCCATGCATTTCTTCTGGAGTGCCATCCTTTGAGCCCTGCAAAAGTTGCCTTTTCTCTCTAATAGTCCATCTGTCCTAGCCACTTCCTCTTTCAAAAGATAGACACAAACAGAAAAAAAATATTTTGGGTGACATCAAAGCACATGTTGGATGAATTTTGCTCCCCAGTGGCTAGTGTCCAGGGCAAGGGAAGTTGGACTTAATTCTTGGCTCTGTTGATGCCTTCCATTATTTAAGAATTTCAGCAATATGCCTGTGGTTCCTAGAGCTTCTTCTGTTGGAAAATGGAAGGCATCTGCCACAAGCTACCTTGACAACACCTTTGGAGTGAGTGGGTAGGGTAGGCAGGAGAGTGTGACAGTAATGCTTAACAATCAGGAAAAGCTCTCAGGAAAGAGACACATAGTAATTTTTATCAAGGTTCAGACAGAGTCCCTGGTGTTCACTGAGACCACACTGTCAGATTGGTCGTCATGGATCCAGGTTTTTGATTCACAGATGGTAACGACATTTAGACTCAGCATGCTGATAGCCTGTCGATAATAGTAGAAAGTGACAGAGGTGTCATTCAGCAATCAGAAAATGACCAACCAATACCTTTCCCCAGAGATTTTTATTTTATCCCATGGGCCAGCTTTTACTAACTCATTTTCTTCAAAAGGATGCAAATGCCTCCCATCTGTCTAGAATTTGCTCTTAACCTGAGATAATGGGAATCAGCAGTGACAGAGGGATCTTTCTGCTCTTTTCTATCCATTATCACTTCTCTGATTATTGTGGTGCCCTTGCATGCAATTCAAGGATAATCAGAATTTGCAAATTGACTGCATTATGAATCTCCAGGTCTCAAGCTTTCCTGTACCACTAAGTGGCAACTAGAAGCCAAGTCCTGTTTGTTTACTACTAAGTACCCTTCCTATAGCACAATACCTGACACAAAATAAGTATTAGATAAATTCTTGTTGAACTTACAAGTACATTAGTCTCCTAGATCTTGAGTCTCTCTCTCACTCTAGAGCTCTTTAATCATTCATTTATTCATTTGTTCATTTGTTCAATAAATATGCATTAGGATTGTGCCTTGGAACTTTGCATGAGTTAAAAAAAAAAGAATCAGATGGTCTCTAGTTTCAAGAAATTCAGAGTATAGGATGGAAGTGAAGACTTTGCACCAGCTATTTGTTACCACAATAATGCTGTGTGATAAAGCCACCTTGAAACAGTGGATTAAAGTGGCAATCCTTTATTCTCATTCAAACATCTGAAAGCAGGCTGGGGGGATCTGCTGATTTACACTGTCTTGGCGAGGCTTGTCTTCAAACTTCAGGTTAGGTCCAGGTCTGCTCTTATGTCTGTTACCCTACTCGGACCAGCAAGCAAGGCAGAGCATGTTCCTCTCACGGCAATGCAAAAACACAAAGAGGAAGCCCCACTATGCAAGCCTCGGTTCACATCATGACTGCCAGTATCTCACCAGCCGATTCATGTCGCATGGCCAAGATCAACATCAGTGGGCTCTGGGGAAGTGACAGGAGAGAGAGTGAATATTTTCTGTAAGCTTCATGAGTGCAGGGACCATTTTCAGTCTTCTTAATCATAGTTATCCTCATCACAGCCTTGACTACAGTATCATATGTGATAGAAATTATTAAATGTAATAAATAAGTTATGTGATGAATAATCACATATAAGGGGAAAAAACTATTACATATACAGAGTATGATGAGAATCAAAAATGCCCCTGAAGGATGGCTGCTGTATGTGCACGCAGAGTGCTATTCAGAGGGAAATAATTTAGACTGAGGTAACAGGGAAATTGGAATGTGTACAGAGAACAGTAAGGACATTTATTTTGATGAGAGCATGGGTTATAGGAACAAAAACAACAAGAAAGCAGATCAGAAAGGTTGTTTGGGAACTTGAATGCCATGCTAATGGGTTACATAAGACCTAAAGCAACAAAAATTAATTAGAGAATAACAGATGAGAATGAAAGCTAACCAAAAAAAAAGTACATAGTGCATTGGTGGCAGGGTAGGTGTTAGACAATATATTAGTTCCTAAGAATCTCCATAGATGTCAGGGAGAATGAACTACCAGTAGACTGAGGTGATAAATACTAGACATTACACTTTTTTCAGTATTATTTTTTCCCAGTGAATCTTAGTGGGCATCGCAAACCTCAGGTTTAATGCCATGACTGCAGTATATCTCTTCCCTGTGCAGCTTCCTCCTGCTTTGCTCCTGTCACCTTGAGCAGAAACTCCTCCTGCCTTCTGAGCGGAGGGTCTCTCCCCACCTGCTGGCCAGCTGCTGGGAGACAAGTGATGCTATTTAGAGTCCAGGAGACAGTGCAGAGCAGAAGGGAGTACTCTTTACCTGTCTCTACAGTCTTCCTCATCCCTAACCCATCTCCAATTTAAAATGCTACAAACTTTCACAAGAATGTATAGACATACGCTTTGACATAGGCCATTGTTTTTAAGTTACAGTATAAGTGAAGCAATTAAGAAATGCATGCATGTGTTCATTTACTCAGCAAATACTCATTGAACACCTCCTATGTGTCAGGGCCTATCCTAACAGCTGGGTACCACAACAATGAACAAGACAGGTAAAATATCTTTCCTCTTAAAGCTTTTATTTTGGTGAGAGATGTCTGTCCACCAATCAATCAGTGAATCAGCTATGATGGAGAAAATGTCAATGTGGATATTATGGTGAATAAGTGAGTTATTTGGAGAAAAGAGCCACAAGAGTCCCCTTTAAGGCGATGGCATCTGGAATGATCCAACAAGAAGGAATAAGTGAACACCCCCTGTATGCCAGACATGCAACCTGAGACACGTGATTTAATCTCTCCTTGCCTTATTTTTTAATTGGTATGAAGGGGGATGATCATGAACTCCTTCACAGAGTTCATATGAGGATTAACTGGGTTGTTATTTTCAAAGTGCTTAGAATAGTTAACAGGCACATGGAGCAGCTCCAGTCTCAAAGTGGAGACAGATGAGTAGATACATTAATTGTAGCATGATCTACATTCTGCTCCAGGTAAGTGCAAAGTGCTAAGAGCAAAGAGAGGAAGAGTACCTAACCCAGTCTAGGGCATCAGAGAAGTCTTGCTAGGGGAAATAGTGTTAAAGCAGAGAGAAAGGAAGGTAACATTTATTGAATATGTAATTCTTGGGGCTAGGCAATTTCTCTTGTTACTTATTTTTTCAGCAACTTTGTGAGCTAGATATGATTATTTCCATTTTACAGATGAAGAACTAAGTCATTGATTAAACATTTTATTCATGATACTGCAGCAGAGTTACTATTCTAAGCTAAGCCACCTTATAGCAAATCTGCAGCAACTTTTCTTTTGCTACTGTGGCTTTTGACCAAGATGATTGAAGCTGTTGATAATAGTGAACATTTATTGATTATTAATATAGGTGAGACACTGTGCTTCATACTTTTAATCTACTAGTTCATTTAATCCTCATCCAACTGCATGAGGTAGATACTCTTGTTCTCAGATTAAGAAACCAAAGTTCAGAGAAGTTAAGTGCTTTTCCTAAGGTCACACAGCAAATATCAGAGTCAGAATTTAAACTTAGACAATCAATCTAATGCCAAAACCTATGAGCTTATCTTCCATCTGTGCTCCATGCTCACTCTACCATGAAAAGAAGATAGAAGTAAGAGTTGGAAGACTTGATTCAGGACTCGATTCTGCCAATTATTATCTGCCCTATCTCAGGTAAATTACATCTTTGAATGTTCTTTTTGTGATTTGTAAGTTGATGCTAAAATTTCCTGTTCTGTTGGATTCACAAGGTTTTGTGGAAATCAAATGTCATGATGATGAATGTAGAAGCACTCCATTTAAATGGAAGTTATTGTTAATTATTGTTTCTCATTGTTGTTGCTTCTAAAACCCAGGCAGAGAATAGTAGAGGCAGCTGACGAGGACAGTCATTCCTTGAAAGGGACAAAAAGATAGATGCCTTCAGAGACTTGGAGAATTTTCATAAAGTTTGCTCCATGTGGCTTCCCCAGAATATGGAATTTGAATCAATACATGGTACATCCAATAAAGAAGATATAAATCAGTACATTCTCTTGGTCAAGGTCAACCACAAGTGGAACCAGTTTTCAGTGGAGATAATGAATTCTCCACTGTTAGGGTGAGCAAGCTACAGGACCCCATGGTGGGAGAGGTTGTAATGGGTAAGTCTGCCTCCTGGATGTGTTCACATCTGGACAGCTGTGATAGGCTCCACGTTAGACTCCTTGATCCTCTCTCACACTAAACCAATCCATCCTCTACATAGATCCAAAGTAACGCTTAAAAAATGTAGTTCTGATTATGTCATTCTCTTTCTTAAAATTGTCCATAGCTTTCCACTTAAATTAGAATTACATCCAAACTCCTTATCATGGCCTACATAAGCCTGAATAGCTTCAGCCAAACTAACTTTCTAAGACTCACTTCATTCTTTTCTAGTCTTCCCTCTCAACTGTCCCGACATACTGACTTTAAATGTTTGGTTCCTAGAACTTGCCACATTTTCTCTAACAGCCTTTCACGCCTGCAGCTCCCTCTGCCTTGAATTCCCGTGGGAATCCTCCTTTGCCATAACAATTCCTATTCATCTGTCTTTGTTTCTAATAAATTGTGACTTTTTCAGAGATACATTACCTAGCCCCAAAATATAAATGAAGACCTCTCTCATTATTCTGTTTTATAGAACCATATACCTTTTCAGCATAACGTATTTAAAAACTTCTAATCATATATTTATTTTTGATATTTGTATTTGTCTATCTCTTGATTAGACTGTAAGCTTCATGAGTGCAGGGATCATTTTCAGTCTTGTTCATCATTGTTATCCACATGCCTGGAAAATAGTATTCCCCAATATTCCATGAAGAAGAGAGGATGAAAAAATGAGAGGGAGGGAAGGAGTGAGAAAAGAGAGAGTGCTCTTTTGAATTTAGATTTTTTTTTCTCTGTAGACCACAGCCTTAGTTTTAAAAAATAAATGCCCTAGATCTGGGAGGAGGAACAGAGGGACTTCCCATAACTTTCCACAGATTTCTCTGAAAGCCTCTTAGAATTAGATGGAGTGAGGCTGAAGCTTCAGGAGTCACAGGGAACCTGCAGAGCCCCAGCTTTGCTGAGTCTGTGGATTATCATACAATAGTCATCAAATAGAGCTTGGTATCTGGGTCAGGAGTGGGAGATGGCCTCTGCTTCCTTGAGAAACATCCAGGCATAGTCCTGGGAGTTAAGTTTATATAAAGCTCTTAAGATAGTGGGAGAAACAAGGAGAGCAGTCTTTAAAGCTGGAAGTCAGGGCAACGAGAATTCTTGTGTAGTAAAAAGTACAGAGTACTTGAAATCAGGCATTCTCGTGTGTTCATTCCAGATCATCAACTACACTGGCACCTGCCCATGAGTATAGTAGAGAGGTAGTATCATTTCCATTTTATAGATGAAGAAGTGATACTTGAAGAGATAGATAACTTGCCTAAGGCATTAAAGCTAGGAAGTGGGAGAACTGGGATTTGAACCTTGGCTTTCCTGGCTCTGAGTATTGCTAAAAAATATTGCATAAAAATTAAAAACAACATGTATAGGACGACATATATCAACAAAGTTTAAAGATGCAGACTGTTACAAGATATCTGCTTTCTCCCTAGTATGTTCAAGGTCACAAATTTGTTACATGGCAAAGCTGAAATTCAAAGCCAGTGTTGTCTTATGCAAAAAATTGTACTTTTAGCATACATTCATTTATCTACTTCTTTATTCAACAATAATCATTGATGGCCTAATATATACAAGAGAGCAGAGAACAAGAATGATAGAATTTCTGCCCTTCTGGAAACTATAATTTAGGAGGGAAGACAAATATTAAATAACACTCCTCCAAAGTGGTTGTCACTATCCCTGTTATAAAGTATGCAACTCTTAACTCTTACACTTTACTGTCTCACTCAAAAAAGTTAAAAGGACTTTATTAGATATAAATTGCCAACATATTGCAGGCCGTGCATTCTCTATGTGTTCTCTATGCTTCACATGTAAAACAAGAATTAAAAATCCCAAATTCACAGGCTTGCAAACATTAAATAAGAAAAAAAAAATAGCTTGTGTTTAACACACAGTAGGTGTTCAGTAAATGTTATGGAAACAGTGAATCTAGGCTGATATCGCCTTGACCAGTTCAAAATGTAATAATAATAATAAAAATAGTGTGCTGCAGAAAGGAGAATGACCTAGTACTCTATAGAAGAGAATAAAGCTTACACTTTTCACCAGTAATATACATTTGAATCCACCACGATAGCAGCATAGCTTGAATAAATACAGAGCAGATCCTGCAGGCCTTTTTTTTTCTTTTTTTTCTAACTAAAGCAGATTCCCAGAGAAAAGATTCCAGAAAAGAATTAAAGTTAGTGGGACCCAGGAAGAGGATCCTGAAAATACACCAGCATTAGAATTTGTATGAAGAAAAAGTCCAAAGAAACATTGCTCATTAATATGTGTTAAAGATGAAAGATGACAGTGTAACAGAAGCAAAAGGAAACTCGAATAGGTTAAATGATTAAGTAGGCAAAAAGGTACAGAGATTTGGGTACAAGCAAATGAATGATGAAGATGAATTAAACTTGAGTGGACTTGAGAAAGAAAATGCAAAAGAATGAGTGAGGAAAGAGACTTTTAGGAGTATTGTGAGGATTTTGACTATAAAAGGATATGAAATGAAGGCAGTAAATCACAGAACAAGAAGGGGTTGATTTAGAGGACCGGGGACAGACAAAGTGGGAGGTAGTGAAAGGTATGAGCTGGAGAAAAAAGATAATAAATTTGAGAATTGTTAAGGGAAAGAGTCAGAGAAGTGCTGGGTTGAAGCAGAAATCAGTCAAACAGATGCAAGTGGAAATGAAGAACGACAATGGTGATTAAAATATTCTTTCATTTTTCACGAAAGAGAAGTTAGAGACAATGGTAAAAGTTTGCTCTAAATGAGACATAGTGGAAATGTTCTGAAAATGGAAATGAGAAGTGGAGAGATGAATGCAAAGAGACAGAGGTCACAGAAGGACCAAATAAATAGACATTTGGAGGTGGAAAGTAGCTACTAGTACTGATGACCTACTATGTGCCAGACAGCACCAGACACTTTTTTTCTCTTTTTTCTTTTTCTTTTTCTTTTCTTTTTTTTCTTTTCTTTTTTTTTGAGATGGAGTCTAGCTCTGTCGCCCAGGCTGGAGTGCGGTGGCCCGATCTCGGCTGACTGTAACCTCTGCCTCCTGCGTTCACACAATTCTCCTGCTTCAGCCCCCCGAGTAGCTGGGATTACAGGCATGCCACCACACCCAGCTAATTTTTTTTTGTATTTTTAGTAGAGACGGGGTTTGATCATGTTGGCCAGGCTGTTCTCAAACTCCTGGCCTCAAGTAATCCGCCCACCTCTGCCTCTCAAAGTGCTGGGATTAGAGGCGTGAGTCACTGCACCTGGTCAGCACTAGATACTTTCATTTACACCTGCTGGCTCATTCAGCCTTCCCATTACCTCCATTTATAGGTGAGGAAATTAAGTCTAAAAGAGGTTATGAGTCTCATTAAAAATCAGCAAACTAGTAAGTGGTAGAGAAAATAACTTGAACTTAACTCACCAGAAGGTTTCAAAGAATTAAATAACAGTGATAACCATATTTACAGCAGTGTATTTTGGATCCTGCAACAATAAAAATAAAAGCTTCAGGATTGACCTTAGTTTTGTCACTGATGCCAAACTAGATGACGGTGCTGAGTTCGGCATAGGTCAAGATGCTAAGAGGTTGGCAGAACTCAGGTCAAGAGAGTGTCTAGAGCAAGGTGACTGAAGGGAATGAAGAGAAATGGGATACGCTGAGTGATAAATGGAGTCAACATGCTGCAGAGAGCAAAGCACGATTAAAAGGACAATATGAGTTACGGAGAAGGCAGTGATTGAACAAGAGAAAACAAATGGTGGAGATTCGTGGACAGGAAAAGGATTGATGGAAGATTGAGCTTAGATAGAGCAGAGATGGAGCAGAAGATGGCACTCTCTTTTCCTCAATTAGAGTTTATTTATGTTCTAGAGATCATCTGGAGGCTTAAGAAGAAAGACTGTTAAAAAGAATTACTTGAATCATGGGAAGCTGAGAAGGGAGGATGGAAGGAAAGAAGGAAAGGAAAGGAAGAAGGGAAGGAAGAATTGACAGACGGAGGATGGGGGAAGGTTTTTGTTGTAAAATTTAAATTATATTCTCTGTGAAAGTGCAGCTAATGCGAAAACAGTGCCTGTCTCAGTAAAAATTCAATAAATATGTGATGGTTCATTGGCAAAATACTTATTTTGCATCTCTACCCTATGTAGGTTACTGTACTAGCTGGTGTGCACACTGCGGTAAGCAAGACATAGTTGGTCTTTGATATCTGGCAGCTCCCAATCTAGTAAGGAACATACGCACCAAGAAAATGCTCTAATAAATGGACAATTATTGAAATATGGAATGAGTACAATTAAAATGGTTATAAAGAAATATGAAAGGATGTAACAGAAAGTACAGCAAGAGGCTAACTTAGGCTGGGTGGGTGGTCACGTTAGGGAAAGTGCTTTGATTAGCAAAACTTATAGACTAGCAAAAGATAGCTAGTGAAGACGGAGGGAGGTCTCTCCAGGCAGAAGAAAGAGTCCGTTTGAAGATGCTGGGGCAACAAGAGCTTGAAGTATTTCGGGAACAGAAAAGAGATCAATATGGTTGGAATCAAGTGGTGGTGGTGGGGATTATGGGACATGAGGCTGGAGTGGAAAACAGTGGGTGAGATCCGTAAGATGATTGGATTTACTTACAACATTCAAGAGAGCCTCATATGTGCTAGACAGTTTCATACACATCATCTCATTTAATTCACACAGTGATCCTGAGAAGTGGGTACTACTTTCCCCATTTCACAAATGAGAAAAGAAAAGACCTAGTAGGAACTATAAAGTGACTTGACTCCATAGAGAAATAGCAAAGATGATTTCTAAACGAAAATCAACCAGCCTCTTGGGCCTCTGGCTTTTTCAACTACATTAGGATGCCTCAGTCAGGTGGCATAAATACAAGGGATTTTTAAAACAGAGTAGAGTATGGAGAAGGGGGAAGCAGGAAAGAAAAAATATTTCAAAACTACCTAGAAAGGCAAATATGAAAGATGAAAGAAGAGGAAGTATTTGCTAGAAAGACTGGAAAGGAGTTAGAATGAAAAAAATTTTGTATCAGTGGAGTCAAAGATGGGAGTACAGGGGACTGTAAAAGAGAAAGAATTGAATCAATAATGAAATATAACTGAACAAAGAGGGGAAAGGAGAAGGAGTGTGAGGGGCTGAGAGGGAGAAAAGTGGTGGTCATAGGACAGGGGACTCGAGTATGAGTAGGGAAGTTATAGTATACTGGGAATAAGTTGCATGCAAAGGGCTGAGGCCAGGAGGGGCATTCTGTGACAGACAGAGCAAAGATTTGGGAGCCAGGCATTCTTGTATTTCACCACTTGATAACTCCATGACCAAAATCAAGTTTCTCAGCTTCCCTGAGCCTCCGATTTCATACCTATAAAATAGGGATAAAAAGCCTTGCTCCAAATGTTGCTGAGATTATACATCAAAGCAGTAGTTATAATTTATTGAGCAGCTATTATGTGTTAAATGCTTTGTATAATTATTTCTAAAGCCTCACAACCACCATAAGGCAACAGTTGTTATCATCATTCATTGATATGCTACAAAAAGTTTTGGATCACAGAGCATGTGTTCAGAAGTATAAGTCATTTCCTGTGGACATTCCAGATTTGACACTGTCTGTGATATAAAGTTGGTACTCCTTGTCTGCCTTTTCTGTCTTGTCTTCAGTTACTCCCTCTCCCCCTCACTGAGCTTCATTTCCCATCATACACCTTGCTGTCTCTGCCCTCCCTTTGTTTCCACATTCTGTGTTCTCAGCCAGGTGTTTCAGTTGCAAGCAACAGAAAGCAATCCTGAATAATTTAAGCAGAAAGAGAATTCAGAATTCAGTTAAGTGATTATTAGATTCCTTAGAATCTCCAGAAAGGCATGGGATCTGGGTTTAAAGTGCATGAAGTCAAGAGCACCACTCCAAATCATAGCACAGAACTGTATGGGTGAAGATATGTTTCAGCTGCAGCCAAGCATAAATAAAAGGCACTTCACACTGTTGACATTGATATCACTGGGCTCCAAACAGTGCTATTAGAACCTTTTCGACTAGCAGAGACACCTGGATGTAACTGCCCCAACTATTGCCCTTTTAGCCGCCACTGGATTCTGCCTGATTCCGGCTTATTTTTCAGCATCTGGGGTGGGTGAATCTAACTGGTGAAGCCTGGGTCATGTGCCCAAGCTCTAGCTGCAGTGGAGGCTGAGAAAGTATCCAGAAATGTTAGCTTCTTCATGGGAGGTGGGCTGTGCCTTAAAAGATAAAACATTCTCTGATGTAGGAAAGGGATTTATTCATTTACTAAGCAGTTGCAAAGAATGCCAAATGCCAACTTTAACCTAGAATGCCCACTCCCTTGTTACTAATCTTTATGGTTCAATTCCAAAGCCACCGCCTCTGGGAAGCTTTCTTTGATTTCTCCAAGTACCTCATCTTAGGAAACACATGTCTGCCTGCCTGCCCATTACCTGAGATATTTATGTGCCTGTCTCTTTCCGGCATCCCACCCCCTCACCCCAATCATTATAAGCTTTCCAAAGGCAGGAGTTGTGTTTATCCATCCCTGCATCTCCATATAGCACCTGGTAGGCACCCTGAATATTTGGTGATGAATGAATGAATGAATGAAAGTGTTGGTCTCATTTGACAGGCCTTTGTACTAGAGGTCCATGAAGGACTTGCACAGACTCTGCCTTACATAAGGGAGCCCTTTTTTCCTGGTGTGCTCTTCTGTAAATGGACTATGTCAGCATATTTGAAGAAAGGGGCATAGAGAATCAGAAAGCCCCATTGCGGTGGATAGTGGCGGATTGTAAGGACACAAAGGAGAGACTGAGGGAGGCAGGGTGACATATTTTGGAGGAGTAAATGAACTAGAGCAGGCATCAGAGAGGCAGGAGACCATTTAGAATTAGAGGACTTGAAAGGCCAGATTCCACCCCAACCTCCACACATCCTTTGGGTTCACAGATTAGTAAACTGAGACAGGAGAAGTATACCTTACAAACCTCACAGGGAAGTAGATCCAACTGTGCTTATGCAGATTTACCTTTTACAGCATCTTTGATGGGTGGGGTTTTCCAAGGTCACTGAGGACAGTGTAATTTAAGGGAAACAGTCAAGGCTTGAAGCCTACTGTTCAAACCTCAGCTCTTCAGCTCATTTGCTATACGACCTTGGAAAATCCCTTCACCTCCCTGACCACCTGATCTCAGTTTCCTCACATGGAAAATGGGAATCATAATATCCATCTTTTTGGATTATGGTCATGTAAAAAAGCTAACATACGTACATGTCTAGCATTTGGAGAATGCTTTAAACACATTAAGTCCAAGGTCGCAAAACAGCTTTTGCTTTTTTCCTTATTTTCAGTGCTCTGCCTTTATCCAACGTTATTAAAAAATATATGATGAGAGAGGAGAAAAGCAATTTATATGAAGGGTTAAAGATAGAAAAGGGGAATGAGACAGAAGAGGGAAGAGCTAAGAGAAAAGTGAATGCATAGAGACAGCACAAAAGGTGCAGATGGGTAAGCTAGACAGAGATGAGAAGTTGCTCACAAATTATAGGAAAGAAGCATTTGTAAGATTAAAGTCAAGATGAGAAGGAAGGAAATGAATGGAGAGATGAAACAGAAAACAGAGACAGGGAAGATGAAGAAAAGTAGGGGAGTGGGGAAGGGGCTGCACGGCACTTGACCCATGCAGAGGTGTCCGCTCCCTGGAGGGTCTCAGGTATGTGGGTCAGAGACAGAGTCAGCCCAAGACCAAAGGGTGCTGAATCTGAGGACCTAGCTCAACTTGAGTCTAGAAAGACTGCAGGTGAAGAATTGGTGAGCACTCCCGTTCTCTGGGACTTGGGCAGAGGATCTAAAAGACCCGGGAGCCAAGGACAGACAGAATAGTAGGTCTCTACCTCACACCCTTTTCAGGAATTTCACACAGAGAGCAGAAGCAGCCAAGTAGAGCTGCTCCAAGCTGGGAGCAGGGATCCAAAATAAAAAAGCGTGAGTGGGCTGGCTTGCAGGGCGGCAGCTAGGGGGCCAGAACAGCCCGGCTTCAGTCAGTTGTGGGGTCGGCGTTAGACGGTGGAGTTCGACGCCCCTCTGTCCATTAGCAATTAGTGCTAGCACAAGGCCTGGATGGAGGGGAGAGGAAGGTTTGCGGGCAGTGGGAGAATGAATGCAGGAGTTGTGGCCAAGTGGGTGGGAAGGGGGCTCTGAGGCTACAGGAAGTTATTTCAGAGACTAGAAAAGGGTAGGAGATTGGAGAAAGGACTTGTTCTTGGGCCTGAGGGGAGACAAAGTTAAGTCTTGGCTATCCAGGGGGCTCCCTATCCCCAAGAAGGCGGGGCCTTGAGCAAGGCTGGGCCAAGGCGCGCCCCCAGGTGCAGCCTCTGGGTTGAGCCGAAGGTGGGGTGAAGCCAGGAGAACTGGGTTGAGTCAGGGGGGCTTGGGGGGGCCCGAGGGGGCCCTAAGTATTAGGAATTTGGGGAGTTTAGGGAGGGGTGTTGTGGCTAAAGAATGCTGTGAGGGCGGAATTGGGGGATCTTGGGAAAGGGGAGGGAGCCACTGGGACTTGCACGAGGCCGGGCGGAGCCTCCGAAACGCTCGGGGTCTGCGGGGGGAGCCGGAGATCGGGGACGGGCGGCTGGGCCCCGGGAGGCGGCGCGGGGGGGCGGTCCAGGGCCGATCGGGAGGCGGAGCCCGGAGCTGGGGGCTGCTGGCGAGCGGCTCTCTCCGCTCCTTAGCTCGGGCGTCCTGGTTCGCTTCGGCGTCCGCCGTCTCCGCAGCTGCCTCCTCTTCCTCCTTCGCCACCGCCGCCACCGCCGCCGCCGCCCGCAGCACCGCAGCCCCTCCCGCCATGGCCGCCGCCGGCGCCCGGCTCAGCCCCGGCCCCGGCTCGGGGCTCCGGGGGCGGCCGAGGCTCTGCTTCCACCCGGGGCCGCCGCCACTGCTGCCGCTGCTGCTGCTGTTCCTGCTCCTGCTGCCGCCGCCGCCGCTGCTGGCCGGCGCCACCGCCGCTGCCTCGCGGGAGCCCGACAGCCCGTGCCGGCTGAAGACCGTCACGGTGTCCACACTGCCCGCCCTGCGGGAGAGCGACATCGGCTGGAGCGGCGCCCGCGCCGGGGCCGGGGCTGGGACCGGGGCCGGAGCCGCCGCCGCCGCCGCGTCCCCGGGCTCTCCTGGCTCTGCCGGCACCGCCGCCGAGTCGCGCCTCCTGCTCTTTGTGCGTAACGAGCTGCCGGGGCGCATCGCGGTGCAGGACGACCTGGACAACACCGAGCTGCCCTTCTTCACCCTGGGTAAGGCTGGGCGCCGGCACGCGCTAGATCCCAAGGAACCCCGAGCCCCTGCGTCATGCCGGACGGGTGGGGGCGCCCTGGGGATCCCTGCCCGGGGCTGCCCCGAGTGGGGTTGGCAGAGGGTAGAGGAGGGGCCCAGAGGTCGCACAGGTGGTTGGAAACGAGCATGTGGGAGGAGGTCCTGGAGAGCGCGCGGCGGGAGCCTGGGGGCGTGCCAACCCTCCCGCAGTGGGAACCTGCCCCTCTGCCTCTCAGTCCCGACCTGGAGCTCTGCTTGATCCATCCCGGAAGCCGGAGACCCCATTCACTGAAGGTGCTCTGGCTAGGGGCCGGAGCATCCCAGATCCTAAGCCAGTTTCAGGTCGAGCCTCCCACTTCTCCGGGTACCGTCACTGGCCACCCGCCGTCACCGCCCCCTCGCTCTCGCCTCGGAGTTGCGGGTTCTGCCCTTCCAGATGGATTTTCATGAGAGTAGGAATGGAGTAGTTCCGTGTGGAATCGCTCAACCCGCAAAAGCGTGGCTTCCGCATGGGCTGAGTGACCTTGGCCAAGTCGCTTCCCTTCTCTGAGCCTCAGTTCTGGCCATCTGTGAAATAGGGCTGGAGAGACTTGAGTGGTTGCTGAGAACTGGGATTCCGACTCCGAGGTCTCCACGTTTAGAGCCTCCCTCTACCCCCGTTACCGCCTTCCCTTTCTACCCACCTCCAGGCAGAGAGCCGGTTTGTCCTTGCAGCTCACTCCCTGGGCTAATAATAATTACTTAAAGGCAAGAAAAAGGAGAGGAGAGGAGATGGGTGTGGGTGGGGGGCTCCAACGGAAAAGTTAATCAGAAAAGTTCGCCAGCAGCTTGCTGCCTGCTGGTTCCCTGCGCGAATCCCGGAGGAGTCGGCCCTTCAGTGGAGCTGTGGGAAGCGCAGCTGATTTCCCACCCGGGTAATTGATAGCTTAATTATCTCGGAGAGCGTTTACAAAAATGTTGTTCCCCTTAGCTCTCCCGCGCTCGCTGCTTGCTCGCTCTCCCCTCCCCTCTTGGGGGCGCGGGGCCTTATTGGTTGTCGGAGTCTGGCCAACAACAGCGCCCGTGAGGCGCCAGGGGCTCGCCCAGACCCGGAGCTCTTCTTCCCCGGGTCTTTTCCTCGGCGGGATCCGCCTCGGGCACCGCAGGTGAGGGGCCTTCCAGGTGAGAACCTTTACGATCCCTGAACTTCCGAGGTTAACTCCTTGCTCGCCTGAAAAGACCCACAGAATAATCAGCGGACTACGCTCCACTCTCCTGGTAGCCCTGATATTGTTAAAAGTATTTTTGTGACCCACTCCCCATCCTTTCATGCTACCACCTCTGGGGATTTGAGCGAGTGCCAGTGGTTCTCCCGCTCTGAGCTTGAACCTCGGGGGTCGAGCCCCTGTACCCACCCTCGCAGGCTGTAACCTGAGCGTGCCGAGCGTTCCGGGAGGAGAGGCAGCGGAGCGTCCTGCAGGTTCCTCGGGGACTCCCCGCGGCGGCGCTTCTGGGGTGCGACGCACCAAGCACACACACACAGACACACACAAACCAGTAGCTCTTCCCACGTGCACCTGTGGGGCTGCCCATGTCCGAGAAAGGGAAGGAGGGTGGAGGTGGTGTTCCTTAGAGCGCCGCCGGACTAACCTCAGGCTCACAGCTGGCTCTTGCCACCTCCCCGTGGGGAAGGGTCTTTCTAGAGACACAGAAGGTATCCCTTCACTACCACTTCCATTCCTGACCTTCTCCCTTCATCCTTTAGATCTCTCTACTCCGGGGTACTCTGAGAGATGAGGGGTGGAAATCCTCCCGCCCCCCAAACGGCCATTCAAGTGAAGGGATGAGACGGTCCTTGGGTATGGCCTGACTTGGCAGTGAGGACCACAGAGCATTTCAAGTCTTCGAGGATATGGAGGACCTGCTCCAACCATCTGTATAGGTGCCCCGGGATTCCTGGAACTGACAATCTTTGCCATTTTTAACTTTGGCTTTCAAACAGGATGGGTGCCTGTGAGCCTGGGACAAGCTGAGTGAGGACCTGAGCGAGGAATTAGAAGTCTTGATTCCCCCAGGACCCATGTGTTGCTTGAGAGTCTCCTGGCAACAACCTGCACATGGAGACTTCCCCCTCCTCTGATGCACGGTCCCTGAGCCTGGCAGCTTGGGACCCTCTGCCCCTTGGAGAGCACGGGGCTGGCCTCCTTGGCAGCGCTGAGCCTTTTGGATGCATGCGGGGGATTGGGTTCTTGCCTCCTCCTTTTCCCCCTAGCGCCCTGGGCTGGCAGCTTTAGGCGCTCTCAACGGGGATTTGGCTAGCGAGGTAGTCACCAGATGGCTGGGTATAGCAGGAGCTGTGTAGGGAGACGTGGGATTTTTATTTGTGTTGGTCTTCCACTGTTTGTGTGTAAACACAGAGTGCACAATGAGTTCTGGGAGGACCTAGCTGGCCGGAAATGAGAGTTGGTGCCCGCTGGGGGTTGGGGGGGGGAGGGGTGAGGTGGGGGTGGTGGTAGGGGTGGGGTTGGGGCTGATACTATGAGACATTTATGGCCATCTCTTTCTAGTGTCCCAAGGCAGCCCCATCCCATCCCCAGACTTTTAAACATCCTGCCTAACGTTTGTCTCTGGCGAGTTGGGCAGCTTTCACTATCAGCTTATCAGTTCAGGGGATACGGACATGGCCAGTGCCACAGCTGAGCATGCAAAGTTGGTAAATGCCAAACTCTGCCAATAGTGGGGAGTGTGGAGCTACCACTAGGGGGTGATGGTGTCCACCAAAGCCCTCTGGTCACTTTGGGTCCTGGGACCAGAATTAGTGGTGGTAAACCATCCCTGGTATTAAAGGGGGACAAACAAAAAGAAGAATTCTTAGTTTATTCAAACTCCAGTGGGGGACCTCAAGGTAATTTTGCATGCACTATCTCCCATCTGCGTGCACCAAGGTCACCTTCATATTTAACCCTGGCTCCCTCCATTCTGCCTCTTTTGTTTCTGTTATTGGTAATGCCCAGACTGGAAGCAAGTCTTTTTTTTTTTTTTTTTTTTTTTTGCAGATCCTTTCCTTTTTGTATTTCTAGTCTCCCTATCAAATTTCAGCCTGCCTTAAGTAAATGGAAGTTTCCTTCAGTTGTGAACTATCTCCAAAGTTTGTTTGCCTGGGATTCTTCTTTAGAATCTGATTATAAGTCAATGACATTGACAAAGTGAATCTCCCTGAAAGTGATCAAAGAATAGCAAATAGTTATTGAATCCTTAATGTGATGCTAAGAGCTTTCTTCCTGCCTTGTATTATTAATTTACATAACATATATGGAGTGGGCTCTACTGTTACTCCCATTTGCCAGATGAGGAAGTATTTTTAGAGAGGTCAAACGCGTAATCCAAAGTCATGCCAGGAATCAATGGCAGACCTGGAACTGGAATCCTGGTCTGCCAGACACCTACATTCTTGTAGGTTGCTAAACTGGTATTCTGAACCAAATATGAAGTTTATGCAGGTTATGGTGCTGAATAGAGAGGGATAACAATCATCAAGATTGTTAGACAAGAGCTTTTCTCCAAAGGAACTTCAGCTACCTTGGTGAGCTGACCTATGTAAGTTTGAAACTGAAATATGAGTTAAATGACATCCAATGACCCTTCCAGCTCAAAGTTTCATGACTCTTGGATGTCAAAGGGCATTTTATTTATTGGTGCCAATGAGTGATGGAGATGATACATTCTGTAGCATCAGGGAAGGAAGGCATCTCTGTAGAATTGGAGAAGACTGGGGGCACTTTCTGGACCAGAAAGAACCTGAACTAGGCCTTGGAGGATTTAATAGGCAAAATGAGGAAAAGTGGAATGCTAAAATGCAGCTTAGAAATTTAACGCTGGTTAGGATCTGGAAATCTCAGCTTTGGCTCACTGTGACCTTGAATAAGTCATTTATCCCCCAGAGCTTCAATTCTTTCTGCTGCAATATGAGTGGGTAGATGAGCTCTAAAATAATCCTTTCGTGTAAAGATTCTATGAACTTGAAGTGCCCTGACCTACTCCATGACTCTGATAGCTCCTCTTGCTTTGTACTGTCTGTTTTCCTTTACTGGTAACATGAGGGTGGTGGGAAGGACTGATAGAAAAGAAAGAATTTGAGCAGGAACAACTGCCAGCCCAGGGCTTCTAAGGTGAACCTGTATGTCATTCAGTCCTCACTTACCTCCAGGCAGCCCCCGGGGTCTGCTTGTGGATTTAGCTTTCATGCCCACAGGTAGGGAAATGTCATCCTTCTTGCTGTGCTTGATAGTGGTCAGGCAAGACTGTTTACTACCTGCTTTGATTCAGCAAAAGCAGGAAAAAGCAATAAAATTGAATAAGCACTCATTGTCAACATTTTTTAGTAATTTGCTTTGCCATATCAACCTGACAGGAGAGGCGTGTGATCTGTATTTGGGGGAGGGAGTGTGAAGAAAGAAAAGCTATTCATTAGTCTGTGTTAAGTACACCTGCATGCGTAGAGCTGGCGGGGTCCCAAAGGACCATCCCAAAGGCTGCTTTATGCAAGAAGCTGATGGCCTGGAAGAAGGAGGAAGATACGGTTTGAAATGCCAACTTGTTCAGGTCAGCAAATGTTCCTTGAAGGAGTGAGGTGCCAGGAACCTGGCCAGAAGAATGGTTGGGAGAAGGGAGTTTAGCCACAGAGGGCTGGAGAAGCTTCCTTTAAATGTCAACAATGAGCTGAGTGTGGTGGCTACTTGGGAGGCTGAAGCAGGAGGATCACTTATGCCCAGGAGTTTGAGGCTTCAGTGAGCTGTGCCCATACCACAGCACTCCAGCCTGTGTGGCAGGGGGAGACCCTGTCCCTAAAGAAAAGTCTACACAAATTAAGAGTATGTTTTCTGTTGGAGAAGGGGAGGGTGTCTGATTCTAACGAATGTCTTGAAAGATCTGAGAGGATAGAGCTGAGCCCTACAGGAGGCTGTGTCCCCTGGAGCTGTCCAACAACCCAGTATGCTGACCCCTAACGGTAATACAATCCACCTTGTAGGTATTCAAGCACAGACTGGACCTCCGTTTGGCAGACATTCGAAGAATGGACCCACTTCCTTGCAGACCGTTGTATACCCTTATTGCTTTCTGGTTTGGTTCTAAAGGTGGACAATGAGTGCTTACTCAATTTTGCTTTTACCTCCTTTTGCTGAATCAAAGCAGATGGTAATTTTTTTGGAGGGAGGAAAAAATCCTTATAAATAGTCATGAGCTGTGTCTTCTCTAGGGGTTTCTGACCACAGAATGTTCATTAGCATCAATTCCACTTTTTTTTCTTATGTGTGAGAGAAAGATTCTGGGATGGAGAAGCAAGAAAATTTGATTTCTTGAGAGAAAGATAGGATTAAAACAATGTATGTTATTTCTTCATTTGGTCACCAAGTCCTTTACTGCTAATTGAGATATTTGGTTAGCAGTCAAACTTCAAGTTCCCATCTTGGTGTGATGGTCTAGGTTTCTGGGACATTATAAACAAGGGTCTTGGGGGAGGTGGTGTTTAGTGGCCTCTGATCTAATTCTTCTACTCTTTTCCACTCACTTCCCTCACTCCATACCCTACCCCACTTCTTTCCATCTCAAAGCCGATGAAATTTATTTAATGCTCAGGGCAGAGTGAAATACGTTGTCTTCCTTCAGAAAGTACTATGTTATTGAGACAGTGTAGGGCAGAGAGAGGGGAGAGCTCATTTCAACCATTAGCAAGGCTTAGATTTGGTCAAGGTGGACCAGATTTGCTGTTTCTTGGGGGGTCAGTGATACCAACCTAGGCAGATCTGCAAGCTTTGGCATGACCCATGGCTTGATCATTTTCCTGAACTGGGACCTCAGTCTGCAAAATTACTCTGTGATTTTAATTTGTAGCAGGTGCAGCAGGAGGATTGACTAGGCCTTTGGCTGGCAAGGCCTCCTGCTTCTCACCTCCTTGCTTTGTTATACACTAAGCCTTGTTTGCCATAGGCCATTGTGAATATGTGTGATGTGGGGAGAGGAGGATAGACTGACAGCGACCTCTTGAATGAAGTCTGGAAAACTGTCACCACAACCGTCGACTTTGATGGGCTCCCAGCATCACAGACTCACAAGGCATTGAATTCAACCCCTCTATTTTATATGGTAACACTGAGGCCTAGATAAGGGAAGAAACCTACCCTACAGTCCAAATTTAAGCCCAATTGTCTTGAAGCCCACACTGCCTCTTTCTATCACATTGCTGGGCCTCTCACAGAAGGCATTGGGTTTAAACATATCACAGATTCTACAAGTTAGTTCAGCATCATAAAGGGGGACACTCTTTCCTCTCCCCCTGCCAAAAAAAAAAAATCTACAAGGAAAAATCTCCTTAGGGAAATTGAATTGGTTTTCCTGCCTGAGTATCCAACTGATTGGCTCCAATCTATCCTAAGCACCTGGGCTGATGGGTTTTGTTCTGGGGCAGAAGGAAGCCTCACTGCCTCTCACCCTAGCTGCCTTTGGGGGTGGGTGGAGGAAATCTGCTCTTTTCAGGAAAGGAAAAAAAGAGTCGGGTTTAACCTTGGGGTGGAGCAGCATTAGAGGAGGCTTCCTTTCCAGAGCTGATACTCTCCCACGTTCTCATACTGACCAGCTAGTGGCAACAAAAGATTAACTATAGTGAGAGAGAGAGAGCTGGTTTTTCTTTCCTTGCAATGGAGCAGACAGCCTCTCTGCCCCCAGAAAGAGGCAGGCAGCAATGCTCAATGAGAGTTGTTCTATTTTCTAGCACTTGTTCTCTCCTTTCACTGGCTTTTCTCTACTGACTATAGCTCTTTTGGACAATAGCCCCCCAAAAGAACTCCCTTTTGAATGGAAAAGGAGTGGGTGATGACTACACAATGCAAGATTCAAAACTGAAATATGTGTAGCTTTCTTACTAGCATACTGGAATATGTAAGCATCCAAGTCTGTGAGTTGAAATTTGACAAGCATGTTGTAGGTTACAAACTATGAAGGGAAACTACTTCTTCATCCCCAGCACTGCAGTCACTGTCAAGGTCAGGCCTCAACACTTCTCTCTACTACAATTACAACAGTCAACGCACTGATCTGTCTACCTCTAGTCTTATCCCCTCTAATCCATCCTCCGTACTTGCAGACAAAGTGATTTTATTAAAAGCCCAAATCTGATAATGGCCATCCTCTTGTAAAGCACTTCACTGCTTCCCCATTGTTCTGAAGGTGTTGAATTTCCCTCTCCCTATTGTAGTAGTACAAGGTCCCTGATCACACTCTGCCAGATTGTCCTTTACTAAGAACCCTTCCTTCTTATTTGGCACCTCTACCTCACCATCCCCTGGGGAAATTCCTTCTTGCTTTTCAAGACCGAATTCAGGTGTCAACTTATTTTTGAAGCCTTTTCTGACCCCTCTGCACCAGAGTTGAACACTCTGAGCCTTGGTGCCCACTATCAATAAAGACTGCTATAATCATAGCCAGGCCCTTTGAATCACTGAGCACCAGTGATGTGAGAGTCACTGTTCTATGTGCCTAGGATACATCAGAGAACAAAAGACAAAGATCTCTGCATTCAGAGAGCTTTTATCCCTCTGTGTTGTGTGTGTGTGTGTGTGTGTGTGTGTGTGTGTGTGTGTGTGTTAGGGGACAATGACAACAGACATAATAAGTAAATAAGTTATGTAGTATGTGAGAAGATGAAAAATTCTATGGAAAAGGGAAAAAACTAAGGGAAAAGAGAATCGAGAGTTCTGAGATAAGGAGACGGGTTTTAATATTAAATAGGATAGAATGAGAAGAGCTTATTGAGAATGTGAGATTGGAACAAAGGCTAAAAGAAGGGGAAGGAGTTAGCCAAGCAGCATCTAGGAAAAGCACATTCCAGGCGGAGAACAGCTCCTAGCTAGATAATCCTAGCTGATTATCTAGCTTAGGAGCACACCTGGACCTTTCAAGGGACAGCATGAAGGTCGGTGTGGCTGGAATGCAGTGAACAAGTGGTGGTGGAGGAGGGGGGTGGCAGGACAAGACGTCAGAGAAGAAAAGAACAGTCATGTAGGGCTGTACAGACTACTGTCAGGATTTGGGCTTTGACTCTGAGTGAAATCAAGAGCTCTGTAGAATTTTAAGCAAAACAGTGCCAAGGTCTGACTTATGTTTCAAAAGAATTCCCTACGCTGCTCTGTACAGGACCAACGATGGGTGCAGGAAAGCCTGAAGGAGTCTCTACTGATGAAAAGTAATGGTGGCTTGGAGCAGAGTGAGACCAGAATTTACGCTGTGTGTTTCCTCATGTGTCTCACGCTGTTTGCCTATGTACCCTGTGAGCAGCTAATGTACCTCCTTCATCTCTGGGGCTGTGGTGACTCACCCTTTACTTGGCACATTGTAGGTGTACAGGAGATCTTAGAGAACTAGAACTCTGTGTTTGCTAAGTGTCATCCCAGAATCCACAGTAGACAAAACTTGAGATGGGCTGAATTTGCACTACCCTGTTAAGAGTGAGCCTAAACACTATCCATCCCACAGAGCCTTCCCTCTTCTAAGCACCCATAGCCATTGCTGCTACCTTCTCCTGTCTCCTGATTATTTTGGGGTGATTGCAGGATGGCTAATGAGAACAATGTGATTAGAGGAAAGATCATTGTGTTTGGAGAAGACTCTGTCTTGAGCAGCTTGGAAACCAGGTAAATGATTAGAAACTTTGCATTGTAGCAAACGAAGAGACAATACAAGTTTCAGGGAAATGATACACCATGGTTCCAGGATTATCAAATATCAGAAATGGAAAAATTTAGGACATTATCTAACTGAAACACTTCTATATAAAGATGGGGAAATCAAGGTCACCAAGCCTGTGGTAAAGCAGATGCCAGATCCCAGATCTACTGACCCCTATGTGTTTTCCTTCCATCTTAGGGAAGGGCAGCTGGGAAACTGGGGACAGGAGGAGTTGGAATTCCAGAGTTGTAATGTAACTGGACTTTATCATCCTACATAGGATAGGCTATGAAAACCGTGACCATTTTATGTAACATGTACTATGTCCCAGGTGCCATGATGGTACATTTGTTATCTATTCTTTCTACAGTGCTGAAGGACAGATGTAGCTCATCCCATGTTATAGGGTGAGTTCTGAGGCTCAGAGGAGTGAAGGAACCTACCCAAGATCACACAGCTATTATACAGCTAAGCTCAGTCCAAATCCAGGTCTGCCTGGTTCCATAGTCTATGTTCTGTCTGCCTTGCATGCTGCATAGAACAAGAGATGCTCTCAACTTTTCATCTCTAGACTTTTTTACTTCTTATGTCATCCTCTTCTCATGACCAAGAAGCTGCAGGCGTTTCTTATATAGGAACTTCAGGTGTGACAGCCTCACAGGCCCAAGGGACTGAGCACCTTGTTCTGTGCTGCCAGGAGCTGACTTAGCAGCTCCCCAGGCCCCTTTGCTTGCTCCTTGCTGCTTTGCCAAGACAGCATCTAGGCCTTGTCTCATACTCTCCAGATGCCTCTTGTTACTCCTGGACCCACTTGACAAGCAAACTCCTATGTTTCTGTGCCTTCTTGGTTTCCTCTCTCCTTCCCTCCCTCTATTCTTTCCACCTTCCCTCCTTTCTTCCCCATCCCCTTTCCTTCTTTTTTTTCCCCCTTTTCTTCCTTCCTCCCAACTCTTAGAGAGTTGTCACCTCATGCTCTGCCAAGTGTTTACTAGGGGATCAGTGATCTTGTCCTCTGAGAAATTTGTATAAGCTCTATGTCCTTTTTTGGGAAATGATCAGGGTGTCTGGAGTCTGAGATGTAGCCGCTATCTGGCTAGGTGAACTTGCTTCTCACTCCTGCTCAACCTTGTCAAATTTTTCCACTCAGTACTCCTTAGCATCATTGTGCAGTTTTCGTGTTTCCTCCTTGAATGTGGGATCTATATTATACATACATACACACACATACGTAATATATTATAATGCTATATAAATCCAAATATATAGTGTATCCTTCTAGATTATTAGAATGAGGTAAAATGATGCCTTTGAGATCCAACCCAACTCCTTCATCTATGTAGCGAAGACAAATACATTTTCCAAGGTCCTGCAGCTAATCCACAGCACAACCAAGTCTCTAGCTCAGGTCCTCTGATGGTGGCAGTGTGCTAGAGTGAGACTTTTGCTAGGTCTGAGGACCAAAAGCCCTGGGATCAAATCCCAGATGTGCTAATTCCTAGCTTTAGATTTATGTATGCCACTTCTCTGAGCCTCTGCTTACCCATCAATAACATGAAGAAAACATAATAGTCACTTAATTTTGGAGAGCCCTCCATAACCACATTTTAGTCAGCACTGGGCACTGTGCTAACTTTTTACTTACACTAAGCTGTGTGATCCTTATGGAGATAGTGTGTGCAAAGCACCTAGCGCAGCATCTGGCACACAGCTTGGGCTCTGTGCCTCTTCGCCACCTGGAATCCTTTTTTTGGAAGGAGGTGGAGGTATGAATCAATAATGAATGTAAATTTCCTTTCCCCTCCCCCTCTTTCCACTCCCTCATGCTCCTCTTATGCCTCCTCTCTCCACCTCCCCTCCTCCCCAGCAAGGCAAAAAAGGATGAAATTGACCATTGATGTCTGCTCATTCTCTTGGAGCTGGGGGAAGCTGGGGGAAGCAGGGAATTCCGGGGTTGTTTGAGGACAGTTGGGACAGAAGAGCTCTTAGAGACTGAGTCTAAGGCAGGTGGGTGTTGTGGGAGCAGGCGGGGCAGAATCCTCTCCCTTCTGGTGGTGGCTGGCTGACAAAGCCTTGCTCTCATGCACCCAGGGAAGTCACGAGTGGCTTTGCAAGCAGCCGAAAAGGGAAGGAACATTTCCATTAGCAGAATCAGCAGTAAAGAGATTTCCAGTCACAGTAATAGCTGCATTTGGGGGAATCATTTCAGTGGTGGCTGAGGGCGGAGGAGGGAAGGGGGTGGGGCATCGGGGGAAGGCACAGGAAGACGTCTGGTCTACTTGCACAGAGCTGGGAGATAGCACCAAATTAGAGCCAGGTGCCAGACAGGGTGACTATTCAGGAGCAGGACTGGTCCTTTGACAAACATTCTGGATTCCCTATTGTCCTCCAAATGGACAGAGCTCCATTCTAGAGGGTCCCCATGGGAGGCTGCACACTTATTCAATGCTTCCTTTCCTCTGATTATCTGAATTACTCTTTTCAAGACTTTTACAGCCAGCAGCAACTTGTTTGGCTCCCAGGATTTGTAGGTGGAAGAGTTCCCAGATTATTTAACCCAGGCTTTCCTCAAGTTAGCTGATCATCAGAATCACGGTAGACCTCAGGCTCTCAAGGCCAGACCTGCTGAGGCTCCTGGGGAGAGGCCTGGGAATCTGAACTTCAGCAAGTGTATTGACACCCTGGCCTTTACCTAGAAAACCTCTGTGAAGTGAAGCCCTGTTAGAAGCTCTTCAGCCTCATCCTCCAATGTTCCTTTCCTCCCTCGAGGCTCTAGCCTCATTAATTACTTGCAAATGTCTGAGGGTAACATGCTTATTCTCTTCTCTCTGTTTAGATTGTTTTTGTATTCCTCGTTCACCTGGCCAGCTCCTAGACTTAGCTCTAGCATCTGCTCTAAGGGGTGTCATCTCTAAGGAGCCTTCTCTTTCTCCTCTTGGGCTTAGGTTTTCTTTTCCTGGAGACCTATATACCCTCCATCACACCACCACCACCACCCCACCCCACTCCATGTAGGGTTGCTCTGTTTAGCAAATAAAAATACATGATGCCAACTTAAATTTAAATTTCAGATAAATAATGAATACTTGTTTAGTATAAGTATGTTCCATGCAGTATTTTGGACATACTTATACTAAAAATGTCTCGCTGACTATCTGAAATTCAAAGTGAACTGAGCGTCCTTTATTTTATTCAGAAGCCCGTAGGAAACCTGTGTTTCTCTCCTTCTTGTCTGGGATCACACTATTGATGTGTGATTTGCCCCCTAAACCTGCTCTACCCACATCTTCCCATCTCAGGAAATCAAACTATTAGCCTAGTTTTTCAAGCTAAGCAGTCATTCTTCATCGTTTTCCTTGCCTCTCATCCTTTCAGTCAGCTAACCCTGATGGTTTTGCTTCTTAAATGATTTTCAGGCAGGGTGCAGTGGCTCACGCCTGTAATCCCAGCTCTTTGGAGGCGGAGGCAGGCAGATCACTTTAGGTCAGGAGTTTGAGACCAGCCTGGCCAACATGGTGAAACCCCATCTCTACTAAAAACACAAAAATTATCCAGGTGTGGTGGCAGGTGCCTGTAATCCCAGCTACAGAGGAGGCCGGGGCAGGAGAATCTCTTGAACCTGGGAGGTGGAGATTGCAGTGAGCTGAAATCGTGCCACTGCACTCCAGCCTGGGTGACAGAACAAGACTCTGTCTCAAAAAAACAACAACAGGAAAAGATTTTCAGAATTAACTTTTCATAGTTTCCACTGGCATCACCTTCATCCAAGCTGCCATCCTTTCCCATATCAGCCTCCTAACCGGTCTTCCTGCTGCCTCTCCCTTCTCTGTCCTTTCTTTATGCCATACTATATATAGCCCATGGGCCAAATCTAAACAATTGCTTGTTTGTTTGTTTGTTTGTTCAGCTCATAAGACTATTAACTTTTTAAAAATAGTTGACAAAAAGTCAAGAGAAGAATAATATTTGTTGACATGTGACAATCATATGAAATTCAGATGTCAGTACCTATAAATAAAAATGTACTGGAACACAGCCACACTCCTTTGTTTATGTGTTGCCTGTGGCTGCTTATGGTCTATAATGACAAAGTCAAGCAGTGGCAATAGAGAGTGTCTAGCCTGCAAAGCTTAAAATATTTATTAACTGGCCCTTTACAGAAAACGTTTGCCAACCTCTGCTCTACACAGTAGCCAGAGTGATGTCTTCCAAAAAATAAATTATATTTTGCCACTCCCCTGTTTACGACCTGCAATTGTTTCTCATTGTTTTTAGGATAAAATCCTCATTCTTTTTCAGTGTCTGCAAAATCCTAAATAATTTGCCTTTTTCTCTGAGTTGCCTTCTACCATTTCCTCCCTTGCTCACAAAACTCAAATATTACCTCCTCCAAGTAGTCTTCCCGGACCAAAGTAGCACCCTTATACACCACACTCTCAGCTATCTCAATTATTTTTAAAAGCCTTTACCTGACAGGTATTTGGAGGCAGGGAGTGTGTCTTGTTCATCATTTTGCTCCCTCAGCTACGTAGCTGAGGAACATCACATAGTAGGTTCTGAGTAGATATTTCCTGACAAAATGGGCAGAAATCAGGGTGATAGTTTGTGAACACCACTTCTGATGGATCACTACCTCATCAGGTTGTTCTGTTTTTTATTAGGAGGAGGATTCCAGGAGCTAAAGTTTATAAAGTATGTTCAGCAGTACCCGGCACTTAGTACATGCTACCTATGTGCTCGTTAAATAAACAAAAGTAAATAAGCCTGTACCTTAATCCCTAATACCAGCCCCCTCCCTACCTCTTTTGCAGCTGGAGAGAGCTTAGGATCACTCGAAGCAAGTCATGTGGTTAAAGATCTCATGGAACCCAGAGGCAGTGTAATATGGTGGAGAGGACTAGAACTAGGAATCGTGGGTTTTGGTCCCAGTTCTGCTGGGTGTCTGTGGTCAAGTCTCTTCCTCTTTTCAGGCTTTCCCTCATCTCTAATGTGATGAGATTAAACTAAGTGATCCTAGGAGCCCAGGAGGGAGAGAAGGGTTCCCTCTGGGAACTTCTGAGGCTGGAGTTACAGTTAAAGCTTTCTCCTTTCCTTCTCTATCCTTTCTGGGGCCTCTGAAGATCAAACACTCAGCTCTGAACCCAGGTGCGACTAGAGTTTTCAAGCCCAGTCTTGCACTAATTTATCAGGGAATCTTCTTCAATTACTTTCTCTCTAGCCTTCCCCAGGGAGGGGGACTGCCCAAAGTAACCAATTACTGGTCTGCCAATGGCAGGGTTCCTACTGTCCCTCCCTCCCCTCTTTTCTCTCTCTCTTTTATTGTCCTGACCTCTTTAATCCATCTCTCCAAACCACAGAAGCCTCTAGGGAATCGCCCCCACTCACTTGCCTCCCTGCTTCCAGGAGGGAACAGACGTTCTGTCCTCCCCACAAAAGGACAGCAGGTGGAAAGACTGATGGCTGAGAAAGGGCAGCTACAGAGCTAGGAAAACCAAACAGGTTTTTCAAGTCTGGTAAGTACACAACTGTGTTGAATTTGGAGGTAGTGCCTGGAGTCTAGTCCTGTTTCTGCCATTGATTTGTTGTGTGACCTTAAATAAATGGCAGTCCTTTTTTGACCTCAGGGAAGATTAATATTGTAAGAGCCAAGTCTCTTTCAGGAAAGCAGGGGAAGATTGGGCTGCATAGGCTACTCCAAGAGAGAGGAGAAATCATCCAGTCTGGTTTGCTGCAGAATCCCATGTGCCTACAGATGTGTCCATCATATAGTAGATACTCAATAAATATTTGTTGAATGAATAAATGAATAATCAGTGGAAATTATGTTTGGCCATACTGCCACTGTCCACTTCTGTATTCATGACAGACATTGCTAATCAATCATTTAATGATAGCCTGAGATTCTTTCTCAATGCAATGCCTCATCAATCACTTCCAGTCAATTGGGATTAGCATAGGGGATGAATTTTATTCCCATTTCCTAATCTAAACCAATTCAACCCGAAAACCTTGGCATCTCTGCCTGGTGTTAAGACCTTTTAGTAATTCTTCAGTGGTCCTTCCATCCCAGACCCTGTGCTGGATCTCTAGTGGTATAGAAAAGCAGGGTGCTCATAGACCCTTATTGCATAAGGTCAGTAGTAATGGGATTAGCTGTATTTATTTTAAAAAGGAAACTTTGTATCACTGTCATGAATGAAACACCAAAATAACTTTCAGTAAATGGAAGATAGCCTGCAAAAGTAAGTATGTCTCTATCGAAGTTAAAACACTCATGTGCCGTCTAAATTCATCTCTGGTTCAATACTTGGAAAATGTTGATCGACCCAAGCACAGAGACGAAGATAGTCCTCTAAAATTCAAATTTTGCTCACTTAAATGTCAGATTATCTTTAATATTATATATTTTAAAAATATCTTTTCTGCCTCATAACTACCATCTTTTAAGATCCAGCGTGAATATTCCCTCACTCCTTCTAAGATGACTTTCCTGGCTCCCCCCAAAACAGTTATTTCCCAAGCATTTCGTATATTCAGTGCAGTCAGTATTTTCATAGAAATATTGTTGATTGCATGTCGGCCTTTCTTGTTAGTATGTAAGCTTTCTAAGTTAAACATCATTTCTCTTTAATATCTGTAACTCCAGCAGAGAGTACACGTGTGTTTATTGTATTTCCAACCTCAATTTTACATTTTGGGTCAGGCGCGGTGGCTCACGCCTGTAATCCCAGCACTTTGGGAGGCCGAGGTGGGCAGATCACAAGGTGTTCAGGAGATCAAGACCATCCTGGCCAATGTGGTGAAACCCCATCTCTACTAAAAATACAAAAAATTAGCTGGATGTGGCAGCGCATGTCTGTAGTCCCAGCTACTCGGGAGGCTGAGGTAGGAGAATTGCTTGAACCCGGGAGGCGGAGGCTGCAGTGAGCCAAGATCGTGCCACTGCATTCCAGCTTGGGTGGCAGAGCAAGACTCCATCTCAAAAAATATTAACAGAAAGAATACAAGGTTGTTGTAACACATTAATGCAATTCGGAGATATTGTAAAGGAAAACCTGAAAGTCTCTCCTCCACCCAAACACATTCCTCAAAGGTGGCCATGACAAACAGTTTGCTGGAATGCTTATGGGAATGTGGAATAGATATGTTTGTGAATAGCCACCTTTGGTGCCAAAGAGGGGAAGAGATTTGTCCAAGGTCATTCTGAAGTTTCTTGCAGGCGGCACAGAGATATTGATAAAATTGTCTTTTCATTAGGGCACTGGTTTCTATAGCTGGCCTCCATGATAGATCAGGGGAGTATGAGTTGCTCTGGATTTCTGTTACAGAGGTGCTCCACTCTTAGCTGCCTGTAACATTGGAGCTTCAATTTCATCTGAACAAAACATGCATTTAGACATTTAAAAAACATTTTAGAAGGATGGCACTATGTCCAAACCACAGCATCGGCCTCCATTCTCCATGTACAATATATTGGAAAGGAGATGGTTAATGTTCCTTCCACATTTTTTGGTGGTAGTGTGATTGAAGGAATCTTACTGTCCGTCTTATAATTAACATTAAGCCAGCTTTACAAACCACCCCTAGAATGTTCAGGCCCCTGAAACTATCTCAAGATTTCCTGTAGGTCTTAGGGAATTTTCTTTTTTTATTTTCCTTTGCTTGATTTACACATAAAGATGCACACACACACACATATACATAATATGTAACAGAAACATTCGTACATGTACACAAATACATACATACATGCAGATACATATGAGACACAGAGAGTGTGGAATATGATGATTCTTCTGTCAGGAGAAGTAGAAGAAACTGAACTCAGCAAAGGAGAAGCTAGAAAGGGACTAGTTATTACAACCTGTCGGGGGTGGGTGTCTCTGGCATGGCATTTGACATGATTGCTAAATCAGTGCTTCTCTTCTTCTTCGTTAAACTTCTCATTTGTGTGGGGAGACAAACTATTCAGGGGAGGGCTAACTACATTTCATTTTAATTCCTTGCCCTAGAAATCCTTGTTTTTGAAGCCATTTAGACTGGCAGTTGGTCAGTTAGTAGAAAAAGTCCATTAAAGTGGAGAATCATAAAAAGTAATAGACGCACCGTAAACATTTCATTTTAACTTAAAATACGTAAATGTGCATACATTTGCCAATTATTAGATGTAGGCCCAAGGCTGCCTCTTGGAGGCTGGATCAGCTGATTGGAGTTCCATGCCATCTGTCTTCCATAAACCATGCTCATAATACACCAGATATGATCTCCAGTGTTGGTTTCATTAAAGGAGACTGAGGACCTAAAGATGCTTGCCAAGTAATTTTTCTAGAGTTTTATGATTCCTTTCTAAATTTTTATAGTTGTCGCACCTGACCTAATTCAACAGCAATATTTAAGTGACTTTCTTTGTTTTTTTTAAATAGTATAATCAACTTAGTCCTCCTAGAAACCACTTTCTTGGATGTTCATAAATTTTTAATTTGCAGAATATTTCATTAAGTTTTGTACATTTTTAAATAAAGAGTGTAATTGGATTGTTTGTAACTCAAAGGATAAATGCTTGAGGGGATGGGCCAGGCGCTGTGGCTCACGCTTGAATCCCAGCACTTTGGGAGTTGGAGAACAACCTGGCCAGCATGGTGAAACACCGTCTCTATTAAAAATACAAAAAATTAGCCAGGCATGGTGGTGCATGCCTGTAATCCCAGCTACTTGGGAGGCTGAAGCAGGAGAATTGCTTGAATCTGAGATGCAGAGGTTGCAGTGAGCTTAGATTGGGCCGCTACACTCTAGCCTGGGTGACAAAGCGAGACTCCCCCTCAAAAAAAAAAAAAAAAAAGCTTGAGTGGATGGATACCCCATTCTCCATGATGTGCTTTTTTCACATTGCATGCCTGTATCAAAATATCTCATATAGCTGGGTGTGGTGGCTCACGCCTGTAATCCCAGCACTTTGGGAGACCAAGACGGGCAGATCACTTGAGGTCAGGAGCTTGAGACCAGCTTTGCCAACATGGGGAAACTCTGTTTCTACTAAAAATACAAAAATTAGCTGGGCATGGTGGTGCATACCTGTAATCCCAGCAACTCAGGAAGCTAAGGCAGAAGAATCACTTGAACCCAGGAAGCGGAGTTTGCAGTGAGCCAAGATCAGGCCACTGCACTCTAGCCTGGGAGACAGAGTGAGACTCTGTCTCATAACAACAACAACACAAAACATCTCATGTACCCCATAAATATATGCACCTACAATATACACACAAAAATAAAAAATAAAAAGTAAACTATTTCTTTAAGTTTTGTAATTATAAGAAATATAATGAGCATAAGCAGGTCTGGAAAACAAATTGGCTTCCTGTAAAATACAACTTAACGGGTGGCAAAGTCCTGAGTGCTGGAGAGGCAGCACTTTAGCAGTGTAAGCATTCATAGCTGGGGAGGCCCGAAATGTTCTACAGAGATAACATGAAACGCAGGCTCATCTGGCAGTCAGTGGAAAGAAGGCCAGCTGTAAGCTTTTGAAATATATACATTTCAGGTTGACAGAGGCATTAAGTCATAGCAGTTTTAGTGGCTGAGGCTTTAGATATCATTTGTCCAAAATTCTGATTTAAAGAGGAGGAAACAGAATCCCAGAGATGAGCCAGGAACTCCTGACTGTTGTAGTTCATAACCCTTCCTAGGATTCCTCAGCAATTGCCATTGATGTCCTCATGCTTTGGGGTGGCCTTCTTAGGGAGGCACCCCACACTATCCCCTATTTTATAGATGAGAAAACTGTGGTTCCAATAGTAAAGTTGCCGAGCATGTTAGAGCTGCTGTTAAATTCCCAGATCACACTGACTTCCCAAAGACCAGGAATGTTCTATAGATTCTTCTTGTTGTTGTTCAGCAGTAGCTTTCAATATTTTTAGAAAATAATTAAACATTAACAAATATTTTTTCCATCTGGGACCACACCTCAACAGGCATTCTCTTTCAAGTCCTTTTTGCCCTCACCTTGTACATGTATGGTTTCATGGGGGTTCTGTGTAACTCTGCGTATTTGCACCCCAATTCCCCAGATTATCTAAATTCACAACTCCAGGGCCCTCTGGCCACATCCAGCTTTCTTATTGCACAGAGGGAGGCAAAGGCTGGGAGAAGGCTACTACATTTCCTGACGTCAAGGGAGTGAGGCTACTTATGAACACAGAACTCAGAACACCAGCCTTGAGTTCTTTTGTCTCCACTGGGTTTCCCAGCATGCCTACCTTTAGGGACGGTTGGGCAGGTAACAAGAGGGCAGTGTGTGTGAGCGGGCTGCCAAGAGTTCCTGTGTTTTATGAGGTGCAGAGTATAATTCAAAACCTATTTTGGGGATGTCTCGCCCCATAAAATCTCCAGCAGGAATGGCTGGGAATTTGTTTTGACTTCCCCAGCATGTTTTTTTAAAGACCTCTTCTCCCCATCTCATTTTCCTTTCTTCTGTGTTTCCTTTCTTCTATCCAATTCTCAGGCACCCTGCCCCAGTGGCTTATGAGGGGACACAGTGGGGGCGGCATTTGGGGAAGGAGTCCTGCTATATAGGTTAATGGGCTGACAAATGATTATGAGAAAGCACTCCTTTCTTGGATGATTCTGCCTCTGAAAAGACATTGGCTCAGGAAATGACTTCAGGGATCTGCCTTTCACAGTGATAGTTAGACTTTTAGATGCCATTCTTGTTGTGGGAGAAATAAGGGTCCCATACAGCTTTCTGTCTTGTAATCCAGTAGCAGCTCTTCCTTCCTCATTTCCCCCATGCTCTTTCCTCGTTTCCACCACCCTCATCACTCTCCCAGTCTCTTGGCAGTTTCTACTGCTGCAGTTTCTTTCTTCAAGTAGATACTTGAAGAATCATTCCCAAAGGTTGTCTTTCTCTCATGTGGAATCCTCAGTGGCTCCCCACTGCTTTACAGGATTAAGAGTAAATTCCCTAGCAGCTGAGTCCTCTGCATAAGGACCCAACCCGCCTCTATTGCTTGTCTCTCTCACAGTTCCTTTGCCTACACTTCAGCCAAACTGGGGTTTTTACTGTCCGGAAAATAAGCTTTACTTTCCCATTTCTGTGACTTTGCTCGAGCTGTGTCCTCTGTCAGGGACAACCTTGTTCTCCTGAATTTCTGCTGGTGGAACTTACCTGTTTCGTATAAGCTACTTTCCTCACAGAAACATTCATTCCTTATTTCTCCTCCCGCTTTCCCTCTTTGCCTTATTTATCTTTGATTAACTTTATTCAGGACACTTTATTTATCTTTCTTAGGCCTCCTCCCTTATATTGATATATTGATGTCTCTCTCTTATCTCATCCTCTGCCTGCAAAATCCAATATAGTGGCCACTAGCCATATGTGGCTATTGAGCATATGAAGTGTGCCTAGGATCACTGGGGAACTAATTTTAAATTTTACTTAATTTTTATAAATTTAAGTAATAGCCACATGTGACTCTTGGCTACTACATTGAATAACATAGACATAGAACGTGTCCAGTATTGCAGAAATTTATGTTGGATAGCACTGCCTATGAAAGCCTTGAGGGGATGGAAGGACTCTTGCCTTTTCTGTCTCCTGTTGCCTGGTACAGAATCTGTTATTGAATAGGTGCTACCAATTAATGTTGGTAGCACTGACTTTCATGACAGGACTGTAACCAGTAACCCCAAAGAGATCCACTTTGAAAATGCAAGTTTAAGGCAATTTATTTTGAAAAGACACCAAGGGTTGCTAATACAAATATTGCATCATAAGCTTGCATTCGCAAAGTCTGGTGCATCTTATAGTCCAGGATGTCCTAGATGAATCCTATTAATCACACTTACCAGTAGGAATTCTGGACCCTTGATGGGCCTGTTCTCAGCCATCCCTTCCCTTCCCATCTCCTCCTCCTCCTCCATATCCCAGAGCTTGCCCATTTCATACCAGAGCCTGCCCATTCTACCCTAGAGTCTCCCCACTGCACCCCAGAGTCTGCTTATCCAGCCCCAGAGCCTGCCCATTCCACCTCAGAGCCTGCCCATTCCTAGGCCTTAGCAAGAGGGTCTCAGGAGCTCTCAGTCCCTGCGAGACAGGAGCGGATGGAACTGTCTGACATGAATGCACAGGTTTGAGCTTTCTTTCATCATTGTTTTATGGAAGATTTATGAGTGTTTCTTCCAGAGAGAACTCCTGAAAACTGTCCCGTGTGAGTGATGGCACGAGAATGGAATGCAAGAGGCTCTCCTCTCTTTTCTCCTCCCCATCCTTGTCTCATTCCTTGCTTTCCTCAGTTTCCTTTCCATTTCCACTTTTTAAATTTCTTCTCTTTTCTGTCTTTAGTGTTTTTTTCTCTCGCTTTCTATTTACTTTTAATGTCTCTTTTCTCCTCTTTCTCTACATCTGTGTGTGTGTTTGTGTGTCTGTCTTTCCATCACTTTCTCTCAGTCTCTGTCTCTCTGTCCCCAACAATCTCAAGTTCTCTTTAGAATCTCTGAGCACAAGTCTTTCCTGTCCACCTACCCTAACCAGAGAAACCAGCCAAAGTCCCTTGTTGACCAGCGTGGCGCCATCTGCAGCTTAAAGCTGGCTCCTTCTGCTCAGGGTCAGACATTCCAGTATGGTATTTGCAGCTAAGGAGAGAGTAGAAGTGAGATTCTTGGCTGAGGAGGGGCTGGCCTTTCAGGGAGCAGCTCTAGCTTTCATGTGAGGTCAGAACCTCCACATTCCTGACAGGTAGCCTCTTTGTCTACTCCTGTTACCAAATGTGACTCCAAATGTCCTGAGTGAACTTAGAGGCCACCATGACCACTTGGTCCATCTTGTGCCAATTTGTCCATGACCTTGATTTTTAATGTGAGGTGGGTTTTTGAGAGCAGCTGGTAG
This sequence comes from Homo sapiens, assembly GCF_000001405.40. NCBI lineage: Eukaryota > Metazoa > Chordata > Mammalia > Primates > Hominidae > Homo > Homo sapiens. The sequence goes on along the minus strand of NC_000009.12, from coordinate 117,392,900 downwards.
AGACCTGAGTGTCTTATTCCTGTTTTGCAAAGCTCTTTTTCTGTAACTCTGGTGGGCTCCTCTTTCTCAACCTCCTCTGCTGCTCTTGCACTATTCATCACCAGCTCTTTCTTAAAGCCTTTTTCCTCAGGGCATTGGAAACATCTGCTGGGTAGTTTCAGAAGAAAACTTCCAAGACTGATAAACTCTCTTAAGAGACTATCCCTTCTAAAATTTCAACTCTTGGTTGTAACTGACAATGAAAAGCATTTGAGCTAAGCTAACATATCCCTAAAATATCATGTAGCCTTCTGATGTGGGCAAAGGAGATTGAGTTTGACCTTAAAGGCCTATGCCCAATTAGGTTGTAAGAGTTTAGTAATCCCTTAAAATAGTAATCGGTATTAAGAGGAGCTCTTACTTCAAAAACAAAACAAACAAACAAACAGTACAAAACAAAGAAGAAAGAGAAAAGAAGACCATGACAGAAAAGAAAATAAGCTAGTAACCTTTGTGCCTATCTGCAGGGTAGATTTAAATTTGCTTCCAGAGAAGGATTAGAAGTATCTCTTGTAATCCTTGGATTTCTCCCTTTGTTTCCCCTCATTTCAATGTTTAACCTATGATCAAAGCTTATTGATTTTTCTCTCAATGTAGCTTTTGAATCCATGTATTTCTTTCCATCTCTACCTTGCTATAAGTTACTAACAACTCTGACCTATAATTCAATAGTTTCCTAATTGGTCTCTCAGATTCTGTCTTGCTCTTAATCCCCCGTCAGGCCTTCCCAATCCATTCTCACATGCTGCCAGAATGACTTTATAAACATGTACATCAAATCATGCCTCTTCTCTGCTTCAACTCATGACTTCCCGTTGTGCTTATAATGAATGCCCAAGACTATGGGAACCTACATCTTGTATCAGCATAACCCAGATGTGAGATATGGAGTCAAAGGAGATCATTTTGGAGATTTAAGATTTGACTATTCTGCCGGATTTCAGACTTGCATGGGGCCTGTATCCCCTTTGTTTTGGCCAATTTCTCCCATTTGGAATGGCTGTATTTAACCAGTGCCTGTGCCCCTATTGTATCTAGGAAGTAACTAACTTGCTTTTGATTTTACAGGCTCAAAGGTGGAAGGGACTTGCCTTGTCTCAGATGAGACTTTGGACTGTGGACTTTTGAGTTAATGCTGAAATGAGTTGAGACTTTGGGGGACTGTTGGGAAGGCATGAATGGTTTTGAAATGTGCTTACAAGATGAGATTTGGGAGGGGCCAGGGGCGAAATGATATGGTTTGGCTCTGTGTCCCCACCCAAATCTCATCTTGTAGCTCCCATAATTCCCACGTGTTGTGAGGGACCCAGTAGGAGATGATTGAATCATGGAAGCAGGTCTTTCCCATGCTGTTCTCATGATAGTGAATTGGTCTCACAAGATTTGATGGCTTTTAAAAAATGAGAGTTTCTCTGCACAAGCTGTTTTTGCCTGCTGCCATCCACATAAGATGTGACTTGCTCCTCCTTGCCGTCTGACATAACTGTGAGGCCTCACCAGCCATGTGGAACTGTAAATCCAATAAACCTCTTTCTTTTGTAAATTGCCCAGTCTTGGGTATGTCTTTATCAGCAGCATGAAAATGGACTCATACTTAAATTCATGATGACTTCCCATTGTGCTTATAATGAAATACATGGTTCCTAATCAAGGCCTACAAGATATTCAGCTTTAGCTGTCCCTTAGAATACAGTTGGCCCTCCGTATCCTTACAGTTGGCCCCTCAGATTCCTAGGGTTCCCTATCCTCCAAGTCAACTAACCTCAGATAGAAAATTAGTCCAGTCCACCCTCCATTTCTGTGAGTTTCCATCTATGGTTGGGTAAATCTATGGATGCAAAGCCTATGGATATGGAGGACCAATTATACTTGGGAAGCTTTTAAAAATACCAGGACCTGGGATCTACCTTAGGCCAATTAAATCAGTGTAACTAGGGGTAAAACAGTTTGGCAGTTTCTTGTAAAACAAAGCATACTCTTACCATGGGATCCAGTAATTGCACTCCTGGGTATATACCCAAATGAGTTGAAAACTCATGTCCACCATGAATGTTTATAGCAGCTTTATTCATAATTGTCAAAATGTGGAGGAAACCAACATGTCTGTTGTGAGGTGAGTGGATAAACAAACTGGAGTACATCCAGACAATGGGATATTTTTCAGAAATAAAAATAGATGAGCTATTAATATCAAGCAGCAAAAAGACATGGAGGAGCCTTAAAAGCATATTGCTAAGTGAAAGACACCAATCTGAAAAGGCCACATACTATATGATTTCAACTATATGACATTCTGGAAAAGGCAAGACTATGGAGACAAGAAAAAGATCAGTTGTCAGGACTAGTAGGGAGGGAAAGATGAGCAGGGTCAGAGCACAGAAGATTCTTAGAGCAGTGAAACGATTCTGTATGATACAGGAATGATGAACATCTGTTACTGGATATTTGTCAAACCCATAGAATGTACACTACAAAGACTGAACCCTAATGTAAACCATGGACTGTAGTTAATAACAGTGAGTTAATATTGGCTCATCAATTATAACAAATGGGCCACACTAACACAAGATGTAAATAATAGGGACGACTGTTTGTGGAGGGGAGAGTTAGGATATTGGAATTCTCTGTACTTTCTCATCAATTTTTCTCTAAACCTAAAACTAATAAAGTCTATTAATTTAAAAAATATCTGTATATATCTCAGGATCTGGGCCCTACCCTAGGCTAAATTGTAATAACTGAGGGTTGTTCCCAAGCATTGCTGTTTTCTCTTGTTTTTGTTTGTAATCTCTCCCAGTGGCTTAGGTGATTCCAAAGTGCCAACCTGGGTTGAGAGCCACTGCTGTCAAGGCTTGGCCTGGTTCCACCTTCACTCATGGTGCATTTCTTTTGCTTTCCAGAGACCCCAGAGGGCCTCCCTGGCCATTCCATCCTAATTAGAGTCCATGTTCACCTACCCCCGAATACACTGTCTTTCTCACAACACCCTGTTCTTTTTTTTTTTTTGTCACTCAGTAGCCACATTGCATTTGGGTATCTGTTCATGTTAATTGTCTGTGGGCCCCTCCAGACTAAACTTTTCAAGGACAGGGACTTTGTCTCTTTTTTTCAATACCGCATACCTAGTGCTTCTCCAAGCATTTGGTTCACAATTAGTACTCAGTACATGTTCACTGGATGAATGAATGAGTGAAGGAGCAAATAAATGGATAGATACCAGTGTCGAATATGGTCCTTCTTCCTGCCTCCATAGTGTCAAGTCTGAGTAGACCACTGGGGAAGAGCTAAATGGCTGGAGGTAGGTAAGACAAAGGGTGCCCATACCCTACTTCCACTCCTTCAAAAGGGCTACAGACCACAGAAATAATTTCCTCAATTATCCATGAGCATTTGCCTCTATTCCCTTTGCCTTCCAGCTGGTGGCCTGAGTCCTGAGTTTAAGTAAGAGAACGGTTGAGTTGAATTTGTCTCTGTCATTTTCATTTCCTTTCTCTGCAATCAAGTTAGTGATCGCTTGGTCAAGCTGCAGTGTAATGCAATTAGGTTTGTGTGTTCCCATCTCCTTCAAATGCCTTGGGAGCAACTTCTGCTACTGTTGGAAGCAGCTCTAGTCAATAGGCTTAAAGAAGAAAAACCAAAAGCCCTTTCTCCCCTCTTGCCCACCCCCTTTGCAGCTTCTTTCATATAGGAAATTAACCTGCTTGGATTGTGAGCAAAGGGAAGAGTGATGTAGACCCAGGACATTCACAGGTGCTTTCTGAAGCAGGGTATATTGCAAATGATTTCTTTAATCCTTGCTCAGGTTGAAGTGAAAGGCACACGCATACTATTGGAGTAGCACAGTAAGGATTAGTTAAACATTCATCTTGTTTCTGTTTGGCTTGAGATCCAGATCCTGGCATAATATCTGTACTTGTTTCTTTGCACATTGAATAAATTATTTTATGGTCAATGAGGAGTGACTGATGTCATATTTATAAAGAAGGACCCCAAGGGCAAGATAGCCTGTGAATTCTGTTGGAGGATATAGAAAGGATATAATTTTACTCTTCATGAGACTCTGGGGAAAGAGGCTGGGAAGACAAGGCAGAATTCTAGGGATTAAGGACCCAGCTAACATGAGGTTGCAAATAGTCACCAGCCCAGGCCGTCACAGGCTGTGGTTGAAGAGCTCTGACTTCTAATCTTGGCTACACTCCCAACTCTGTGAGCACCCTAACCAAGCCATCCATAGATTACAGGGTCTATCAGTTGGTCTGCAACCAATAGAAGCCAACTCTGTTTATTTAAGAAATATCCAAATATTTCTATTTGGGATGGCTCATGGAAGGATAGAATTGCTGAAGGAGCTTGCTCTGGGGATCTTGGGAGCAATAACCAGCACACAGTCTCATCAGAGCACTCCCACTAGGATGAAGGAGATCCAAGTGTCTGTCATCCTTTCCTCACTCCCATGACCTCACCGGAATTCAGAATTCTTGGGAGAGTCTCATTAGCCCAGGGTGGCCTGATATATATGTCTCATCTAGGGAAGAAGATGATACCTGGATTGATGTTCCGTCTGGGATATACATAAATGGAGAAGAGGTAGATTTTGAAAGGTGGGTCTAGGAATCAATACTAAAATATTGTTGGGTAGAAAAAGCAAGACATGTGCTCATTAGGACCTCAGAGTTCTCATTTGCACAATGGTAGTGGTTTTCAAAATCCCTATTTTGTCATCAAAGCCTTTCTTCAAATGGAATCTTGGATGGCTCCACTGTGAAGAGTGCTGTAAAAACTAGAGCAAAGCTGAACTTCTCTGGCTGAGGGAAGGGTGAAGGGGCCCAAAGCCCTTCCTTGTAGGCCTTCTCTTCCCCTTTCTGAAGTGGTTCTTGAGCTTTGTGAAGTACAGTGAGATACCACTAGGCTCTATGATCTCCAGGGCCCCTTTCAGCTCTAGCCTTTGCAGCAAAACAGAGCATCAAATCAAGGGCTCTATAAAGACCAGGTGAGGGTGATCATGGAAGTAGTTTTAGGATTTCATAATCTTTATGTGCCTGGCAAAAGTGATGACTTTCTTGTGGCCTGCTCTGCATGCCACAACCCACGTCCAGAAGTCAGGACTCCGCATTTCTCTCCAGAAACAAAGAGGATTTGCCTTAGGGGAATGATGCTAGGAAGCCTGTGGATCTTCTGGTTCAAGCTCTGTTTTTATCTCCAGCCTCGTATCCTGCCATTCTCCCTGTGATTCTTTGCTTTTCCATCTCTGCTGATCTTATCTTCCCACTAATGTAACAGACCCACTTCTGCCTCTTGGCCTTTGCACAGGCTGTTTCTAGTTCCTGGAAACATCTTGCCTCTACCCCTTTTTGCCTGACTGACTCCTGCTCATTTTTCAGATTCTAAGTTAATGTCACTCTCTCAGAGAAGCCTTCTCTGACTTCTTAGTTAGAGCCAGTCTCCCTGTTTTATATATAAGTTCCTGCTATTGGCAGCACTTAATCACAGATTTTAATTATATATTTGTTTCTATTTGATGTTTGTCTTTTCTACATTCACTCACTGAAAACTCATTGAAGATAGGAATTATGTCTTTATTTTGTATTAAAAAGATATTTGTTGAAGGAAGAAATAAATACAGAATATAGTGTACTTAAATTATTGTTTCAATTCAGTGAGGATATACTGAGCACCTTCTGTATACCAGGTGCTCAGCTAGAAGCTGGGGATGAATCTCTGAATAGTATATAGATACAAGCCCCTGTGTTGCTCATTTTCTTGGTAAGAAGAACTTTCCTATTCTCCTGTTTAATCCACAGCCAACCCCAGGAGATCAACAGGGTGTAGACTGTGAGGCCTAGAGAGGTCAAGGGACCTTCCCAGGGTCCCAGAGGGTGTTGGTGGCAGGACTGGCCCCTAACCCACTGCTGTTCTGCTTCTCCCATTCTTGCATAGAGTAATGGAGTTAGTGAAAATGGGCTTTCTTTTACAACACAAAGTGTTGCTCTTCTTTCTCCTAGGGAGAAAGTAGTAAGCTCTGTGGGTGTAGGAGGAGGAAAATAGCAGGAGCTTAGCCAAGGAGGGTGCTGCAGCACATGTGGGTCTTCATAGTCCAGGAAGGGTGAGTGACACCCAAGGGGCTGAGGAGCTGGCATTCCAGAGTGGCATGCACTCTGCCCTCAGAGAGGGAGGCATTCACCTGGGACCTTGCCGTCCTAGGACCTTACAGAACTTACCTCCTGCTTCCTGCACCTGCCCCTTTCCAGCTCCACCTCACCTCCCATGTCTTTTTCAGCTCTCCTTCCCAGAACTGCAGTCCAAAGACAGCTCGTGGTCCATCCTGGTCCCTGAAATGTTGGCCCTAGAATGGTGGCTCCTGAGGTGTATTAAGGCTGATCAGCTGAGGTTAGCTCCTGCTGGCTAAGAAGAGCACCATGTTCCTAGGTCCCTGAGACTTGTCAGACCATGGCAGCAGAATGGGTACATATCCATGTCTTCCTGACTCGCATGTCTTCCACTCCATTTAACCTGGAGGCTGTCAGCTGCTCCATGTTAACTGCGAATAGCGGTGCATTTCCAGTTCTCTCCAAACTAGTAACAGAGGGTGGTCCTCATAAAGATATAGTCTTCTTTGACTGCTGGCAGAGTTTCTATGAAACTCTATGTGAAAGCCAGTGGGACTGGCTTTATTATTTTCTTCTTGTCTGAGTATGAAATGTCTGCTTTTTTTTTTCCCCTCCTTTCCTCCTGATCTTTGTCAAAGAGTGACAGCTTCTCTAATTAGGCAGTTAAGAAGGTAACCTTAGCAACTTAGAGCTGGCAGTGGAGAAAGGGACAGGGTTCCAGGGACCCCACTTGCCTGAGCACTGGGCCTTCCTGGCAAGGTACCATATCCCCTTCATCTATTATCATCCCCCACCATTGCCCCTTTGGGGCTGGCCCCAAAGCTTCCTGGGCATTCCCTGCTGCCACCAGAAATTCACCCCCAGCTTCATCCTCTTTTGATCATGAAATATAACTCCTAGGTGCAGAGAATTTTTTACTCCTTTCTCTCTCTTCTTTTGTCTCAGTTTAGCTCTCCTTTTTCCTTTTTGTCCCTTTTTATCACTCTTTCCATATCCTCTCTCTTGCTCCTTTCTTTTTCTCTTTCCTCCCCTCCTTTTCCCTGCTTCCCTCTGTCGTTCCTAGGGGCACACAGAAGCCTAGAGATTTGTGCATGCTTGCTTGAGCTGAACAGTCCTTACCCAACCATGCCACCCCATGGTCTTGATCAAGCAGTTGTCAATGTTTCCTATCCTCCTACTCCTGCATCCCCTCACTCTTGTCTGTACTCATCCCTTGCCTGACTGCCTGTTTCATTCCCATCTTTCAAGGCTCTTCTCTGGGAAATCTTTTCCACCTAGCCTTCCCCTCCCCTTGCCTCCCCTTGTTCTCACAGATCTCTCTCTGTCTAAAATCCATATTCAATGATTATTGGGTGGACCACATACTCTAGAAACAGTTAAAAATTATTTTATTTTTTAACACTGTATGGTTTCCTGAGTTTGAGTTATGGTTCCCAGTAGGTGAAGGGATAATCTATTCCCTTATGGCTGGGCACAGTGGTTTATGCCTATAATCCTACCACTGTGGGAGACTGAGGTGGGAAGATCACTTGAGGCCAGGAGTTCGAGGCATATTCCCTTATGTTCCTTTCACAGTTAATATATTAATAGGCATGATGTGTACTTATAATTCATGTGCATACTTTGAAATAAAAAGAATGTTATGATTCTTTTTTTCCTGAAGTGAAGAATCCAGAAAGCATCAAAAACTTCGATACTATATATAGTGGAGTTCATCATTATGGGTACTCAGTACACTGGAACTGAACTATGGACAGGAAAGGAAATACTGAGGTATTTGTTGTGGATTTCCATCATCCCATTTATCTGTTCTCCAGTTTTCCCAAACTCCCTTTTATCCATTTATCCATCTGATCATCCTACCACTGATTCATCTATTTGCCATCCACCTATCCTCCCTTCCACCCCTTCATCCAACATCCATTCACCCATCTATCCACCCATTCCCTTTGCTAGGGATTGAAGTAGGATTGGGAAGAATGATGTATACTCAACTCTAACCCCAAAGTACAATTTGACAAAATCAACGAGATAAATGTTCTGAGTCTTAGCAGATGAGATCAGAGAGCTCTAAACCTGGGAGGGCCTTTCAAGATTGTCACAGTCAACCCTCTCAGTGTATCATGTGGAAGCCATGGCCCATAGGAAATGACTTGCTGAGAGTTACTTATCAAGTTAGTGGGAGAACCAAGGTTGGATTAAAAGAACATTAGAGCTGAAATAGATTACTCAGTTTAACTTCTTTTCACAGAAGGGAGAGCAAAGTGCAGAGGTGGGAAGGGACTCGTATCACATCTCTAGTCATTTATCTGGTAGCAAAACTAACATTGGAGTGAAGATCTCCTGGCTTGGTTAGGCCGAGATGTGTTATACTGTAAAAGGACCAGTGATTCACTCAGGTGAAGGTTATCTTGGGTTTCGCTTTTGTCTTTGAATCAACATCCCATCCAATATTTCTCCTAATCAACCACCTCACTTTCCCAAAACTTCCCAAGATACCTTGAGTTCTGGGTAAAACCTGAGTGTACATCCATCTCTTTCTTTGGCAACCCAGCATAATCCTATATGGCCACACTGCCTGCTCACCTTCCAAGGACTATGATTTGCAGTCACGCAACCCCGCCCAGCAGCTCAGTCCCACCGCCCATATTTGAGCTGCTCTACCGATATTCCCAGGTAGCACTGCAGCTGGCTGCTGAAGCCAGATCCCAGGAGCCGAGATGAAGATCTTGGCTGCTGACACAAGATAAGTGGAGAAGTAAATGGTGATTTTCTGCCATGTGAGCCCCTGTTCGTGGATTTCATCATTTAATGGAAGTGCAGTAAATAAAAGCCATTGTTACAATATGCCAAGCAACAGGTTAGGAACATCTGAGCAGCTGGAATTGATAGAAGGGAGCTGAGCGTAACAAATCTCCCCAAATTGCACCCGGCTCCATTTGTATCAGCTCCCAGACTGCATCTCCAAATTATTGTGCAAAGCAATTATTTCTGAGCTGGAGCTTTTGGACAATGAGGCATGTGGGTTGGGGTATACTTTCATGGCTTCTTGTTAAATATATATATTTTTTCCACTTTCTGTTAGCATTTGAGCCCTGATTGAATTTTACCTCTACTCGCCTTCAATATATTTCTCCTGACTTTGGAGGCTGAATTCATTCTTCAAGTTCATCAAATGAAATCTCTTCCAGGCAGCCATTCTCCCCACCCCCAGCCCCCACAAGTGTTACAGTTCAAAGCAACACACTTTTTAAATTGAAGTTGAATTTGCATGCAATGAAATGTAAACACTCAAGTGCACATTTCAGTGAGTTTTGACAAATGTATATATTCATGTAACTGAGAACATTTCTATCACCCCAGCAAGTTCCTGAGTAATTCCTTCCAGTCAGTCAGTTTGTAGGCACCCACTGGTCTGATATCTCTAACTATTAATTTTGTCTATTTTTGACCTGCTATAAATGGATACAAACAGTACAGGAGTCAGCAAACTATGGCCTGTGAGCAAAATATGGCTCATTGCCTCTTTGTATGTCCTGTGAGCAAAGAATGGTGTTTACATTTGTAAATGGTTAGAAAGAAAATCAAAAGAAGAATGATATTTTGTGACCCATAATTATTATAAGAAATTTCAGATTCAGTGTTTAAAAATAGTTTTATTTGAACACAGCCACGCTTATTTGTTTACGTATTGTCTGCGGTTGCTTTTACTCTATATTGGCAGAGTTGAGTAGTGACAGAGACTCTCTGGTCCCCAAAGCCTAATATATTTACTGTCTGGCCCTTCACTAAAAAAGTTCTGCCTTCTGGATATAGTATTCATTCTTTTGTTTCTGACATCTTTTCTCAGTCTAATATTTTTGAGAGTCATCTATTGTGTATATGGATGGTTCACACGTGGCCATTTTTAGTCCTTTGCCTAGATATTATGTTTTCCTCCTTTGAACTCGTACAGCAGGAATGGCAAATAGGGTTCACTTTCCCCACCACTGCCTCTCTCTGTGCTCACGGCATTCATTCCTGATTAATCGTGGTCTATTTTCCTGCTGGGCCTGGGCTTGAGCTCAGAACTGGTCTTAACCCAGTGCTCCAAAGCAGTCACTACTAATAGATTCGAGTTGGGTGTGTGTTGAAAGTCATTTACCATCCCTGGCCTAGGAGCATTCTAGTGTAGAGCAAAGATGCAAAGAACTTTGGCATCAAGCCTGGATTTAACTCCCTATGCTGCCACCTACCACCTCTGTGCATTTGGGCAAGTTAGTCTCCCCGAGCTTTAATTTCCCGTCCTAAACAGTGTGAATAATCAACCTCATTGGTTTGTTGTGAGCATAAAAAGAAACATGGATATAAAATGCCTTGTTCAGTCTCTGGCACATATTAGGTGCAAAATAAATGTCTCTGCAGATCAGACTTGTTCTGTTTTCCCAAACCTGCTGTCCCTCCTGGCTCTTGAACTCAGAATAATGCTAGTCCTCCACACCTAGTCATACTCTGTTCCCTCCATGCACACACATGCCAACCCCATCACCCACTCTTGACCTCGCTTTTCTCACTTGGACTCCTACAACTGGGCACCCTCTACACTTTCTTGACTCCCTCCAAGTCATGTTGACCAGCCCAAGTAATAGAATTGTTATTACCTTGCATAGAATTCCCCATCAGCATCCCATTATTCTGAGGACAAAAACCAAGCCTAAAGGGTACTCATGATCTGCCCTGCCTATAGCTCTAGACTTAAGTGCTATCACTCTCTCTTGCTCCCAGCACTCCAGCCACATTGACCTTGACCTCTATTCTCCCTGTGAACCATATCTTCTCTCCCTTGGTCATTTACATATACTTTCTTGTGACCAGAACACTATCCTTATTTTTACCCTCTCTACCTCATTCATTCTTTTCTTAAAATTTACTTTTTACTTAAGATATAATTCACATACCATAAAATTCACCCTATTAAAGGTGTAAAATTTAGTGGTTTTTCATATAATTATGAACTTGTTGTATTAGTCTGTTCACACATTGCTATAAAGAAATACTGGAGACTGGGTAATTTATAAGAAAAGAGGTTTAATTGGCTTATGGTTCTGCAGGCTGTACAGGAAGCATGGTGGCATCTGCTTCTGGGGAGGTCTCAGGGAGCTTTTGCTCATGGTGGAAGGCAAAGCAAGAGCAGGCTTCTTAATATGGCAAAAGCAGGAGCAAGAGAGAAAATGGGGAGGTGCCACACACTTTTAAGTGATCATATCTCACAAGAACTCCGTCACTATCTTGAGGGTGGTACCAAGTGGATGGCACTAAACCATTCATGAGAAATCCACCCCCATGATTCTGTGACCTCCCACCAGGCCCCACCTCCAACACTGGGGGTTGTATTTCAACATGAGATACATGTTGGAATGTATCTCATATTGGATGAGGCAAATATCCAAGCCATATCACTTGTGCCACTATCACCATTATCCACTTCCAGACCATTTCATGACCTCCAAAGAAACCCCACAACCATTAGCAGTCACTCCTCTTTTCCCCATGCTGTAACCACCAATCTATTTTCTGTCTCTTCAAATTTTCCTATTCTGGACATTTCATATAAGTGAAATCATACAATATGTGGTCTTTTGTGACCTTCTTTCACCTAGAAATGTTTTCAAAGTTCATCCATATTGAAACATCTATCAGCACTTTATTTCTTTTTATCAACTGTATGGATAGACTACATTTTATTTATCCATGCATCTGTTGATGGACATTTGGATTGCTTCCACTTTTTGGTTATCGTGAATAATGCCTCTATAAACATTTGTGTACAAGTTTTGCATGGACATAGGTTTTTATTTTCCTTGGGTATATACCTAAGAATGGAACTGCTGGGTATATGGTAATTCTGTTTAAGTTTTTGAGGAACTGCCAAGTGGTTTTTCAAAGTAACTGCACCATGTTACCTTTCCATCAGCTACTAGGTTTCCACTTGCTCCAGATCCTCACCAACACTTGCTAATGTCTGTCTTTACCCTAGTGGGGTGAAGTGGTACCTCATTTGCCTAGTTCATGCTTACCTATCCTTTAGACCCACATCATATATCACTTCAGTCAAAGAAGATGTACCCAGCAGCCCCACCCCTGACCAGAGCAGGTTATCTTTTTTTTTTTTTTTTTTGAGTCTTGCTCTGTTGCCAGGCTGGAGTGCAGTGGTGTGATCTCAGCTCACTGCAACCTCCACCTCCTGGGTTCAAGTGATTCTCCTGCCTCAGCCTCCCGAGTAGCTGGGACTGCAGGCGCACAACACCACCCCCAGCTAATTTTTGTATTTTTAGTAGAGACAGGGTTTCACCATGTCGGCCAGGATGGTCTTGATCTCTTGACCTCGTGATTTGCCCACCTTGGCCTCCCAAAGTGCTGGGATTACAGGCATGAGCTACCATGCCTGGCCTGGTCATCATTCTTTTATAGCATCCTGTGATCTCTTTCTCCAGAAAACTTATCATGCTTTGTGAGTTATACGTTTGTTTTTATGATGCTCGATTACTATGTGACCACCACACTCAACTCTAAGCTCAAGGAAGGTAGAACCCTTCTATTGTATTTTCAGATTCCAGCACGGTGCCTTGCCTGAAGTAAGTACTGTGGAGTAAAAACATAAATGGATCCCTTCATCTTTTTCAGAGCCCACCTTCTCCTGCTATATCCTCTCACATCCTGTTGTTTCTCGTTCTCTAAAACCTTTCACATTAGTGTCTCATGTTTTTCTCCTGATTCTTGCCTTGATTCTTCTTATCCATCTTCTACAGAGTTGTCAGATTGATCTTTGTAAAGTACTATTTTAAAAAATATGCCACTCCCTCCCCTTCACCCAGAAAATATCCATAGCTATCTATTATATTCCAAATAAAGTACAAACTTTTCAGCCATGTTAATGGAAATTCCCCAAGGTGATAAATCCTATCATCCAGCTCTGATAAAATATATAGATGAGAGAACAATTATGGAACTTTCTTCTTATTTTATCTTCTTTTGAATTTTCTCTCTCGTTTTAAGTAATTTGGCATACATCTCAGTGCTTCTAATGATCTACATGCTCCTGGAGGACAGGATAGCATCTTATTCATCCTTGGACACCCTGCCATGGCTCACAAGTGCCTGGTTTGAAGCAAACTCAGTAAATGTTTGTTTACTTCAATTACATTTTATTATTCCTCCCAAGAGAAACATTTACACTGCTAATGGAGGCCTTCGAAGGCTTAACTGGAAGGATTAAGGGTGGAGTTCCAGTCATCTAAGGCAGGATGACTGGAGAGAGATTTTTGGAGCCAGCCAGTCACCATCACTTCACCTTGTCAAGGCTGCCTCTTCTACATAAACCTGGGGCTAGTTCTCCCTGAGTCAGTGGGTGGTAGTTTAGTAACTCTCCTCACCAGCCGAAATGAACACCGGGTCCCTTTGCTCCTGCAAGGGGCGTCTTGCCTCACAAGCCTTTTTCGCTGCCTACGCCCGGCTCTAGACTGTCGTGGTGGGGAAGCATATCAAACTCTTTATTTCTGATGACAGCAGTTTGACTCAAAGACTGCATTAGTCTGTCCTCAAATGGATATAAAGAAGTACCCCAAAGGCTGGGTAATTTATAAATAAAAGAGGTTTAATTGTCTTACAGTTCTGCATGCTTTACAGGAAATATAGCAGCTTCTGCTTCTGAGGAGTCCTCTAGAAGCTTCCAATCATGGTGGAAGGCAAAGAGGGAGCATGACGTCTCACACGGCAGGAGTAGGAGCAAGAGAGAGCAAAGGAGGAGGTGGTGCATACTTTTAAACAACCAGATCTTGTAAGAACTCGCTATCCCTAGAACAGCACCAAGGGGATGGTGCTAAACCATTCATGAAGGATCCGTCCCCAGAATCCAATCACTTCCCACTAGGCCCCACCTCCAACACTGAGGATTACAGTTGAAGAGATTCGGGTGGGGACACAGATCTAAAACATATCTAAGACATATTTACTTTTCCCCTTGATGAGTAGGAAGGACCCAAAGGTATTCAGAGAATTTGGGAGGGATAAAGTGTGGAGAAGGTTTCCAGAGGTTCTTAAACACTGCCTTGGTGGGTCAAGGACAGAGCAGAAACTTGAACCCCTAGTTTTAAGACACACTCAGTCTGGTTTTCTCCCACCTTTTCCCAAGAAGGGGGCAGTGGATATGTGTTTGTTGAAAAGGAGGAAAGGGAACAACTGATGTTCGTAATGTCTCCCTGAGAATGGTGTTTTCTTCATACTGCAAATAAGGAGTCAAAGGCTCAGTGTGGAAAAGCAACTTGGCCGAGGCCACAGGCCAGCCAGTGGCAGAGATAGCATCCTGAACAAGACCACCACAACACATTATTCCCAGGTATTGTGTCATATAAAGTTCCCCTGCTATCCAGTGGAAATCTGCCTCCATAACATGGACACCCAAAGATCTAGACCTTGAAGATGGTGGAAACACTCTGGACTAGGTACCAGGAGCCCTGGATCTACTCCCTGACCCCACTCTGTGATGTTAGACAGGTCTCTTCTTCTGTCTTGTCTGCTCTCCCATCTGAGAAATGATGATGTGAACCTACCTGCCAAGCCTTTTGTTGTTCTCATCACCTGTGGAAATGAATTTCATTGTTTAATTTATACTTTTCAAAATTACAGAATTAACATATAAAGCCATTCCTTTTATAAAAATATAAACGCAACAAAATCATGTGGGGTAGAAAGTGATAGTTCCATTCTGCATCCCCTTTCTCACTTTCCTACCCAGAGACTATCACTGGTAACGGGTGTTTATTCTTCTCACTTATTTTTCTCTTTAATTATAGCCACATGTATGGATAAATCCAAATATGCATCTGTCATTTCCTCCAATACAGAATCATTGCGCTATTATTTTGACACTTGTATGTGTATCTTTGTTTTTTACTTTAAAATGATTGGAAATCTTTCAACATTAGAATATTTGGATCCATATCATTATTTGTAATGACATTATTCTGTAGTATTGATTACTATAATTTATTTCCTATTGATGGACATTTATGTTATTAAAAGTATGCTACAGTGAACTTTTTTGTGTATATATTATATATATATATTTATATATAGCTTCTTGCCATGTGCATTTCTGTAAGTTACTCAGCAGCAGTATTATGAGGTCAAAAATATGGACTTTTTAATTTTCATAGATATTGCTGAAATGCCCTCTTAAAAAGCGATCCTAATTTACACTCAGAGAGTCAAGGTGTAATTTTAGATATGGCAACAAATGCATGGGACGTTTATGGGTTCAGGATGCTGTCCATCACCAGTCAAACCACCCTCTGCAAGCCATTAGCAATTCTGTTTACAGGTGAGGCGGGTCCTGCCCCAAGGGCCTTCTCTGCCTGGTTTCCTGCAGTTTAGTGCCTGCATAGCTTCCAAAACAGGGTTTTAGAAAAGGCTTTGCAGAATGGGGAGGTGGCTTGGTTAACCTCCTGCCCTATTCAGAGCCCTGGGCTTCCTGAAACAGTCCCAGTGGATCGCCAAGGGCTGGCCAACAGCTGACTAATAGGTGCTGTGGCATCTGGCCTCTCTCGGCTTTCGGCCAAATCCCGAGGAGTTCAAAAGACCTCTCCAACTCCCTCATCCATTCCTAGCAGAGGCCCACCACTGAACTCCCTGAATAATGCATTGCATTTATCCCCTCTTGGTCTGATGGATGGCTGAGCTTTTCCTTTATCCACCTGCCTTCCTTCGTTTGTCTGCCTGGAGTTTCTAAGCTCTCAGCTGTACCTTGAGCATAGGCAAGAGAAGGGAGTGGTTGTTTTTTTTTAAAGATTAGTTGCACAGCTAGCGGTCTGTCTTCAAACAAAGGCCAGATGTCTTTGTTTCTTACTCTAAAACCTGAAATCAGGACAGAGGAGAGAAAATAAAAATGCCTACCATTTATTGAGCTCCTATGATGTGCTAGATGCAATGTTGGACACCACACAGGCATTATCTCATTTTTTCTTCCCAAGAAAACATCATAGCCCCGATTTTCCAGTTCAGAAACTGATCCCAGAAATGTGACACAGCCTGGTTGTGACTACAGTCAGAAGATCTGGAGCTTGAATCCATATCTAGTCTATTTAGCTCAGGCTTCGCTCCTCCCACAAATCCTGCTTTGCCTGGCTGCTGAGAAGGAAAAATTTTGCCTTTTGTCACACTTATCAACATTCAGCTAACCCCTAAATATTTCTTGGTATTTCCTAAAATGCAAAGTGGCAGATCACCTACAACTACTCCCATCAACCCAGAGAATCACCAAATCTGTCTTAAAATCATTCATAAGGATTATTCATTTTGAATTGGCCATTTATCCATTTGAAAGTGCCAAATGGTTTATCTGTCTGACATTTTCCTGGAGGCGACATACTATGGGAAGGGGAGAAAATGGAGTTTGATATTGTACTAGTTTGGGTTCAGATTCCTATCTTGCCACTTACACATGTCCCAAAGTACTCACTTTACCTCTATGAACCTCAGTGTCTTCTTTAGCAAAATGAGCTTATTAGGGTTTCTACTACAGTTAAGTGTGCTTCTGCCATCCTGTGGTGGGCTCAATAATGGTCCCCCAAAGATGTCCATATCCTAATTTACTAACCTGTGAATATTCTATGCCATATGGAAAAAGAGACTTTGTAGATGTGATTAGGTTAAAGATCTTGGGATGAAAAGATTATACTGGATTATCTAGGTGGGCCCTATGTAATCACTGTGTCCTTATAAGAATCAGGCAGTGGCATTAGACTCATCGAGGGGGATGTGAAGATAGACATACAGAGAGACTTGAGGGCTTTGAAGTGGGAGGAAGGTGCCAGGAGACAAGGAATGAAACTCTAGGAGCTGGAAAAGACAAGGAAAGGGGCTATCCCCAAGAGCCTCCAGAAGGGAATGCAGCCCTGCTGACACCTTGATTTTGCCCCACAAAAGCCCACTTTGGACTTCCGACCTGCAAAACTGTTTGCACTGTTTTATGCCACTAAGTTTGTGGTCATTCGTTACAGCAGCAATGGGAAACTCACACACATCCTCACTAAGTGGTGGGCTTAAAGTCTGTAGGGCAGATGGACTTGAGCTTGAATCTCCTGCTTCTGTACTTGCAAGCTGTGTTTCACTTTTTCCTTCTTGAACTTCCATTTCCTCACGTGCAATACGTGGTTAATGATGACTCTAATAGGATTTATGAGGACTGTATAAGATCATGTGTTAAACAAAATTCCTGGCACAAAATAAATGCTTGCTCGTGGAAGTTATTATTTTCCTTGACCTACGACTGTGAACTGGTGGTACAGACATTGGTTGTGGAAGGCTTTGATGAGCTTTGTGTAGTCAAATGGAGAAAACATGGGCTTTTGTGCCAGAGAGACAGAGTTTTGAATGCTGGACTGTGGTATTTGTTAACTCTTTGACCCTTGGAGAATAAACTTGAACTTTTGTGAAGGATGATGACCTTCCAAACACAAATTCAGGCAAGGTTAAATGAATATACCATGCAAACTCTGGCCCAGACATTTCCCTCCAGACTGAGCCCTAGAGGGCAGGCCAAGGACTCTTCCCTTGTCCATCTCTCTGTCCTTACAAACTAACAGTGTGTGGTGCATACATGTACAGGAGGATGTTTCTTGTTGAAACTGAACGTGCTGGGAGGGAATTTGATCTAGTACTAACTAAGTAAACCCCAGTCTAGGTAAGGATTTGGGATTAGGGAGATCCAGAGGAAGAAGGATTGGTTCTAAAGATGATCTTGGTAGCTGAGTCAACTGGAAAAAGACAGGGTGGGGAACCACAGAAGCTGAGCAGGATCTGAAATGATGGGTCTTCAATTCTGGGTTGACAGTATTCGGTTTGTCCAGATAGTCAGGCTTCTGGTCAACCTGGATTATTTCTCCTTCATGCAATGCCTACAGCTCCTCTTTTCCTTTGGTAGGTGCTCCTGGTGAGAAACTAGCCCTTATTTGTACCTTACTTCTGTTAACCCCAGGTCTCAAAATGAGGCTTTATTCAGCAAGACTATACCTCTCCCAGTCCTGCTGCATTGTCAATTTGCCAGGAGGATTAATAAAATGACATTGCAAGGGGCTTTGAGCTCTACCAGACTTGGTGCCTTCTTTTGTATTTGAATTATTTCCATCATTATTCTTTGTTTACTGCCTTTGAGTTAATTTTCAAGCCTTGCAGCTATGCAGCCTCTCCCAGTCCATTTGAATTAATTTTGTGAGAAACATTTTTGAGTTATTGTGGTCCAGATTAAGTCATCTTGTGATCTTTTCATCCATTGTCTTTGTAATTCTATTGAAAAGCTCTCATGTTTGCGGGCTGCGATCTGTGCTTTTTTTTTTTTTTTTTTTTTTTTAACCCTGCCCTTATGCAGCCTCATAATTCTTTTGTTTTCCTGGGTTGTGTCCAATTTGTTAATCCTTGTTATAGAAGAGCAATAAAAATGGCAAGACATGGGTCCTGCCAGCATGAGGCAGAGACTGGGGTGAATCCCAGCTCGAGCAATGATTAGTGGCTGTCTTGGATGATTTGCTTCCCCATCCTAAGCCCTGCTTCCTAGTCTGGAAAATGGGAAGAATCCAGGGCTGGCTTACAAGTGGACGATTGAATGGGTTGCTATATCTGAAAATATCTGCCACATAACAGTTGCAAGTATTTCCCCCACTTTCTTCATTCTTAAAGCTTCTATTTCATGTATTTTTCCCCTTCTGTCTAAAAGATCAATATGACATTTGATGTTGTAAAAAATTTAAGCGTATGTTCTGCTGCTGTTCTTCAGTGACTTCTCAGAAATAATCATTAAGTGCTTCAGTAACTCTATTAGCTCTTCCCTGGAACATGTTAGGATATGTGCTGTCCAACCTGCTAATTTGTGTTTTCCCCCAAATCCCTAAGTATTTCCTTAACTGCTTTCTGTCGTAGATACTTCTGTGAGATCTTAATTACTTCCTAATTGTCCACATTTCTTTTCTTTTCTTTTTCTGGCAAAATACAGATCATAAAAGATGAGATCAGGACCTTTGCCACCTTAGAATCATCACTAATTTCCTTTCTCCCTCATTATGAAGGCAGGAATATGTTCCAGTTTGCTGTCTGATTTCCCACCTGGGTTCCTTCTATGAACTCTTGATAATCTCTGCATCTCTATAATCACATTTCCCCTTCAAAAGAGGCCTTTCTGAATGGATGTTCCTCACATTACAAGAGCATATTTCACTGGTCTGCATCCCTTAGTTTGACCTTGAAGTTTTCTACTACAATGGATAATAGTTTACTGGTATCTGTTAAATACAAGGCACCCTGGGTGGTACCAGGGAAGCCAAAATAAAGATAACCCTTTCCTTGGCTTGAGCACCTCACACAGATAAACATGTTCTCAAATAACAAATAATAAAATGTCATTAAAAAGCATCTTAGCAGCCAGTGGAACACAAGCAAGACTTAACGGAGTTTAAGCAGATGGGTATCACAAAAATCTATAGAAGTCTTTTAAGGAGTTTGTTTATAAGCCATAATTTCTGCATCTGTAAATGGAATAATTAACACTGACTTTTCAGTATGGGCATAAAATTAGATAAATTTTAAATGCGTGGCTCATACTTAGCCCTCAATAATAATGAGTGTGTTCCTCTAATAACAATGATGCGAATGACAGCAATGAACCTTGCCCCATGCTCACTTTCAGGTGGCAAATCAGGGAGCACCATCATCCCCAATGTAGAAATGAGAAAACTGAGTCTCAGAGAAGTTCAGTGACTTACCAGACATGATGCTACATCTAAGAAGTGTTAGAACCACGAGAATCAAGTAGAAATATTCCGGTTCCAAATCCAAGTTTTTATTTTGTTCCTCTTTGTTCCAATGTGCTTACAAACAAGAATCTGCTTGAGGAATTTGCAAAGGATTCCTCCCTGCAGCCAACACCATCCAGGGGTTAGCAGGGAAAAAGTGACAAGCTGCAAACCCTAAGGGTTTGGTGCACAGATTAGCCAGAACATATTTAAAAATTTTTAAATCTATTAATAATAGATAAAATTAATTCAATATCATGTATTCAGAACCTGCTATGTGCCAGGCATTTTATTGTATTGTATGCTTTGTATTTATCATCTCATTTAATTCTTGTAACATTTTGAATTACGTACTGTTATTATATCCAGTTTGCAGATGAAAGGAAACTGAGGCTCAGTGAGATGAAGTGAGTTACCTAAATATACATAGCTAATAGGCAGCAGCATTAGCATTTGAAGCCTTCCAATTCAGGATTCTAGCTTGTGATTATGGAAACATCCCTCACCTCTCAAATGGCCATATGAATGGGGTCCAGGAGTGCAGATCTAGCCATTGCATCAGAAGGTTTGGTAAGACTTGCTAACTAGTACCAATATCTGACTGATCATTGACTTAGGCTCCTTCTTCCTTCTTCACCCTCTGGGGGAAGATTCAATGAGCCAGTAAATGATCAAAGGGCATTGGAAAGAGAGAGGAAGAGGCAGGTGCAGGGCTAATGTGCCAAGGACATAATCACCCTTTGAGTCATTGCATTGACTGGATGCTAATGTGCACACACTGGCCTCGGGGACTGCAGTCGGGCCTCTTACAGCTTCTATATTGAGGATGCTCAACAAGGCACTAGAAATATCAGTATCTACTTTGCCAAGTAGTGTTAAAGATTCCCTGCAAACCCTACTCAGTTAGGACCAGTCTACCACTTCTCACAAATGAGAGAAGGGAAGCTCCTTTCGGGTGAATGCTCCTGAAATGCAAGAACTTTGAGACAGGTATGCAAGGCAGACGAAGAGCCCTGCCTGGGTGTAGGAGATCATCACTGGCTCTCTGAATGAACCTGTGTGAAAGGTGGCGGGTGGGGTTTCTTCTCTCTGAGTCTCAGTTATTTCCTCTGTAGAATGAGAAAATTACACTCTACAGGAGCCTCCTTAATTTAGCATCCTAAATCCACTGATGATCCATCAGTGCTTTGACACCTAGCAATAATAACAATTTTATGAAATGCTTTCCATCTTTCAGACACTAAGTGCTTCAGGTATTATTAATCCTCACGACAACCCTATGAGATGAGATGTGACTCTATTCTGACTTTACAGATCAAGAAATTGAGGCACAAGGAGATTCTGAGCCTTGCTGAAGGTCACACAACTATTGGGGGGAAGATGGGATTCAAATCCACGTTATCCAGCTCCTAAGTTTGTGTTTTTAACTTCCTTGGAAACATTCCTTGGAAACATTGCTCCCCAACTGGCTGTCAGCAGGTGAAAGGACACTTTACAGGAATAGCACTACGAGAATTTGAGGCCTTGCTATTTTTGTTCAAGTTTTGCTTGGATTAGGGAGGCAAGGCAGGGAGGGATGTTACCATATTAAAAATATATAGACCCTTTTAGTTTTTATGTTGGGATGAGTTTGACTTGGAATGAAAAATCCCCAGTTGTGTGCGGAATGTCCAACTGGATTTAGTCTTGGCCTTCCCTCGGGATTGTTATGGGTATTTGATAATGTAGGGACATCCAGCTGGGTTTACTCTTGGCCCTCCCTTAGGATTGTTATGGGTATTTGATAATGTAGGGACATCCAGCTAGGTTTAGTCTTGGCCCTCTGTTGGGATTGTTTTGGGTATATGATGAAGTAGGGACATCCAGCTGGGTTTAATTTTGGCCCTTCTTTGGGACTGTTGGGGGTATTTGATAAGGTAGGGACATCCAACTGGATTTAGTCTTGGCCTTCCCTTCAGATTGTTGTGGTTATTTAATAATGTAGGGACATCCAACTGGGTTTAGTTTTTGCCCTCCCTTGGGATTGTTGGGGGCATTTGATAATGTAGAATTTAAGCTTAGGCCAGGAGTTGTGGCTCATGCCTGTATCCCAGCTACTTAGGAGGCAGAGGTGGGAGGATGACTTGATCTCAGGAGTGTGAGGCTGCATTGAGAGAGCTATGATTTCATCACTGCACTCCAGCCTGGCCAACAGAGCAAGACTCTGTCTCTAGGGGGAAAAAAAAGAGTTTGACATGTGGGGGTTAAAGGAACCTGAATTTAATTTCTGGACACTTATTAGCTGCCTGATCTTAAGCAGATTACTTAATTACTCTGACTCATTTTCTTGTTTATATTTAATAAAATAGGAGCTATAATAGTACCTACTTTAAAAAGGTTTTGTGAGTATCAGATGACTGAATTAGGTAAAGTGCTTTCTAAACTGTAACATGTTCTTTGGAAGATTGAAGAAGGCTAGAACATGGATGACATTTTTGGCCATCTATTTCTTTTTCAGATACTTCTTTCTCCCAGTACCACCCTGAGGACTCAACAACAGCTTAGAGGCCGTGTGCCTTTGGTGTTCACCGAGGCATTGCTGGGCCAGGGAGAAACAGGGTGATTGATTTGTTTTCCATTGACTGTGCATGATGAAAAGTTGCTTTTGTTTTTTGTTGTTTTTTCCCTTTTCTTCTTTTGTCCTGGGAATTATATTTTTCGTTGAGTGTTGTTAATGGAAAGCACTGAACCAAATTCCCTCAAATTGAATTTGGCTGTCTGAATTGTCTGTTCTCCATCTTCTCTTTCCCCGCCCTCATCTACCTCAAAGGAGGAGCCTTCACATTTATATTCATAATCATTCATGGGCTTCCAAGTGGGGTTAATAGAAGGGTGGCAGTGTGGAGGGAGGTGGGTAATATACCTGGACTTAGGGCCAACCTGTAGCTTCCCGCTCATCGCTTGTTAACTAGCGTGCCATGACAAATATGAATTTTTTTTTAATGTAATAAAGAGGCAACCTGGGCCTGTGGAATCCCCAAAAGACCAGAAGTTAGAAGGGTGTGGATGGGGTTCCTCCTCTAATGCTTAACAGTGTGTGCCCTTAGGGAAATCAATTCTCTTGTTAAAGCCTCTGCATCCCAGTTTATTAACAGGAAAAGTACCAAATGATCTTCCTGCCTCAGTAGAAGAACCTATAAGACTTCACTCACTTACTCATGTGTTCATTTATTCTTTTAGCAAGTATTCATCAAGTGCCTACAGTGTCCCAGGGACTGTGCTTGGTAGTGAGATTATGACTCTGAACAGGATATAGTTTCTGCCTTCAAAGAGTGTTTAGTCTAAAAGAATGACAGATAATAGATAGTAGACAGATGACTTTAAGATCATATAATATGTCATACTTAAAGCAAAAATGGCCTGGATTGTGGGGTCAGGCAGGCAGGGTCTATATGATCTTGGGCAGGCTATTTGACCTGTAGGAGCCTCAGTTTTCTACCATATGAAATGGGTATTGCAACCTCCTTGCAGGGTTATCGTAAAGAGTAGAGATACTGTGTTTGCTGTTCACTGAATGGTGCCTGGCCCCTGAAAAGCACACAATAAATGGTAGCTATTATTATTAATAATGATAATATTAAAAATAGATGGAAAAGCACTTTTAAGCTACAAAACCTACCCAAATATAATGAATCATTATAATCATGTTACATGGAGGCTTATTTCCCAAGAGGTTCCAAGAGCAATCAGGATCACTGGTGCCTAGAAAAAGAAAATAATATAATTAACAACAAGTAGAAGAGCTTTGCATTTGAATAGCACTCTTCCAGGTTTAACAAATAGCCATGATGGGGAAAAACACTTAGAGAATTTGTTAATCCAGGCTGGCCTGTGCTTTTGTTGGCAAGTATTATCTTGTGTTTGTTGTAAGATTTTCTATCTTCATTAGCAACACTTTAGTTTCCCTTAAGTAAATGATGATTTAGATCAATTTACCCCGTTTTACTTGACCTAAGTTCAAGCAGAACTATTCTGTGCCAACACCTGCAATCAAGGTTCAGGGCGTTCCTTAAGCTTATAAATGATTGTTCTTCATACTGTGTTAAAGGCACAGTAATCCTTTGTCAGTGGGGACTTGGCCAACTGTGGCTTTGTGATAATGGGATTTTTATATTTATAAACCAACATGTTAAAAATGTATGTTATTTTTATATATGAGTTTTTCAGATCAGTTCTTCTAAACAGCACATGACAATTGTTATTCTGGTCCCCTGGAAACTAAGGGAGTTCTGACGAATAGTATAGAAAAAAAGAAAGTTGTTTACCTTCACCTTTCAGTACAAGATTAGGATACTGTCTCTCACCCCTGTGTGTTAACTCAATGATAATGGAAAAACTCACCTGTTACACACATTGCAAAAATTAAGAAGGGAGATGGAAAGTATAATTCTATGCTTATCCTACTCAAACACAGCAGATTCGTTTGTTCTTTAAACTTTAAAATTAGATACAGATTTTGTAATGGAAAATGGGTATGATCATTTTCTTCAATTTCAATACCATGGCAATGTTTCTGGAACATTCTTTTTGTGTTTTTGTTCCAATGGATAACTTCTTTTGTTTGTATTGAGTATAAGATTAAATTGTGAATGTGTGTGTGTGCATGCACATGTGTGCGCATGTGCATGCACACCCACTGGTATATTTCCAAAACCCCCCTATTTGATAAGACTTCTAGATCCCTGGAAGCTATTTTTGTTGCTGTGCCTTTTCAAGGGTGATGAAGAATTGCTACATAAACATTACACTAGTTTTTTGAATCCCTTATCCTTAGTTGCTGCTTAAAGTCTGCTGACTTGCGGATCGTTAGCTTCCAGAACATCATCTTCTATTCAAGCTCACTTTTCTGGTGGTCAGGCTGGGACCTGGGATTGGCATTCTATTTACAAGCAAGAAACTAAGGAGCTGCAAGTGGAAGTTGTTTGTGAAAAGAGCACATACTCCATACCATGGAGTGAAATATTGTACAGAACTCATATGATAATAAGATAGGGCATTGCAGAGGTAACTCGTGCAAATGAACAGGGGCTGACCTAAAGTCCCTCCTTCCTCCAGGTTTCTATGATTCTAACTGAAGCTAAAAATAACACTGGGTTAGAGGTAGCCAAGTTCTATATGTCTGAGAAGCAAAAGCCTCAGTGATTTTATAGATAAATATCTCTGCAAACCTGATTAAGTCACATAATAATTACAAGAGTTTAGAAAGCATCCATCCTAGCTCAGGAACTGTATTAGACCCTAGGGAGGCAGCTGTGACCACAGACAGAGCACCTTACCTGTTAGGAGCTTACCGTCTGAAGGGAAGGCAGACAATGAAGAAGGAACTCATATGTTCAATGTTTACCATGAGCAGGGACTTCTGCAAAAGCTTCACACACACACACACCCTTCTCTTTACCATGACCCCCAGAGGATCATGAAAATGTCCCTTCTTTACAGAAAACGCATTTGAAGTATACAGGTATTAGTAAATAGCAAATGGTCACAGAGCTGGTAAGTGGCAGAGCCAGCATGAGAGCACAGGTCTGGCTGTTGCTCCATAGCTCATGCTCCCCACTCATCACTGTACTCCCTTTTCTGTCACTTAATTGCTATAGACTTCAAGCTTGCCACCTGTGAAGTGGGTGGCCTTGCTGTTACAAGGAATCACTGAGAGAATCCTGCACAATAGTATGCCTTGTTTTTGTTGTAGTTCACTTCTGTTGACTATTGTTGCCACAAAACAGCACACAAAATGGGGAAATAGCAAGTCTATGTAAGACAGCCTCTATTCTGCTGTGAGAATGTCCTTAGTAGAGTGCTCACTGAAAAAGAAGATGGAATGGCCAGGTACGGTGGCTCACACTTGTAATCCCAGAACTTTGAGAGGCTGAGGTAGGTGGATCACAAGGTCAGGAGTTCAAGATCAGCCTGACCAACATGGTGAAACCCTGTCTCTACTAAAAATACAAAAATTAGCTGAGTGTAGTGGTGTGCACCTGTAGTCCCAGCTACTCAGGAGGCTGAGGCAGGAGAATCACTTGAACCCAGGAGGCGGAGGTTGCAGTGAGATGAGATCATGCCACCGTGCTCCAGCCTGGGAGACAGAGTGAGACTGCGTCTCAGAAAAAAAAAAGAGAAGATGAAGTAGACGCTATTTGTGGTTCAGAGCAGGTGTTTCCAGAGAGCTACAGTTGCTGGAGCAGGGCGGCACAGTGGGCAGCCTTGGAGGGTGCAGGAGCTCAGACACCAATACTGAGGTCATGAGATGGCTCAGGAGTCTAATCAGGAAGATGCAGGAAAAATTGGGTACTCATAGTACAATAAGGGCTCATTCCTGTGTTCTCAGAGGAGTTAGAGAGAGGGGGGATTTCTTATGAAAAGATCATGGTCAGGGAATGAAAAGATTTAAATTTTTGTCCCAGATCTACATTGATGAGCTGGGTAATCTTGGAGAAAGTCCCATTAACCTTTTGGGACCTCACTTCCCTTCTGTATAAAACAGGGATGCCAATTTCTGCTCTGCTTCCCACACAGGGTTGATGAGAGCATCAAAGGAGAGAATAGAGGTAAAAGGGATCTGTACATTGGAAAGTGCCCTATATAGTTTAATATTACTTATTAAATTATTAATATTTATCATTAACATTGTCAGCTTGTCATTGCCATTGTCAGCATGATCATTGAGTGTATTAATTGGGACATCTACTGAGCTGACTGGCTTGACTCCTGAAAGTCATCGGTTTTGGAAATCTTTATCTGTGTATTTATTCAATAAACACACAGTGAGTGCCTCCAGTATGTAGCAGCGGTGCTAGGTTTTGCAAGATGAGTGAGACAAGGCCTCTGCCCTCAAGGAGTTTACAAGGGGAAACGAACAGAGGCCTTGGATAATGGCAGATCAGGATGAGTTATGTAATGTGTCAGGAGCGCAGAACAAACAGAATGCTATGTTAACTTGTCACATTCTGCAATGGTGAATCTGCTCCTTGGAAAGAGCTGGGAAGGAGCTCATAGAGCATCACCTACAAACAGCAATAAGAGAAGTGGCCTGCCTAAGATACCTCCAAACCCCTAGGCCAGTGCATTTCCACTGTCCAATACAAGCTGCCTTCACCCTTGGCAAAGCTCAGATGCTCCTGGGGCCTCGCCACATCATCAGAACATTGTGGACTTTCATGGGAGGATCTGTTGGCCAAACTGTTAGCATTGCTTTGTCAAATATTTCTGATTCCTCTCCTTTATGGGTACACGCTTGGGTTGCACTTCCTGGTCTATTTTTACTGGGATGGCTCACATAACTGTGAGTGGAAGTGGTGAATGCCACTCATGGACCAGAGCATTTACCTGTCAAGGAAGGGCTCTCCAGAGCCCTTTCTTTTTTCCCTCTCACATGGAGTTTGGCAATGTTTCAGATATTGTCTGCCCCATCAGCCTGGGTCATTTTGAGACAATGACGAGCTGAGACACCCTGCCAACCTGGAATGAACATATAGCATGAGTGAAACCTGAGATGTGGAAGTTGTAATTGAAGCATACTCTAATTCTTTCTTTCTTTCTCTTTTCTTTTCTTTTCTCTCTTTCTTTCTTTCTTTCTTTCTTTTTCTTTCTTTCTTTTTCTTTCTATTTCTTTCTTTCTTTCTGTCTTTTTTTCTCTCTGTTTCTCTCTCTCTTTCTTTCTTGCTTTCTTTTTCCTTCCTTCCTTCCTTCCTTCCCTTCATTTTTTCTTTTTTTTGTTGTTTTTGTTTTTGTTTGTTTGTTTTTGTCTGAGACAGGGTTTTGCTCCAGTGCCCAGGCTGGAGTGCAGTGAAGTGATGTTGGCTTACTGCAACCTCTACCTCCAGGGTTCAAGCAATCCTTTCCCAGCCTCCTGAGTAGCTGGAACTACGGGTGCATGCCATAATGCATGGCTGATTTTGTGTGTGTGTGTGTGTGTGTGTGTGTGTGTGTGTGTGTGTGTGTGTGTTGTAGAGATGGAGTCTCACTATGTTGCCTAGGCTAGTCTCAAACTCCTGAGCTCAAGTGATCCACCCACCTTGGCCTTCCAAAGTGCTGGGATTACAGGCATGAGCCACCATGCCTGGCTCTTTTCTTTTTTATTTACTTAATGTGCCTCTTTTCTTATTTATTGTGTCTCATTATAGAATGCAGTGTGGACGTCCATGGTTCCTGATAGACTTCGTAACTTAAGTTTAAGCCCAGATGCTTCTATAAGCATAGGATGCTTTTCTCAGGGTTATAAACTAGCATCTCTTCATTTCTATAGCTGCCAGACCTTTGAGTCCTGAGCCTCACTTGCCTCCTATGCCACAACTTCATTTTAAACCCCGCTCTTCAGCTATTTATCTTCCTCAATAATCTTTCGTGGGGTACCTCATCAACTGCATTTTGGAAAACTAAGTAAATCATGCCTGCTTTTTATTTCATACTTGATTAAACTTGTCAGATAATTCAGGCAAGTTCAAAAGGCTCATATTTTTCTTTGCTCACAGAAAGACTCACCTGGCCCATTTCTTTCTTTAACCTTACATCTGCAGTGGCAAACAGAGGTTGGCAAAATGTAGCCCAATGCTTGAAAAACAAGCCCTTCATGATGAGTTCTAAGAGTTGGTCTTTATTGGGTTGATGCTTGGGTAGAGATATTAATCGGCTTGGCTAAGACCTTGAACAAGTCACTATCTCCCTGGTCTTGAATTTTCTAAGTTATCAGAGGGGGAAGCTGGACTACATGAATTTACTCTTCTGAAATTATTGGATGCCTACTCTGTGGGGTGTTGTAGAGGGAATATATGTGGGTCATGCCATCTTCAATCACATGGCTTAAAGGCTAGTAGAGGGGGATAGAGAAAACAAGATGTCAGTTACTGTGAATATGACTCAGAAAATGTTAACTATTAGGAACCATTCCAAACTATCATGCTACTAATGGATTTAATCCACGTTTAGACAGGTGGATACAAAACAAAACAGCCCACGCTTGCGGATGAGGAAACTGAGATTCCATAAAGAATTCCTATGCACTACACAATCCTAGTAGGTCAAGAGAAAAGATAGATGTCTGCCGGTGGCTGAGGCATGACTGCATGAAATAAGGAGAGATGGCTGGTGATACGAGGTCTTTAATGCCAAGGTTCAACTTACCTGTCCCACCTCTCTACATCATGTCCTGGGCACTGATAACAGACCTGTTTTATGTAGCCTTATCCCCTTTTGACTCCTCCTAATCTCTGTATCTTCAAATCCTACCCATACTTTTAAGCCTATTAAATATGCCACCTTCTCTGAGGCCCTTAACTGTAACCAAAAATGTCCTCTCTATCTGCTGATCTTTCACAGCATGTTCTGCTGGCATTTCATACATGTTCTCCTCTGTACTGCAATCACGGGTGCTTGTGTCTCCATAAAGGGAGGCGGGAGGTTAGAATGGAGTTAGTCCTAGATTCTTACCTCCCTTCCACCATAAAGATGCTGTGTTACCTTGAACAATTTTCATATTTCTTCTGCGCTTTGTTTTACTTATAGAATGGGACTAATGATGCCAATTTGCAGGGCTGTTGAGAGAACGAAATGAGATAATGTGTGTAAAGTATTTGTTTTATTTCTCTTTCTGTAAAGCCTTCCTTCACTACACACTCCCCTCAGACACAGTATAACTTGTATAAGTAGGTGATTAACAGATGCTTCATGAATGAACGTACACATGGACCTTCGGTGTTACATCAGTCAGGGTCCTGGCAGGAAACAGATAGCTCCCTTCTGAACATACTCAGAAGAGGTAACAGTAGAGCATTTAATGAAGGGTGTGGGCAGGGCTAAGGGAATGGACCCGGGGCAATGAGGCATTGCAGGCTGGCATCAGGGGTATTTTGGTCATTGTAAAAGCAGGAGAGATCCCCACCCCAAATTTGGTTTGGATATTGAAACTAATGATGGTACACACACACCAAGAGGGTAGGAAGAGGCTTATTAGTTATATAAGTGAAATTTCTAGGGAGCAGAGCAGGCTTCTCACACAATTCCAGAATGACTAGAGAGCCAGGAAAAGAGACTGGTGTGGGTTTTTACTGTGGCACGAGAGTGGGGCCAGAGTGAGAGTTTCCACACTCAGGCAGGACTTTCATGGTTAGAATCCTCAGCCAACACCAAAGGAGGGAGCGTCCAGTCATTCCTACCAGATTGCCCAGATATGGGGCACAGTGGTGGTGGTGGTGAAGAGGGAGGTGGTGAGACTTAAAAGCTGTTTATAGTCAAACATCAAAACAAGGAATCAGACTTCTCATTACAAGAGGAAGCTCTTGCCATCCTGAAGGAGCCAGGAAAGGGAACATTGATTTGAGAAAGAGGAACTCCCTTATAGAGACTGGCCATAGGACCCCCTCACCCACTGTTGAGGCCACAGGTCAGCAGGGATGGAGGGAGGATAATAAATACCCTGACCTATCTCTCCCTTACCTGCCCACTGATCTACCACCAGGGCCTCTCTTTAGCAGAACCCAACTGAAAGCTGCAGGCAAGATAACTTGGATGACACAGGTTTTGATTTTTTCCGGGGGCAACGAGCACTGCAGAAAATGGTTTAGTATGGGACAGAGCAAATGGAAGATAACAAGCATGGGAACTGTCTCAAAGCACACACACAAAAAGGCTGGGCACAGTGGCTCACGCTCGTAATCCCAGCACTTTGGGAGGCCAAGGTAGTTATATCACCTGAGATCAGGAGTTTGAGACCAGCCTGGCCAACATGGCAAAACCCCGTCTCTATTAAAACTTCAAAATTAGCTGGACCTGTTGGTGCATGCCTGTAATACCAGCCACTTGGGAGGCTAAGGCAGGAGAATCACCTGAACCCAGGAGGTGGAGGTTGCAGTGAGCAGAGATTGCGCTACTGCACTCCAGCCTTGGGTGACAAGAATGAAACTCCATCTCAAAGCAAAACAAAACAAACAAACAAAACCAAGCATGTGATAGGAATCAAACAAAATGCAGGGTGATCCTAAATCTTAGCCATCATTCACTGTGTACATGTTATCTGCTGGGTATCATATTAAGAACTTGATATGCAATATATATATTTTTAAATCCTCAAAACAACCTAGATAGGTACTATTTTTTATATATGAGGAAGCTGAGGTTTAGAGGAGTGAGAAGGGTCCTAGAGATTGGTATAGATAAAATTTACACTCAACAGTTAGATTCCAATGCTCATATGCTTTCTATTAGACTATATATTTTCCCTTGCCTTTTTAGGGTCCAGGGAACTGCCCCATGGGAGATATCTGGCACCAGTGAGCTGAGCGCCATTGACATTTCCTGCCAGCTTTCTGCAGAGCCCTCATTCTGGTTTAGTTTGCCTGCTTTTCATTACTCAATGTGTTGCAACCCTGTAGTAGGTATTCAACCTATGCAGTTTTGTTTTACTCTTACAGCAACTCCCTGAGGTGGTGATGGTATCTTTACTTTACAGCTGGGGAAACTGAGTCTATGAGACAATGAAATGACTTGTCCAGGTCACACAGAATTTAATGAGGGTGGAGTTGGAGCTAGGATTCCAAGTCGGCCCTACACGACCCCATGCATGGGAGCGACTTGCTATGCTGGCCGCCTCCCACTTAGGTGAATCCTGTTTCCTTTTGAGAACAAGAAGCAAAGACTCAAAATTAAATGCTCTCCAATCTGCTGGAGGTCTTGGATGTGCATCCAGGGGAAAGCCACTTCTTTTGTCTTTTCACAAATGCTCGGCTGTTTTTTAAAAAATGTTCTCCTTTCCCCTCTAGCCTGACTTGGTGCAACATTTTCCTTGAGTAGAATGTTGGAGCCAAATCCCTGATGGAGGTCACAGGAGTGGCAAGCCCCCATTTGTCTCAATCCCCCTGAGATTGAGAATTTATTTGTGGTGTCAGGTCTGGGCAAGATTTAGAATAATTCGGGGATTTAAGTCCTGAGGATATGAGAAATAAATAATGTCACCAATTCTACATAAAGGGGCATAATGTGGAAGGGGGAAAAAAACTGTTTCTATTAGAAGCAAAGAAGGGATCCAGAAAAATGCTAAGTCATTCTAAAGCACAGATTTTTAGAGTACAAAAGTATATGCACAGTTATCTAATATAAGTACCTCATTTTACAGATGGAGAGACTGGGGGTAGAGAGGGGAAGGTCCTTGTCCATAGTCACACAGAGTGCCACTAGTAAAGCCAGGCCTTGAAATCAGGTTGGCTGCTCAGTTCCAGTGACCCTCAGAACATAGCATGCTCACCATGGAGTCATGAACTTGGAAAGAAACCTCATCAATTCTGGTTATCTGCACAGCTCATACGATATGTTATTAGGATGGCTGTTTGTTCAATACTCTCTCCATTAGACCAGCAGCTCCACGAGGGTGGGAATTATCCCCTGCTCATCTCCATATCCCCAGCGCACTTGCTCTTTTCTTGCTTTGGTATAGTTTCCACTTTTTTGCCTGGATCTCTTCTGTTTGTCCTTAAATTCTCACACCATATAACATTTAAAATGAGAGGCCCTCTCTGACTACCAGCTCGGTTAGACACCTGCTGTTGTATACTCCCATATTCCCTGGACTCTTTCTTGATTTCCACATTACACTTCACCCTCATTACCTATTTAATTGCCTGTATTACCCACTAAACCATAAGCTCTTTGATAGCAGGGATTGTGACATTCTTGTTTTCCTCTTATTTTTCCAGTAAGTTTGCCGAGCACAGAGCCAAACATATTCAGCAAATGTTTGACAGTTACATGGAAGAATGAAACCAAGACAGTCCTAACCTCAGAGTGTAATCCAAGAATCTCTATGTGCCGGACAGCTGCACACACACACTAGGGGTCAGAGTCAATAAGATCTTCATTGGCTTCTACTACTTTATATTTAGCAACCAGTCAAAGCCAACGGGCTTGCATCTACTTTCTCTTATTCTTGGGTTTATTCCTTCTGAGAAAAGCCGATGTTCACCGCCATCTGACTTCTTAACTCCTGCCTCTATATGTTTTCTTCATCCACTTATTATTGCTTGATCTAGTCATCATTTCTCTCTTTCCCTACTTTCAGGGAAACAGAGGCTCAGAAAAGTACAGTTACTGATGCAGGCTCACACCACAGCTGAGTGGCCATGTCACAGTTGAATCTGCAATCCCTGACTCCACTCCTTCCCCCTGTCTCTGATAGTTAAAGACCTCAATTCCTGTGTTCTTTCCTCAATGTATAGACGACATTAGAATGACATCTACACTGTGCTGGCTACTGATCAGAAGACTCCCCATAACCAGACAGGCACCCACAGATTTCAAGAACCATATGGTTCAACAAAGTTAAGGCACAAAGGACAATTCTTTGCATCTTATTTTGATGGTACTTTCCCTACTGCTGGGACCTACATGCGTACATAGAAGATGCTTAACAATATCTTTTAATTCATAGTAGAATGACTAAAGCCTTATCTCAGCATGCAACAGATACATCGTGAAGACAGCTTTTGCCTTTCTTGAGCCAAAAATGGAAAATATCAAGTTTATTTGTTACTTTACTTGCCACATCAGTTGTTCCTATTGGAGGGATAACCATAATTATTCCTTGCATTTACATTGTGTCATGTCTACAATCTTTTTTTATTGTTGTTCCTGTTAATCCTCAAAACAACCATTAAGGTTTAAGCACTTTCCATTTTACAGATGGGGACTCTGAGGTTCTCAGTTTGAAGCAGCTTGCTCAAGAGCACGGGTTTAGGAAGGTACAGAACAGGAAAGAGGACTGGAATGGAATTGTCCAGAATACAAGTTTGATCCTTTTCACATTAGACACTGTTTTATGTTGAATCTATGCATTGTTTTGCACAGAGAAAAGGGCTCTGAGGGACCTGAGAGTCCATCCAGGTTTACTCTTAGAGGAATTATATTTAGATCAAATTTAAACCTTGCTTAACCTCCCACCATTCACCGATGTTGGAGATCAACGTTTCAGGAAGAAGCTAGTGAGAGGTGAGTTTGGTTGGGTAGGCCTTTGCAGAAAGGTGGGATATATGAAGGGAAGTTCTCAAGGATGAATAGAACTTCAAGCAGCAGGGATGGGGAGAGGAACGACAGAATGAGAGAAGCAGAGGTAAGGGATCTGTTTGAGGGGTTTGGAGGGAGGCTGTTGAACAGTTGGATGCAACTGGAGGAGATTGCATTTCTCCAGCAGCCCATGAACTTTCTTCGTTTCTCTGCTCTTGGGACTACTAGAGAGCAGATGCTGAGAAAGTCACTTTCAGGCACTGCCTGTTGTAAATTACATGATAATTTCCGCACTCCATCTAGGTGCCACAAGAGGCTGGTGGTCGACAAGTCTGTGATTAGAAATGGTGCCCAGGGTGATGTAAAGACAATTGCCCCCAGTTTAATGCTGGCCCCTTTCGCATTCAAATGATTGGGAAGGAAATGGGATTTCTCATTGTGCTATCAGGCCCAAAATCAGAGTTTGCAACCTTAGGACTAAGGTATTTGTAATGTTACACTCATTCAGGGGATGGAGCCACACCCTCACCTTTTCCTGTTGCCAGAGATTGAAACTGACAATACCCCAGATTTGCTTTGTGGCCTTGGGTATGTGTGTGGATGTGGATGTGTATGTGTGTGTGTGTGTGTGTGTGTGTGTGTGTGTGTCTGCACATGTATGCATATGTATTACCTAACCTGTCTGACCTTTACTTTCTCTCCCTCTGCAAATTCTTAGGAATGATGCTTCCTGTAGGGAAACTAATAGGCATATCCTGGATTTTGAGGAAACTAGAAGGCTTCTTAAACGCTAAGTATGATCGATCCTCATTATATCACTGACTTTACCATATCGGGGTCTGGGATAGGACCATCTGTGATTTCCCACGTGTTCAGTATTAAAAGAAACTTCAACTTTACATATACAAATAACTTGACTTTTTCAGGTAGTGAAAACTAAGACCAAAAAAGAGAAGTGACTTGCCCACGTCACAAAAATTTATGATTTAGCTGTTTCTACAATCTTTGCCTTCTTATCACCATTCAGGTACTCTGTTCATCCCTCCAAAGGGTTAGGTACCCAGACTTCCAAGAGGACCTTATTGCAAGTAAATCCTCACAGCAATTACAGGAGAAGTAACGTTTGTAAATTTTCATTCTTTAAAAAAGCAAAATTAAAGACTCTAGTCAAAATAGGCAGGATTTAAGTTAGGCATGATATAACATTCTTAACTCAAGACTAGACATTAATTCCAATCTCCTGTGGTTCCAAGGATCCATAATAAACTCTTGAGATAGAGAAAATGATAACACTAAAGGTGACTTTAATTCCACCTTCTCTGCTTGGCCTGGCTAAGGGAGAAATGCTCACCTGCATCCAGGAGTATTTCCAATTCTCTTGGTAACACTCTGAACCTGCTGTGCCCATGGAAACTCCATTCAAATGTTCATCAGAACATAGCTGAAAACACTCTTCCTCAACTCTGTGAATCCTCATTAGTTCATTTGTGCTCCACACTCAGTGGCCACGGTGATAATCTCAAAGTCATAATGCAGGTTCACTGTGTGACTTTTGCAAGCCTAGGCACCTTTACCTTTGTGGATCCTTCCTTAATAAAAACATTACGAAATTATTATGATTAATTTAAAATATTGTAAAATTGTGTCAAAGATGTTTATATTCATATTTATATTAAAAATTCTTTTGACTTAAAAATACATTTTTAAATTTGCATGTAGTTTTAAGAAAAATTAAAACATTTCTGTTGGCTCCTGAAAGGACTATGAGCCCTGGACACTGTACCTGATGGGTAAGTCAGCCTTGGTAGCACATGCTTCATATTCAATTCTTTTTTTGTTTTATTTTGAGATGGAGTATTGCTGTGTCACCTAGGCTGGAGTGCAGTGGCATGATGTCGGCTCACTGCAACCTCCGCTTCCCGGGTTCAAGTGATTCTCTTGCCTCCACCTCCCAAGTAGCTGGCATTACAGGCATGCGCCCACCAGACCCGGCTAATTTTTGTATTTTTAGTAGAGACAGGGTTTCACCATGTTGGCCAGGCTGGTCTTGAGCTCCTGACCTCAAGTGATTCACCCACCTCAGCCTCCCAAATGCTGAGATTACAGGCGTGAGCCACTGCACTTGGCCCATACTCAATTCTTTATCTTTCCTGAGATGGTATGAAGAGAGATTGTTTTCCAGTATTTTTTTTACCTTCCTTCATTTGTTCTCTAAATTCCCCTTTCCTAACCATTTTTGACATACTCTAATTTTCTTTTTTATATTTTAAGCACCCGTATTTTACATGGAAGCGCATTAAAATTGAAGATCAGATTGAACAGAAAAGATATCACTGTTTTACTGTAGAGCCAGTGCTGGCATACTTCTTGAGAGAGGGTAAAGAAGCTATGTTCCTGCACTGCTCTTGCTCCTCAGTTCTCAAAGTGAAATCTAAAGAATTTGGTCTGATTTTAATTGATGGCCATGCCACTTGCAGTAAATGATTTCATTTCTCAGATTCTCACTTAATTTCATCGTATCAAACATGGGATAATAATCTCACCACATATGTCATGGCCCATGTGGCATATCTACCAGCACACAGTAGGTGTCCAAGAAGAATCGAGATGCATATTTATCTCCCTGGAAAAGTCTAACCCCCTGCATATTTTAAGATTTTGACTTTATGATGAAGACTTTTGCTTTGGATTATAATTACAAGAAAGTTGTTAATAGAGAATCAGACATACTTGGCATTCTCATCTTGGCTCTACTACTTATACCTTGTATCTTTGAGTGAGACATTTCCTTTCTACTAACTTGGGATTTGTGCATAGACAAAATGGGGATGACGGCAATGAATTCAGTAGGGTTTGGGGGAGGATCTAGTGATAGCATAAGTTAAATGTTTGTAAGCACCGGCACACTCTGCAATTGTAAGGAATATTTCCATTTCCCTCTGTCCCCTGATCTCCAGTGTAGGCTGCTCCCCTTCTCTGGGTTCTCTGGGGGAAACATTTTTCATTAGCAAGTGCTTGGAATGGACAAGCATGCCATTGACCACTTTACTGCAGCCTGAAGCTGAGCTGCTCCCATGTCCCCCAGCATGGCCCCCAGCTGCAAGCCGGCCTCTGCCTCCAGCTTTCCAATTCCAGATGCTCAGAGGTAGCCAGAGGGTGTTTGATTGCCGACAGACTCTGGCATCACAGCACAATCCAATCAACTCTCTTTCAGCAGATGAATCCTCCTCAGATTGTAATCAGAGTCCATTCTGTCTCTCCCCATCCGGCTCTGGTACCCAGGAATCTTGAGGACTTGTTTTGCTTTTCTGTCCTGGCAGCCCCTCAGCCTCCACTCCCACCTTCTGCCTTTGCCTGGGAGCTAAGCAGCCTGGTGTCTGGTTGTCCACTAGCTCAGTACATTACATGTGGCGAGCCATGTCCTCTCTCTGCACTCCATTGCCCTTTTCTAGAAGTGGGTTTGTATTATCCAGCACACAGCGTTACTGAAAGAGTAAGGTAGGAGGGCATGCTTGAAAATACTAGGTAAATGAAAATAAATGTTGTTATCACACACATAGTATTATTTTTGTCCTCACTTGCAGCAGCCTCTTCAGTCTGAAACTCTGAATATGGGTTTGAATCATTTTTACCATAAAGGAGTTGAATATTTCATTTGTGCCAAGATTTCTGAACTTTCCATTCACTTGTTTGTTCAACAAATACTGAATTTGCTGACTATTCACTATCTGTCAGGGACTCTCTTAGATCTTGGATATAAATGAAATACAGTCATTTCACAAATAATTATTAAGCACCCACCCTGACCCCTGGAGTAAAGGGAAATTTGTTCATTTTAATAAGGTGTTCATATTAAAGAAATATACACTGGGTAAGGACTCATGGATTAAAAAAAACAGGACAAGGAGCTTAAAATATAGTGGAGAAGACAAATATTGAACAAATACTTTTATAAATAGTATAGATGTGTTTAGGGCAAATGCCTTGAAGGAAGAATCGTTGAGTATTTTGATAACTTATAACTAGGGCATTTATTTTAGTCTGGGGATTCAGGGAAGTCTTTCCTAAAAGTTGAGGTTTGAGCTGTAGGATGCATTTGAGCTCACTGTGGAGTAGGTTCTAGTACGGGGAAGAGATGTTGGGAAGACTATGGCAGTGGGGAGTTCTGTGTGTTCTAGGATCAGGCAAGGCCTGTGTTGCTGGAGGGAGGGAAGGAGGAGGGATGGAGTCTTAAGAGATTGCCTGGAGCCAGATCATATAAGGTCTGGTGGGAAGGAGTAAGACCTACCTGAAGCAACACAGAGACTGTTAGAAAAGACAGATCAGTAACAAAACAATGATATGAGCTGTGATACTTACTCAGTGCATGGGTGCACACAAGAGGGAGTAGTTAACTCAGTTTTCATGGCTCAAGAAAGTATTCAAAAAGGGGGATTTGGGTTTTGAAAGCTCTAGAGGCAGTTCTGGTAGAAAGGTGAGCAGCATTCAATTCAGAGTGACTAGCATATGCAAAGCCCCTGCAGTGAGAAACAGCTTGATGAGTGTAGGGAGCTGGCATATGGCATGCACAGGGAGAGGGGGCAATGAGAAAAGAGACAGGAGGAGAGGCAGAGGCCAGATGATGAGGGGCCTCATCTGCCATGGAATAATGAGTTTTAATGGTGTTTTCTTTGTAAACAGTTTCATTTTTGGGGGTAGTTTTAGGCTTATAGAAAGATTAAGCAGGAAGTACAGAGAGTTCCTTATACTCCCGAGTACCTTCCGCCCTTCCCCACCACACATAGCCTGTCCCAGTATCAATACATCTTCCCACCAGAGTAGTACTTTTGTTACAATTAACAAACCTGCATAGACACATCATTGTCACCCAAAGTCCATAGTTTATATTGGGGTTCACTTTTGGTGTTGTGTGGTCAAATGTATAAAAATGTGTATTCACCACTGTTATTCATACAGAATGGTTCCGCTGCCCTAAAAATCCTCTGTGCTCTGCCTATTCATCCTTCCCTTCATGCTAACCCACTGCTATCGCTGGTCTTTTTGCTGTCTTCATGGTTTTCTTTTTTCCAGAATGTCACATAGTTGGATGCATAGAGTGTGTGGCCTTTTCAGATTGGCTTCTTTCACTTAGTAATATGCATTTAAGGGTCGTATTTAGTGGGGTTTTCAGAAAGCAGATGGCGCGATTAGGGCAATGTTACTCCATGTAATGGATGGATTGGAGGTAAAGGTGAACTAAAATCAAGGAAAACAGGTTGGAGGTTGTGCTGGTAATTGTTGGAACATTGGGGCCACATTTTTCAATGCTGAAGTCTTAACTTGAAAGACTGATCTTTTTAGCACCAAGGTGTCATCATTTTGCTATAAGGCCTCCTTTGGAACCTATGCTTCAACTCTTCAGTTTAACCTGTGCTACCCAACATGTGGCTATTATTTACATTTAAAATAATTAAAATTAAATAAAATTAAAATATTAGTTGCCCAGCACACAGTAGCCAGATTTCAAGTGCTCAGTAGCCCTGTGTGGCTAGTGTTGACCATATTGGACAGTACAGATGTAACACATTTCCATTGTTGCAGAAAGTTCTATTGGACAGCACCGCACTAAATCTTAGAGAATCTTTTTATGGTTTGCTAGAAAGACTCTGGATTTTGGAGCCAGAGTGAGGTCTCAAATTGCTGTTGAAACATTTATTAGTGCTGTGATTTTTTTTTTACTGTGGTAAAATATATGTAACATACAATTTGCCATTTTAACCATTTTTAAGTGTACAATTTAGCAGCATTAATTACATTCATAGTGTGGTGCAACCATCAACACCATGTATTTCCAACACTTTTTCATGACCCCAAATAAAAACTCTCTGCAATCATTAAGCAATAACTCCCCATTCCATGCACCTCCCAACCCTGATAACTTCTCATCTATTTTCGGTCCTTATGAATTTATCCATTCAAGATGTTTCATGTAAGTGAAGTCACTTACTCCATCTTTTTGTATCTGGCTTCTATCACTTAGCCTAGTGTCTTAAAGCTTCATCCATGATGAGGCATATGTCAAAGCTTCATTCTTTTTTATGGCTAAATGGTATTCCATTGTATGTGTATATTACATTTTATTTATCCATTCATCTGTTGATGGACACTTGGGTTGTCTTTACCTTTTGGCCGAGCGATGAAATTTTGAACAATTTGCTTAGTTTCTCTGAGTTTCTTTTCAATAAAATGGATATCTTAATCCTTAAATTCTAGAATTATTGGATAAACTAGAAGAAACACTAAAGATAAAGTGCTTGGGATGGCTTTCCCAGTTCAGTAGTTGGTAATTCTCCTACCACTCTTTGTCCACTTCTGTCTACTATCCCTTGGTGCCTCAATCCCTGTGCATTGGAAGCTCAACAACTGTTGGCCAATTGTGGATTCTTTCTGGTCTCATTAGCTCAGCTCTGATTCTTGGACTGTAAAATGTGAGGAGAATATTTTGTTTGACCTCTGTGTGTTTAATGTGTAGGAGGTTCCAGGTTGGTGGAGATAATATCTCTCAAGTGTCACAAGTTTTGGGATGCAGATGGTGGCCCATGTTCCTCATTAAACTAATAATTGCTCTCAGGGAAAGTACAGCGGAAATCAGTACTTGACATTTTAAAGGTAGATGAAGTCATAAGAAGATTATGACTTGGCCTTGAATAGCGTTTCTTGGGCCAGATTAGAAATTCTCATGAGAGAGTAATTGTTTTCTGGGGTCTGACCTGTGTTCTCCTCAGCCCAGGGCTGAAGACACAGCCTGTGAGATTCAAGGGACTGTTTCTCTCTGATAAAGGTATATTGAGAAGTCCAGGTTTTCCTCCTCAAAATGGACTCAAATGTTGGGAAATCTTCACAGTTGATTCAATTAAAAAGATATTAATAGTAAGCGGTGTTTACTTAGGACATTTTTATCTGTATCCCAGGGGCTTAGACGATGAGGACATTTAATAAACTCACGTGACTAAAAGCTTTGGTGATAGGTGACTTTGCAGCTCCAGATGTCAGTGTGCAGGACTAGAATCTCTCTGGTTGTCTTGGCCTTCTCTTTGGGGCTCCAAGATGGCTATAGCACCCCCCATCCAAATTAATGAACTAATATAGCATCTAAAGCACACATGAAGAAAAGGGGCAGAAAACAGAGCTTTCCCTGTGAACTTTTTCCTTTATTACAACAAAACCTTTCCAGAAGTGCCTCCAAAGATTCCACCTCATAACTCATTAACCAAAAGGTTATGATTGGCCACCTATATATGCAGAGAAGCCTTTTCATTTTGTATAGAGAGAAATTTGAAAATTGTAGAGACTTGAAGGGAGAAACAGTTTTTATTGTTTGTGTAGTCAGGCAAGGTTTCCTGGGGGCAGTGATATATGCATGAAGTATTGAATGGTAGTGTAGGATTTTGACTCAAGTAAAGGCAGCTTAGGCCGAGAAAACAGCTTAGCATAAGCATGAGATTTGGGAATTCAGATTTTTTTTGTTTTGTTTCAGTTTTTAAAAGATGTGGTATTGGAATACTTGTGGTAAAATGCAATAAGAAAGGAAGAAGTGAAATACAAAAAGTTTCTCGAAAGTTATAATAGACCTTGAGCGCCATGCTTAGACGTTTGAATTTTGCTCTGGAGACACTGGGTAGGTATTAAGGTTTTTGAGCTGGGATTGCCGTATTCTCTTTTCCTTAATCCTACCAATTCTTTATAGCTTAGATTTGCCATCATGGATGTATCTTAAGTTTTTTGTTACTTCATTTCTCAGTTGCTCCCAGTTGCCCATATCTTTTCCTAAATGCTCTGTCATGCGCTTCTGTTAAAGAGAGTAGCAGTGTAGACGTTGAGGGTGCAAGGAGAGCAAGCAGGCTTCCACCTTCAGTCTCTCAAGTAAAAACATATAAAGCAATCCCCTTTTCACCTATCCACCATGCAACATGGCGGTCGTGCCAAAGCAGGGTCCCCTAGGATGGCTTAATTGTGATTTAACGTGCTGTTATCTCCACTTTGTGACTTGAGTACTGAACATAACTTGCTGCATGTCTTTCCCAGCTCACCGAACTTCTAGACATTTTGTTCATATATGACAAGCTTTCTCTGCTCTAAATGCTTTGCTAACTTGCTAACATTCTTAGCCTAACGTAGAAGATTCTTTACAGTATTGTCTTCATTTCCCAGCCTCATTCCCCACTGCCCAGCGTGCTCTGCCATCATATCAAATACACAAAGTGCTCTGAGCACATTTTCTCTCATTCTGGACCTATGTTTCCCTCTGACTACACTGTCTCTGATTTTTCTTTTCTTTTCTTTTTTCTTTTCTTTTCTTTCTTTCCTTTTTTTTTTTAAGATGGAGTCTCGTTCTGTTGCCCAGGCTGAAGCGTAGTAGCACAATCTCAGCTCACTGCAACCACCACCCCCCTATCAGCTTCAAGCAATTTTCCTGCCTCAGCCTCCCAAGTAGCTGGGATTACAGGTGCCCACGACCACGCTTGGCTAATTTTTTGTATTTTTAATAGAGACGGGGTTTTACCATATTGGCCAGGCTGGTCTCAAACTCCTGACCTCAAGAAATCCACCCACCTCGGCCTCCCAAAGTGCTGAGATTACAGGCCTGAGCCACTGTGCCAGCCTTGTTTTTTATTTCTCTATTCTCCAAACCTTTCTTGCAGGAGTAATTAATCTCTCAGAACCCTTCTGTAGTACTATATCTTTTTTCTTAGACTTTTAATTTTGGAAATGTTTTAGATTTATAGAAAATTGGCACAGATTATACAGAGACTTTCTATATACCACTTACCCAGCTTCCCCTAATGTTACCATCTTACATTATCATGGTACATGTGTCAAAACTAAGAAATCAACATTTGTATGTTGCTGTTAACTATACTATAGACTTTATTCAGATTTTACTCGGTTTCCACCAATGTCCTTTTTTTTGTCCCAGTGTTCAATCTGTGTTGCATTTAATCCTTATGTCTACTTGCTTTCCTCTGTTATGTGACAGTCTCTCAGGTTTTCCTTTAAAAATTATCTTAACAGTTATGAAAAGCACTGGCCAGAGGTGAAGTCCCTTTGTTATCATATTGTATCATATCATATCAGGGAGTCTCTGATATCATCCTGACTTATTGCTGATGTTAGTCTTCATCATTTATTTGGGGCAGTGTCCATTGGGTTTTTCCACTGCAAGACAATTATTTTTCCCTTTACTTACTTTATTCATTAGAAGTGAGTCATTAAGTCCAGTCTACACTGAAGGAGAGGGCAATTAAGCTCCACTTCCTGGAGGAAGGAATAACCATCTTATTTTTAGAGCTGCCTGGTCTCTTAAGGACTAGTGAACGATTCTTTTTCAGTATTTTTTCTGAACCTTTGTGTTCCTCTCTCCACAGCATGAATAAGTTCACTTGTCTCTTTCCCCCACCCCCATTAACAGTAGATTCCTGAAGGCAGGGGGCCATGTCTAATTTCTCCATCTCTGCTGAATTTAGTCCAAGATAGATTCTCAACAAGTTCGAAGCAAACTTAACTTTTCTTAGATAGGGAGGCAAGCCATGCACACTGGCCCTCATTTTTTTCTCATTTAATAAGGGAACAAACTGGAATCAATGACTTCTAAGGCCAGGCAGAGACGATCATGTTCCTTACCCTGCTATGACCTTGGTGATCTCTCCTTGGGAGGGACTAGAGTGGAGAGGACTGAGCCTTCACCCGCCCCGGCAGCTTCCTGTCTGCTGTGCGTGTGCATGAGCATACCGTTTGGATTTGAGGACAGAAGATAAAATCCTTTTTGACCCAGGTCCGTGATGATCAATGGGCCTCCCGGCATGCTTCACCGCCCTTGCCTAGCTCTCTCTATGGCACCAGTTGCCACTCAATAAATCCATAAAAAGACAACTCAATTGTTTTGACTTTCCTCCACCTTTTCCAGCAATTCTTCTTTTCCAAGTTAATGGGGCAGAGGGAGGGGAGTCACACAATTAGATGCTACACACACTTTTTTTTTTTTTTTTTTGGACAGAGACAAATTCCTCTATGTGCTGACAGGATCATAAAAAATGAATTAGGAGATCTGTTATTAATGAAATACTCCAACCTAATGTTATAGCAATGAAGCCCTTGGCTTTATACAAAGTGTTTGGCACTTATAAAATACAAGTTGAGATGTCTTTCTTTGCCTCCCTTTTGCTCACAGTAAAAAGGAGCTGAAAGAATCTTAGCCCAGATTTGCAGAGCTCTGGTCAAGAATAAGGCTGTAGACAAATGACTACCCACACCCAAACAAACACATATACACATGTTAAGGATACAGAACACAAATCAGCATATCAAGTAAATAGGCTCCGAGCAACTTTACAGTAAATAGATCCATTTCTCTTTGCTTATCTCAACATTTCCTAAATTTCTTTAACGATAGAACACCCTCTTTCCTGTTCATGCCATGTAGATATAGGGTGTCATGGGACACATTTTCAGAGACATGCTTGTATCTGACACTGCCTAACATCTCTTGGATTATGTCTATGCAGACTAAGAATGGCAAATTGAAATGAGTATCGGTAGAGTTAAAAGAGAAATAGAGTTAATCCCCAATATTTTGTTTATGTTCTCAGTTGTTTGGCATCCTGAGTCAGAGTGGTCAATTTTAGACTGAACTACCTGGAAAATTGCCTTGAATATCCACTTCATTTTGCCTTTGACCAAATTGCTTAATCTTCCCCACCTTGGGAGACGGGTTGACCTGAAGTGCCAGGCCTAGGCTGAACAGGCCTCCCCAGTTACCTACCTTCATGCTTATAAATGGATTATGCTTCTCTCTGATTTTAAGCTTGGTGTAATGTTGGTTGCAAATATTAAAAATAATGAGAATGTAAGTTAAGTGTAATCTTCTTATCTGGTAATAGACCCTGATTAGAATTTCTTTTCATTTCCTTTAGTTTCCAACTAAGCAGCATGCACAGGGTTTTGAAATC
Organism: Homo sapiens; assembly: GCF_000001405.40. Classification (NCBI taxonomy): domain Eukaryota; kingdom Metazoa; phylum Chordata; class Mammalia; order Primates; family Hominidae; genus Homo; species Homo sapiens. Next base: position 117,347,924 of record NC_000009.12, on the reverse strand, counting down.
TAAATTAATATGCCATGTTAGTCTTCAGAAAGCTGGACATATAACACTTAGGTCCCTAGGCCTTCACTGCCCTTTAGCACATGTGCCCTTGTCATCCAGTGCTGGGGACTTTGCACAAGGAGAGATGTGAGGTCAGATGTGTCTTTTTGTTCCTCTTTAGCAATTCACACCTTCCCAGCCCTTGAGAATCCGCTGCTTTCTTTGTGTGGTTGTAGCCACCACATTCTCATTTTTAATTTATTACCTATTTCTGATTTTCAGAAAAAACATTTGCTTTATATTTATATTTCTACATAAAGAACAGATAATTGGGTGTGGTTACAAGAGAGAATTGCACTAGACAAAGCAGAAGGCCTTACTAGCTAGCTGTGTGATTCAGGGCAAACTCTTAATCTCTCTGAACCATGATTTTCCTCATTATAAAATGAGGTTAATGATAAGACCTACATACAGGCTTGTTGTGAGAACGTGAGGAGACTTAGCCGTATCTAGCATGCAGTGTCTAGCATATTGTATGCACAGTGAAGAGCTGGGGCAACCTCCCAGGTGGTGGTGAGAGCAAATGAGAGACTAAATCAGGAAGCGCTCTCTCATTGTTGACAGCCATCTATGTGTGCGCTATCAGTATAATGTATCTATGAAGGAATTTCTAAAGTGTCTCACTCCAAAAGCCCACCTCTCCACAAAGTCCATTAGTCATTGTAGAGAGTGCTTCTCAACCGCCAACCTCTTCATGATTTTGGAGAAACACTGCATGTGCCTTTTCTTCTTGACCTCACTCCCATTATATTTTCCACAGTTTTCACTCCAAAGCCCCCTACTTGGATGTCGGCCAGTGCCAGATATACCAGGTCATCCCACCTCAGATAACACACACCGCAGAAGCAGCAGGATGCCCTTTAGCCTTGTAGGTAGACTAGTAAGTCTTGACTAATTTAATGATAATTAACAAAAAAGAATGTGTGTATTGAGCCCAAATGCTGTGTCAAGCATTAATCTTATTTCTTTATGTGTATTCCAGTTTAATCTTCATAACAACCTTAAACCATAGGTATTAGGGCCCCCATTTTGCAGACAGTGGAAATTAAGTTCAGAGAAATGAATATATTGAGGTTAGCAGTGATAGGATTTGAACCCATGTCTGTATGATTTTAATACCCATGTATCATATGTATCACCTTGAGGGAATAGAGGTGGCCCTGAACAGGTTCACTCTCACTACTGGCAGGAGAACATCTAAGATATCTATGTTACCACTTCACATATGATGGTACAGTTATTTTTCCCCATATTTAATTGCTTATTTCTGCTAAACGATGTGTCAGGAAACCCAGATTCTGTCCTTGATTTGGTATCAATTTTCATGTCTGTAAAATGAAAGAATTGGGCAACTCTTACTGCACTAAGATAATAGGATTGTAGCAAATAAGCACAGGTGAGTGTGTTAGGAGTTTGGTTAGTTGGTTGGACAAATGCTATCTAAATGCATGGTCAAGTTCAGAATTCAGTAGAGTATATGGATCTGAATTCTGTAGGATAATACAGATCTGAATTCTGTACATTCTACTGGATCCTGAACCTGACCAAGCATTTACACAACATTTGTCCAAGAAACTTAGCACAGAAGTTAGTAAACTCTACGTTGGTTATACTGTTTCCTAGTGTTCTATGCCTTACCTTGATTTGAGATATGCAAATCCTTTTAAAAAAGTAACTAAAACCTTGATGGAATAACAGGGTGCTCTGGACAAAGAGTCAGTACAAGTGAGTCTCATCTTTACTCTTTGTAATCCCATGGGCCAGGTAGCTTTGGAAAAATTCTGTAACACCCCTGAGCCTCCACTGAGGGTTAGACAATAAAACATCTGGAAAATGCCTGGTATAATTTTTCCTTTTCCTTTTTTTTTTTTTTTTGCCTCTTAGTTCACTAAGTGGCAATGTGAGGATTAAAATATAGGCCAGAATGGGCAGAATGGGAGTTACAAGAAAACCTTAATAGTGGATAGACAGAACTAATTAATGAGAGTAAGTAGGTCTAATAAGAAAACTGCAGAATTGAGGATATTGGTGAAGAGATGGGGTGGAAGAGAAAAAGAAGTTAAAAGGTTAAAGAAAGTGGACTAGGGAAGTGTATGTATTTTCTGGTAACAATCTGTAGCATTCTCTAGTTTACATGTTACCTCCTCTGAGAAGCCCTCCCTGACTACCTTGTCCAGAGAAGCCCTTTGCCTCAGTTATTTCTCGTCATTGCATCCTGTTCATTTCCTTGATGGCACTTAACACCAGTTGTAACCTGCATTTGTTTTTGTTTAGTTTCAATTTGCTTGAATTCAGTAAGGGCCAGACAGCCTGAGTTTGAAAACCAAGCTCTGCCACCTATCAGCTGTGTGACCTTGGGCAAGATCGTCATCTCTTTGAGCCACAGTTTCCTTATCTATCATTGCAGGATTACGGTAGGGATTTTGTAAAGATTAAGTGATTTACTATGTCTGAAGCACTTAGAGTCATGCAAGGTACATTGAGAGCTCTCAGAAAGTAGCTGTGGTTATGATTCATACTTGTTTACATCTGATGCTCCTTTAGGTTGTAAATCCATCTGGTCAGGGATTTTTAACTCTTTATTTTCTACTGAAGGCCTAGGACCTAGACTGTGGCTGACACATACTAGGTACTCAATATATACTGGTTGAACATTCACAGGAGTGAATGTAAAATAATAAAACAAAGCATGAGTAGCAAGAGCAAGCCTTGCTGGCTGGAGGATTCAATTAACTACAGGCTTGGCTCCTGGCAGTCCTCTCCTGGGCTCCTTTGTGCTGCAGAAAACACAGCTCCAAGTTGGGCTCTTTTATCTCCATGGACCCTCCCACCTCTAACCCTGGCTTCCTTAGATTCCTGGGTCCTTTCATTTAGCCCCAACCTGTTCATGCCCCAGGGAGAAAAACGTTCCCCACTCTTGTACAGGCGGCATGTGTCAGTGTTGATATCAACATTCCTGAATAAATAAATGAATAAAACTAATTTATGTTTGGATGAAAAATACATCAGGGCCTTTAGGAAAAATGAGCAATGGAAGGGCAGCATTCACATTAGTATTGCACACAATGCCTCTGCCTGGGCTGCTTCCCTCCCCTGTATTCCCTCTGCCTCACCCTTTTCATTACTCTTAGGTCTAGAGTTGAAACCCGTGTTCATTCTTTCCTCTTCCCTTAGCTTTAGGCTCAAGGATGAAGAAATGAAAACAAAATAAATCATTGAGGAGTAAGGAGATGAATTGCATAAGAGAAACATGCTTCTTCTCATACAAGGAGCTGCTATGTTGTCCATGATTCTGTGTCACTCTATGGGGTGTGTGCGCATAGGTTGTGTGTGTACACAAAGACAAACACAGGCAACCCTGGGCACTGCTGTCTTCCAGAAGCCAGGTAGCTTACCAAGTGGTTTGTGGTACTGAGCGTTAATACAACACTTTTCCTTCTGGAACTCCCAGGGTCCTGGGAATGAATGAAGCAGGGGAGGGGCAGGGTCTTTGGGGACCTGGACTTATCATGGCTGAGCAAATCTTCACACTGCCTTTGCTTTCATCAGCCCTGGTGCCCGGCATCCTAGCTCTAGCTCCCAAACCTGCCTGCAGGATTCATTTCCATACGTAGAGGGCTTTGAAGTCTTATTCACTGTGCCATGGTAGAGGGTTTAATATTCTCCTGTTAATGCTGCTTTTGGGGATGGGTTTTTTTTTCTCCACGTGCTTTTGTGGAAGGCTGTGTAGTTCTGGCATCGTTTTTCAGGCATGCTGTGCTGGAGAGATCTCCTTTCCCACCTCCCCATGTCTCTCTACTGGAACTAATGATGGGGCCACCTTGGGAGATGCTTTTCCTGCTTCAGGAATTTTTGGAGTAACATCTAAGACAGAGATGCTTTGGGTGACATTTTCAGAGTATTTCCAGCTCCTTCATCCCCCCTCCTTCCTTCTTCTCTCCCTCTACTTTCTACTTTCTTCTGTCCTTGCTGCCTTCCTTGATCTCTTTCTTCTTTCTTTTATATTTTTATTTCTTTTTCAATTAATTATTCATGGAATCAGGGATTGTGCCAGGTGCAGGAGGGGCATAAAAATGCAGAAAGCTCAGCCTTTAAAACATGCACATTCTAGTAGGAAACATAAAGCTGGTATAGAACTAATTAATGTGAGGTAGAGAGATGGGATCCTGGAACTATATATGTGGGTGGAGTTAGAATGTGCTTTTCATTCCTTGCTAGCTGAGTCATCTAGGGCATGTTACTCAGTCTCTCCAACTCTCAGTATTCTCATATGTACATGGGGTTGAAAATAATAGTGTCTATCTCACAGGATGTTTGTGAGAATTCTATGACATTATTCATGGAAAGTGTTAGTTATCACAATGCCTGAGTCTTGGGGAGTGCCACACAAACGTTATCTATTGTTACTATTGTCAATGACATCACAGCAGTTCAAATGTTTTCTGTGACTCTATTCCAGGGAAAAGCAAGTTCATGCACTGTAGGAATCCGAGAAAGCTTCTTGGATGAGCTTTCAAATTGATTCTTCAGCATGAGTAAGCTATGTACAAGTGAATTTAGAGCAGAATGTAGTTTGAACAAAAGTAACTATAAAATTCTGATAAAAGGGAAGCAGAGGGAGATTTGACTTCAGACAGAAGAGGTGATGGCACATTCAGAAAGGTAGAGATTGAACAGATGCAGCCACAAGCCAAGGAAAGCTAGCAGAAGCTGGAAAAGGCAAGGAATAGTTTCTCCCCTAGAGCCTCTAGAGAAATTGCAGCCCTGCACATACTTTGATTTTGGCCAGTTAAACTGATGTTAGACTTCTGACTCTTCCTACTTTAGTTTTTCTGAAGTGAGTGTGAGATGCAGTGAGGGGGGAACTATTCCCCTTGCCTAACTTTGGAAGCCAATCAGGAAAAAGCTATCCAACCCACCAAGCTCCTGAAATTCCCATGGGACTTCTGGTCTGTGGCCTCCCAGAATGTCATTTGATGGCGACTCAATGTTGTCAAGACTCAAAGTATGCCACAGTACCCTTGGCTTCCCCAGAAGAGATGCCACTGAAGGTCATCAGGGACATGGAAATATGCAGGGTTCCTGGTCCGCATTGTTATTTGTTAACCCATTCTTATTTGTTATGGATATTCTATTTCTTCTATATAAAACCGTGTTGGAAGAAACAATTCTGTTCTGAAAACACAGTTTGAAAATGGTAATATTGCGTGTTAAGTCAGTCTCCCCTCATTTTGTAGGTGAAGAAGCCAGGACCTTGTAGGTGAGGAAACCAGGACCTAGCCAGAGGAAACAAATGACCAAATGTTCCTAGTTTATTAGTGGCAGTACCAAACGATCCCTGGGCTACTCTGAAAACCTGACCTTCTAAATTCACAAAATCACACAAAGAAGAGGATGGTTCAGAGGCAGGACTCACTTTGGGAAACTCCGATTCACTGCTGCTCATTAGCATTTCCCAAGTTCTATATGATTTCTAACAGACTTTTCACCAGCCTTGCCACATAAATTGAATTATTCGAACAAACATGTATTATTTTTGTTTCATTTTTCAGCTGATAAAACTGAGTTTCAGTGAGGCTAAGTGGCATGCCAACAGTAAAGCATCTAGAAGTGGCAGAATGGGGGATTCAAGCTCCCAACCATCTGGCATTTTAGCATGTGGGTTCTCCTGTCTCTGAACCTGATTGTCCTATTCACAGACCCAGGATGCCTTTGTTCGGGGACCTGAGTTCCGTTAACAACAGTTAATGAATAGCTGTGTGCTGCTTTGTAATACATGACATGAAATGGAGATGCTAAATATTATCTCTTCAACCATGGGGAGAGGTGATATTTGACCAGGTCCTCACCTAGGCATCCAGAAGAGAATAACCATAGCTATAGCTGCAAAGTTGGGTCCATACTTCAATTTGAGTCAAACAGCTCATATATTCTTGTTTCCCTAAATGAAGGGTGCACTCAAGCAATTGAAAACAACTTCTGGAACAATCTTCTTCCATTACCTCTAATGGAATTGAGTGTATATGGCACACAGTGTGTGCTGGTATTTTGCAGAAACAAGGCAGGATTTTCCCATTACTCTGAGGATGGATGAGATGTGAAATGAACTCCACAGAGACCTCTCACTTTGTCACAATAGAGCTAGTGAGTCTCATTAGAAGATTTGGGGGAAAAATGCATTTTTGTTTCCTGCTTTGTATCCTCCTATGCACTTTACACTTTCCTTTTCATGCTTTTCTCTCTCTGCTGATAAATCTGGTGGCAAAAGGCCCATAAAAAGACCCAGATAAAAGGATCCACTTTGCTGTTTAAGGAAATGTCACTGCTGTTTGGAATACAAAGATCCTTCTTTGAATCTGGCATTGTCTTTTGCTTGATCGTTTGCTACTTTATGATTTTTCAAAAAATTATTATTATCCCTTTCTCCTTCTTTTTGTTTTCTTAACCTCCTGCTCACAAAGAACAGGAAAGTTTCTGCCCCTAGCTTAGAGGCTGTGTCTGTCTATGTCTCTCACCATCTGTCTGTGTATCTCCATCTCTTGTGTGTAAAAATGCTTTGGCAGATCATTCCTATCTCAGTGAATAAAGTACCCATGACAGAGAGAAATGCAGCAACCAGGAAAAAAAACGATTTGATTCATGAACATTTACTTTCTCTGGGGTCCATTTCTACCTGGACTATTTCCTTCTTTCTTTCTGTCCTCACTTTTATTAAGTTGTTTTCTCTTCAGAGCATGACATGAGATTTCCTTGCTCAAGGGCTTTAAAAAACACAAAATGTGAGAACTACAATAGTTGTAAGAGATAATTCAATCCTGTATATCTCTTCACTTTGACCTTGTAATCAAGGATAACCTTGGGTCCCTAGAGGAGCCAGCACCATGCTGGCACTGCTTAAGAGCAGGGCCTCCTCCTAGAGCCTTCTCAGGGTTGTCATAGGCACAAGACCATGCAAAGGCCCCACATGGTTATTGAGTAGTGGTCCTGCCTGGCCATGTTGCTGATGGGCACACTGAAGCCTAGAGGGAGGAAGGGCATTGCACAAGGTCACACCATGAATCACTGTTGGAACTGGGACCGGGGTCCTAGCCTCCTCACCCTTACTTTGTGCCTCATCACATAGACATAAAGAAAAGGGGATATCTTGTCAAAAGAGCAACATGGTGCCTTTTATGGCACTTGACAATTTACATTAAGAGCATTTCTGCCTGTGACCTCACTGGAGCTCAGTGACAGTGATTTTATGAGAGCTGTCCAAGGTCTCACACTAAGGAAGGGGAAGAGCCAGATTCTTCTGCTCTACTGGCTCCAATAACAAGCTTCTTCTGTTTCCATTTTGCCTTCATTCCCCCCACAGGTCTTAGCGTGGTAGAGAGTAGTTATTATTGAGCCCTTGATGTATTCTTTAGAGGTGGCAGAAAAATTTAGCAGGGTGCACCGGGCATTTTTCTTCTATAACCGGTGTTCCTGCCAGGCTACATCTCTTCCCCGAAGTAGTCATACCCCTCCTCCTCTCCATGACACTTTTTTTTTTTTTTTTTTTTTTTTTTTTTTGAGACTGAGTCTCTCTCAGTCACCCAGGCTGGAGTGCGGTGGCGCAATCTTGGCTCACTACAACCTCCGCCTTCCCAGTTCAAGCCATTCTCCTGCCTCAGCCTCCCGAGTCGCTGGGATTATAGGTGCATGCCACCAACCACTCTCGGCTAATTTTTTTTGTATTTTTAGTAGAAACAGTGTTTCACCAGGTTGGCTAGGCTGGTCTTGAATGCTTCATGACACTTTCTGTTGACATGAAGAGGTGTGTGTGGGATGAGGACAGGGAGGGTCTGATGTCTCTGAGAGCTGTCATTTGTTCTCCCTGTCCAGGTAACTAAGGCCACACTCTGGGCCATGCCTTTTCCTCAACAGGCCTCAGTTCCCATCTAAATAAAACGCTATGGTATCATGTGGGCCTCTTTAAATTTTTTTTTTTTTTTTTTGTAAAAGAGACTATTTCCTGGCTTAACAGATCGGTGCATTAAAATCCATAAATATTTGATTAGCATGTGGTCCTCAGAGAGTCTCTTGCCAGAATAGCTGAGTGGTATGTGTGCTTCTCTTCCCCTTTCTCCTTCTTCCTTCACCTTCTTCCTCCCCTCACCCCAAACATTTGGGTAATCTATTTACTAATGAACTCAATATTAATGTATCCATTTTTCTCAGTTAGTGTCAGGTTTCATTAGGAAACATGAGAGGCCTGACATTAATCGTATGAAAAATGGGTCTCAGGGAAGCTGTTGGGTTCTTGCTTCTTAACAGAAAAAGTTTCTTCAGGAAAAGGCATGATGTTTCTCTCTTTTTATTCTTTGTAAACGGAGTGTTGGCAAAGGAGTTCCTTTTTTTTGGCTTTTGTAAAGACAGCTGGCCTGATGACATTGGAGGTGTGGCAGCAGCGGACTGTGTGTGTGTGCATGTGCATGTGTGTGAGATCTCAGCAGACCTTTTAAAGTGGGACAGGGTGACCTTGCCTCTTTCTGCCTCTGCGGCACACAGATCATGTGTACCCTTCAAATCTCAGCTCCAATGCGGTGTGGCATAGTGGAAAGAGCGCTCGTGGAGTTAGACACATTGAAGTTCCTACCCTGATTCTGCCACTTGATAGTTGTGTAACCTGGAACAAAGTCAATTGCCCTCTGTGAGCCTCAGTTGCCTCATGGGCTAGATGTGAAATACTAATACCAGTTGTGAGAGAAAATTGGGGGTTTGATGGTGTTGTAGTCAGGAACCACAGATGCCTAAATCCTGCTGTGCCCATTACCTCTGCTTGCCCTGAGGGAAAGCTGGGATCAAACAGCAGCTCAAGCAGCAGCCCAGGTCTACAGCTCCCCCATCATCACCCGCAGTCAGTCTACATCCTAGTGTCTACCTGTCCCCTAGATAACTGCATTAACTCATGTGGTTGATGAGAGATAGCAATCAAAGCTGGGGGACTAAAATTACGCACACAGCTGTGAGGTCTGGAGAGGTAGAAAAGAGAGTTCCCATGGACAGGTGTGCTGTTGAGTTTTGATGACCAGGCCTGAAAGTTAAGATATTAGGTTGGTGCAAAAGTTATTGCATTTTTTTGCTATTAAAGATAATGGCAAAAAAAAAGATAATGGCAAAAAAAAAAATTACTTTTGCACCAACCCAATAATCCACCCGTATTCAGTGCCTACCAAAGCCATTAAAAAGCTAAAGCTTGGTAGATTAGTGCCAGTAGGGTGGAGGGGGGAAGAAGCACCTTCCCCTATTTTGTCTTATATGATTGATCGTTTTCTTCTACGTGTTAGGGTATGTTTTAAGTATCCTCTGTTTTTCCAATTAATTGCTAAGCTCCTTAGAGAAAGGACCTTTTCTTATGTGTGCCCAGCACAAGATGGGGCATCTGAAAAAGTTTTTGGAAAGATTTGAAGATGGGAGGAGGGCTGAATGGATGGATGAACTGATAAATGGATAGGATCTGTAGGATTGAAGGTGCTTATATGCTTCAAGAAAGGAGGTTTTAGATGCAGGTCTAGGAAGAAATAGAGGCTAAGTGGGCATGCTTTATTTGGGGGATTAAAAGGTTGGGGGAGACACATCCATTGAGGTTATATTGAGCACGAGATTGGATCAGGACACTAGTTGTCCTGAATAGTAATTTGAGTAGAAAATAATAATTAACAAATAGTCAGATGCTGCATAGAAGACTAGTAGATGCATTGGAAGAAAATGGCAATCTTTCCTAATCCTTCTGTTCTCTCCATATGTCCGTGAGGATGAGAGGATGATGAGGAAGTATTAAACACTGTGAAGTTGTAGATAGATAAATGCGAGATAATCATCGATTCCTTATTTTTTATATGAATAAGGACAAAATTAGATTTTGATAATTCCATGGAATACAGATTCTTGGTAGCACTTTGTACATGGCAAAACATGATCACATCTGTTACCTCACTTAGCTGTGTGAGAGAAGGTGAGCTAATTTATTGTACCTGCTATTGGCTTGCCCGAGGTCATGAGCACCTTGGCCTCCCACCCCCATGCCTTGGATATTAGGTCAGTTGTGTTTGCTTCTGCTTCTCCCCTTGGCTATGAGCTCACTCATTGTGCCCCATATAGTGTTTTCACTTAAAACAGTGTCTACTAGTTGGTTATTTAAAGGGAAGCTCCCCACTTTTCTCTCCATGATACCTCATTACCTAATCTCATCATTAAAAGGGAATCCCAGCAGTAAAAATTCAAACATATTGAAGTTATACAAATGCACAGAATACACTTAAGAGTTATTTTGCCTCCAGAAAGTTGCTTTCTTTCTCTACTCTTCACTGTGCTTACCTGACATAGTGTTATTACTTAACGGTGCTGTTATAAGAATGAAAAGAACAATGCTTGCAACCACCCAGTCCAATGCCAGGCATAATCACATACCTGGTCTTTTGAAACATATGGTAGATAATAAAGAATTAAAAATGACCTCTCTTTTTATTTCTCCGCATTCTAACTTCTCAGAGTTTATTAGGATAGGCCTTAATGTGCAGGAATTTTGATCTCTGCAACCCAGAAATCACAGGTCATTGCCCTGTGACCAATCCAATAATTTTGTCTTTGAATATGCCATTTAACCCATGACTATTTTTTCTCCATTGGCCTCTGTAGACCCATGTATAAAATGGGAATTCCCCATTTCATAGTAATTTGTTGCACTGATGCAGAGGTACCATAGGGTATGTGTGATTTTTTAGATTTCTCACCTAAGGTGTGATTTGCATACATGTATTTTTAAAACCCCTCTTCATTAATTTGATGTTAGCATTATTTATTCTTAATTATGCATTTATTTATATTGCTCCTCTTTCCAGAAGTAATGTTAGGTGACTTATTTATTCATGCAAACTGACAGCAAACAGATACACAGCTAAGAGGAAAAACGGAGGAGCCATACCTTTGAGCATGTATCTTGTGGTGTTTTATATTTATTTTTACATTCTCCCTTTGTGTCAGAACTTTTCATAATGGCTAAAGCTTCGAGTTCTGGGAGAGTGCTGGACCTTTTGAGGACATAGACTGACATGAACCTGAAACTTTGGGGTAGAGAACAAAGGGGTGGGGCCATATGGGAAGTCTGAGGAATCATGTGGATGGTCCTTTAAACCAGAACCCATTTGACTGGAGGCTAGAGAATCAAACATTTTAGGCAAGGTCAGGAATGTGGCAGAAAACCTAGGCTAGCCAGAACCTTCATGGCAGTGAGTTGGTGAAATTTAGTATGGCGCTGGCAAAGTACTCAACGGAATGCATAGACCACGCACAGAATAAACAGGATATATTATTCTTACTTACCAGGATTTGGGGGCTGAGGTGGGCTTCCTCCTGCAGATAGGAGATGGGGATCAAGAGATCTCCCTCTTTGTCCCTGTAGGGAAGCGCTGCATCGGGTGATGATTCCTCAGGGTTCCAGGCCCCAGAAGCCCTGACTTCCCCTTTTCACCTCTTGAAGAACTTTCTTTAATTCTTCTGAGATCTCCCTAGCTGAATGTCAAGGAAACAAAGAGCAAATTAATCCCAGCATGAGGGAGGTGGAGGTTAATTTGTATAAAGGATGAGTGACATCTTACAAAGGATTATTCCCCATACAGTCTCTTGGGAGCTGTGCACCAGTGTGCTCATACATACACTCACACTCCATGCAAGCACCTCCTTCAAACTCTTACCATTCCCCAGCACCTCCTGTCTGAGGCCTTGTTTTACAGACAGACTTAGAAAAGAGCAGAATGGGAAAATTTTTGTGTATGCCTGGTGGTCCTTTTTTTTTTTTTTTTTTTCCTTTCCAGACCTCCTGTCTCCTTAAGCTGCCTACACTCACTGCCAATTTGTTCAACGAAGCTGTCGTGTGTTGTTAATATTGTCAGGATTTATGAGCATTGCTAAATGTGTGCCTGGAATAATTTCATTTCCTTTTCTCCATTTCTGTTTTTCTCCAAATAGCAGCATGAAGGGAGAGTAGTGAGATTCCAACTCTGGGTACACATAGATATGGATTTCATTCCTAAATCTACCATTGAAGTGCTGGGTGATCTTGAGCAAGTCCCTTTTTTTTTCTTCTTGCTCTGAGTTCTTTATCTATGTTATTAGATGGGGTAATTTTTAAGGGGCCTGTGGCACTAGGATTTTATGGCTTCATTGATTTAAGGGGTTCCTCATTCAGTGAAGAACAAGACTGTGAAAAAATCCATTCTCCTTTATGGGACCTTGATTTCCCCATTAACAAAATATAAGTAAGAATGAAGTTAAACTGTAGATCTAACTTACTATGGAAATTAATGAAATGACCCTCCTACAATTCAGTTGCAAGGCCAACTCTTGACAATCAGAGTCATTAGAGGCTCAGATAATTTGCATCATACATTTTCTATGTTCCAGGTAAAACTACACTGAATTGAGGAATATATGATCAGACTGTCTTCCTAACATGGAGATGTTTGTATTGTGTTAAAGCCTAGTACTTGCCAAACATAGGAGCTTATGGTGGAGAAAATAATTCAGAAAGTCATAGCAATTTGGAGATATCATTTCTTCATTTTTCTTTCAACAAACATTTATTCATGTGTACTATGTTCCAGGCAGCATTCTGGATTCTAGAAAAGCAGAAAGGTCCTTTTAGAGCTTAAAGAAAAACTGACAATAAACATGTAAATAAATATACAAGTGATGGAATTTAAGATAGCAGTTAAGGGCTATGAATAAAATAAAGCAATGGAGTGAGCCCCTGGGGGTGCAAGGTAGAAGTTGCCATTTTACTTTATTTTATTTTGTTTTATGTTTATTGAGACAGAGTCTCACTCTGTTGCCCAGGCTGGAGTGCAGTAGCATGATCTATGCTCACTGCAACCTCTGCCTACCGGGTTCAAGCTATTCTCATGCCTCAGCCTCCTAAGTAGCTGGGATTACAGGCACAGGCCACCACGCCTGGCTAATTTTTTGTATTTTTAGTAGAGATGGTGTTTCACCATGTTGGCCAGGATGATCTCAAACTTCTGACTTCAGGTGATCCACCTGCCTCGGCCTCCCAAAGTGCTAGGATTACAGGCGTGAGCCTCCATGCCTGGTCTGAAGTTGCTATTTTAAATAATCATCAGGAAAACTTCCAGGAAGTGGTAATTGGGCTAAAACTTGAAAAATGAGAAGAGTGAGCCACAGGAGGCTCTTAGGAAACGCATTCCAAGAAGAGGGAGTGAGGACTATGAAGCCACTGTGGCTGGTGTGTAAAAGGCATTTAGCAGGGAGGGCAGTTTGGCTGGAACCAGGTGGTAGAGGCAGAATGCTGGGAGATGAAGGCAAGGAGTATGCCTGGCTTTGCTTATCATTATTCTCTCCACCGTCAAAAAAAAAAAAAAAGCCCTGATATACCACTTCTCATGTAATCCTTACAGTGACCCTGAGGGTGAATGTTGTTTTCCGCATATTAAAAATAAATGTCTCAAGGTGTGGCTGATGTATCCTAGTCTCAGGGGTCAGTGAAGGTAAGCCTGCACCTGAAAGCAGAACTTCCTGATTCCACCACCCGGCACTACCACCATGGACAGTTCCTACAAAGGCACTAAAGAGTGACCACTTTGCTCATCATATGCCAGCCCTTTTATCCCTGGAAAGAAGAGTATAGGATCTGTTTGGAGAAGGAGACAGCAAATGATGACTCTCAGGCCAACTGTAGCCCCCTACTGATTTTATTGGAAAATAGCCACACCCCTTTTTTATGTGTCTCTGGCTGCCTTCCTACTATAATAACCAAGTTAATTGTGGAAAACCATATGATCTGCAAAGCCCAAAATGTTTGCCATCTGGCTCTTTACAAAGAAAAGTTTGTTGACCTCTGGTATGCAGCATGGTTTGGAAGTGAAACCAGGTTCTGCAGCCTATTCTTCATGCACCAGGCCATTAATCTGGACAAGAGGAGTGCACAACATGGAAGCAGTGAAACACAGGCCCTGGCCTAGTGCTGACATTAACTCACCATGTGGCTCAGAGAGACCTTGTTTCTCTCCTCTTTCAATTATCTTATGTTTAAAATGGGCAAATGGACGGGTGCAGTGGATCACGCCTGTAATCCTAGCACTTTGGGAAGCTGAAGCGGGCAGATCACTTGAGGTCAGGAGTTCGAAACCAGCCTGGCCAACATGGTGAAACCCCGTCTCTACTAAAAAGCATAATAAAGTAAAATAAAATGGGCAAGTTGGACAAGATCGGTGGCTTCCAAACTCTCTTAGTAATATTTTTATTGAAGTCTTATGTGGAAGCCCAGTATCTAAAATATAATTTAAAAACTGTTCCAACCCCCCCTGCAATAACTGTGGAGCACCTACATGGGCATCTTTTGGTTATGGTGTTTTGGAGGCAGTTTGAAGATGGCTAGATCATTTTAGAGTCTGTTGCTGCTCTCACATTTTCTCTTTATAATGAACCTGGGTGGTTTCCTCATATTAGAGATGTTGAAAAAATCAGGTTTTTTTTCCTCTAAATTAAATTTTCCTTTGCAAGAGAACACATTATTTTTCCTCTCTGGCCCTCAATTTCCTCATTTGTGAGATGAGAGCGGCCATGCACACCTCACAGAATCATTCTGAACATTCAATGAGGTGGCACATGTCAATGGCAGGTGATGAGGTGGAATTAACAGGAGTTGGGAGCCTTCCAGGCATGGGTTCAGGCATCAGTTTAAATAGAAATAGCTCGATTGAGATATGATTCACATACAATATAATCTGCCTCTTTAGAGTATATAATTTGATGGATTTTAGTATATTCACAGATACATGCAACCATCACCTGTCAATTTTAGAACATTTTTATCACCGTGAAAAGAAACCCCATAATCTAACTATCAACTCCCTATCTCCCCAGCACTACCCACTCCCCTAAGCAACCACTAGTCTACTTTCTGGACATATCACACAAATGGAATCATATAATACAGAGTATTTTGTGACTGGTTTCTTTCATTAAACATAGTGTTTTCAAGGTTCATTCATGTTTTAGCATGCATCTGTATTTCATAGCTTTTTAAGGCCAACTAATATCCCATTGTATGGATATGCCATATTGAGCTGAATGTTCATTAGATGATGGACATTAGGTAGCTTCCACCTTGTGACTATTGTGAATAGTACGGTTATATACATTTGTGTATGCATCTATGTGAGCAGGTGTTAGCTCTTGCTTTAGGCAAGTGACTTAAGCCCCCAAGCCTTCATTTTCTCATCTGTTAAATAGGCTAATCCTGTGTCCTTTTTGTTGTTGTTGTTTGTTTGTTTGTTTGTTTGAGATGGAGTCTCACTGTCACCCAGGCTGAAGTATAGTGGTGCAATCTTGGTTCACTGCAAACTCTGCCTCTCTGGCTCAAGCGATTCTCACACAGCCTCCTGAGTAGCTCGGACTACACGTGTGCCACCATACCCAGCTAATTTTTGTATTTTTAGTGGAGAGAGGGTTTCACCATGTTGGCCAGGCTGGTCTTGAACTCCTGACCTCAAGTGATCCACTCACCTTGGCCTCCCAAAGTGCTGGGATTACAGGCATGAGCCACCACACCCAGCCAATCCTGTCTACTTTGTAGGCTTGTTGTGAAAGTTATGCTATAAAGGGTGGCAACACATTTAGCTAAAGCCTGACAGAGCAGATATCTGATAGCTGATTATTATTTATTATTATTATGAAGCAAAGTAGGTTTTCAAAAAAAAGAAAACAAGTTGAAGAAAAAGAATTCATTCATTTCCTTTCTTTCCCTTTTGTATTAAATCTACATTTCCTTGGTGGTGGGGAGCTGACACCCTCCCCAGTGGGCCCTACATTTTCTAGTTTTCTGGGTTCTGTCCTTTTCAGACAGAAGCTGAGGAGCCTGCCCAGTGAAGTCTGAAAGAAAATTAGCATCTAAGAACATGTGTGAAAATTAAATGGGGTATGAATGGAGGGTTGTTGAGGAGAGAGGAACTAAGAAGGCTGTAGAAAGAGGAAGGTAATTATCTTTC
The DNA here is from genome assembly GCF_000001405.40 of Homo sapiens. Taxonomy (NCBI): domain Eukaryota; kingdom Metazoa; phylum Chordata; class Mammalia; order Primates; family Hominidae; genus Homo; species Homo sapiens. The sequence continues at coordinate 117,331,857 of NC_000009.12, read as the reverse complement.
TGCATTCCAATTTTAAAAGGGAGATGAGACCCTCCCTCCCTAAGTGTTTTTGCAGTGGAATTCAGAAATTTAACTCACAGACTTCGTTTTTGGTTTTTAAATCTTCGATGGGCTTTTGTTTTAATCTTCACAAGCTGCTATCAGAGTCAAAAGTTCTGATAGAGAAGGTATGTCAGGATTGTGTTGAAAATCGCTAATATTCCAAGAGCACCCACCATAGGCCATGTGCTTGGTGCACACCACCCATTTATTTATCAATTCTTTATCCAGCACTGTATGTCAGTCATGTTTTGTATCATTGGTGGATAGATAAGTCAATGAACAAGACAGACATAGCCCTTCCTTCAGGAGGGTATGGCTTGTTATATTTAACCCTCGGAGCCCAATTTAATGGATGAGAACACCGAGGCTCAATTGATATTCTGTCTCCAAAGCCCTTCTTTCTATCAAACCCTACTGTTTGGAAGCACACACAACTGAGTCCCTTTCCAAAGCCCCTCTGTGTTGGTTTCTGGGTGACTCACTGGGCATTGGTTAGTGACCTTCATGCAAAGAACAGAAGGGAAAGAGGAAGGCAGGAAACCTCGGGCTCTAAGCCTGAAAGGAGCTAATAGCTCAGGTTCCCCCATTCTGACTTCCACACTTCAGCTTGACCATCAGTGTGAGACTCTGCCTCCAACTTACAGAAGACATAGGACATATGACTTCTGTGATTGGGACACTTAGAGTCTTCACTATCAAATACCCCCTTGCTGTGTTAGAAGTGATTCAGCCAAAAGTGACGGAAAACCCAAGTGGGTTACACAAGTAGGTGTTTGTTTCTGTCTTAGGTGTTGCATGCTGCAGGACACTGCTGAGGACACAGGGTCCCTCTGCCTGTTGCTATGTTGTGCATGGCCTGAATTCTCAAGTTCACTTCATGAGCCAACAGGCCTATCCTAGCTCTACCCAATGTGTCCTCATTCCAGCCATGGAAAGGAGAGAAGATCCGGAGAAGGGCACATCCCCTTCATTTCAGGAATTTTCTGCAAGTTAAACTAACTTCCATTTATATCCCTTTAGACAGGACTCAGTTTCATGGTTACAACTAGCTACAAAGAAAGGTGGGAATTGCCCAGTGAATTTGGGGTTTCCTATTATTGTTAAAAGGGGTACATTGCATTTGCAGCTGGGGAGGAAAGATGAGCTGTGTCTGCTACATTCTCTCTCTCCACATGTGTTCATGTAGAATGACACAGAGGAAGGGGTAGGTGGGGAGGAGGCGAAGAGGAAAAGTTATTTGAGCTGGAGGCAGGGTCTCACACCAATGGTCAAGCTGAAGTGTTGAAGTCGGGATGGAGGAACATGAGCTATTGGCTCCTTTCAGCCCTGGAGCCCTGCCGTCCTCTATTCTCTTCTGCTCTTTGCATGGAGATCACAAACCAATGCTCAGGGAGTCCCTCCAGGAACCAATCCAGAGAGGGGCTTCGGAGAGGGACTCAGGTGAAGAGCTTTGCTCTGTTTTTCCACTCATCCCCAACATCTGGCTAATTTCTCTTTCACTGTGTCTAGTTGTGTCAGTTGGGTTTCTTGAAGCCTCAGGCTGAAGTGTGTGAAAATGAGCAGGAGTTAGGCCTGAGAATTGTTCCCTCTTTGGCATTATCTGGAGTGTCCTGGTGGGAGGGTATAATGGGAGCATCCAGGTTGACTTGGGCAGGCTCTTCTTCAGGCACTCCAGCCCCATCAGCTTCCCTTATTAAGGAGAAAACCATGGGTAAAGAGAAGCAAGTCCTCAGATGGATTAAGTGTAAGGGCTGTGGAGTCACTAAGACCTGGGCTTGAGTCCATGCTTTGCCAGTTACTGGTGACCTTGGCTAAACTACTTAACCTCTCTCAGTCCTAGTTTCTTCATGGGAAAATAAGAACGATAACAGTTCCCATTTCATGGGGCAGTTTGAGAATTAAAAGGGAGAGTGCATGAGAAGTGCCAAGCACAACTCCTAGGAGAATGTGTGCTTAGCAATGGCAGTCATGTCTATTATTATTTTAGTGTCAAGCCCAGTTCCTGGAACATAGTAAACAATAAATGGTAGCTATTTTCATCACAGTCGTCTATCTTTTCTGGGCTCTGAATTTATGACCCCAGCAGCAACTGAGTATGGCCACTTTATATGGAGTCCTGAGAGCTAGAACTTCTTGCCAAGTGATCTTGGAGAAGGAATTGCATCTGGTTTCTCCTCTCACCTCCACTGCATGTCCACCCCCCTTTGTCATTTGGTTGACTAAGAATAGCAGAGTTTCCTCTCCCCTTCCTCTAAAACCCAATCCTAATTCATCTTCACCCACCAGTGCCAGGGCCCCTGAATCCATGTGAAAAAGTGAACTTAGTCTCTACCTTCAAGGGAGGGACCATTCCCTCTCCTCTCCCTCTCCTCTCCCTCTTTCCTTTCCTGTCTACATTATTATTCAGGCTTTCTTGTGTCAGCACTGGAGGGACAATGAGCTTTCCCTTCTGTTCACATATCACTGGCCAAAACTTGATCTCTACATTAAAAGAGGAAAGTGGACAAGGAACAAGGAATGGTATCTACCTCATACCTGTGTTTTCAAAAAAAATCTTGTTTCAATTATTTTAAAGGGTAGCAAATGCTTATAATAAAAATTTCAAAAAGTAAAAAAAAAAAAAAAAAAAAAAAAAGAACTTGGAAGTGCAGTAGGTTACCTGCTTGGCCTGGAAGAAGGTGCAACAGCTGCTTCCTAGAAGTCTTCCCTGACCTGTTGGGGAATGTCACACTTCCTTGGCCCTCCAGCTGCAGGTTAACCTGACAGAAGGTCACTTTGCTTCTACAGCAAGAGGCCACATTTTCCTTCTCTGAATCCCAGTAGAAGTCCAGGCTTTCCTTATAAAGTTCAGACTCCTTCGATGGCATCCAAACCTTAATTCATCTTCCTTTCCCTTTAACCTCCACAGGGCATCCACTCCACTCTTCTTTTCCTCGCCATGAGATGGCTCTCCGTCACCCACTCTATAGGGGATTTGCCATCACTTCTCACAGCGACCTGTTGCTAAACCCATTTACTCTGTGGCACTCTGGCTGGGTCATCCATGGGGCAGCTGATGAATGGCTAGAGAAAGGCCCCATGTTCTAGTCCTGATTCAGCTTTAGCCTGGCTGAGTGACCCTGTCAACCTTCAACCCCTTTCTGTGCCCATTTCCCTGGGATGAAAAATGAGGCCACTAAGCAGTCCCTCTCAGGCATAGGAGTGGTGAGGGATTAATTAACAATCATTGGGAAAGTGCTTTTCCACCGCATATAGCATATCTAGAGAATACCAATGGACTCAGTAATTATAATAATGAAAGTGGCAGGACACAGAAGGGATCATTCAGCCTGAGGTCTTTCAGGGGGCAGGTCATGGCAGAGAGATGATTCAAGAGGTTTACAGATACTCAGCTCAGCAGCTCTGAACAGTCCCAAAGTTTCTCAAATCTTACTTTTCTTTCTTTCTGTCTTTTTTTCTCTTCTTGGTATTCTATCCTCCTAGGCTGAGAGATTCTGCACATTCTATACTATCTTCCTCTGTGCTAATTTATCCCATTTGATCATGTTTAGTGTGTATGCGTGCAACCTATCCCATCTGATCATGCTTTCAATTTCATGGATGACCTTCGGGAACTACTCCAAGTTCCCTGAGTTTGCAGATGCAGAAACTGACCCCGAGTCCGAGAAAGGGAATTGTTCAGGGTTATAGAACAATTGCAAGGACTCGAGAATGAAACTCAGAATCCTGATCTAAGAATCAGAAATCTTTTCATTCCACAGCCCTCTTCTCTCCTATCCATGCCTTTGAGCTCTACTGAAATTTCCCAAGCTCGGTCCTTTAACTTTCCCTTTGGGCTTTTTCATGAAAATTAGATAGAACAAACAGTTATTGAGCACTTACTAGACGCCAAACTCTGTTGTTGGCTCTGAAATGATTGAGGCCAAAACCCTGCCGTCAAAGAGTACCTGGGACATACTATGTGTGAAATAAATCTGTTGAATGATTGCTTTATTTATCACTGGATCCCAAGCTTCTAGCATAATGCTTGTAACATGATGCTTGTTGCAGTGTCTTATTGCAAATATTTGTTGAAGGAGGGAGGATAAGGGAGCTCTTCACAACCTCCCTAGGGACTTCTGCATCGGTTTCTTCAAGCTGCTATTCAAGCTTCTTTATGTACTGCCAGGTGAATCTTCCCCAGACACACCAGTACTGTCATGATCTCCCTTTCCTGCTCACAAACTTTCAGCAGCTGCCCATTTTTTACTTAACATATGCACACTTCCTTGCTTGGCACACTTGACCTTCTCAGATGTGGTCTCAACTCTCCTCTTCAGCCTGCCTCCAATGGCTACCTCCTTGAACATAAACCCTATCTACTGTAACCCCCACTGTCCTGCTTTATATACTTCCATGCATTTCTACCATGGGACTGTTGCTTATCTGCTCTCACTGCCTGGAGTCCATCCCCTCCAGGTGCTGCTGTAGGTTGTCATGGGGACTGATAAGGAAGTAATTAGGGTGTCCTCAAATGTCTCAATTGTCGGTGTTGGGAGTCCCCAATCCCTGGGCCACAGACCAGTACCAGTCCATGGCCTGGTGGGAACCAGATGGCACAGCAGGAGGTGAGCAGTGGGCAGCGAGCAATTACCACCTGAGCTCCATCTCCTGTCAGATCAGCCATGGCATTAGATATGCATAGGAGCACGAACCCTATTGTGAACTGCATACTTGAGGGTTCTAGGTTGCATGCTCTTCATGAGACTCTAATGTCTGATGATATGAGGTGGAGCAGTTTTATCCCAAAACCAGTCCCCCACAACTCCCCTGGTCTGTGGAAAAATTGTCTTTCATGAAACAGGTACCTAGTGCCAAAAAGGTTGGGGACCATTGCTCTACGTCCTTGAGGATTTAACTTATATCCACTGCTCCATTAACTGGTAAAATGTTTATCCTTCAAATTCCATATCAAGTGTCATTTTGTCTTTGAGGACTTACTTATCACCATCACTTCCATATAGATTCAGCACTCTTTTATCTTGGCTCACCCTAATTTCTTGAAGATACTCTCTCTTGGCACTTGGAACACTTCATCACCCATACTGATTTATGGGTCTGCCTTTCCACATATCAGTTTCCTAGCTGCTTAGTGGGTCGGGACTGTGTTCGTATCCCCAATTTCAATCCTCTAATACAGAAGTGGGTGCTCCTGATTCTTCTATCAAAGCAAGAAATGGTTTAGTCCCTTGTGTATTAAGCCTTTTGTACATTCTTCTCCCTTCTCCCACAACTACCATGGGAAATGATGTTTTCATTTTCCACTGCAGAATTTTCTTTGGGCAATTCGATATCTCTGCTTGCACTCACTGGTATTATTTATATGCCTGTTTTTTTTCCTTATGATCTGTGCTCAGCCTCCAGTTTTAAGTATTGTGAAAAATGGGAGAGTAAGGAGCTAAAGCTTGTTTGAGTCTTGACTCTGCCATTAACATGCTCTGTGACTTTGGGCAAAACCCTCTTTTTCTCCGAATACTTATTTCATTTCCATGTCTATAAAAAAGGCACTGGACTAAAATTAGAGATCTCAAACTGGCTGCCCACAGTCCACATCTGGCATGCAGATATCATTTTGTTTGGCTCATATTTTGTTAAATTAAAAAAAAAACAGAGAAGTTTCCAAAGTGAGAAAAAAATGAGAATTTTCACACAACAGCTGGATTTCCAGCTTCTCTTGAAAAATTAGAAGAGCTGCCAAAACTGGGCTTCCTTCCTGCATGGCAATGTGTGCTGTGAAGCTCCGCTGTGTGGCCTCTTCTGAAAGGGATGAGAATGCCCCACCCCTCCCTCAGGGTAACTCCCTAAGGCCAAGTGTCAGTTGTCATTTGTCATCAGGCATGTACTATGGCTGTTCTTCCATCTCTTCTGCTCCAAGCACTTATATGACCTGCCTGGGGACTGACAGCGTTGAGTTTGGGACTCCTGGATTAGATGATTATTAAGGACCCCTTCAGGTCTGAAATGCATATTTCCACTTTCTTCTTCCACCTCTGTTCACCTCACTCCTTTTCCAGCCTCTCCATCTCTAACAATCCTCAAACCCTGCCCAGTTATTTGTCTGGGAGGGCGTGAGGGAAAGTGGCATTATCTTGACAACAGAACATTTTTCCCTTCCTGTAATCCCTGCATGTCTATCCTAATTACTTCCTTATCAGTCTCCGTGAGGACACACAGCAGGTAATTATGGGGGAATTGATGAGACACTCTTCATCATTTAGGAGTCTGCTGGAAAGGGAAGAGGGGAAAAGGAGATTCCAAATTCAGGGAGGAGAGGGGGGTTTCAAGCCCAGGTGTCCAGCTCCTTTGTTATGAGATCAATCTCAGTCTGCCCAGCTCAGACTTGAGACTGGCCAGACTGACTGTTTTAATGAACATCAGAGAGGCTGCCTGAAGAGCCCATGGCAATGAAAAAGACAGGAGGAGGGCAACTGTCTGCATCTGGCTATAGGGTCAGAAACTGAGAGGTGAGCCTGTACACTCTGGCCCAGACATCCCCATGTGGATAATCCAGAATTGTCTTGTGGCATCTGGAAGGGGAGGCCAGAATCTGTGTTGGACTGGCCAGAGTCTAGCCTGTCATCAGCCTCTCCCTCAGGGCTCAGGGTGAAAAGTCTATGCTTCAGATGGCGTCTCTTGTCTGCTTGTTTTATTAATAAATATGTTACATGGATGATTCCACTCTCTGTTATCAACCCACTTCTCCTGGACATTGAAACAAGTTCAGTGCTCCTGAAATGCAGCATGCCAGGTCCCAGACCCATCACCGCCTCTCAGAATTCCCAGCTTTAGGGGCCTAGACAAGTTCTGCCTCTGCATTAAATTTCTCCCCATAGCACTCCCTTTCACTCCCACTGCCCATAGATATATCCCTTCCTTTTGAGGGTAGAGTAGACAGAGAGCTATCCAAGGTATCTCATCCCTCCTTAAACTGTTTAAATCTCTGCAGTGGCTACCCATGGATATCAGGAGAAATTCCAGATCCTTAGCATGGCCTGGGAGGTCTGGCATGCTTCAGCCTCTGCCCAGCTCTCTAGCCTCACCACTTGCTATGGCCTCTCCCTGCCTCCCCAAATCTATGTACTGGGATTGCATAATTTTTTTTCTAGTTTTTTGAAGGATCCATGATATGGTTTGTCTGTGTCCCCACCCAAATCTCATCTTGAATTGTAATCCCCATAATCCCCACATGTCAAGGGAGGGACCCAGTGGGAGGTGACTGTATCATGGGGGCCATTCCCTCATGCTGTTCTCATGATAGTGAGTTCTCACAGGATATGATGGTTTTGTAAGTGTTTGGCAAGTCCCTCTTTCACTCACTCTTCTCTCTCCTGCTGCCTTGTGAAGAAGGTGCCTGCTTCCCCTTCTGCTATGATCGTAAGTTTCTTGAGGTCACTTCAGCCATGCAGAACTGTGAACCAATTAAACCTCCTTTGTCTACAAATTACCCAGTCTCACGTAATATCTTTATAGCAGTGTGAGAATGGACTAATACCATCCATATTTGGATCTATTGTTTCCTTATGTTCACATATCTGTTCACCTTGGCTGGAACACTTTTGTCCTTTCTCTTTCCCTGGAAAATTCTACTCATCCTATAGCTCCCAGCATAGGTGTCCTGGCCTCCTGTGAGCTTGCATGAGTGTGGCTGGGTTGGGCTTCCTTTTTCACCTTCCATAGCCACCTGTTGCTCGTCCCATCAAGCATTTTTTTCACATGGGATTATGTACTGTATGGGCTGATTGGCACTTCTTTCTCCTTAGTTAGGAGGGCACATGACTGACTACATATGTCTTATTTATCATTGTGTCCCCTGAATTTAGCATGGTGTCCAGCCGATATTTGGGCACTCAGTAAATATTTGTTGGTCGATTAAGTGAAGTGAGTTACACAGATGTAGATTTAACTCAGTTTTACTCTGAGTGTTCATTCCTCATCAACAAAGTATGTGTGTCATAATAACTGCCTAGCTACAACAAGGGCTAAAATAAAAAATATATATATAAAGAAAGAAAAGAAATTAGAATGTTTGCAACAGGAAACCTTGTGGGAAATAATTAGTATTAGAAGGAGGGTGAATCCTGGACATATTTCACACTGAAAACATTGTTGAGTTATAATACTGAAGGTTTCTTTGTGCTTGTTGAGCCTCTTCCATGCCCCCACCTCCAGCCTCTTTGAATGAATCCAATGTCAGTGATTCAGAGTAAGAACAGGGAGTGGGATGGTGTTCTGAAGGGTGGGGGCTGGAGTAAAGCCATTGCCAGAGATATTGGGAAGTCTTCAGGCTGGCAAAGCCATAAACCTTTCGGAAGCTAAGATCCATGTTCCCTGAAGAGGCTCTATCTAAGGCCGGAGCAAAGAGGTTAATTCCAGACGTTGGGTAAATGCAGTTAGGATCAAATGGTAGTGGTGGTGGTGGTAGTCTTTGAGGGGTTAGGTCTTGATTGATTGCCTGGAATGCCAGTTTATATTTGAGAATGAGGCTTTGGGGGGTCAGAGGTGGGGCAGACAGACTGTGCACAGATCAGTTTAATGCAGACAATTTTCTGATTTTGTAGGAGAAATTGTTCTTTTCATGGTATCTCTGTGTGTATATGTATATGTGTGTGTGTGCACACATAAAAATGAGTCACTCTGTCTCTGCACCAGACATACTATGGGAATGGATACACTTCAGACCCCAGGACTGTCAATCTAACATCAGGGCTAAAACTAAATTAAAACAAAAATCTGCAGAGAGGAATTGGAATACCGTAGTATTTTTGTTACCTTTATTAAATTCTGGACTTGACTCTAGGAGAGTAGAAGGAAAAAAAAATTATTGTTCTTATTTCAGCCCCGAAGGTCCCCATTACTGGAAAGGTTGAAGGAAAATAATAACACCACCAGAGACAGGAGAGTGTTGAAAATGCCCATAGTCCTCTGCTTTGGTCTGTGCTGCTGTGGAAAGAAATCTTCCATTGCCCTGGGTCTCCAGCCCAACTTGTGCCTGTGCTGGGGGCCCAGGCATACACATCAACAAAGCTCATACCAACCTGCCTGCCACTTCACTGCCCAGATTCAACAGGATTTATGGCCTGGTAAGGAGGAAGCAGCAAGGTGCACCTCCCCAAGACCTAAAAGCCCAAGGCAGAGGGCTCTGTCTTTGGCTACTGTAGGAAGCAAGATGGCAAGCATGCAAATGGGAAGACAGAAGGTCAGAAAGGCAGAATGTCAGCCATGCAGACTTAAGTCCATATGCCCAGTTGTGCCATTTGCTGCCTGTGTGATGTTAGATGAGTTATCTCTGCTCTCTGGGAACGAATTACTCCCTAGAAACGTGGAGTAATAGTAGTAGCCTATGATGCAACATTAACATAAAGACATACCAAGATAGGATATACACAGTAGGACTGACACATGGCAGGTGATCATTAAGTGTTAGCCTTCTGTTCATACACGTATTTATTCAGTGCTAGGGCACGGTGTTAAGAACTAGAATTTGAAAATGAATGAAGAAGAGACCTTCCCCTCAAAATGTGCAGTTTTGTTCAAGAGTGCAGAGGGATAACCATAATGTGATAAGGGGGAGTACAACTTGCTGTCAAACAGAGGAGGGGTCTATCTCCTATCCCATCATAGGACATTCTAGAAAGCTTTGCAAAGAAGTGATCCCTGAATTATGGAGCAATAAAGGCTTGCCCGGGGATAAGATGGGGAGGGAGGGAGGGAGAAGATTCCAAACAGAGGGACCAGAATACACAGGCTAGAGTGGTGAAAGACACCATGGCTTTTTTAAAGAATTTGCTTTGTATTAATTGGATTAGTAAATTTTCATCATTTTCTCTTTACAGCAGTAGTTCTCAACAGGAGGTGATTTTTCTCCTAAAGGACATTTGACCATATTTGGAGCCAGTTTTGGTTGTCACAACTGGTGGAGCAGGGAATGCTACTGGTGTCTAATGAGTAGAGGCCAGGGAGGCTGCTCAACATCCCTACAATGCACAAGATAGCGCCCACCTCAAATAATTATCTGGCTTAAAATGTGAATAGTTCCAATGTTGAGAAGCTCTGTTCTAGAGCATCAGAACCTGGCCTGGCAGAGAAGGTGGTTACCTATTTGGTTTAAGATGAATCACAGAACATCCCCACTCCTTGCCCAAATATCCGCTAGTTTTGTCACCATGGTGACCCCTCCTGTCTTGGAGTTGGAGATGCATGACAGTGAACTTTCATGGTGTTTATAACTTGATTCCATTCCTCTGAATTTTTTACTAGGAGCTATGTATACCTTAGCCTGAATTTATTCATGACATTATTCAGTTGTTTAGCAAAGAATGGTGGGAGTGGGGCACACAGCTTTGGATAGGAGTCTATAACATTTTGGAACTGGTTTGTTTAGAGAGAAGGTTGGGAAGGCCAGAGAGAGGCCCTGAAATCTGAGACTGATCCCTGCAGCCAGAAAGATTTATGGTTTTCTGGAGACAAAAATATTTTGTTGAGTATCTGCTCTCAACCTGGTACTGATCTAGGCATGCCACTGCATAATTTCCTGCAGACCTGCCTGATTCTTCTACTGCATCCACAGATATTCACTAAGCACCCGCTGTATGACAGCCACTGTTCAAAGTGTTGGACCTCATGGTTGCCTTCCTATGAATTTAGGCAGGCGTGTTTCTCTCACCACCTGGGCTAGAAGTTTGGTTTTGGTCTGTAGTGGACAACACTGTGTGAAAAAAAACTGATGGGGCACATTGTGTGTCCTTGCTTGACAGAGTTGTGGAGGAGATGGGCATTTTTACACATCTAGAATGTGCACAAGCAAGCAGCACACCAGAACATCAGGCTGTCCATCACCCCAAGATGCCTCTGCAGGTTTCACATTTTAATTCCAAGACTTCCTTTGATCTGTGCCATCACATTTGTCCCAGGCTGGGATGCAAAGTGGAAATCAGTGCTGTTCTTCTGATTGGCTATGCAGCATGATCAGGTGGGGGTGGCAGTTACGGGGAGTTTGGGGTTGAGGAAGGATCACCTGACTGTAGGTAAGGAAATCAAAGGGCTATGAGAGAGGCAATTAGCACATGTGACAGTGCTGCTCAGAGTCCGTGAATGCTCCCCAGAGTGCCTTGAAAGGAGGCACAAAGTGGTGGTTCTAGTCACTAAGGAGGGGCAGAGTCATGTTATGGAGTCAATACAGACTTTAAAGTTAGACCAACTTGGGATATGAAGTTCAACTCTGTGACTTTTGGAAAGTTACTTAACCTCTCTGAACCTATTTCCTCATAGGTTGTGACAGTATAGTAATCCTTACCCCTCAGTATGATTCTAAGCAGCAAATATAATCCTATATGGAAAAGCCCTGGCCTGTGGTGAGCTGTTTTATGTGAAAAGAGCCATGCAAGACAGTCTTGTTTGAGGATTTTCAAACTTGAGTATTGCATAAAGTCAACCCAGACAGAAGCTGAATAAATGCAGAATCCTGGGCTTCTGCCAGATTCCTGAGTTCTGTATTTCATTTCAGTTCAGTTCAGTTCTGTATTTTATTTCAGTTATGTGTTTCATTTCATTGTGGGCCTTGAGATCTGTATTTCGGTGAGCATCCCAGTCATCCTTACTGCTGCTAAGCCTCAGTTTTCTCTGTGCTCAAACAGGGGAAATAATAATAATCTCTAAGATCAATGCCTCTCCTCACTACTGACAAAACTAGTTCACTTCCTTGTTTAATTTGACTTTGCTACCCTGTGAAGTAGGTATCATCACTGTCCTCATTTTTTGGAGGAGGCAAAAGAACCATAAAGTTCATTTAAAAGAAATTCTACTTGAATCCACTTTCAGTGAATCAATTCTGATGTTGTTGACTTAAACCTGTGGTGCAGTAGAGAAATTAAGGGGTTGGGAACTGGGCAGCCTATGTCTCCCACTAAATGTCTTGATGGGTTTTGGGAATTACCGCCTTCATGTGCAGATCTCTTGGCCTCATTTTTTGTTGTGTCTAATGGGGTCTTGCTGACAGGGAGGAAACTCAAATACCTCATTGAGCCTTAATAATGCCCTGTGAAGGCCAGGTAGGGTGGCTAATGCCTGTAATCCCAGCATGTTGGGAGGCCAAGGCAGGTGGATCACTTGAGGCCAGGAGTTTGAGACCAGCCTGGCCAACATGGCGAAATCCTCCAATCTCTACATTAAAAAAAAAAAAAAAAATTGCTGGGCATGATGGCATGTGACTGTAATCCTAGCTACTCTGGAGGCTGAGGCATGAGAATTGCCTGAACTGGGCGGTGGAGGTTGCAGGGAACCAAGATTGCACCAATGCACTCCAGCCTGGGCAATAGAGTGAGATGCTGTCTCAAAAAAAGAAAAATAATATTAATGCCTTGTGAAGTAGACTGGGATGAATTTGTTATCCCCATTTTACAGTTGAGTCAAGTAAAATGACTTTCCTGAATTCATACAATTATTAAGTGGTAGAACCCAGGTTTTATTACTATTATTTCTACTATGCTAAGTGTCCCACTGTGCTGCTGGGAGGAAGAATTGGACTAAAATAGAGGTGAGCATTCATTGAGTATTAGATTGTCACATGGAAGGTGAGACTATAGATCTGCATAAAACAACCCATTATGGGGCCTCACTACATATTTAATAAAAAAAAGCTCATCCATACAAAGAGGAGCACAGCCTTTAATGATTACTTCAATCTTATCGGAATAAATGGTTCTTTTGGAGAAAATTGTTCACCTTTGGAAGAGAAGGAATTTTTCCCAGGAGTCCTCAGAAGAAGCAATTTTCCAAGAGGTGCCCTGTAGAAAACAAATGGGCCTTAATTTGCCTCCCGCAGTGACTAGTTGAAACTCGCCCCCGCTTCCCCAGCTCAGAGGAGCGGCTGAACCAGCACCTCTTGGTCCTTTAGGAGTACTTTATTTTCATGAAGTGCCTTATAACAATAAGATCTCAGAACCTGGGCAGCTCCAGGCCTTTTGCAAGGGAGTACCATGTGGGAGAAGCAGCAGCTGATTGCTCAGGCATGGGACTGAGACGTGTACCTGCTTGAGCCCTCGATTTTCCTTCACAGACAGAGGACATTGGATGTGTTCATTCTAAAGCCCCTCTGGCTTCATATTTGGTGGCCAGGTCAGCTCATTTGTACCTTGAGTCTGACTGTGAGAGTGTCAAGCTGGGCAAACAGGAAAGGTGTGGCTTATTCTTCAGAGTGTACAGCATGACTAAATTAACCTCGATGTTGAAATTCCTGGCCTCCCTGGTACCAGAGGCTCTTCAACATCTGATAACTCTCACAGGTGTCTCTCTCCTCCAAGCCAGGAAGAAGAAAAGCCTAAGATTAACCAAGCCTGGATGGGAACCCCACAGAATTTGTAGTAGCCCAAACTCTAAGATCGCTGTGGTCATGTTGGATTCAGATGCACCATAATAATGACCATAATACCTAACATTTTTTAAATGTTGATTTTTCTGCCAGGCAAGTTTTTAAGTGCTGTCCTCACAAAACTTAGTGATAAGGATGGACATTATCAGTGTCCCCATATTACAGATAGAAACACTGAGGCATAGAGAACACAAGCAACTTTCTAAAGGCACCCAAATTCATGAGTAGCAGAGGTGGGATTTGAACCTAGTCAGGCTGGCTCCAGAAAGCACACCTTTATCTCTGTGCTATGCTGCTTCACTCATGAATATGATGCAACTTGTCCTACAGTTTCATTCTGCCTGCATCCCACTGTGGTTTCAACAGGAGTTCAAAAGAAAGAAGGATGAGCTCCAAAGGGGAAAGGGCTGATACCCTTGGATCTCTTGGATCTGATACCCTTGCTGAGTTCCCAGCTCCTCTGACCAGGTGTGTGACCACCTTAGGCATCTCAGTCCTGCCAGCTCTCTGTCCTGGGTCACAGCCCCTCTCTGGAGTGGACAGATAAGAGCTGGCACTAAGGGAGTCAGGGACCTGCCAGTGCACTGACCTGTGAGTGCACTGTGTAGAGGGCTGGGCTCTCTGGGGCATCCTCTCATCAGTTTTTCCTGGGGTTCTCATGAGCCAGTCTCTTCTTTGATGTCAATGGCTGGTGATGGATGGAAGTGTGGTTCCTCCCAGGAGAATCTACAGACTCCCAGGGGCACTTAAAGCATCTTTAAAAAGAGCCCTGGGCTTGACACTCTTGATATCATAGGGATTGGGGAATGAGCCGGGTATCTGGAGATGTGAGTTAAAACCCTAGTTCTGCCATTAACTAACTATGGGCAGGAGACTTAGCTATCTTGGAACCAGTTATCCTACCTGCAAAATGGAGTCAAGAACTTACATTCATTAGTGTATTCATTCAACAAATCTGCACCAAGCAGCTGCTACTTCCTTCCCAGGCATTGTCGGGCTCTGCTGACTCAGCACAGAATAATATCTAGATAGGGCCACCCCTAAGTTCCATTTTAGTCCTGTCATTTGAGGGGTCTACAGATGACCACTGGGACTTATGGTGAGCTGATGAGAAACACGGAAGGAGGCAGAGGCATTGGGAGGCTTCCTGAGGCTCTGAAATACCTTCAGGAAGTGCAAAGCTATTCAACATAAAAGGCTCCAAATCTGTTCCATTTCAGCCTCCTGAGGAAAATGGGATTCTCTGTGTGTGTTTATGTGTGTGTGCATGTGTGTATGAGAGAGAGACATACACAGAGAGAGAGAGAGTGAGGAGAGTGGCAGCAGATAGGGGAGGGAAAGTAGAGGGAAAACAGAAGGAACAGCAGAAGAAATAAGAAAGCAGTCACAAAGGGGAGAGGCAAAAAGATAAGAGAAGCAGAGAGAATTAAACAGAGCCAGAGGGCTCTCCATTTATATACCTGAGGCCCAGATACACCCAGTGTGTTTCCTTCTGGTCTCCATTCAGCCTCACTGCATCTTTCTTGGACAACTTCTGACCTTCGTTGGGCCCAGACCAAAGGATCCCCAGGCCCAAGGCAACATCTGCGAGATATCTATAAGCTGTCTGGATGTCAGGAAACTGCTCACGCCCCCATAGCAGTTTGTGGTTTATTCTTCTCCCTATGAGGCCCATATGGAAACCTGAAATGGGGAGGCCCAGCATTGTGCTGATTTTAAGGAGTTAGAGTGTTCCGGTCATTCAATGGAGGCAGAAACACAATTCTGAGGGAGTGATGTCCTCAGCCAGAGTGCATACCAGCAGATTGAGCATCTTCCCACATTCCTCTAGGGCAGAGCTTCTAGCTCCTTCATGGTCACTTATATATAGTACCATGGTCAAGACACCAATGTCGATGAGCCGTCACATGACCCCTTCCATCGCTCCCCACCCTGGGAGGCTCTCATGAGGGAGAGAGTGAAGAAACTACCATTTAGTGAGAACCCAACATACAATTCTTTATCTCTCCCTCCCTCCATCCATCTGTCATTCATTCTCTCCCTCTCCCACCGCTCACCCCACCTCCAATTCTCAACACTGTCCTGCAAGTGAGATTTAATTATCCTCAGTTTATTAGTGAGATATCCCCAGGCACAGACCAGGAGCTGACTTACTAGAAGGTACTCAGGTCATCTGTGTTGAAGCCAGCACACATCACAATGCTGCCTGATTCCAGAAGCCCATAATCAGGGAAGCTATTGCAGAGGAGTGGTTAATTGCATGGGCTGGAGAGCGAGAAAGTGGAGTGTTTGAGTCTAAGCCATGCAATTTGTGATGGGTTGTCAAATCTTCGAGCACTTTAGTTTTTTCATCTGCAAGATGGGCTTAATATGAGTATCTACCTCCTAGTATTGTGAAGGTTACATGAGATAGCTCATTCAGATAACTTAGAAGAGTGCTTGGCACATGGCGAGCAGTCAATAGACGTTGCCTATTATGACTACCATCTGCCCACAATTTTGTGTAGTCAGGGGAGCCTATACTTATGTGCCTGGAGGTTTTACTCTCTGAAGTTCTTCAATGTCCAAATACTTAATATTGGATTTCTTTTTCACTTCTTATTGTGGAGTGCTCCCACTTTAAATTAAAAAGACCTTCAGGCAAACATGAATCTCAACGAGAATCAGGGAGAGCTGACCCATTCTATGATGGGCTGAATTTAAGGAACTGAAACTCAACATAATGAAAAGTTCTGCTCATGGGTCCAAAGAAAACCAATTGCACAACATTTTGAAGAAAGAAAAAGGAGATGAGCATTTACTGAGAACTGCTGTATGTCAGAATATGCATACATCACAGCAGCCCTGGCTGAGAAGGTGTTCTTACTCCCATTTCATAAATGAGGAAACAGCCTGGGACAGTGCCAGTGATTTGTCCAAGTTCTCAGGTCTGGTAAGAAGCCTAGTTGGATTACCTTGATCATGATCCAGGCTGGCTTTAAACTCACATGGTTGGCGGCTGGGAGAGGGCTGGCAAAGCAGTGCACCTTCACTGTTCTAACAACTCAGCTGAGTGCGCAGGCAGTGCCTCTAATTGTGATTCTTAAAGGAAACTGGAAAATAGGCACGGCTGTGTCATTGCTGAGAATTACATAAGACCTTCTTAAACACCACTGTGCTTGTTCCTTGAAATAGAGAAAAGAGGAGAAAAATACCTTGTATAATATTTTAAAGTTCATGAAACATCTGGAAGTGCTTTAGGTCATTTAGGGAGGTGTAATCACTTATAGTTTTAGCAAGGCTAGAGGTGCTAAATTCAGGAGATTTTGATAGAAAACATCTCCAGGTATGTTGGAGTAAGCATTTGGTATTACTGTCATGAATATGCCTTGAAGGAATTAGTTATTATATATTTATATATATTAAGTAATATATTATTATATATTGCATATATTTCATCATACCAATATTATGTTATGTGTATATTATATTACATATTAATATATCATGCTAGATTTACAATATAATAAAAATATATTTATATAAATAGTTGTACATATATATTTATAATATTACGTATACTTATATGATTATAATTATAATTATATAGTTATATAAAATATATAGTATATTATATAATTTATATATAGTTGTATGTTACATATAATACTACATATAATTATATTACATTACTATATGACATATAATTATATGTGATTATATAATATAATAAATATACCATAAAAATTATAAAAACATATCATATATAATTATACATATTTTATATAATAATTATAATTATATATTGTATATTATAAAATAAATTAATACAATATAAAATATATGATAATATGTGTTTTATGATATATAATATAATATAATATGATAATATATAACCCTACTTGGTTTAGATCTGGGTAGGGGGTATATTGAGAAAATCCAGCAGCTAAGACAGCAACCGCAGGGCCACAGGTCCTTGGCTCATATTTTAAATTGGGGGGGTGGGCTATATTTAGATCTTGGCACAAGAGAAGTGAACTTGCTTTCGGAAGTGTTCCTCCAGGTTTGGCCAAGAGCACTCACTGTCTGAACCCTGTGTCTTCATTGCTAATGCAGACCCTTTTCCTCCCAGGATGCTGCTTGTTCAGCATGAATAAGACTTCCCATCTATATGTCACTTCATGCAAACATTCATGGTGGGGGTGGGGAGGTTAACTCTGTGTGTGTCTACCTGTGAGTGAAACGGATGCATTGTTAGCAGTGTTTTATGAAAACAATCAAATGCAAAGCACCAGTAACTACAGATGTCTCTATCTTTTTCAGCAAGGTGTCTTTGGGGATTTAAGCCTTAAGGAATCATCTAGCAGTGCATTAGAAATCTGTTAAAAGCTTCTGCCTGTTAGTTAGGGAAAAGATACATAATGCTTTTGTTTTGCACAAAACAAGGAGGGAATTTTTAGGAAGGGAGAAGTGGGAAGGAGAGTTTAGGAAGCATGGAGGTAAGTGTCAAAGTACAAAGGGATAAAGGAGAAATTCAGATACAATTTAGAAGGTTGAGAAAGAAAGGTCTGGTTGAGTCTGGTTTTCAAGGCTTTCTATAGCTTTTTCAATTTTCCTTGAGGCAGTGAAATTCTGCTCCTCCTTGCACATGCAGGACTGTGTCCTAAACCATCTATTCACATGAAAACTCTGTGTCTTACCATGTGAGTCCTTTCCAAGTGTCTAACTGGCTGGTTCTGGAGGCTCCTGGCTTGGGGAGTTTGGTGACTTTGGCCCCCATTTATCAATCAGTGGCACTCAATGTCTTGTATATCCTCAACTTGTGCCTGAAAAGCTTTTCCCCACTTCACTTGGTAAACACCTGTCCATTCTTCATGATTGCACATAGTCCTCATCTGCCCAGGAAACTGCCTATGGTTGCTTCTTAAGGCATCATTAAGCATCTTCTTCTTTGCGCCACCTCTCTGTCATGTTCCTGTCTCTGGGACTGCACTTCTCAGGCTGCCTTGAGTGCATGTGATGAGCTGAATGTCCACCTGACCACCCTGAGGCCCCATTGAGCAGCAGAAGACCTTGTCTGACTCCTCCCTGTCTCTGGCTGCCTTGGAACTGGAGCTTAGTAAATATGATAAAATCCAAACGGAAGAGCCAGGTCAGAACCAAAGCCCAGGTTTTGACTTTCCTGAGAATCTGTCAGAAGCACCTGTGTGCCCTCCTCAAGGCTCTTTCCATCAAACACTGCACAGGGGACTCTAGTGCAGGTAGTG
Source organism: Homo sapiens (assembly GCF_000001405.40). Taxonomy (NCBI): domain Eukaryota; kingdom Metazoa; phylum Chordata; class Mammalia; order Primates; family Hominidae; genus Homo; species Homo sapiens. The sequence continues at coordinate 117,313,164 of NC_000009.12, read as the reverse complement.
AGGGCAGAGGAGATTGAGATTGCCACCCTGGTGTTACGTGTGAACACCTTAAGTGCTCTAATGAGTGAGGATTCTGAACGTGGGTTCCTAAATTCTGGCATTATTTCCTTTGTCAAGCATTAGGCAGAAAGAAGGAAAGCCACATAAAAAGTGAAGCCGTGTAAATAAACAAATGGGTGTCAACAAGACTCTGGGGTTTGCAAATTTTCATTTGGGAGTGAGATATCACTGAGACAGGCAGGGGCACCCACATGGCCTTGATGCATTTTCCATGGGTTTTTTTTACGGTTTTGTTGGTTTCCTAAAAGGATTCAAAATGTTTCCAAAATGGAAAGGCCTTATGGAGCCTTAGACATCTGATCCTTTCATTTCAAAGGTTAGGGGCTGAGGCCCAGGGAGGGGAATGGTTGTGTTCAAAGTTACGGAGCAGAAGTGAATGGCAGAGCTGATATGGAGCCCTGGACCCTGAGTTTTTGTCCTGATGACTTAAGAACCAAGACTAGACCAGAGAATCCCAAACCTCAGGCATTTCAGGGCCATCCTTATCATTTTGACCATGTCTGCATTCTGTCTTTTGCTTCTGATTTTTAATTTTTCTAAAGTAATATCTGTATTGTAAATGGAAACTTCAATAGCATAATGATGATTGGAAAACTAATATCACTTACTAAAATTAGAAGGCTACTATAAAAACAAGTCCGGTGAAAGCAAAGCAATTCCTTGACACTCTAGCCAGTTGAGACTAACAGTCCGCCTGGGATTTGAGCCTGAAGCCTGCTTTCTCTGGCTTGTTAAAGACCTTGTAGCACCTAACCACCTCCTGGTGGTTAACAAAAAACTGAAAGGGACTGGAGAGGATGTAACGTTTTTATTTTGTGATTCTCTATTTATTACTTTGATGAAAATAGCCTACATGTTAGTCATCCTCTTAACCAGCATAGGTGCATTTTCCCACTCTTTGGAAAAATTTTCCTGAATATATTAGCAACAAGAGAGAAGTCTCTGGGGGGAAGAAGGGCATTTCTTTCTACCTTAGTAATAGCTGATATGTGTCTAGTGCTTTAGTGTTTTACATATGGGGTACCTCCTTTGATAAATACAGTAAACTATTGCAAGATGGGGAGGGAATGGTAACTTGACTAAGGCCTTTTGGGGACTTACTTTTGGAGCTGGGGTTCACATTGGTGGTGGAGCTCTGGAGCTTCCTCTAACCATGCTATTCTGGTCATAATGGGGGGTGGGCTCTGATTCCTTTGGACTTGTTCTTCCTGAGGCAAATTAGGAAGAGCTTCAACAGGGATAGACTATGGGTGTCATGGAAAAATTATTTGTTCACTTCACGAACATTCATGAGCATCTACTGTGGGCCACGTACTATTCTAGGCAGGGCACAGCAGTGAACAAAAGAGGCAAAACCCCTTATATCTGTGGGGCTTACTTTCTAGTGTGTATCTCTGTGTGTGTGGGACAATTAAAAAGAATGAATATATCAGTCAATAAAGAGGTTTTTTTTGGAGAGTGAATGGCAGGCTGCCTGATTTCTTCTTCTGAGCTTGATCTTACATACTGAGTGACTTTGGGTTTATTCTGCTCCTCACTTTCTGCATCTGTAAAACAAAGGGTTCGATAGATGAGACTCTGATGCTGAGGCTCTGAGATTCTGGATGGGCTATGCTCCCTTCTCACTTGGTGTGAAGGCCAGAAAAAGAGTGGATGGCAATCTCATGAGCTTTCACTTTGGGCTGGGTCCTAGGAGCCAGAATAACTGGTATGTGCCTCTGGTGGGAAACAGGGCTCTGAAAATCATTCCAGACCGGTCACTAACAGGGTCTGCCGGAGATGATTTCATTAGGAGGATAAATTTAGAAATCAATTATAAACGTTCTGTCATCTTCCTCATGTCTTCTCGTAAAGTAGCTTTTTTTTTTTTTTTTTCTGTAAGCCTACCATTTATTGAGGGCTTGCCTCTATGCCTGATGCAGTACTAAGCACTTTATATGCATTATCTCAATTAAGCTTGGAGCAGCCCTGTCTTAAATTGAGTTCTCCAGAAGCAGACCCTAGGCTGAGGAGATGAATGCAAGTAATTTCTTTTGGAGGTGGTCCCAGGGAGCCCCAGTAGGGGAAGAGAGACAGGCAGGAAGGGGAGCCAATGAAGGGCATATAATTGATCAAGGACTGCTGTGGGCAACTGGGGTTCAATCTCATTGGAGACCTCTGGAAGACAGGATAGAACATGTCCAAATGGCAGAGTACAGTGGCTCATGCCTGTAAGCAATTTGGGAAACCAAGGCGGGAAGATTGCTTGAGCCCAGTAATTCAAGACCAGCCTAGGCAACATAGTGAGACTCCATCACTACAAAAAATAAAACATTATCTGGGTGTGGTGGCGCGTGCTTGTAGTCCTTAGGTGGCTGAGGTGCGAGGATTGTTTGAGCCTAGGAGGTCCAGGCTGCAGTGAGTCGTGATCATACCACTGCACTCCAGCCTGGACAACAGAGCAGGAGACGCTATCTCAAAAAACAAACAAACAATAACAACAACAAAACCGTGCCCAGGAATTATCCCACACTAGGGCATTTATCCTCCACCTCCCATCTGTCCTTGGCTAAGGGCTGCTCTTGGTTGGGGTGAAGATAGGTGGAAGACTTAAAACTCCATGACATTTCTGGCCTGCCCTGCATGAGGACTAGGAAAGCAGGGACTTCAGGTGTCTTCAGGAGAATGCTTTACTACACTGTACTAGAAAGACGAGCGCCAAGGAAGAGGTGGGAAAGACCTCAAGAATGACAAATTCTGACTCTGATATTGCTGGCCTGGAAGGCAGGAAGATAGATGCAGGAACAGAGATGCCTCCAAGATCTTCTCTTAGTGCGAGAGAGAAAGTAAGCCTTCCACCCCTGGGGCTATAGGATTAGCAAACCTATTTTACAGGTAAGTTAACTGAGGACAAGTGAGGGAAAGGTGTTTGACTGAGAAAAAGTGATGCCGCCCTCTCAAACCTGTTATATATTGATGCATGTTTGCATGTATGTATTTGTGTATATGTGTACACACATACATATATGTTTGGCTCAGAGAAGGGAAGACAGTATTGGCTGCACACCCTGTCAAGTTACCCCATTATTTACCCCATTCCAGAGATGAAGAAACAGGCTCAGAAAGGAAAAGTGTCAAAGACAGGACCAGCTACATAATTTGCAGGGCCCAGTGCAAAATGAAAACGTGGGGGCCTTTGCTTGTAATTTCAAGATGGTGACAGCAGAGCCTTAAACTCAGCATGGGACCTTTCTAAATGCTAGGCCCTATGTGACCTCACAAGATTCCAGAGCAATTAAGGGGGTACCTCTGGAACCACCCATCTGCTTGCCTCCCACACTTGTCTTCTAATCCTCTACACCCAGCTGCTTCCAGGGCTGTTCAGAGTGAATTCTATGGGAAAGGGTCCTAGATTTGGTATAGGAGGGCTGCCCCACTTTTTTGTAGCCAAATCCCTTTCCCTCTCTTGGCCTCAGTTGGCTTATCTGTAAATTAGGATTGCTAATCCTATAACCTTAGGGATGGAAGGTTTGCTTTATCTCTAGCACTTGGAGAAGAACTTGGAGGCATCACTGTTCCTGCATCTATCTTCCTGCCTTCTGGGTCAGCAATATCAGGGTGAAGAGTTGTCATTCTTAAAAACGCATGGCCTGCCATAAAGCGCATTCTGCAAACAGTATTGATCTTAGGGGTCAGAAGGCTAGATTCTAGTCCTAGTTCAGACATTGGCCAAGCCACTTCATCTTTTTTAACCTCAGTTTTGCTAAGTCTAGATTCTCTCTTAAGGTCTATCTAGCTCTGCTGTCTTAGGCTAAATAACTGATTTTGTGTCAGCTACCATAAGTAGTAGATGCAGCCAGTGGCAGAAGGGGCAGTAAAAGGAATGGCTTAGGCCAAGGACCCAGAAGTACAGCTGAGGGAGTCTGAATGCCACCTCTGCTGCTGAAATACTGTGTGATTTTCATGTAGTGTCTGCACTTCTCTGAGCCAAACGTGTGTACATATACACATGTACATACACACATACATAAATGAATATATAATGTGATATAATAACCATCTTGAAAGGTAGTTGTGAGGATTATGCAGGAAAACATGCATAATAGGCTTGATGGATAATTAATGCCCATAGTGGTAAAAGCTGACTTATGGAAGGGGAGGTCATTTTTCATCTCTCTTTCTTCACTGATTTGGAAAGTTCACTCAAGTTTTCACATGCCATATGCAACAGGCATTAGCCGCACTAGTCTAGGAGTTTCATGGATGAAAAATCCTGTTCTGTCCCCTCACTGCCAGCATCTCCTATGAAGTCCAGCACAGAGAAGGGGCTCAGTGTTTGTTATTTTTTTTTTTAAAGGTAGATGAACTAGACCACCTTTTAAAGCTGTCCTCTCCCTCTCCTTTTTCTCCTCCTCTTGCCAATCCTGTCCATTCTCCTGTCCTACTCTATTTCTCCTTTTGTTCCCCAAACTTTCTCTTCTTATCCAGGTCCCTGTTCCTTGATCAGCCTGGAAAAATGACTCTGCAGTGCACTTGGCCTCTTCCAGGGAGTGAAACTCCTGAAAGTGCACTTGAAATGAGGAGGATTCCAGAGGCCAGGCAGTAGTAACACATCCTGCTTCCTTCCAGATTCTCCTGAGTTTTTAAAATGCTTTGAGGCAAGCAGATGTGCTCCATACTAACTGCATTTAGTGCCTTAGAATAGTGCCTTCACCTCTGGGAATCTCAGTTTTTTTCTCTGTAAAATGGGCTTGCTAATAGGTCCCTCGAGGGTGTGTTGAGCATGAATTGCAGTGTGCAACATTGATAAGCATAATGTCTGGCTGTATGGAAAGTGAAGGAGTATTAATGCATTATTTCTCCTTTTTGTTTGTTTGATTGATTGATTGATTGATTGATTGATTGATTGATTTTGCCCCAGCATCCAGGACATCAGCTTTGGCTTCCTGGCCAGGTTTCCTGCATGGTGTGTGGAAGCCAGAGTCCCAGAGGAAGGTCACTGGGCCGCCTGGAGCTGGGAATCAGAGGACCTTTTTCTGCCATGTGTCAGTATCTCTCTCTTTCAAGGACACCAGGCTGAGGGGATAAAATAGCAAATCAGTGGAAATTTTTTTCCCATAACAAAATCAGAAAGGATTAAGTGGATGGACAGTTCGAGAACAAGGCTGTTCTGCTCTTCTGTGCTCTACAGCAGTCTGTCAGTCATACCAGAAAAGAGGAAACAGGCTTTCAGGAGACCGCAGGAGAGGATTTGGTCTTTCTGTTTGAGTGCAAAACGTGGCCTCTAGGAAGAAAGATCCAGAGATATTTCAGAGGCTCAGAAGGACATTTCCTGATGTCATTTATGTACCCATGTATTTGAGGACACACATGAGGGCTTGGGTATGCCCTTGGGTTAAAACCTGTTTTGGCAGGCATGTGCATGCCTGAGCACATATGCATATGTCTGCCCATGAAGGTGGCCATGTGCCTACCTGTGTAAAGAACCAGTGCACACATATGCTGGTCTGAACATTCACAATGGAGCATGCATGATGTACATATGTGGGCGAACCTAGTGAGCACATTACAGGAGCATGCATGTGGGAGGGCCTTACATATCCCTGTGAACACTGTGTTGTCAAAGTTTTCACATACGTATGTGCATATCTACATGAGGATGCAAGTTTACGTGTGTCATGGAATGCATCAATGTGCACACATACAGAAATACTCATGATGTCAGTGTTAGGAGGGAGCAGTTTTATAGAATGTGTGTGTGAGGTTTTACATGCAAAACCTTCTACTCTGTAGCATTATTGTCTGTATTCATACATGAACACATCAGTCTGTGCAGACATGCATGCGTATGAGGAAACAGCCATATGTGAACATATATGTTTGTGCATAGGAGGAGATATGAATGCTTTCCTGTCAGATTCAGATGCATAGATTCACAAGGAAGTACATGTGTTTGTGAGCACACTTGTACTTTAAGAGAACAGACATATAAATGGGTGTGTTCCCCCGGTTGAACATTTTCACAGGGGTTTTTAGGTTGTATAAACATGGCTTTTTGTGTACCTATGATCCATTTAGCCTGATTGAATGTATATACGCCCTAGAGATGATTTATCTAACTTGGTCCTCACTCCCAATGTTCCCAATGCCAGTAAACAGCCTGATTCCCTCTGTGATAGGCACACCTGCCCATCACAAGGACATTCCTCCTGGCTCTGGCAACATGTTCCTTCTAGTATATTTCACATCACATAGTAGATAGGAATTAGGGTGGTGGTTATGAGGGAAAGAGTTACAGCCCTGAGTCAGTGGTCATTAAAGAAAAACATTCAAAAAAGGTGCATGGGATGAGTGGATGGGACACCAGCTAGATGGGCCCCCCTTCTCCTAGTTCCTATTCTCAGATAAATAATAGAGCTGAGACTTGTGTATAAGGTTTATCATGTAGACTGGAAGGTGTAGTTGTCGCTGTTTTCTGATAGCATAACACAGTTTCCATTAAGACAGTGTGAGATCAAAGCATCTTTACTAACAGCATTCTTTAGTAAATCCTCTGAACAGCCTCTGAAGATGCCATGTCTATTCCCATTTTACAGGTGAGAAAAGTGAGGTTCAGAAAGGGAAGTGCGTTCCCCGGGTGAAACAGCACATCAGTGGCAGAGCAAGGAGGCTACTCAGAATCTGGCAGGTAGAGTACAGAGAGCGTGTCCTTGAGGTCAAGAGGCTGGATTCTCACCAGCCCTATCCCTGACTTGCTATGTAACCTGGGATAACTCCCCTGTTCTCTCTGAGTTTCAGCTTTCTTGACTCTAAATGAGAAGTGGAGACCCAGGAAAATTATGCCCAAAAGCTTCCACAAAGGGCTTGGTGCAGGAAACGCTCTCTGGAAACATTTGCTGAGTTGACAAAGTCTACTCTAAGTTTAGAGTTTCTGTGATTCTGGAAATGGAAAGAACCAAGTGGGGTGGGAGCCAGAGGGAGGTGTGACAATTGAGATGTCTTGATTTCTAGTCCGACACCCTGAGGATATTCCAGGTTGTAACCACAGTGGCCTGAAGAGGATATTCAAAGGATGTATCTTTTCCTTTTTCCAGGAATTTACAATCAAAGACAGGCTCTGTTGCTTCAAAGCAAGTGATCTCAAATGATGTCTATATTAACTGGAGTAAAAGCAATTTATTTGTGTAGCACCGCAGAGGAGATAGTAGTAGCAACATTCACTGCTGCAGACATTATTGAGCACAGACATGTGCTGGTTCTTGTGCTGGCACAGTAACTCAGCATTGTTACCTGTGGCTTTATCATTATCCTTAAGTCATGGGAATGTCAGGAGTTTGAAATGAGATATGTGCACACAGCTAAGAACAGAGACTCGCACAGAGTAAGCACTTAATAAGTGTTAGCCTTTTTATTATTTTTAGATTAAGTGGTTACATTTTACCAGGCACTGTCTAGGTACTGTGATACATGATGACTAAGACAAACCAGTGCTTGCCTTCCTGGCTTTCATGCTCCAGTGATTATTATGACGCTACTTTCACCAGTTTATATGATGAAAGTGAGATTTTGAGAAGTTAAGTGATTTCTGGAAGGTTATTCAACTAATAGAGTGGCAGAGGTGGGAATCCAGGTGGCTGGTTTTAGAGCTTGAGTCCTGGCCCTGTGCTATATTGGGGAGCTGATGTATTTAAAAAAATAGCAGGGAATTTCAGCCTTTCCTGTTGAGCCTCTTGGTTTCAGTTTTCTAGACATCTTCCACCAGGTTGATTGGCATTAATCATAACCATGACTTTTGCACAGGGAACATTCTATTTAAAGTTCTTTCTGGTGAATTTTTCCTTTTACTGCCTCCAATGACCTAGGGAAGGAGTCAGAGGAGGGATCAGTCCCCACATTTGACAGATGAGAAGACAGGCTCAAAGAAATGAATGCCTCACCAAAGGTCACAGAGCAAAGACAAGAGTGGAATTCCACTTTTCCTACTGCTAGCCTGGCAATATGGGAACAACATTCTGTCATGTCACCTGCAGAGAGGAGTCTGGCATCTTGCACTGAATTAAAAGGTGTCCCCACAGTGGTCCCAGGACTTCTCGTGTCTGACCCCATCGGAGAGGGGCTTGATCTGTCATAATTCAGGCACACACTGTTCTGGTGGGAAGGGACATTAAATAACCTTAGCCATTTTTTCATCTTTCTCTGATGCAGAGAGAAAATCAAGAGGGTCGTTAGTTCCCTCCTCCCCACCCTCAGCCTGGCATCCTGTAATCACCCCTTCCTTGCCACAGGGCACCATCTGTGGCCGGCCTAAATTGGACTGAATGGTGTGGAATTGCAAGTCAAAAGGGTCCTGTAATCATTCCACTGACGGCCTGGGGCTCTGTGCTCCAGCACCACGTCATAAATAAGGGTAATGGAGTAGAGGCTGAATTACAATCAAGGCTGCTGTGAACACACCGAACAGGCATGGAGCTTATTTAAGGAATATAGAGGCAGACTACACTCCTGAAGCAGTACTGTTGAAGCCAATCAATACTCACTCACTCTCAAATCAGAGCCACAGAGACTTTGATTAGAAGGAGGAGGGGCTGAGGGAAATACGGCAGGATCCCTCTTAGGGCAAAATTTCAACATCAGTTTGTTCTGTGCTACACATGCCCATTAAGCACCAACTCTGAGCTAGGTGTTAGGGAGGTAGTGGGCAGCAAAAGAGACAAGGCTTTTAGTTTTAAGAAGCTCAGAGACTTGGGGAGGAGAGGGTAGGTGAAGCATGAAATAACTGAAGCAATGATTACATATAGCGTGACACGCACAGAGCAGGAAAGCCCAACCCCATCTTGTGGTGGGGTGAGGGGGGATGCTGCATAAAGGAGGCGGCATCTTCCAGTTAGCTATTGCTGTGTAACAAACACCCCAAAACTTAGTGGCTTATGACAATTGATTTGCTCCTATTTATATGGGCTGGTTATTTACGCTGAGCTTAGTTGGGCACTTCGTATGGTCTTGGCTGATCTCTATGGGCTCTCTCCTGCATCTGTGGTCAGCCGGCAGGTTTGCTAGCAGCAGGATGACCCAGGTTGGCTTCTCTCACATATTCTGTGGTTAGCAGCAGGTTTTGTCTGGGGCAGCATAGGCAGATGGGCCATCCTTCTCTCTGCCTCCATCAAGCTAATCTCACATGACAATTGCAGGGATCCCAGGAGCATCAAGAGGGGGCAAGCCCCAGTACATAAACGCTTTTCAAATCTCTGAGTGTGTCACTTTCGTCATTTTCCCATTGGCTAGAGAAAGTCCTGCAGCCAACTCTGATTCAAGGGGAGGAAAAACAGACTCACCTCTTGACAGGGATATCTGCAATGTCACATGACACTGGTTTAGATGTAAAGAGGAGGAGAGCTGTTGACTGTTTGTGTAGTCTACTTACATCTGAGTTCTGAAGATTAAGAGTTAGGTTGGTAAAAAACAGTGAAACAGAGAACAGTGAAAAACAAGGATATGGATCTATGAGCATAAAGGCAGGGGCACATGGAGGAATGACAGAGCAGAGATAGACAAGGCACAGGAGAGCTCAGTTGTCCTGGTTTGGCTGCATCAAATGTCATTTGGTCCAGGTTGGTGCCGTTTGGATAGATGGCATAGGGGGCTATAAAGCAGGGGTGAAGGAGAGGGTAGGGGACAGGTAAAACAAGGTGTGCTTAGTCTGAGGAGCTCTTACTTGGTCCTTCCCACTTCTCGTTCTTAATCTCTCCGAGTCCCCTTCCTGCACACTCTACCTCAGTATTCCAATCTGTGAAATTGGAGTCAGGAATTTCACCATGCTGTCCTCTTTACTTGGGTTTCTATTTTAATCTTGTATCAGTCAATATTTGTCAGGCTCCTGCTGTTGCAAAAATTGCTGAGCTACCAAAAAGGACACAGAGGAGATAAAAGCAATTCCTGGTCCAGAAGACTCTTATGATCTAGCAAAAGTCATGAGAATTAGGGATGGGTGAAGTTCGTGAAGTCAGGGAAGGAAGTAGAAGCCTGCCAGGGGAGTTGAGGGCTCAGGAGAGGGAGAGGGCATTTTGAACTGGGCTCTTAGAGGGTCACTTCAGCTGGGTTTTGAATGATGGGTAACATCCATGTATGCAGAAGAAAAGATTAAGGCATTTCAGGCAGGTGACATGGTCTGAACAAAGGCTAAGAGGTAAGAATGTTGCTTGGGGCTAGTGGACCATGATATGATTCCCATAAGCAATGGATTTAGGCCAGCGTCTGACCCTGGGGATTAATTCATCATATAAAGGTATTCCTTTAAGCCTTGCCTCTCCCATCTTTCTGCAAATAGCTGTTGGACTTAATGTCAAGTATGTTTATTCTTCTAGGCTCTGTTTGGTCACTGGGTTTTACAGGTTTCATTTTTCCTCCTCACACATCACACTGCATGGTGCCATGCTTTCCTGACTCATTGCATTTTACATGTCAGGTCTGAATCCATGCATGTGGCATTCAGATGCTGAGTCCCCTGGGTTGGGGTGTGGGGGTTGGGGTTGACAAGTCAGACTTAGAAACAGAGACTTAAGATGCCCTCTTGGCAGCATCTTCAGGAGAGTTGGAAGGGGCCCTGGCATTATAAGGGATTTTTACCACTCCTTGTCCCGCATACTGCTAAATTACTTTTGGGATTTAAGGAGGTTCTGCCTCTCCTCTCAGTGAATCCTTGTCTCGTTGTTCTTCTAAACAATGAGATCAGAAGAACACTGCATCATGATGCTGTGTGATTTAAGGCAAGTTGCTACTCTTCTCTGGTCCTTATTTAACATATTAGTAAAATGGGTGGGATAGATCATTGATCTCTATCCCTTTACACTCTCTTCCTGTTGTAATTTTCCATGATTCCAGATCGTTGCTGTAGGGATAACTTTAAAAGGTTTACGGGGCACTGGGGACAAGGTGGAAGGGTCTTGGAAACTGTTTACAAGTAAAGTAGGAAGTTTTATCTCTGTGACTGCTGCCTCCTTTTTCTTTATATTTGGTACTGTCACCCCCCCTCCCACCCCCACCACTTTTCTCAAAACAACCAGGTGCTTCTTGCCTTGACAGTGGTGAGATAGAAAAGAGTGACGAGAAGACAGACAACTGACAGGGAGTTCCATAGGCTAAATGCTGCTCTAGGCTCCTTCCAATGCATTATCTCCTGTTATTCTCACAGCTATCATAAGAGATTGATTTTATGATTCCCATTCTTTCATGTGAGGCCAGTGAGGCTCAGAGAGGTGAACTTAATTTGTTAAAGGTCAACCCAGTGAAATATAGGAAGGAGCAAAGTGATCTTAAAAACTCATTCACCGTAAGACAGAATGCTTCATATACCTCTTTCCCAGGAGATATTTGCATCTTAAAAACAGAGGAAACAAAGGACTTTACTATGATGAAATGGATAGGCAGAGCACCTGAGTGACCTGGAAGGATGCCTACTGCCCTGGTACTTATCATATCACACCTCCTGGCATACACTTGATTCCTCGATCTCTTTACTCAAATATGCAAGCTCCTTTCTCAGCCTATGTAGGACAGTGGTGAAAACACTGAATTTGGAATCTGTGAATCAGGGTTTGGAAAAGTGTAGTCCCCTTTTAGGGCCTCAGACATCTCAGCTGAAAACTCGGTGTTCTACTATCTACTTTACCTATGTGGGTTTCCTATGAGGGCTAAATGCGACAATGAATGAAAGCCCTTAGCCTGGCACGTAAGTAGGTGTTAGCAAAGGTTAGTTCCTGTCTCCATTCTTTAGTCACCCACTCTCTGCATCAGTTTGCAATGTTGTGGGACAAGGAAGAGGAGAAGAAGAAGTAGAAAAACTCATTGACATTGGGCTGTGTTTTTAAAAAGAGAGACAGAGAGAGCATGCAAACATAGAAACCAAGGGCATATCATGAAGCGAAATGACAAAGACCAAGCAAAGAAATACAGCAAGGAGAGAGGGAAATGGTACGGGAGAGAATAACTAGGAGTAATGAGAATCAATTCCAGCAACCCTCTATCTATTTCCAAATCTAATCTGAAACGATATGCTTTTCTCCCTTGCCAATAGCTCTTAATTCTTCTCTTCCCCTCCCTTATTTAACTGGGTATAACTGTATTATTTATCTTCACTGAGTGGCTTGGGAAAACAGTTTCATGTAAAAGATGCAGTTCCCAAAGGAGGTGGTAATGGGCAGATTGGAGGCAGAGGCAGAGATGAGCGCTGACAGCTGGGGTTGGGGAGGAGGAGTCTAAGGCACCTCTGGAGTCTGGAGACTCTAATCCCACTATTTGAAGAGTACCATTCTTTCCAGAAGAGCTTGAGTCTGTTCTCCAGCTGCTGCCAGAGGGCTTTGGCCATGTTGTGGCCCCTGCCACTTCTCCACCTTCTGTCCCCACGGGTGACCTCCCAAACCTAGCATACCATTGGCATTATCCTGTGGGCATTTAACCTGGCCTGACATCAGGATCTCTTAGAATTATGAAATGTCCAGATTATAGACTCTCCCTGCTTGCCCTGTCCAATCTCCTGATAAATGAGGAGCATTAACTGACCTCTCACGTGTGTTCCTGTAACAAGCTGTACCTCCTATCTTGTGGTCATTACCACACACTTATCATCTTTGCTGACTTTCCTTTTTCTGCTCTCCTAGATTGTGACTTTCTTGAAGACAAGAAACTCAGAAAATGTACATTTAGTGATACATTGATTTGACAAATATTTATTGCACACCTGCAGCATGCTAAATAATGAAGACTGTAATGTCCTAGACAGGCATCGCCTTCTACTATGAATTAATGATTAAATGGGTGGATGACTGAAAAAACTGAAGCAAGGGGAAATGCTTGCTGCTGCTTAGAGGGAACAAAGGAATATCCAGACTAAACTGGAAAGTCTGTGAGGATAGTAGTCAAATTGATCTTTTCCTCCAATCTATCCTTAGGACCTAGCACTGTGCCTGGCACATTTCAGATAGTCAGTAGATAATTATTGGAAGGTATATTGATGGATGAAGTATGTCGTTGGATGATTGCATTTGCTTTCAGTACTAACTGTAAAACTTTGCAGATTTCCAAGCATGTTGCTATGTATGGCCTTATTTTCTCTCAGTTCTACATTAGATGTGATGTAAGTAGGCCAGACTGTGACCCCCATTTTACAAGTAAAGAAAATCATAGAGGCTCTGTAATTTGTGCTCCAGGATACCAGTCAGGTGCTGTAGAGGGATCACAAAAATATAAGCTTCTGACTCAAAATTTAGTATTCTCTTCACTAACCCAGGCTGTTTAATTAAGTCAGAATGACTGTGGTCCATCCATTCACCCATTCACCCATCAGTCCATCCACCTTGTCATCTTAATTCATGATATATGGAGAGCTTTATTAACCTCTGAGCTCGGGCTTGGTCTGATTGCATAAAGGAGCCCCAAGTGGGACCTGGCACTTGTATTATTCTGCTAGGTGATGCTCCATGGGCAAGAGTTGGTAACCCCCAGCCTCTCTCTATAATGGTGGCTTCTGCGTTTTATACCGGTTCCCCCCACTGTATCCCTTTGTACATTTGTGACCTTCTTGCCTTCCTTCCCTTGTGCCAATTCTCCATCTGAAGTGCCCTCTTGCCACACAGCCATTTGTTGAAATCTTGCCAATTCTTTGAGACTCCTCCATGAAGAGTTTTTAGATCCAGCCAGAAGTAATCTCCTTTCCTCTAAGCTTTCTACTTTGCTTTATAGCTATTTATAGCATGTCTTTTCTCAGCCCCTTGGACTAAGCTCCTGAGGACAGAGTCCCACAATGCCAGCTCTCAGAAGAGGTTGGTTGACTAAATGAATCTTTAAAGTGAGTATTTGCATCTGCTACAGAGGTAAAATATAGTCAGTATAAAAAACGTAGAGAAAAGTGAATGAGAATATGATTAAAATCACCTCTGATCCCACTATTTAGTGAGTGCCATTCTTCGTGGTCCAGTGTATTTTTTTTCCAGCTGTTTATACACATACTCATGTCTAAACAGAATCATAACAGAGTCCATTTTCTATATGAACTTCCCCTATCTCACTTCATGAAAATATAAGCTCCTTGAAAATTAACATTTCTTTCTTTTCATGTGCATGCTCCAGGATGTTAGGTAAATTTCTGTAGAGTTGCTGTATGGGAATCCAGCCATTATTGACACCCCAAGTTGCTGTCTCTTCTCTCTGTCCTCTGGAAACACTCATCTGACTTCAAATATGGGACGGCTCAATTAAACATACAGAACATTTATGGAGCCCCTATTCAGTTCAGCCACTGTACCAGGCACCAGGCTACACAAATAATTCTGACATGTCCCTGCACTAGGATCCAATAAGGGAAGTCAGCTGTATAGACTATTTTAAGATATATATATATACACACACACACACACACACACACACACACATACATATGCACATATATATATATATATATATACACATATATATATACACACACCAAGACAGTAGTAAAAGAGGATACTATAACTATGTATATGAAGTAATATATAACAAATGTAACTGTGGAGTGCTGTCTAAGTATCAAGACCAACCTAACAGCTAATTTGTTTGTATTATCTCATTTGATTCTAAAAACGACCCTGTGAGGCAGGTGCTGTTATTATCCTCATTTGGTAGATGGGGGAACTGAGGCATGAAGAAGCGAAGAGCTTGCCCAAAAACACACAGGTTGAACACATGGGACCTGGGATGCAAATTCAAGCAGTTGGTCTCCAGACCCTGTGATCTTATGCAGCATGCAATATTCCTCCTTATGAAAGCATGGAGGAGCACAACATATTAAATTAGGAAAAACACATAGTATATGTGGTACGTTATATAAATATCTGGTGAGAATTAATATTTAAGTGCAAGGAAAGGCATAGGAAGAGATCAGACTGGGGAGAAATGCACATAACAGGCCAGGAAGGGCCTTGTGTGTCTGGTTCAATAAATTAGGTTTTATTATGAGGGATAGTAGAAAACATTGGAGGGTTTTGAGCAATGGAATTATATGGTCAGTTTGACAAGTTAGAAATTTCATCCTGGTAGCCATTTAATGGTTGGCTGGAAGGAAGGAAGCCCGAAGGTAGGGATACCTGTTAAGGAGCCTATTCATTTACTTCTTGAGATCCCCTTTCCCACCTGCTGTGCACCCAGGAAGGCTGACTTATATGATTTGTTTCATTTAAGCATTCTTGGGCGTTTAGTCAAGGTCAACTTGTGTGAGACACCTGCAAAAAATTGGTGGGTAGAAGGAGGATGAGGTTGGGAAATTACCCTCTTGAAAGCTTCCATCCTAGGTTGTGCATTGGCAGTGGCTGGATTATTTTAGAAAAAGCTATAGTTCTTATCTGGTAGCTATATGGTAGCCCTTTCCTACAGCTATGGCATTTTTAGGGTTTGATAATCCCCCATCCCCACCATCCCTTGCCCCTTCAGGCCTAGGGTGGTAACAATTCCTTGCTGTTATCAATGTGGGAGTACTTCGTTGCTCATCATTAGTTTGCCTTAACCTAGCCCAAGCCTTTGTAAATGCTCCCTTCATTAAACACTTCTCATTGACCTTCCTGAGTATGTCTCCTCTTCTCTGATGAGACCCTGACTGGCACAGAACCATTTGCAATAGCCCATGAGAGAGATGATAAAGCTTTGCATTAATTAAGCATTTTAGAGATGAAAAAGGGCATGAGTATTTGCGATTATTTCCCAGGCTCACTCAGCAAGACTTGATGTGTGACAATCACCCATGAATGCTGGAATAGCTAGTGGCAAGGTTGGTTAAAGTCAACACCACTACCTTTCCCAACTCTTTCTGCCCGGGCGGTGAGTTCATCTCATGTAATGTCTGCTTTCCCCACAGTGAGAAAAAGATCATTTGCAAACTCATTGGAAGCTTTCTCTGGGCTTCAGCAAATAATCTGCTGGAGGGTCAGCTGGTGCTGTAGAATCAGAAGGCCGGTTAGTTAGCCACTTGGGAGATGTTACCAAGATGGCTGGTGATGAGAAGAGCTGCTTATTTTCTTAATGACCTTCAGGAATTAAATAAAAATACAATGAGTGCCATAGATTAGGAAGAACAAGCCGATTAAAAGCACAACATGCCTTTGGGATTTTTTATTTCTTTTCCGGGAGGCTGAAAGGCATCAGTGGCCACCGAGGCAGGATGGCAGTCTACCCAGAATCACTGATGAAGGCTGATCCTCTCTCTCAGCTTCTGTGGGGCAGTTGAGGGGATTTGAGCCTGTTGAATATTTCACGAGTTGCAGCCCATGGGGGAGAGCAGAAAAAGGTGAAAAGGCAATCCCTGTGTTTCTTTATGATTCCAATATAAAACCAAGCTATCCAGGGTGGGAGGGAGGCAGGCACTGGAGTCAGCCTACTGCCAAAAGGCATGGTGCACCAATTCTCCCACTTTAATATCTGCTGTTTCATTTTATATTCATCATGTCAGCATAATCTGCCTTTATGGGAATCATCTTGGTTCCTGACCCAATGCATTTAGTCCCCCTTTTGCTTAAACTTTGATTGTAATATGACTTGGAGACTTCAATGAAATGTTTATATGGAAGGAGTAGGGGAAGAGAAAAGGGAAAATGCAATTGGAAAATCAATCAGCAGAGAATCTCAAGAACTGGTTTTGGTCATGTTACTGTTCTATTAACCTGTTTTTAAGGGACACAGGACTGGTTTTCTGACCAAGTGTACTCTACTGGTTCTGAATAAAATGTACACAGTATCACCAAGCATTCAAAGCCCTTAACTCTGTGTGTGAATTACATTTCTTTCTTTCTTTCTTTCTTTCTTTTTTTTTTTTTTTTTTTTTTTTTTGAGATGCAGTCTCACTCTGTTGCCCAGGCTGAAGTGCAGTGGCACCATCTCAGCTCACTGCAACCTCCACCTCCCGGGTTCAAGTGATTCTCCTGCCTCAGCCTTCCGAGTAGCTGGGACTACAGGTGTATGCCACCATGCCTGGCTAATTTTTGTATTTTTAGTAGAGGCGGGATTTCACCATATTGGCCTGGCTGGTCTCGAACTCTTGACCTCGTGATCCGCCCACCTAGGCCTCCCAAAGTGCAGGTATTACAGGTGTGAGCCACCACGCCAGGCCCTGAACTACATTTCTCACCTGACATTCTGCTCCACTCCGACATACACACGCAGCTTCATGCCCCTGCGATGACCAGCTGATCTCTATGCCTTCTCCTCCTCCTCTCTGAGGGACATGAATCTGTCCATCCTCTGCAATGCTCCTACCACCACCTTCTGGAAGTAGTTCTTGGTTGCAAGCTGGGAGAGTCTTTTCCCACTTTGGAGTTTTCAATCGACCTTTACTTCTTCTTCTTCTTTTTTTTTTTTAATTCTCTGATGAAATGTAACACTCTTTGAATTCTATTTTTTAGTCCCTCCACCATTTTATTATGGATGTGTGCAAGTAAGTGTGTTACTGAGTCACTGAAATATATGTAAATACATAAATATATATATACCAAATCACTGAAATATATATATATATGCATTAAGCATTTTAAAGATGAAAAAGGGCATGAGTATTTGAAATATATATACATATATGTATGTAACTCAGTGATTCAGTAATTATTTACTGAGCATGTATTATGTGCCAAGCACTTTCCAAAGTGCGTGAGAGATGGCAGGAAATAAGACACACAAGGTCTCTGCTCTCCTGGAGAGAGAGACAATAAACACATGTTCAAGGAAATGTAAAGCATAAATTTATTTCTTTCTTTCGTTCTTTCTTTCTTATTTTATTTTATTTTATTTTAAAGACAGGGTCTCATTCTGTTGCCCAGGCTGGAGTGCAGTGGCGCAATCTTGGCTCCCTGCAACCTCCACTTTCCGAGTTCAAGCGATTCTTGGGCCTCTGCCTCCTGAGTAGCTGGGATTACAGGTACATGCCACCATGCTTGGTTAATTTTTGTATTTTTAGTAGAGATGGGCTTTCACCATGTTGGCCGGGCTGGTCTCAAATGCCTGGCTTCAAGTGATCCGCCTGCCTCGGCCTCTCAAAATGCTGAGATTACAGGTGTGAGCCACTGCACCCAGCCTGAATTTCTAATCATGATAACTGCTGTAGAAAGTTTTTGTAAAAGGGATATAATAAAGGTTGGATGTGTGTGAAGAGGACCACTTCAGCTAGAGTGGACAGGCACAGCTTTTCCAAGCAGGTATCATTTGGACTGAGAGACAAACACTGAGAAGAAGACAGCTCATAGGTTCTGGGAGGAGAGCGCTAGGAATGTTGGGCAGAAAGTACTCATGGCCTGAGACAAGTGGGAGTCTGCCTTGTTTGAGAAACAGTTGTAAGTCCTGCAGGGATGGAGTGTGTGAAGAAGGGGTGATGGTAGAAGATAGTCCCGATAACACACAGTTGCCTGGACCATGGTCAATGGAGAGTGTGTATGTGTATGGACAGTAACATGGGCAAGGAGACATTTGGCTGGGTAGAATTTCCACTGCTAAATGATTATGAGCTCCCTGAAGGCAAGGCTATGTCTCATTTAACTCCGTGTTCTGAGCTATTGAGCTGCCTGGGATTGAGTAGGTGTTTGATAAGTATGTTGAATAAATAAACAAATGCATGAATAAATGAATAATGAGTGAATGAATGATCGAGGCCTTCTGCTTCTGCTAAAGCATTTTTCCCTTTAACATTTCATACCCCTCCTCTCTCCTCTTCAACAACAGTTTCTTTTCTTTGTAATAAAGTAAGTCCGGAGTTATTCTCTGTGATTCAATATTTACTGTGTTTCACACACTGTTATTATCATTTAACGTTTACTGTCTGCTGATTGTGCACTCATCGCTGTAGCAAACAAAGAGCTCAATCTAGTTTTGGTTCATGGGCTAATTTAGTCAAGAGAAAGGAGATGTAAGTGCAACTGGCATAGTAGAAATTGCATGGACTGGAAATCCACTGGTTCTAGCTAGGTACAAATTCACCAGTGAACTTAAGTCACTAACCTTCTGAGACCTTCTGCTTTCTCATCTGAACATGGAAAGGGGAAGCCTCTTTAATAGTGGGATTTCAGGCACAGGCTGGAGAGAGTGCTAGGAGCAAGGAGCTCAGATTTCCACAAGCATCCCTCTGCTCGCTCCGCCTTCAACTGTGCCAGGCTGTGTCAACCAGATGTAGCCTACCTTGGAGCTTTCTTCTGGTGCCATTCCAGGGACTCTCAGCACGTGGAGTGCCTGCCTAGCCAGCAGCACATGGAACTACTGAATTAGACACTGCTATTTCTAGTGCAGCTTTCAGCCCTGGGTTCCCTGGACCTCTGGTTTTAGGCTTTGATGCACTGAGAGAAAAATGAGCCAGACCATTTACCATAATGTCTTCACCTTGCCTTGGCCCAGCTGGCTGTCTGCCAGAGAAGCTACTGCCAAGGCCTTGGGTGCTAAGGCTGGGAGGGGGTCAGTGGGGCAGCAGATCACCCCAGCCTGGGATGAAGAGAAGGTGCTGAGAGGAGACCTACCACTCAAATTGATCACCCAATCAGCCCCTCCCCAGAACGACAATGGGTTCTCAGGGCCTTTGGGGCCTGTGCTCTAAGTGCTGACAAACCTTCGTGATTATCTCAAGGCCTGTTCAACTCTTCCAGCTGCAAGGGAAGCCCAAGCATGTGTTTGCTTGGCCTAATAACTTACTATGTTCTCACCACTTTGTCTTTTACTTGGAATGAGTAGGAGGCCATGCAAAGACTGTAAATGGAGGGCTTAGTGATGTGAGATGACTTTTGCTTGGCAGGATTCCTCTGGCTCCTGGCTGAGAATAGAATGGACAAGGGTGGAAGAAGAGAGTCAAGTTAAGGAGTCCTTGCAGTAAGCCAGGCAAGACAGCATGACGCCTTGTCCCATGTGGCTGATGTAGAGGGACTGCAAAGGGTTGAATGTTGGATGACTTTGGAAGGATTTTCTGATGAACTGAATGAGGAGTGGGAGAGAAAGCAAGCTGTCAAGGATGGCTCATGGTTTGTTTGTTGTTTTTTTTCTTTTTTTTCAGAGCAGCTGAAGGATGAATTAGATCCTGTTCCTATCAATAATGATGATGATGATGATAAATCAATATCTAACTTAAAAATTCGTAGCTAACATTTTTTAGCCCTTATTAAGTGCTAAACACTCTTCTCCTAAGGATTTTTGATTGTGAACCTCAAGGAGGGAGAGTCTATTGGGCATTGATGATATAAGAATAGTTCAGTGGAATTGGGTGATGAGTAAGTGATTTGGTAGTATCATCTCCTCTTCTTTTCAAGTTGATTCTTTTTCATTCCGTGTCATCAGATATGATGGGTGCTGCAGTGGGACATGGAGAGAGCTGATTGGATAAGTTGCTGTAACTCAGCTTGCCTATCAGCTCTCCTCGTGTGTGTGTGTTTGTGTGTGTGTGTGAATGCACTCGAGGTCTTTGGAGACTGTAGGAATACTGCCTCAAGGTCATAGCTGTCTCAGGAGGGAGGGGTCAAGGTTCTAAGCCTCTAGCACCACTAAGACTACTTGTCTACTGATGGACATTATAAAGGCTATTTGTCTCCTGTTTGTCTCCCTTGAATGCAGACCTAATAATCCTCCAAGAAATCCACCACCCTTCTCTTGTATTCATGCATAAGATTCACTGATAGGCCTTGTCTTTCTAGGACATTTGCAGGCACATACACCTTTAGTCAAGGGGACTTTGGAACAATTGTACAATCCCCTTGCAATGACACTTTCATCATCTTATGCCATGACCCTTTTTTACTAATAAAAAGGTATGATACATTGAACAAAAATACTATTCAAATGATAATCACTTTAAAAGTATTTACAGAAGGAAAACCAGCATAGAGATAAGAGTTAGAAACTTCAAGTTGGGAGATTGAATTTTACAATTTACTAGAAAGTCCTCACTCCTCACTGGCTATATGAGAACGTTGGGATGGGGCAGTAGCTTTGCCAGTATTTTTAAGCCAAGGAAACTTTATGCCAACATTTCCTTGCTTGGGAGTGCAGTATATACCTTACAAAAAATGGAGCTGCTCTTGTGGAAGCAAGAGGAACACGCTCAGGGCAACCCTCTTGGCAAGCTCCTTTCCCATGCAAGATGACCCTGAGCTACCTCAGCTGAGTTGGTGCTCTCTTGGGCCTTTCTGGCTCCGAGGTTTGGCCATGAGTACTTCCAGCTCAACTTCTAAAGAATCCACACTCTCAACTCCCACTCCTTTCATGGATTTCTTTCCTTCATCTTCTTCTAGTTCCATAGCCACAAAAGAATGAAAGCACTTTTATCCTTAGTTTCATTCCACTATCAGAGTAGAATGAATTACCTGATCACATGTGATGTACTAAAAACGGCCTCAGACAGATGTGGGTGCAAACCCTGCTTCCACTACTCTGTTACTTTAGGTGAATCTTGGTCACAGTTGACTCATCTATAAATGAAAGTGATGATCCCTATCTCATAGACTTGATGTGAGGAAAGGTATCCTGGCAAAAAATGGATGCCTTCTGAGCTCCTGATTATGTGGGCTCTTTTCCTCCCTGGAGCACCAAGGCCAGGCGTACGGCTCACCCAGTGCCTCGGGTCTTGTCTTGCAGAGATGTCTGGCACAGCAGCGGACATCTCGCTGGTGCACTGGAGACAGCAGTGGCTGGAGAATGGCACCTTGTACTTCCACGTCTCCATGAGCAGCTCCGGGCAGCTGGCCCAAGCCACCGCCCCCACTCTCCAGGAGCCCTCGGAGATTGTTGAGGAGCAGATGCACATCCTCCACATTTCTGTGATGGTGAGTGATGGGGGGATGTGACCGGGGTCGGGGATTGCGTGGGGGAGGAATGGGTGGAGAGATGGAGGGGGCGGGGGATTGTCCACAGATGGAAGGAAAGAACCAAACTCAAGAGGTTAGAATGAGAAACAGAAAATCAGATGGATTCTGTGATGTCACTTGGACTGATGCATACCCATCCATCATCTGTCAGCTGTGACAAACTAATTGTGCTTCAGAGAAGAAAATAAAGGGTCTCCAACTCCTCGGCCTTTTGGCTGACATCTCTGGGAATAGCTGTTTAACATCTGTCATGTGCTTGGCCTGCTTTGCTGAGGGCTGAGGTTTGGTGATTCAGAATACAACTGGCCATTCCAAGAATGACTGAACAAACAAAATTGGAATAAAACCAGAACAGGCTGCCTTTTCCTAAGTACCCTTGATGTGTCAGGTGTTTTAACCCTTGCAACAACTGCATGGTGGCCCTTGTAGCTGGGCTGGACGTAGCCATTGTGGGGGTCCACAGAAGCCCCTCCATAATTCTCTTTATAGTTGTGAATACTGTGGCTGAGGGGCAAAGAAACTTACCTAAGATCACATAGCCAGCGAATGATGGAACTACTCTTGAGTGTTCAAATCCAAGCATATCTGGCTACTAAGCCTGAACTATGTCCTGTACACCCTGTTTTCTCTCAATTCAAGAATTTCTTGAGTATCTACCATTTGTTAAGCACTATACTGGATACATGTATGGAAATTATCTCATTGTGCTCTTGCCAAGAATGGATGAGGTCCAGCGAATCACCTCCACATGTTTGCAGAGAGAGGATGTGGCTGTTCAGCTCTGTTGGCCCCATGATACAGAACTCTGAGTCTGCTGCCTCCACCCAGAAGGTTACTAGGGCTGGAATCACTTGAGTGGTAGTCTAAAAGTATCTGGGCTTATATTATATGCTTTCTTTAAAAAGCTATATTTATTGGCATTGCATGGTAGATAGAAAAACAAAACCAGAAAATAAATCCAGTAGGTAGAAAGCACAGAGTCTAATGGGCTCAGGAAGAAACTTCACATCTTTCTGATGCTTTATATTCCTCAAAGCCCCTCTTACATTCACTTCTCCTTTTCTTCTTTAGTACGGCTCTGCCAGATACCCAAGGTTAGGAAATGGTATCTCCAACATACATATGAGGAGGCTATGGCCCAGAGGGGTGAAGTGATTGGCATAAAGCCACTCAGCAGAGCAGAGCTACCTCTCAACCCTCATTGCTTCCTTCAATTTAACAATCAGCAGTATTTTTTGAGACTCCACAACGGAGCGACCTTTAGTTTTAGTCTCTTTCTCGTTTCTCTTCAACGAACACTGTGCATTAGACATTCTGATTAGGGCTGAGTAAGATCTTAGAAGTTTTCTCTTTTTGGAAAAACACATACACTCCCCAGCCAGACAGCAATGTTAATTTTGGACCTTACGCATGCTCATCACGTGGAGGAACAAATCAAGGCCTTTGTGTTATTCATGGAATGAGTGTGATAGACTTTTTCCATATGTATATTTAGCAAATGATGCAGCCTCACACCAAGCAAGTGGGTGCCTGCATGCTAAGTTTGGGGTGCAAATTTATAAGCACCATCTCAGGGCACTTGCTGAGTTCCTCATGGGGTGTGGGACACCATCTAATGTTAGGAAGAGGCGGAGGGGTGTGAATGCTCTTCTTCCTTTAACATTTGAGAGTGAGACTCAATTTTGACCAATGTTCATTAAACATTTTCTGTGTTTCAGCACATTTACTTGCATGTATCCTTCTTGTAACCCAGTAACCTGGATAGTATTATCTCAATTATAAATGAGCCTCCAATGTGTCTTTTTTGCTTCCAGGTCCAGTGTTAGTTTCACTGAATCAGACTTTCTCCCCAGGATGGTAGGTTTTCCTCAACTTTCCCTTTTGCTCAGTGAGTTCAGCTTCGAAATAATAACTCACTAAGACCCAGATGTCACTGAAATTCCCTGTAGTTCCAGATTTGGCTGGCAGAGTAGGTAACGTGGAAGCTGGCACCCTTCAGACCCTCCCCACCCATGAGCCAAAGTGACCCAAGGCTACCACCGTGTGGTCCAAAGTTCCTTCCCCCATTCAGGGCTCCATAATCTGGATCTCTCCTGTCCCTGCCCTCCCCTCAGGGAACAGAGTCATGTCTTGGAGACACTGAACCCCAGGGTGTTCTTCCTCTGAGAGGTGGGGCATGCCAATAACACTGCTCTCTCTAGAGGTAGGAAGACAGCCATAAGCACAGACTTGGAGCACAGACTTGAGGTCTCTCTCTGACACTGAACTCGGGTATGAGCCCTTTGTCTTGTTTTTGTCATTTATAGAACAAGGATTATACTAATAGTTATGTAGACACAACAAGTCCTCAGATCAGAGGAGCTTGGCACTTAAGGGTATTTGCTTTTGTTAATAGGGGCAGTTTAGTTGAAAAACTTGAGATGTGCTGATTTATTATACCCTTTTATTCCATAGTTGGATACTGAGGTCTGGGACAGGCTAGGACTTGTCTAAGATCCCTCAGTCAGTCAGCAGGGCTTGGCCTGGAGGTCAGGCCTCTCTGTGGCTCAGACTCTACCCTTGTCATTCTGGCCACAGACAATGCAGCAAGAACAAAAAGAGTGTTTACATTTAAGATGGCTGGGATCTGTCTCCCCATTTCACAACTGAGAAATCTGAGATTCATGAGTTTAATTGATTTGTCTAAGTCTCCTGGGCTAACAAAAAGGCAGTTCTGGGGCCAGGATTTCCCCAGGATTAAAACTTGTGTCTGGCAATTCATGACATCATGGCCCTGACCCTGCTGGATACACTATTGTTTTCATCTTTGGTGAAGATCCAAGGTGGTTTGTGAGAAGACCCAAATCTTCTAGTCAAATCTCAAAGAAGTCTGGAGGCTAGGGTCTATGCACTCCATCCCCTTTTGACAGCACAGATATCCTGCTCACCCATGCAGGGAAACCAGCTCCCATTCAGCCACTGGAACCTGCTACCATCCATGCCTCCTGGGGTGGAGCCATCATGCTTTGTAGGCTTGTGAAGGCTAGAGTCGAGCATCTACCTTGTCCCAAAGGTTGCATCATCTGAATATTAATATCACAAAAGGTGATGCAGCAAGGAAGTACTCTGAACCTAGTCCAGAAAGTGAGAGTAAACAGTCATCTCCTCTTGTCCTCTGCCTCAGCTTCAGCATACCCTCCTCAGCTGTGCAGGTGGCAGGATGCAGAGAAAAAAAGCAGAGCGATGGAATTCAGCAGACCTGGCTCTGAATATAGTCTCTTCTACTTCCTGCTTCCTGGTAATTTTACGTTAGGCACATCCCTTCATGCCTCTGAGCCTCAGTTTCCTTATGTATGAAACAAAACTGATCATACCAATCTCACAGAATTATTGAAAAGAGTGGAGAAAAATTATTGAAAAGAGTGGAGAAAAGAGTGGAAAAAACATACAATGGTGCCTAATACCCAGGCTGGCACATACTGAGTGCATAGTCACAAATGGCTATTAATATTGTCATTGAAGCAATGTTTAAAGGACTTCAACTTAGGAGTAAAAAGACATTGGCTTTAGTCTTATATTTGCTGCTATTTTGCTGCCTGATCTAGAGAAATAATCATAATACCTGACATTTATTTTGAGTATTTACTGTATGCCAGGCAGTGTTCCAAATTTTGTTCTCTGCATATTATCACTTTCAATCCTCACAACAAACCTTAAGATGGATACTGTCCCTCACATGAGGAATCTGAAATGTTAATAAATACCTATCTACGTGACATTGATCACACAAAGGTTAAGTGGCAAACCCAATTTTTCACTCTATATAAGCTGGTTTCAGAAACTATGCCCTTAATCTATATAACAGGCCACCATTTTCCTTCTCTATGCATCCGTTGTTGATTTAAATTGATAAGATTTCATGAGTGAATTCTTACGAAGACTGTACCCTATGTGGAATCCATGGGTATTTTATGAGGGTTTATGACTTGGAAATCAACTCCATGGTTGAATAATGTCTCTATCACTACCTTTGTGTCCTTGGCCAAGTTACCTTCATCATTTGTAAAACTGGAATAATATTCCCCAATACTTAGAGATTTTTTTTCTAGGCACGGAATGAGATCACACTCACAAATGCCCTGCACAATGAAAATAATGACTGCCACCACTGAGAACTTTCTGTATGCCAGGCACTAAGTGCAGCACCTCTATTATTTCATCTAATTGTTCCAATGCCTCTATATGATAAGTAATGTTGTTGCCCTTCATTTACAGATGAGGGCTTAGGAGTTAGTGGGATTTTTGCATCTTGCCCATCCACATCACCAATAAGTGCTGAAGTTGAGATTCTAACTCTGGTCTGTCCAAACTGAGAGTCTGTGTGCTTGGGCACAGTTCTGCATGGCACAGTGCCTGACATTCTGTAAGTGCTCAAAAAGCAGTAGCCGTTATTAAAATGTTAGCTATAGTGAGGGTTATCATGTCTGTTATTTTATAGAGTATTCACTCCAGGTGCACAAAACATTTGATAGAAATTGGAAACTTGTCAGTTAGGGAGAGGAGTTGCTCATGCCAGCATTTTATAGATAGGAGAAAAGAAATCCAAAGCAGGCTGAGTGATTTGACTACAGGTGCAAAGTCAGAGGAAAACCATGGCTTGAATCCTGGGGTGCACTTTACATTGTTTATCAGAACAAGCTATTATGGGCCCCTAACTATTTGCCAGCTAAGTTTGTGATCTACATATGCAAACTTGCAGGATAAAGAAAGAGGTTCTTTTAGTGTTGGTATCCTTATTTAGAAAGTGGGAAGCCAGGATTGTCTTGATCTCCGGACCTCGTGATCTGCCTGCTTGCAGGCAGGAGGCGGAGCTTGCAGTGAGCCAGGATCACGCCACTGGACTCCAGCCTGGGCAACAGAGTGAGACTCTGCTCAAAAAAAAAAAAAAAAGAAAGTGGGAAGAGTTTATCTGCTTCACGCAGGCATGAGGAAATGCAATAGGTCCTAGCAGATGTGATCACAACTTCTTGTTTCTTTTTTGCATTTATTTGTTTTTTTCATTTTGCTTTTTGTTGCCATTGCCATTGTCACATTGGCATTTCAATATATATTTCACTTTTGCATAGATCAAAGTTGCTTTCAACAAAAATAGTTATCACTTGTGGTTCAGAGGGTTGGTCATATAATTCTACTCTTTCCTCCTCTCCCCCTTTTTAACAGTGAGAAATATAATTTCATTTTAATGTGATGTGTCTTGTTTTAAAGATTTCCACAAGAGTTACTAGATAGAAACTGTTTGAGACCAATATGTTTTATCTTGGCGCTTTTGTTTTTTCCCTTTTGTCTTTGTGGTGACAAAATGTTTTGAGAAAGGGGATGAAAAGAAATGTTTGGTTTGATGTAGGAGAAGAAAAGAATTTTGAGGGCATGTTTCTCTCAGAAGGATCATCCCAAAGAAAATGCCACGGATTTGTATTGCTGGCCTCCAATGAGGGAGGATTCAGGATTCCAAGAGGTCAAAATTCTCATGCACGACAGGACAAACACTTCAAAGTGTCTGAGCTATCCATCGGTGGAGTAGGCCGAATCAAGAAGTTGTGGGTTTCTTCTCCCTGAGTTTGTGCAGGCAAAGTCACTGGGGTTTAGAGAGGAATAATAGTTAAATTAGATGACTATTGTAGTTGCCTCCAATTTAGATGATCTATGACTCTGTGATATAATAACATAGAATAATACTTTGAGGAATATAAAATGTCACACAAATCTAAGAAATTATTACTACCATTCTTATTCAGTAGCTTTGTTTAGAGGATCGGTGTGATATTGGGATAACACTTTTTAAAGGTTTCTGTAAAAGATGGCTTTATATCATTGCTCCAACCGTGACGTTTTTTCATTCATAGCATATTCCTTCATTCATTGATTTAATCATTCAATCATGGAATGGTTTACCTGCCTATTAAATCTAGCAATGAAAAGCCTATCTGCTAGAAAAAAAAGAGATAGAAAAAAAAAAAAAAAAGCTTTTTACAAAATCAGCCACCAGCTCAGATTGAGCCAACTATGGGGTCTCATTGCTGAAAGTGGTCTTATATTTTAAGTTGAATTAATAAAAGGCTAGGTTTCTGAACAAATAATTCTAGAGGTACTGGGCGAGAACTGAAATATTGTGTTTATTTTTGGGGCCATATCTTAAGAGAAACAGTAACTGAGTAGAAATAATAACTGAGTAATCAAGACATTGAAGAATCTTAATAATGCTAACAAGCACTTTTACAGTGCTTAGTGTGATTGTACTTGACATGTATTTAACTCATTAAATTCTTACAGTAATCTCAATAGATATTATTACTCCTGCTCTACTGTTGAGAAAATAAGCACAGGAAGTATAACTAACTTGTAAGACCTGTGACTCTGTGTGTTCTGAGGTTCACATTCTGGCTCCATAACTGACTTGGTAGTAGTGGGATTTGAGCATGTACTTTCTCTGATGGAATTACCTGTCTAAAGAGGGGCTGTTGTGAGAATCATCAGAGATGATAGATATAAAGCACATATGCTGGAGCCTGACACACAGCCCTGGTTCTATAAATGTCATTACTCTGCTACTTATAAGTGCATTAGCTTCCTAGTTTGCAATAACAAAGTACCACAAACTGAGTGGCTTAAAAGACAGACATTTATTATCTCACAATCCTGGAGGCCGGAAGTTTAAAATCAAGATATCTGTGAGACCATGCACCTTCTGAAGGCACCAGGGAAAGATCTGCTCCAGGCTTTCCTTCTAGGTTCTGGTAGTGCCTTGGCTTATGGCAGCAGAACTCCATCTTCACATGGCATTCTGCCCATGTGATGTCTGTCTCTATGCCCCAATTCTCCCCCTTTTATGAGGACACCAGAGGCCAGGTGCGGTGGCTGAAGCCTGTAATCCTACCGCTTTGAAAGGCCGAGATGGGTGTATCACCTGAGCTCAGGAGTTTGAGACCAGCCTGGGTAACATGGTGAAACCCTGTCTATAGCAAAAATACAAAAAATTAGTTGGCCTTGGTGGTGTGAGCCTGTGGTCCTAGCTACTCATGAGGCTGAGGTGGGAGGATCGCTTGGGTCTGGGAGACGGAGGTTGCAGTGAGCTGAGATCATGCCGCTGCACTCTGACTGGGTCCCACCCTAACAACCTCATTTAAAAATTGATTGCCTTTATAAATACCCTGTCTTCAAATAACACCACATTCTGAAGTACTGAGGGTTAGGAGCTTAACATATTGCTTTTGGAGGACCCAATTCAACTGAAAACAATAAATATTTAGGCTGGTGCAAAAGTAACTGTGGTTTTTGCCATTGAAAATAATACCACTACTGACAAGATCCACCAATGTATACTAAAATTAATGGTGAAACTTTGAGAAATACCATTACTTTCAATGGCAAAAACCACAGTTACTTTTGCATCAACCTAATACTGCCACCATGTTATTTATAAGTAATATCATTGAAGGTCACTCAGGACAACTAGGGTAGGAGAAGCCAAGCTGTTACAGACTGTGATTCCCAAATGCTTTTCAGAGAAAAGACAGAGTAGTAGGGAAAACAGATCCTGAGAGGGATTATTTAAAATGTGAGGATGGCAAACATCTAGTAGTGGAAAAACCATGTAATACATGCAGCACAAATAGTTATGTGTCTCTGCTGTGCCACCAATATGCTCCATGATCTTATGCAAGTCACATCCCCTTCTTAACCTCACTGCACCCATCTAAAAATGAAGATACCAAGCTTATATCAATTGCCAAGGTATGATGAAGTTTTGTAACACAAATATCCCAAGTACTTTTTTACAAAAGTGGGACATACCCCATGAGTATCATTCACGTTTTTTTTTCCAGAAAGTAGAACTTTTAATATTGTAAGTATAGACTTTAAAAAATACTTTAAAATTTTAAGTCACATGAACCTTGTGGCTTGGTCTTGACTTGCTTCAACAACATGGTTTCACTAAAAGCCTGCAGGGTCTCTAGCTAGGCCTGTGGGCAAAGTAGGAAAATAAGCCATAGCTTCCATGTGTAGGAAATATAGGAAATGCTTATTTTTCACAACATTTAGAGATGCACCATAGCGAAGTAGAATGAGCATGGAATTTGGCTTCAGGAGGCCTGGTTTCAAGCTTAGACTTCCACATACCGGCTATAGAAATGCAGGCTAGTCATCTCACCTCTCTGAGTTTCTTGTGTGATCATTTGCAAAATGGAAATAAAATTAAAATCATAACATCAAACTTAATGCACATAAAACCATTTAGCAAGAGTTTCCAAAAAAAAAAAAAAACAGTAGAAGTATGAAATATAGTGGGATCTTGGAGCTGAAAACACCTGAGACCTCATAGAATATCCAACTCTTCCAGGCTAGTCAGCTCTTGCTTGTTTATTCTGCAAACAGACCACTCTAAATCATAGTGCCTTGGCCACACCATGCTTTACTTCTCATGCACCTTACACATCGGCAGCTGCAGTCACTGCAGGCTCAGCTCTGCTTGTCTTCTCCTTCTGGTACTTTGGCTGAAGGGGAGCCCCAGTTTGAAACATTTGGTTTTCATGGCAGAGGGAATGAGCAAGAGAGCTGGCAAAAATATAGGATGCCTCTTGAAACTGATGCTCAGATGTGGGTTCTCTCACATTCTATCGGCCAAAGCACATCACATGGCCAAGCCCAGAGCCAATGGCAGGGGTGTGCAATTCTTTTACAGGGGGTGCACATGCAAGCAATTGCCACAGCAATAGAATGTACCCCACCTTCATGTTGTAGATGGGGAAAATGAAGCTGGAGAATGGATGTTCTTCATCCCTGTCCCATTAGTGTGGGCCAATGATAAAGCCCAGATGGAAAAGTTTGACAAGGGTATCTTGGAGATGGCAAGAGGCAGCTCAGGAAAAGGGCCTGAAGGCAGTTCCACTGAACCTCCTGGCCAAAGCACAATGCAGAATAAGAACGTGTATAGCTATAGCTATGTATATATAATATGGACAGAGGGAAGCAGAAGAAAATACCGACAGAAACATCCAACCCATGTTGATTGAGAAACTATTCTATACTAGGTACGTTGAAATTACTAGAGACGGAGAGAAATAAAGAAGAAACTGAGAGAATGGGGCACCAAGGATGGGAGAGACATAGAAAAATAAAGGAGAATTGGCAAGAACAGACAGAAAGGGATTTAGCAACAAAAGCAGAGATGGGGGAAAATGAAACAGAGAATAAAAAGCATGGAGGAAGTGATACAGAGAGAAGAGAACAGGAAAAGAGAGAGACAGCGAGTAAGAGAAGCAGATGGAACTCAACCTCAAGAAAGGGCTGGGAGTCGGGTAGCGAGGTAGATGGAGTGAAGGGCGGGCAATCGGGGTGATCCGAGGCTGAGGAGGCAATCAAGCCCAGACAGCATCCAGCAGAGATGAGAGGGCTGGAGGCAGGGGCACCCAGCACTGTGGATCTGAGAAGAGGCCATGGCAGGGCAGGGTGGACTGGATTGCAACAGGGAGTCTGGGAGAAGGGAAGGAGAGGGGAGATCCAGAGACTGCAGGGAAGTAAAGTGGGGAGGGGCGGACAGGTTGGCAAGAGAGTCAGGGCGTGTGTCCCCTTGGTGACCATTCCCAACTTCCTCTGCCCCAGCCTCCTGTTCCACATTTTCCTCCCCTTCAAGAACCTGGGGCTTTTGTGTGGTATTTTAACAGCAACACAAAATGAATGCTGTGAGCACATTTGCAGTGAGGTTCACGCTGTTTACTCCCTTTCTCATATGCCCCAAATAAGCCCACAGTAAAAATGGAAAGTGAGCTTTGATTTGGATATATTGGAACTTCTGCCTCTCCCTTCAATTAATCCACCTTTCTCCCTCCTTCCCAGTCTTCAGAGCATAGCTTGATTTGGTGGGAATCACGTGGTTTTGGAGACAAGACAGATGAGGACTTAAACTGTGATTCTTTCCCTTACTGCTGTGTGTCCTTTGGCACATTACTGAACCTTTCTGAACCTCACTTTCTCCTGAGCTGTAAATGAGGCGAGAGATCCACATTCATGGGGCTGAGGGGAGGAATAAGTGATAAAAGGCTCATGAAGCATCAGCAAGGTGCCCAGGGAAGGTCCCTTTCTTCTCCTTTGGCCTCTAAAAATATTCTTCCTACTCTGTTATCGTTCTTGGCCTTCACAAACATCCTTTGAGCTATGTTGGGAGGTTATTAAGAATATTGACTTTAAAATACTGATATAAATAATTGACTAAATAAATAAATGGGGCAGAAAAGATTGCTCTTTCTTACAGTAGAATTCCAGTTAATAAATGTAGAAGGAAAGAGGGAAACAGAAAATCACCATTAGGCAATCACCACTGTAATAATTACTACTGACAAGATCCACTGATGTATACTAAAATTAATGGTGAAATTTTGAGAAGATATAGGGTATTTGTGGAGTCTCAAAGTGTCTCCCCCCAAGACATTTATTAATTACAGAAGGAAAATAGTGACTTTACAGTGGAGAAATCTGGCCGATACCACTTGTATTTGCTTCCTAAGGCTGCCGTGACAAATTACCATAATTTAAGAAGCTTAAGACAACAGAAATTTATTCTGTCACAGTTTTGGAGGCCAGAAGTCTGAAATCATGGTGTTGGCAGGGCCACACTCTCCCTGGGGCTCGAAGGGAGAATCCTGTCTTGCCTCTTCCAGCTTATGGTAGCTCTTGGTTTTCCTTGGTTTGGGCTATTGAACGCTAATTTCTACGTCCGCCTCCATACTACATTCTCCTGTGTCTTTTCTTCCATGCGCCTCTCATTAGGATGCTTGTCACTGGATTTAGGGTTCACCTTGATAACTCAGATTGTTATACATAAGATTTTTTTACTCAATTACATCTGCAAAGACCCTTTTTTCCAAATAAGATAACATTCACAAACTCCAGGGATTAGGGTGTGGGCATATCTTTCTGGGACCCACTATTCAACTGACCACACCACCTTAACCAAGTCATCAAAATTAACATCCTCACTCATCAGACACATTGACGTTATGAATCCACTGAAGTAATGCACTGATAAGGACAATGTCATTTCTGTGGGTTTCTTGCCAAAAATGTATAACCATTCTAATCATGAAAAAATATGGACAAACCCAATGATGGGCATTCTACAAAATAATTCACAAGCAATGGTCAAAAGTGTTAAGATCATAAACAACAAAAACAACAACAAGGAAAACAGTAATTGTCACAAATTGGAGGAAACTAGGGAGATATGACAACTAAATGCAATGTGGGATCCTGGACCAAAATAAAAACATTAGTGGAAAAACAAGGACATTAGTGAAAAAAATTAAAAAAATTAGTCCTTATGAGAGACACATGGAAGAGAAGGCACAGGGGAAGATGGTATGAAGATGGAGAGAGAAATGAGCATTATGTAGCCCAAGCCAAGGAAAACCAAGAGCTACCATAAGCTGGAAGAGGCATCATTTGTGAAACTTGTATAAGGTCTGTGGTTTAGTTAATAGTGTTGAATCATGGTTAATGTCCTGGTATTCATTATTTTATTATAGTTATGAAAAATGTTGACATTGGGGGAAGCTGAGTGAAGAGTACACAAGAGCTCTCTCCTAAATTTGCAACTTCCTGTGAGTCTATAATTCTTTCAAAATAAAAAGGCTAAAACCCAAAACAAGAATGTTGACTTTGGGACAGAACTGCCTGGATTGGAATCCTGGCCTCACCACGTAACTTGTAGAGTGACATTGGTTAAGTTACTTAACTTCTCTGTGCCTCTGTCTTCTCAACTGTAAAATGGTGAGAGTAATAGTTTCTACAGTTAAAAGTTGGTAAATATGCAAACTCTATACAAATGTTGTATTAATGATACTATTGATATTGCTGTTTTTACTGTTCCGTTTTCACAAATGATAAAACCAAGGTCTAGAAGGTTAAGACAACTCTCTAGTATGATCACATAGCCAGTGTCCGAGCCCAGAATTAAACATATATTTCTAGTTCCAAATGAGCTCTCTGCTCCATCTGCTGTATAATATTTCCTTTCTTATAGGGGGCAAGGATGGATAAGGACTTTTTAGGAGCTCATCTCCATAATCATCCAATTACGAGACTATGAGATATTGAGGCAAGCCTGACCCTGGACCATGGAAGAAGGCAGCCAGTTCTTTCTGGCCACAGATATTTAGAATTGATGAAAACAGAAATTTCTGATTTAATTCTCAAAAAACAAAAGCGTTTTAAAAACTCCAGTTCAACCCCTTTAATAGAGTGAAAATAAATACAAAAACAAAGCTTTTAGGTCTCAAAGGGTGACTCACGATGTCTTACAGCAGGTTGATGACAGAGCTGGCCTTCCCATCTAAATCTCAGGGCAGTGTGCC
Organism: Homo sapiens; assembly: GCF_000001405.40. Classification (NCBI taxonomy): domain Eukaryota; kingdom Metazoa; phylum Chordata; class Mammalia; order Primates; family Hominidae; genus Homo; species Homo sapiens. Next base: position 117,278,897 of record NC_000009.12, on the reverse strand, counting down.
TGTGTCAGGCTATAAACTGCACCCAGCAGAAGGCCCCTTGCTCCATGCTGAGGGAGCCACTCACGCTGTAGGTTCAGCGCAACTACATTTCACTTCACTGTGGTAATCCTGTCTGCAAATCCACCGATACAGTCAAACAATTACCCAATTCAAACTTCGGCTGCTAATGTTCCCAGCTCAAGGGCGTCTTTAATAGCAAAATAACACTTGTTTTTTCTTCCTTCCTTCTCTGTTTTTTCCTAATCTCTCCCTGATGAGACATAACATTAATTACAGCAGTTAACAGAAATTCTGTCTCCATTACTGCCTGCCACCTTCTCCATCTTGGCTTCCGCCTCTAAAATTTCTCTCCTGAATGAAGAGGGGGAAGGGGTTAGGCAGATGTGGTGATGGTATTTATTTACCTTTTTCTCTGCTCACCTCCTTTGTGCTGAATTTTAAGTCAAGTAGAATCAATATTTTCACTGGGAGTGTGCGTGAGTGTGAATGTGTGTGTGTTGTTTGTGTGTGCCTGCTTCATAATCTAGCTGTCATTTTGAGCTAATTGTGTTGTTTCCTCTTGTGTGGAAGGAAATCTTATCTGTTTTGGATTAAAATTCAATGAAGGTCATAGTGGCTGGAAAACTTACCAGACTGCTGCAATTAATGTTCATTTGGCTTTGATAAATTGGAACGTTCTCCTCAATAGGACTGGAGTGGATTTCAGAAGCAATAATTCTTCCATTAATTCAATGATTCCGCCTGTGACGGAGGACCTTGTCCTGCTTTTGTTTGTCATCTGTCACTTGGAGGAGCTGGGCATATGTCAGAGATGATTTATCATGATTACAGCGCCTGCTTGTATTAAAGCATTTAAAACCACTAATTATTTTTACCCCCTGTAAATTGCTTTATTAAACAAAATGTGAGGTTGGAATTGAGGTAGAAAATTTTTTTGTGTCTATGTTTTCCACAGTTGAGGGATTATTACAAGTCATTTGCAAGAGCTAGGTGAAAATGAATCTATCAGAGAAATAATACCGAGCACTTACCATATGGTGGGGAATATGCAGGGAAGTTTATGTGCATTATTTTACTTATTTCTTGAAACAGTTATTTAGGGTAGTTTACCCAGATCACCTAGGAGGAGACTAAAATCCATAGATAATATATATTTCATCCTACATAAGCAACATAATATTGGTAACCAAGTGTCATGATTCTAAAGTCCTTGCACTACCACTATTACTAGGAGGTTTAAAAATTGCCTGATATTATTTTCTCCTGTTTACTGTTGGTATTTCACTAGGTGTGGAGCAGGATTTTCTTCCTACATAAGAATTACCTAGGGTGAAATTTCTGGATCATATGGTAGTTCCATTTTTAATTTTTTGAGGAATTTATCTACTGTTTTCCATAATGGCTGTACCAATGTACATTCCCACTAACAGGGCACCAAGGTTCCATTTCATTGAGTTATATACATTAAATATGCACAGCTTTTTACATGTTAATATATCTCATTGAAATGGTTTCAAGAATAAATTTACTACCACTACCAACAACAAAAAGAATTCTCTTGTGTGTTTGTTTAAAAGATAGTTTCCTGAACCTTACCCTATGTATGCCTGATCTGAACACCAATTAGAGGTTTTGGGGAATTTACAAAGGTGGAGAATCATAAACTTACAGCTCACTGAAAGCTTGTTTGGAGGTTCTAGCAGGGGCGTGCAGCTACTGTATGCCCTTGACCAAAAAACAGTCCTCCTCTATTGGGGATGGCCATCCTCTTCAACGGAGCATACAGCTTTGGGAGGGACACACATAGAGCAGTGAGGGGGGAAGAGGACACCTCCCTTGCCAGACAGATCAGCTGAATCAACCCTGGAGGTCAATGGAGTGACAGATGTTGCAGCCAGATCGCCCTCATGTCCACCTACAGTTCATCGAAACCATTAGGGGGAAAGTCACAGCCTTAACATGCTAATTTTTAAAATTATTATTTAATTCTCACAAAATCCCACCTGGCAAGCATTGATATCTCCATCTTATGGATTGGATCATTGTGGTACATCAAGTGAAATGGCCTTGCCCAAGACCACACAGCTAGGGAGAGACTGAGCTGGGATCCACATCCTGTGTTTGCTCTGTTGGCAGCAAAGCTCTTGCTTTCCCATGGCAGCCTTATCTCATCCCCCTCTCCCCCGCCCTTGTCTCTCTGTGCCCTCAGCCCTCCCTTCCTCCTCTAAAATTCTGCAGGGGTACAAGCACAAGCAGCTCCGGGCTTTCCCCATGGACACCCTCTTCGGTTCCTGTTTTATTACAGTCCTTATGTGTCCTGATGTTCCCCTAATGAAGTGTCCAGAGGCCTGCCCTGTCTCAGCTTTCCTTAATAGGGAGTGAAATATGTTGGTGGCTGTGCCAGAGGCTTTGTTTAGATGGTGTGTAAAGTCACCAGAGGCTGTCTGGGGGGAGATGAGGGTCAGTTCCTCTCTCTTGTGGTAGCAGATGTTCTCAGGTGAAGGATTCCCACTTGCAGGGAAGGTCTGGGCCATCAGAATGATTGCAACAGCCTAGTATGGGAGAGGAGAGTCTGTTGGACGGGATCTCTCAGCCTTTTGATAACCGTGTGATCTTGGGCTAGCTACTTGCCTTCTCCTGAGCCTTGGTTTCCTCAAATGTAAAGTAGTGCCAACAATAATACCTTCTCAAATAAAATCATTGTGAGGCATGGAAGCATCCATGTTAAGTACAGACTTGGTGCCTGATAAATAGAAATTTCTCAATAAATTGTAGCTGTTCTTGAAGCTCAAATGCTCTTGACCAACTAACATTAATAGAACATGATCCCATTTAAAATTTCATTAAAATCTCCTGACAATATATTAAGCAGGTGTTTTCAGTCAGAATGGCAGATATTATGGACTGAATTGTGTTCCCCTGCAAATTAATATGTTGAAGCTCAACCCCTAATGTGACTGTATTAGGAGATACAGCCTTTAAGGAGGTAATTAAGGTTATTTGGGGTTATAAGAGTGAGCTCCTAATCCAACAGGACTTGTGTCTTTATGAGAAGAGACACTAACTTTGGGAGGCCAACGCAGGCGAATTACTTGAGGATAAGAGTTCGAGTGAGAACAGCCTGGTCAACATGGCGAAACCCTGTCTCTACTAAAAATACAAAAATTAGCCAGGCATGGTGGCACATGCCTGTAATCACAGCTACTTGGGAGGCTGAGGCAGGAGAATCCCTTGAATCTGGGAGGCGGAGGTTGCAGTGAGCCAAGATTGCACCACTGCACTCCAGCCTGGGCAACAGAGTAAGACTCCGTCTCAAAAAAAAAAAAAAAAAAAGAGGGAGAGATAAAAGACATCAGTGAAAGCACACCCACAGCAGAGAAAGGGCCATGGGAAGACAGGGCAAGACGGTGTCCATCTCTAAGCCAGCAGAAGCCTTACCAGAAACCAATCCTGCTGGTGCCTCGATGTTAGACTTCCAGCCTCCAGAACTGTAAGAAAATAAAATTCTGTTGTTGAGGCCATCCAGTTTTTAGTATGCTGTGATGGCAGTGTGGGCAGACTAATACAGATTTTGGTACTGTGAAGTAAGGTGTTTCTGTAAAAAAAATTCCTAAAAATGTGAAAGTGGCTTTGGAATTAAGTAATGGGTAGAGGCCGCAAAGAGTTTTGAAGTGCATGTTGGAAAAGCCTAGGTTGCTTTGAAAACACTGTTGATAGAAAAAATGGATGCTAAAGGTGCATGTGGTGAGGTTTCTGATGGAAATGAGGAAGATGATATTGGAGAATAGAGGAAAGGCAGTCTTTGATATACAATGGCAAGAACTTTGGTGGTTAATGATTATTCACAGATGAAATGTGTAAGAATATACTCATTTTCTGGATGAAAAGCCTGAGATTGCTCAAGGTCACACAACCACCCAAAACCTAGATTCAGCCTTGAGCCCATGCTGTCTTCATTAGCATATTGATTAAGAAGCTCAACCCCTAACGTGACTGTATTAGGAGATATGGCCTTTAAGGAGGTAATAAGGTTATCTGGGGTTATAAGAGTGAGTTCCTAATCCAATTGGAAGAACAACTAACTCAGAGGAAAGGCCCACCCCTTTTGAAGACCATTTCTTGGCCTACTACTTGTATGACCTGGAAATAGTTGTCTAACCTGTCAGAACCTTACAGTGATGGAGTGAGGCCTTGATGAGATAACTTGAAAGAAGTTCTTGGTAACTCACCTATACGAAGTGCCATGGCACCTCCAGTGTTGTGAAGCCTTTCTTCATATCTCCAATATTCTGTTTTCTTGACTTTGAATTTAAGATGCTAACTCATATCTTCAAAGATTGTGTGGAATGAAATGAGATAAAGCAGGCACAATGCACAGGAGAGTGCCTGGCACATAATAGACACTGGGTTCATGGCCACTGTGATTATTATTACTGGTAGCCTCCCAAGAACCCTACAGATTAGAGATTCCTTAGCTTGGGAAGCCCTCAGATTAACCAAAGACAGGTGATGTTTTCTGGCCTGTTCCAACCCAGACTATTTTTTTTTGAGACGGAGTCTCGCTCTGTTGCTCAGGCTGGAGTGCAGTGGTGCGATCTTGGCTCACTGCAACCTCTACCTCCCAGAGTCAGGCGATTCTCCTGCCTCAGCCTCCTGAGTAGCTGGGATTACAGGCACATGTCACCACGTCCGGCTATTTTTTTGTATTTTTAGTAGAGACGGGGTTTCGCCATGTTAGCCAGGATGGTCTCGATCTCCTGACTTCATGATCCATCTGCCTTGGCCTCCCAAAGTGCTGGGATTACAGGCGTGAGCTACCACACCAGACCTCCACTCCAGACTTTTGTTGGGAGGCGCCTGAGTGGAGAAAGGCCCATAACCATGGGAGATAACAATTAGGGTCTCAGAGTCACCCAGGGGACTATCTTCTACTCCTCAGAAGGTGAAGATATGTCTGGCCTGACCAAGTGATGCAAAGTGAAAAATGAGGTTGTGACATAGCAACAACATCTGTGTCATCATTTCTGCACCAGGAGGTCAATTGGTTTGATAAACTGGGCTGCTGCCAGAGCAGTCTTTGTTTAGGAATTAATTAGGAGCCACAAAGAACTGCTGCTTGTGCAGATTTTGGTCTCTGGAAGTTATAAAAAGCAGATGGATTTTAAGCAAATGCGTTTTTCATCCTTTAACACCATGTGAAAGGGTATATATTAGAGCAGGTGGCATGGAGGAATGGGCAATGAAAATGGACACCTGAGCCATCCTGTTCTGCTTCTGTGTGCTCATGTGCATGGCCCCGTCTTTTTGGCTGCTGCTGTTTGTGCATCAGTAAAACTTTGTTATTAATAATACCATATCCTGAGTCTTTTTTATGTCCCAAGAATAGCACTAAACACTTCACACACTCGTCCCTTATCTAATCTCTACAGCACTCCATTGAGAAGGCTGTTGTTAACTAACCTTTACCTGTGAGAAAACTGAGGTTCAGGAGGGAAAACTCTTCTACTAGAATGGATGGAGCTCAGACTAGAGCCCTGATATGGTTTGGCTGTGTTCCTACCCAAATCTCAACTTGAATTGTATCTTCCAGAATTCCCATGTGTTGTGGGAAGGACCCAAGGGGAGGTAATTGAATCATGGGGGTTGATCTTTCTCATGCTATTCTCATGATAGTGAATAAGTCTCACAAGATCTGGTGGATTTATTGGGTTTCTACTTTTGCTTCTTCCTCATTTTCTCTTGCCACTGCCATGTAAGAAGTGCCTTTTGCCCTCCACCATGATTAAGAGACATCCCCAGCCATGTGGAACTGTAAGTCAAATTAAACCTCCTTTTCTTCCCAGCCTCAGGTATGTCTTTATCAGCGATGTGAAAAAGGACTAAAAATACAGTAAATTGGTACCAGTAGAGTGAGGAGTTGCTGAAAAGATAACTGAAAATGTGGAAGCGACTTTGGAACTGGGTAACAGGCAGAGATTGGAACAGTTGGAGGGCTGAGAAGAAGACAGTAAAATGTGGGAAAGTTTGGAACTTCCTAGAGATTTGTTGAATGGCTTTGACAAAACTGCTGATAGTGATATGAACAATAAGGTCCAGGCCGAGGTGGTCTCAGATGGTGATGAGGAACTTGTTGGGAACTGGTGCAAAGGTGACTCTTGTTATGTTTTAGTGAAGAGACTGGCAGCATTTTGCCCTTGCCCTAGAGATTTGTGGAACTTTGACTTGAGAGAGATGATTTAGGGTATCTGGTAGAAGAAATTTCTAAGCAGCAAAGCATTCAAGTGGCGACTTGGGTGCTGTTAAAAGCATTCCACTTTAAAAGGGAAACAGCATAACAGTTCAGAAAATTTGCAGCCTGATGATGCAGTGGAAAAGAAAAACCCATTTTTTTGAAGAGAAATTCAAGCTGGCTGCAGAAATTCACATAAGTAGCAAAGAGCCTAGTGTTAATCCCCAAGACCATGGGGAAAACATCTCCAGGACATGCCAGAGACCTTCACAGCAGCCCCTCCTATCACAGGCCCAGAGGCCCAGGAGGAAACAGTGGTTTGTGGGCTGGGCCCAGGGTCCTTGTGCTGTGTGCAGCCTAGGGACTTGGTGCCTGTGTCCCAGCCTCTCCAGCGTGGCTGAAAGGGGCCAATGTACAGCTCAGCCTGTGGCTTTAGAGGGTTGAAGCCCCAAGGCTTGGCAGCTTCCACATGGTGTTTAGCCTGCAGGTGCACAGAAGGCAAGAATTGAGGTTTGGGAACCTCTGCCTAGATTTCAGAAGACGTGTGGAAACGCCTTGAAGCCCAGGCAAAAGTTTGCTGCAGGGGCAGGGCCCTCATGGAGAACCTCTGCTATGGGAGTGTGGAAGAGAAACGTGGGGTTGGAGCCCCCACAGAGCATCCCTACTTGGGTACTGCCTAGTATAGCTGTGAGAAGAGGGCCACCATCCTTCAGACCCCAGAATGGAAGATCCATCAACAGCTTGTGCAGTGCACCTGGAAAAGCTGCAGACACTCAATGGCAGCCCATTAAAGCAGCTGGGAGGGAGGATATACCCTGCAAAGCCACAGGGGTGGAGCTGCCCAAGACGTTGGGAACCTACCTCTTGCATCAGCGTGACCTGGATTTGAGATCTGGAGTCAAAAGAGATCATTTTGGAGCTTTAAAATTTGACTGCCCTGCTGGATTTCAGACTTGCATAGGCCCTGTAACTTCTTTGTTTTGGCCAATCTCTCCCATTTGGAACAGCCGTGTTTACCCGATATCTGTACCCCATTGTGTCTAGGAAGTAACTACCTTGCTTTTGATTTTACAGGCTCATAGGTGGAAGGGACTTACCTTGTTTCAGATGAGACTTTGGACTGTGGACTTTGAGTTAACGCTGAAATGATTTAAGACTTTGAGGGACTGTGGAAGGCATGATTGGATTTGAAATGTAAGGACATGAGATTTGGAGGGGTCAGGGGCGGAATGATATGGTTTGGCTTTGTTCCCACCCAAATCTCAACTTGAATTGTATCTCCCAGAATTCCCACATGTTGTGGGAGCACCCAAGGGGAGGTAATCGAATCATAGGTGCTGGTCTTTCCCATGGTATTCTCATGACAGTGAATAAGTCTCATGAGATCTGGTGGGTTTATTGGGGTTTCTGCTTTTTCTTCTTCCTCATTTTCTCTTGCTGCCACCACGTAAGAAGAGCCTTTCACCCTCCATCATGATTATGAGGTGTCCCCAGCCATGTGGAACTGTAAGTCAAATTAAACCTCCTTTTCTTCCCAGTCTCTGGTGTGTCTTTATCAGCAGCATAAAAATGGACTGATACAAGTCCAGGATGTGGGAATCCCAGGTCTGTGCTAGTAGCCGCTATGCTAAAATAACATTTTCTCATCTTCCTGATAAAATGCCGTGAGTGTCCATTTGAAAGTATCTGTTCAAAGCTGAGTGAGAAGCTTTGAAGAGAAGATCTTAGAAAACAAGGATTTTCATGTATGGGTCAATGAGGACCATTTATACTTTCACGAATCAACTCTATGTTGACAAAAGTTAATCACTTTTAAAAGAATGCATTCCACTTAAGTGATAATAGTTATAATAATGCTAGGTAATATTTGTACAGTGCTTTGGCAGATTCAAGAAAATATCCACACATTTACTATTGCATTTTATCCTGAAAACAATTAGGTATTAATATTGTAGCTTTTGTCATTAGTATTAGCTCTGTTTTATAGATGGGAAGATTGAAGTTTAGAAAAGTTTATCATGTCCAAGATCACAGAGCCACTCAATGGTGAGACCAAACATCCTTATGCCAGGTACAGGGGTATCCCTTGGGGATAATTGAAAGGTTAGGAATGCCCTGTGGTAGCAAATAGGGAAAAGTTAATGACAAAGAAACTCATGAAACTGTGGCATGTTAGAGGCACAAGGGCCATTTAATGTCTCTGTGACCCTCATTGTCACAAAAAAACAAATACTTTATGATTCCACTTATATGAGATACCTCAAGTAGTTAAATTCATAACATCAACCAGTGGAGTGGTGATTTCCAGAGACTAGAGGGAGGGAGAAATGAGCAGCTATTACCCAACAGGTATAAAGTTTCAGCCAAGCAAGATGAATAAGTTATAGGGATCTGCTGCACCACATTACACCTATAGCAAACTATTATGTGTTGTACATTTAAACATTTGTAAAGAGAGTATATCTCATGATCTCATGTTAAGTTTTCTTACCACCATAAAAAGTATTTTTTTAAACAAGAAAAACTAATACCCAGAGATGAAAATTTACTCCTTCAAACTCGCACAGCTAGTAATGTGACACTGAGGATAAAAGGTGGACAAATTTGGGTTTAAATCCCAAATTTCCTATTACCTCTACTTGTGATTTAGGGCAAATTAATTCACTTTTTGAGCCACGGCTTTCTTTTCTGTAAAATAGGAAAAATACTATCCAATGGGCATGTGGATTCAGTGAGATAAGATGTATATGAAATTTGTGGCACAGTGCCTCTTGCAGAGTATGTGCCCCAAAAGTGAAACCATTGGGACAGTAGATAAAGAGGAAAAAAATCATGGGCCTTGGTTCAACTTTAAGTGCCTCAATCACTAGCTATGCAACCTTGGAAAAACTATTCATATCTGCTAAACCTCAGTTTCCTTGTATGCAAATTAGAATGATGGCTAGACTTACACCATTTTGTTTGCTGTGAGCATTAAAAATAATCTGTGATGATGATTCGCACGGGGCCTTGCCCACGCTGAACCTCAGCTCTCGTAGGTCCCAGTGTGTTCTGCTCTTTCCATCATTTTCTGTCTCAGCTGGATGTTCTTCAAGCAAACAAATAAGGCCCATGTTTCCTTCCCCGAAGCACCATTGTTGACATTTTTCCTTTGGGCCCTGGAGCTAAGAAGCAGTTCTGGATCCTAGCCATTTCTATAAAAAACCTCCCCAATTTTGTGGGGTGATGTGTCCCCTTCAAGCGCAGAAATAGAGGAGAAGATGGCATTAAGTGTAATTAAATATGCACTCTTGCGTTTGGGGAAATGCATTGGGGGAAATTTGTCTTTAAAGTGTCATTCTTCTAGCAAAGGCACCTGTTATGCTAATGATGCTGCCATAGTCTCTCAACTGGGGGCCTAGATGTTTTCTTAGCATAGCTACTGTGAATACATTACACCCCATGCCACACTCCGTGGTCTAGCGTCTTTTGCTGAAATGTAAGCACCTTGGATTCTTAATTTGGCCTCCATAATGAAACACATGGCTGGGAGAAGTACTTAAGTCAGTCCCCTCACTGGCGAGAATACCTGATGGGAAAAGACTAGAAGAAAAACAAACATTTATTGAGCCATTGTCATGCACTAGGCATTGTGCTGATTGCTTGTCTTATGCTCTGCTACTTAATTCACCACAGCCATGCGAAGTAGGTATTCGTATTGCTATTTTACGGGTAAGGAAGCTGAAAGGTCACAATTTAGTTATTCAACTAATATTTCTTGAACAACCCGCTCAGCATGTGTCAAGTTTTTTGTTAGACCCCTGGAATTGTGATTTGGTCAACAGAGTTTATTAGCAGTATTAACTAGAGTGACAGACTTGAGACTGGGGCCCCAGAGACATTACAGCTTGTCTAATGTCACATTGTAGGAACTGGCAGAGTTAGATTTCAAACCCCGATCTGTCAGAGCTTTGTTTTGACCCGCTTGAAACAAGGGACCTGGAGCTTGTTCATTTGCTTCTTCAACCTTCTGGAACATCTTATATGCACAAGGTCTTGTGTTAAGCACTTAATCTTTATTCCCAGATGAAGGTTTTCATACTTTTGGGTCAGGGTCCTGAGTCATGTATTCAGGGAATACAAGATGGCACTGTATCAGAAGCACAGACCTTAGACGGTGGGAACACAGAGGAGAAAAAGTATACTTCTAGCCAGAGTGATTAAGGAAAGCCTCCTGGAGGAAGAAAACGTTGGTTCAGGCCTTGGATTTGAACTTCAGTCAATAATTTACAACTGCTCCCTCTTAGTTAAGATCTTTTTCCCAGAAGATGATGCTGGTAAGTCCCTGGGGTCAGGGATTTATCCCATACCCTCTTATTTTCCAAGAGGTTATTTGACTCCAGGAATTCCATCCAACATTAATTCACCTGATATCGACCACTGTTTCATGACAAGGGCTGGGGACTGATGAACGCAGGTGGACATACATGGCTTTTACCCACAGAAAGCTAATGGACAAGAGAGGGAAAGAGGAAAATAACAGTGTGTTTAAGTCATTCTCAGTTAATTCAGGAAAGACTTGGCAGGGTGGTAATGAAAGTAAGTTTAGAAGGGAACCACATTTATAATCTATTCCAGTGCTTTTTAACATTTTACAGCAGAAACTATTTATCAAATGAAACACATTCATCAAATGAAATGCAATGATTGGCATTGTTTATGTCCACATAGACACCTGATATGTAACAACAAAGTGGGTCTGCTCTGGCTGGAGGTTCGGAGGAGTTGCAGGAGCAGGACTTCAGTTTCTCAGTTCACCCCACATACCATCAAAGCTGTGCCCTGGGGAACATGGCTTGAAAACTACTAAATCACTCCCCGCTCCTCCCCTCATCATGAAACATCATGAAACTGTTGGAGAAACTGCGCCCTGAGAGGCAAAGGTATCAACAAAGTCAGAGAGTGAGCTGAAGTCAGGAGCCAGCTCTTAGGTGCCCCATTCCAAGGCTTGTAACCACACCATTGGGAGGAGGAATTTTTTTGTTGATGTTTATTTGTTTTTGCATTTTTTAAGATTTTTTACTTGGAAATAATTTTAGATTTGCAGAAACTTTGCAAAGATGGCACAGAGAATTCCCAAATACTCTTTACCTAGCCTCCCCTAGTGTTAATATCTTTCATAAACATAGTATATGTGTATGTACTGAGATATTAACAAGAAATGAACTGCTGAGTGTCTGTGGTCAAGTCTCTTCTTTCTGAGCTTTCCCCTGTCTCTAATGTGATGAGATTAAACCAAGTGATCCCAGGGTGCAACACTATTAACTAAAGACCTTGCTATTATTTCCCCAGTTTCTCCACTGATGCCCTTTTACTGTACTAGGATCCAATCCAGGATACCATATTTAGCTCTCATGTCTCCATGGTCTCCTCCTCCTCAGCCTTTCTTTGTTTAATATCATGACACCTTTGAAGATCACTGGTCAGGTATTTTGTAGGATGTCCCTCCATATGGGTTTGTCTGATTTTTATTTTTATTTTTGGAATTAGTTTAGGGTCTCCAGATTTGGACAAAGAATGCCACAAAGATGAAGTGCTCTTCTCATTCCATCCTGGTACATGGTATCAACCGACTAATTATGTACTTGATGACTTGTACAAGGTGGTGGCTGCCAGGTTTCTCCACTCTCAAGTTACTGTTTCTCTCTTTCCACACTCTATTATTTAGAAACAAATTACTAAATCCAGCATACGCTCAAGAAGAGGGGGATTAAGATCCACCTCCTAGAAGGAAAGCTTCAAATAATTTGTGAACATTTGTTGAGACCACTAAAGCAATTAACAAGCATTTGGGGGAGATAATTTGAGGCTCTACAAATATCTTGTTTCTCTAAAAAGTTTATACCCACTAATTTTATTATTCATCAGTTGATCTTGTCTTCAGTGATTTATTACCCTAGTGGAGAAAAGTGATTTTTAAAGCAAAACGAAAATAATAATTACAAAAAATATGAAAGGAAGGAGAAAAAATGCACACTTATTAAAGGCAACTTATTTTTTTGCAGGTGGTAGACATGGGTCAGTGTAGTTATCTAGGAGAAAAGGGACGTACCATGCTCAGCAGCCTTGCTGGTCTTTTTCTGAGATGGGGACTTTCAAGTTGGCATCTCCATGGCACTGTCAGTAACCTTCGCATTCTAATGTTGATGGTGGCTCTTTTAACTCTACTAGGAAAAGGTCAGCATGGAGCAGTAACACCTAACTTGCCAATTTTTTTTTTCATATTTCATCTTAAAATACAACTAGTTGTAGAAGCTGGTGAAGATATATTTTGTAACCAGATTGTTTGTATGTTTTTGTGTGTGTGTGTTTGTGAGTTTCTGTTGCATGTGTGCTTCCTTTTTGCTTTGTAGGCGTGCTTATTACTGGATCCCATGGCATTTAGGGAGGGAGGGAGTTATAGATGTTTCCCTTGGCTGTGCCCTTAGCTTTGGGCAGTCATTTAGAGCAGCTTGAATCCTTAGTGAGGTTCTACAATATCTTAATTATAAAACCTGTCTGATTTGAAGCTCAAGGATGAGGAAGTGCAGGAATGTGTATAAACTGCATCTGTCTGGCACAACCTAGGGATCTGGGTAGGTCACAGGGAGTTAAGCCTAGCAGATTAGCTCATTTTACCACTAGAGCAAATCTTATGGAAGAGATGGCCTTTTAGATGGTTCCTGAAGGATTAAGTTTTATAGGAAATATTCCAGAAAGGAATTAGCATTCAAGAGTTAACATGGCATCTGGCTTTATAAACTATTCTTTATGGCCTAAGGGTATTCGATAATCCCACCTCTTATCCACTAAAATATTAGGAGATTTTTTTTTTTTTTTACCATTTTGCTTTCAATTTTTTCTGATTCTGAGGAACCATTGTGTAGTGATGTGACTACTTGCATCAGTGGAGTGATAAAGCACTTGAATGTTCTTTCTGTATCTTTAACATATTAGAATATCAGCACAGCTAGTAGCTGTAATTATTTCTTAATTGGTTGGTGAGTTTGTTGATTGCTGGTTGGCAGATTTAGGCCGGATTGGAGATTCTGTCTCATTTCCACTTGGATTTTATAGCAGACACTCTTGGTGTCCAGCCCACATGCCCTCAACACTGACCCTCTCCATGAATGCTGGCTTGACTTTCAGTTGCCAGCACATGTGACTCTTTGGCTAGAGGTTCTTTGGCAGCTCGGTACCCCTCTGCCCATGCCTGGGGAAGGCTGCAGTGCCGGGAATCACTGGACCTTCAAGCACAGTCCTTAACTGCTGATTGTTGGGAGTTGGTTAACAGATGCCTCACCTCCCTTGCCACTCCAGTGGGCTATCTCCGAGGCATTTCTGTTGTTCTCAGAATGCCCCAGCACAATGCACCTTCTGTTGCCCACAGTGGCATCTGGCTTTATAAACTATTCTTTATGGCCTTCTTTTTCTTCCCTGCCTTGTTTCCTAACTCCTCTAATAGTTATTTCTGAAATCACTTTCCAAGTAAGCCACTTACAGTCAAATTCCTATCTTCTGAACTGCTTCTGGAGAAAGACAAACTTAAATAGACTTCTTCTATGGCCCCTTTGACCAGGGATTTTGGGCTCAGAAGGGGAAAAATGACCTTGACTTCTTCTAGCTGTGAGATTTTCTAGTTGAAACAGAGAAAAAAGCTTTCATTCTCTGAGCCTACATTTCTTACTTATAGGAGGAAAACATCTCAGCTTAGATGTTGCCAAGGTCCTTCCTGAAGTTTGGTTCCGAAATATCAACTTACAAACATCTTCATTCCTCCACTATGTGTGTGATTTCTTTGTATTTATCTAATTTGTTCTAAGGGAACGTTTTTACTTCCCACCTACCAGGTCCCATTTTCAAAAGCAAACAAGCAAACAAAAACGTTAAGCCTAACACTTCCAGTATTAAGTAAGTTTGGATATCTTGTTTTCTAAGACTAGCTGTGTTTGACTTTGGATGTAAGCCGAGAATATGGGGAAGACCAGTTGTGTTTTTATTTTCTCCCTCCTTCTCTTTTGTTATTCCTCTCTCACCCTAACTTTTCCTCTTGTATATTCGGAAGTAAGATTGAAAGCTCTGACCTATTTATTTTTCTGATTGAATATAAAACCGGTGCTATATTCGGTAGCTTAGTACATGCCAGGCACTACACCAAGCATTTTCCATGCATTATGTTATTTATTTCTATAACAGTGGTATGAGGAAGGCACAGTAATTTATCACGAGGAAGCTAATATTTGGAGAAATTATGCAGTTGCCCAACATCAGGCAGCCATGAGTGGTAGAGCCAGAATTTGAATCCAGACTTGTCTGAATACAAATCCTGTATTTTACTCACTATCCACTTCTCTTTGCAATGAAATTCAGTAGATGTAACTCTAAAGATCTCTATGTACATCAAGACATAATTTTTACGAATGGGGTAAATGTAGAGATTGGACCAGAGAAATAACTCAGTATCACCTAGAAAAAAAAATTGTAGATTTTACTGGACAAGAAACTAAGTGAAGTAACAGTATTATGTGGATACCATAAATAAACTGTATTTTTTTCAATTTAGATTTCTTTTTTTAATTTTATTTTTAAATATTTATTTATTTATTTTGAGACCAGGTCATAAGCCTGGCTAATTTTTGTATCTTTGGTAGAGATGGGATTTCGCTGCGTTGCCCAGGCTGGTCTCGAACTCCAGGGCTGAAGTGATCCACCTGTCTCAGCCTCCCAATGTGCTGGGATTCCAGGCATGAGCCACTGTGCCTAGCCTCAATTTAGATTTCATCAATAAACGTGTCCCACCGAGGACAGGATGTTCTGATTTGAATAGTCACTACATTGAATACTGTGCTCAGTTGTAGTGTTATCTTTAAGAAAAACGTTGTGAACATCAAGTGTGTCCAGGGAAGATTAACCACAGGGTAGTGAAAAGGTTCAAAACCATATTACCACAATTCTGGAAAAAACTGAGAGGATTTAACCTGGAGAAGTGAAGATTTGAGGATCTTGATGAGGATCACTACTTCAATTCCCGAGTATCTCCCAAGGTGAAATAGGAGTTAAAATTGTCCTGTGTGGCCTCAGGACGTAAGAATCAATGACTGAAGCTATACGATAGCCAATTCCAGTTCTATTTTTAAAAGAAATAATAGCAAAAGTATCCAGCATTGGAATAAGATATTTCAAGAAATGGTATTTATTCCACCATGCCAGTGGTAGGATTTTTTTAAAGAATTTGCAGGTGATATAAATCCAACTCAAACTGGCTAAAGGACAAATAAGGCCTTTATTTCTCCCAGAAACTGAAATATCTACTTTTAATTTCAGGAATAGTTAGATAAAAATGTTCACACAAAGTTATACTTCACTCTGGTTTCCTCTGGGTAGGTTTCATTTTTGGGCAAAATCTCTCCCGGTCATAAGATTACTTTATATTTAGTATCATTAGGGAAAAAGAGAGAAAAAAAGGAGTCCTTCTTATTTTTAGCCAAAGTATCTGGGCGAACTATAATTTGCTCATGTGTCCATGCCTGCAGTAGTTTTCTATTGCTGTAAAGTTTTACAAATTTAGAGGCTTGAAACAACACAGATTTAGTATCTTACAGTTCTGTAGTTTAGAAATTTAAAATGGGTTTCACTGGGTTAAAACCAAGGTGTCAGCAACAATGTGATCCCTTTAGAGACTTTAGGGGAGAATATGATTTCCTGCCCTTTCCAGCTTCTGGAAGCCACTCATATTCCTTGGCTCATGGCCCCCTTCCTCCATCTGCAAAGCCAATACTAGGGGGTCGAGTTCTTCTCACACCACAACACTCCCACCTTCTCTTCTGCGCCCCTCTTTTATTTACTAGGACCCTATGATTACATTAGGTCCTTCTTGATAATCCAGGATAATCTCTCATGATAAGATCAGCTGATTTGCAACTTGAATTCCATCTGCAACCTTAATTCTCCCTCACCGTGTAACCTATCATATTCACAGGTTCTGAGTATAAAGACTTGGACATCTTTGGGGGTTATTATCCTTCCTGCTGTTAATACAAACCCTAAAAAGTTCACTGCAATGCTCCAGTTGGCCAACTCTGGGTTAGGTGGCCACTCCTGAACTGAGACTCAGGCCAGCCAGATCTAGACTACATGGATTGAGGGTGTTGAAGGGGTATCATTTAGTTTCTCAAAGGAAAACTAGGTCTTTATTAAAAATGAAGAGGGAAAGGATGCTAAGGAGATAAAAAATAAATAAATAAATAAATAAAAAAAGAAACAGAATATCAACCACAGTGTTGGGTGGGAATATTCAGTATTAGGTAGGAGATGAAATTAATAACCACAAAGTGTTTTTCCATATCCTTACATTTGAGTACCGTATCTTATGGCTCTGCCTAACCACAGGAAAAACAAATTGCAGTCTTGATCATGTGATGGTAATGGTGTGGCCTCCTCCTTTCTCCCGTATACCCACACTCTGGTACCACCAAAAAAAATTGATGATCCCTGCTAATGGTATAAATTTTATCCTCTATTCCTGGGTGAAGTCCTGGAAATTACTAGGCTCAGATTTACTCTTTTGTTTATGTCGTTCTCTGATTCCTAAATGATAGAGGCCATTAGGATAATGCTGATAAAAAGAAAGAAAGAGAATTGAAATAATACCTTTTTAAAATAAAGAGTATTATCTTCCTTGCCCAATAAGTATAGTTTTAAAGATGCTTCTTAATAGATTCTATCACAGTCTTTGGCAAAATAATTCCAAAGGGACAAAGTTCTCTAGTGGAAACAACAACAGTAAAAGATCCTTCTTCCCAAACTTTGCTTTGAGAAAAGCAAAAGGTATGAGACTGCTCATAACTGAATATTTCCCCTCCTTGCCTGCTGCTAGCTGAAATTGGATGGGACCATGAAATCCTAACCAATTTCACTCCACCACAGGTGCCTTGAGTGATACATTTCCAGTCAAATGCACAGTTTAGGGCTACAGATGGTGGAGGAGATAGAAAGCAGAGGTAAGAATGAGGAGAGAGTCATGGGAGACATTTTAAGAGAAATGGTGTGATATTAATTTTTTTCAGACTTTGGAGTTCAACATTCTTTTGTTTCAGACTTCAGTGTTCAAGCAGGAGGCTTGGCTGGGCATTTATTGAAGAAACATTTGCTGATAGAGATAACACCTGGTGAATTCAAGCATAGCCATGAAAGTGGAATCAGACGTTCCAAGTGCTTTGAAGCTGTGTAAACTTATTTAAATCCAGGTCAGATTGAACAGATCTGCTGCCTATGCAACACCTAAAGCATTTACTAGGCATGGTGCTGTCAGGTCCTGAATCAGCACATGGTCATCCTACTTCTTGGCCCAATTTCTGCTGAATTACACACCCTCAACTTGCCTAGTCTCTATTTGTAAACAAAGGTTTCCCACTAATTATGCTGCCAAAACTGAGTGAAAATGCCCAGGGATCTTCTGTTGTCTTTCATCCCCTCAAATGTGACTTTCTTATTACTACCATGTGATCTTCATGAAAGCAGGGAATTCATTGTGCTCACTGCTCTGTCTTTAGTGTTATTCTAATAACATCTCATTCATGCAAGACTATTGATTAATTTATATCAGATACATGTACTGAGCATAATGTCTTCACTTTACAATTTATTCACTGGAATAATTCATGTTTACATAAACAGATACATACTTATACACACTTTCACAAAAGAGTTATGGAGTATTTGTGTAGCATACTTTTCAGTTGTATGGAGTACTTTCAAATTCAGTCTTCCCCGTCAATTTAAGCTATATATTATTTGTCAATGTGTCTGTGCCTAGCTTCATGCCTGGGAGGTACATGGTATGTGCCTATTGGGTTTTGTTAAACTGAACCAGACTCATTCCACAACAGAGAAAGCTAAAGTTCAGAGAGAAATAGATGGCTCCAGGTCACACAGTTAGTTAATAGTAAGGAGATGTGACTTCTCCCTTACCACTCCCTACACAGTATAACTATCTGGACCTTTCAGCTTTCCCATCTTGGTGACTACATTCAAAGACCACATAAAGAAATCACAATTTCTGACCTTTTGATTTTTCTCAACACCATTGCTGTTGTTGACAGCTGGTAGGTTGTCGATTCTTGATTGTATATGGTTTTTGATAAGTTTTAGGGGATTTATGTATGCACTAAAGCACATGAAGTTTGTTACCAGGAAGTGAGGACGGGAACTGAAACCACATTGCTTCAGACCTTGCCTCAATCTTGGCACTTATTTATCCAGGATAGAGTGGAACGGTGAGATGTACTTTTGATGGTAGACCTTTAGAAGAAGAATAACAGTGGTTCCCAGTTCCCTTAATTAATAATAACCCTTTTGCCCTCTGTTCACATGACAGATTGCTCAAAGGAACTCAAAGTCCAGTATATATAGCAGTTGGTGAAGGTGAAGCCATTGTGGTCTTAGTGCATTGCATTCATGTGCTCTGTTAAAGGGGTGGCTAGCTTTGATGTTGTGTCAGGGTTTTTAGGGGCAACGTTAGGCTGTACCTGATCCCCTCTCCCCAAGCCCATGAGAATTCCAAAATCACACCTTGGGGAAAAAGGGAGATGACAGGGCCAGTAAGGGATAAAAGAAAGGAAAGCAAGAAGAAAGAAGGACAGGAAGTAAAAAAGGATATGAGATTTTTAAAGAGGTAGAAAGCTTTTATTGAGCATTTACTCTGTACCTTATTCTGTTAAAGTCACTTTCACAGTCATCATTTTAATAATTTGCATCTGTGAACCTCAAAGTACTTGAGACAGGTCTCAATCAATTTAGAATCTTTATTTTGCCTAGGTTAAGGACATGCCTGTGACACAGCCTCAGGGGTTCCTAACAACAGGTGTCCGAAGTGGTCAGGGTACAGTTTGCTTTTATACATTTTAGGGAGACATAATACATCAATCAATACATGTAAGATGTACATTGGTTTGATCTGGAAGGGCAGAACAACTCAAAGCAGGGACTTCTAGGCCATAGGTAGATTTTAAAATGTTCTGATTGGCAATTGGTTGAAAGAGTTATTATTAATAGAAAAGAATGTCTGGGTTATGATGACCAAGGTTTTATAATGCAGATGAAGCCTCTAGGTAGCAGGCTTCAGAGAAAACAGATTGTATACGTTTCTTATTAGATCTATGGTCTGTGCTGATGTTAATGCTGGTTGGTTTTTCCCAAATTCCCAAAGGGAGGAGGGCATAATGAGGTATGTCTGACCTCCCCTTCCCATCATGGCCTGAACTAGTTTTTCAGGTTAACTTTGAAATGCCCTTGGCCGAGAGGAGGGGTCCATTCAGATGGTTGAGGGGGGCCTTAGAATTTTATTTTTGGCTTATACATTGGTTGTATATACTGAAAGCAGGGATGAGTGAATACATGCTTTTAATCTTTCCAACCATTCATGCTTCAGTACACACATTTTGCATCTGAGAAACCTGAGCTACAGAGAGGTGAAGCCCCAGGAGCTAAGGGGAGCATTTTTGAGGTCAGGAGCTTACATGGACAATTTCATCCAAAGAAGGCTCTCAGAGGTACTGGGAGGGTGGAAGGGCTGAAAAGCCTTCCGTCACTGGCCACAATAATATCTGTGAAAGAGCTATTTTTATTATTTTGTATCTAAGAAAAAGAAGAGTCAGAAACTTGAAATGTCTTGGCCAAAGTTATATACTGATTCTTTCATTCATTTATTCTACCTTTGTATATCTACTCTAGGCAAGAAGTGAAATAGACGATCCCTATCCCTTCAGGATCTACTACTTTGGTGTGTCTTTTTCTGGGGTGACACTGGAAAATACAGGTGAGGCAGAGAAAACAGAGGGGAGCTAAGGCAGACGTTTCAGACAGAGGGCACAACATATGCAAGCACAAGGAGGCTTCAAGATGCAAGGGCACAGCATGTTTTAGGGAGTGGAAGTGGTTTGTTGTGGCTGTGGCAGAGAATGCCTGGGGAAGCACTGTGGGTGGTAAGGCTAAAGAATTTTGATGATAAAGGCTTGGATTTTATCCTGCAGGCGATGGAGACACAGCAGACCTTTACAAGCAAGCAAAGCATGGCTTTAGAAATGTGAATAGAAAGTGATGGAGCAGGGACACCCGCTCCCCTTACATAACCCGGTGTGAATTCTTGCCACCATACTTTATCCACCTCCTTTGCTGCAAACTGTCACACAGACAATAATCAGGGAGGTGTTTCCAAATGAACAGGAAAAGGGAACAGATGAGTAACCCACTTTTGAGTCTGAGTTGTGCGTTGAGAGGCTGAGCTGCGTGGTAACAATTTGCAACATTAAATTGAAATGGGGTCTGATTGGCTGGAAAGCACTTGGCCTACATTAATGCCCGCAGAGACTCTCTGAGTCTGATTAAGCTGCAGGTTTTGCTGGGGCCTCTCCCGGTGACCCATCATTATTCATGTCAGCACCAAGTCTGTCAGCCTCCCTCCACCACCAAAATTAATGAATTGAACTTCATGACCCATGCGTTTGATGGGATGAGACACTCTAAGTCAGCACAAGGCTATAGAGATGGGCCACAATCGTTCCTTCCTTCTTCCTTCCAATGGAGAGACTAAACCACTCCCTACTCTTCTTTTTACTGGCCTCAGCTGCCAAGCTGGCATCTTGAGCAGTGACAAGGGGACCCAGGAATAAAACAACAACAAAAAAACCTATAACCTGAAAACTGAAATCATCCTTGCAGATGTAGTCCAACAGTATCCCCACTGTATAGGTGGGAAAACTGAGGCTGGCCCTTTGTCCCACAATGGAAAAGAGGGCAGAGCAATGACTACAACAAATCTCTTCTTTTCTCCGATTTCCTTTGCTCTTCTTTTATACATTTAGTCCACTCCTGGAATGCTGTTTTGCCCCTCATTTCTCCTATGTTGTGGGAATGGAGAGAGGTATATATCATTTCCCCAGCTTGACAGTGGAACCAACATTCAGCATCTCTATTTTTCCTCTGTGTCCTCTGATTCTCACTTCAAAGCCAAAATTTTCTGTGGTGGCTGCTGTCCTGGGGAGAAAATGAGAAAAATACATTAAATAATGTTTCTGGCCTAGAAAGAAACCTAGAGGTCACCTTCAATTTCTTCTACAGCAGCCCTGTCAAGAGATCTTTAAGCTTCAGCTTGCATGGCTCTAGTGCCAGGGAGCTCACCACTTCACAGGGCAATCTTTCTATTTTTGAACAGATTTGCCTATTTAGAAAGACCTCTCCAGATTGACCTAAAATCTGTGTTCACAGTTTCTACTCTTTGGTCATAGTTGTGTCATCTCTAGCGCTGGATCATGAATCTACTTTTCCTTCCATGTTGGAGTTCTTTGGATCCTTTAAGCTAGCTTTCATGCAGCCCCGAAGTCAGTGTGTCCCTGTTCCCCAAACTCTAGTCCTTTTAGACCCATTAGTAAGATAGTAAATCCATTTAATGAATCAGGACCAGCATTTTCTTCATCAAAATCAAATGGAAATAGAATAGAACAAAATAGAGAAAGTAAGGACAAGTTTGTTTCTGAAACGTTTGATGCTTGTGTATCTTTGTGTGTATGTGCACTGAGTCCCATAGAAAAATGTGGAGGTTTTTTTCTATAAGTTGTGCTACAAAAATATTTCAAAGAATGCTTTCAAATATTCCAAGTCTTCTTCTGTCTCCTTTTTTTTTTCCAGCTAAACATCTTTTGGATCAAATTTTATTCCAGGTTTTTAACTGACTATCTGTGTCTTTAACAATTTCTTAACCTCTCTGAACTTCAGTTTCCCCATCTCTTAAATGCATAGAAAATAGTGGGTCCTCTGTCCTTTGCAGCATTCTTGTGAGAATCAAATATGCTGTTGAATGAAAAACTAATTTAGAAGGTGAGAGGGTCTGAGTTATAATAGTAGTAGGGGAATTGTAGTAGTCATGGGATAAAGAATGGTAATAATTTCTCTTTTTCCTCCTTTATTTCTTCTTCTTTCCCTTTTCCGTATTCTTATTTATGCTACTATAACGTAGTCTAGATTTTCCATTATTTGATCTTACATCAAGGGACATCATGATATGGTGAAATGAACATGGGCTTATAAACAAACCTAAGTTCAAGTCCAGCCTCTTCTAGTCATTGATTGTATGATCTTGGCAACTGTTTTAATCTCTCTAAGCCTCACTTGCTTTACCTTTAAGATGGGAACCTTAGTGCCTAACCAATGATAACGTTCCATGATAGGAAGCATTATCCAATATGTGTGAGATATAGTAAAATCTGATAAACACTAGGTCCCTTTATTCTCTGTCCACCCTCAGAGTGGCATTTCTGAGGACTGCACCAGCTGCAGATGCCCCAGGATTCCAGCATTTAGTGTATGTGCTACCCTACTTTCCCAGCAGCCTCTGAACAAAAGAGGAGCAGGTTCTCTGGAAAGCATAGGAGGAGGAAGCACAGGGTATAAGGCGAGTCCTGGGTGAGGCTGAACATGAGTTGAGCTCTGCAACTCCTTCCCACTCCCCATTCCGCATCATCAAACAGAGAAAACAGTCATCTCTGCCCTGCCAAACTTGCAGGCTTGGTGTGAGCCTCAAATGCATTGAAAACGAGGCAGTGTTTTGTTAGTGATCCAAGTGAAAGGATTTTATTCTTGTGGACATCATTTTCATTCAGACCAAATTTGCTTTTCCCTTGGATAGATGATTATCTCTAGATGTGTGCTTTCAAAGAAGTAAGTTTTCCTGCCATAAGTTGTACCTTTCCACATTGAAGTTGATGCTCCATTTCCAACAGAGACCTGTCCAACATGCCCTTCATTGTGGTACTTGCCCCGGTGGCTTCTAGAAAGCTTCTCTAGAGAGAGCTGAGCCTTCTTCCTCCTCCCCTCCCTGTGTTCTGCATCGCTTGCAATAGCCATTGCAATTCTCTTTGTCATACATTCTGTGTTCCAGCCAAATATGTCTCCTCCGTGTTCTCCCGGCATTTGTTTCATCCTCAATCTTCTTTCTGTACTTTTCTCACACCATTCTGTTTCTTGAGGGATGGGGGGAAGACTCTCCTTCACCTCTACAGGTAGATTCATCTCAGAAACCACCTCCTCTCTGAGCCTTTCGAATATTGTCCCAGTTAGAAGTAAAGAACCTGCAGTTTAATCAACCCAAGTTTACATCACAGCTCTAACATTCATCAATGTATGACCTTAGGCTATTTGTGAGCCTGTTTCTTTATCTGTAAAATGGGTGTAACACAAATAATCTCCCAAGGGAACAGTGTGGGTTAAAAGTGCTTCTGTGTGTAAGGTGCTTTAGCACATGGTAGGCATTCAGTATCCCCTTAATGAGGGTGAAATGCATCTTGTTTGCTGCCGTATCTCAGCCCTAGTTCAAGACCTGACATACAGTAGGCATCCGATAAATATACAGAATGCATTACAAATTTAAATGATCTCCCTTCCATCCTTTCTCTGAAGCACTCTCTCTGGAAGTCCAGAGGGGGCTGTTTATAATTAATGTCAACTCTAAATAGTCCTCACTGATTTCTGGATGCCCAGAATGGAATAAGTCACCAAACAGTTGGTTCTGGACCCCCAACACCTCTTCAGCCAGAAGAACTGTGATTATTTGTGTTTCATATACTAGGATTAGGTAGGATTTAATTTAGATGTTCTTCGCTGCAACTAACTGGAAAACAGCTTCTTTATATCAGTACTTTTTGAAAGATGGGTTGAAACAATTTAATAAGTCCTGAAATATTTACTGGCTCACAGCAAGCCTTTTTAAGAAAAATAGAAGAGGGCATAAAAAATAGAATGGAATGGAAAGGAACAGAAAGGACTGAATAGAATAAAATGTGTAATCGAACAGAATAGACAGTGATATGGAATAGAGTGGAATGGAACAGAATGTACCAAAATAGAATAAACCAGAATGGAACACCTTGACTCACATCTAGTATTTTTTGATGTGAAAAAATTTTAGTTAATTACATACATATATACACATATATACAACTGTCTGTATTTATTATTGTGGGCCCCAATGGGACATAATTTAAATGCCACTGCTTTATGTTATGGTAGTCAACTGTGCCCCTGTTTTATTGCTTAAGTTGACACTAAGCTTCCTACCCACAGCAGAAACCATAAACGATCCCCATTTGTGTCTCACCATTGTCTAACCCTGGGTCTCACCCTTCAGAGGTGCTCAGGAGCTGTTGGTCAAATCAAATTGCCAAGGAAACCCTGGGTTGGGTTGTAGTAGTCTTTACAGAAGTGTGGTAGATGAAACGTATGTTGAATTTAAGAAAATGTATCAATAATAATGATAAATGCTACTTAAGGATATTAATCACTACACAAACATTTAGAACTGGGTCTGGCAGGTAGTAAATCCTCAATAAATGATAGCCTTTATCATTTTGACTCTATGACCATCATTTAGTGAATGCTCACCATGTGCTTCAATACATCTTATCATTTATTTCTCATACCATCATTCTATGGTACCTATTATTGGCCCCATTTGACAGATGGAAAAATCTGAGGCTCGCATAGTTGGAGTCATTTGCCCAAGGAAGTAAATCTCAGTAAAAGCAAAGCTGGCGTTGGAACCTTCACCTTCACCTCCCCTGCCAGACTCCAGAGTTCCAAGCTCTCCCAGCCTGTCGGGATGCTGTTCAGGGCTGGGGAGGTAGGCAGGCCTGTGAGCGTTCAGACTCAGAAAGGCTTCCTGGTGCTGGCACTTCATGCAGATAAGAACCTCTGGGTGTGTGGCCAAAATGGGGTGGAAGAAATAAGGCATAGGAGCTGCTCAGGCTACTGCATTTCCGAGGCCAGTAGTCCTGAGGCTGACCTCAGCTTCATTCTAGGACAAGAGGTTATCGTAGGCCCATCCTCCCCACAATTCTGCCCCAGCTCCTGTTTCATGGATGCTTTGACACCATCAGATATTGCCTGGTCAGAGGGACAGCGACTGCCGGCAACTGCTGTAATTCTCTGGCTTCCATTTCCTTGTTCTTAAATGGAGCAGGTAATCCCTGCTTGTTTTAGAGATGTGATGAGAATAAGAATGGTGGGGACAGGCAAAGAAGGAGGCAAAGGCCCGGCACAGAAAGTCCTCACTAAATGGATGTCCCTCCCTTGCTTTTGTCACAATGTCCAGCTCCACTAGAGTTGCTGGATTCCTGCCATACCAGCTCGTTTTTTATCTTGGGGAAGCTTTCCAGTAGGAGGAAGACAGCCTTGGTGGTGGCCAAGGAAATGTCTCTGGGATTGGTCCCTAGCCTGGAGCTCTGTTTGCCTCAGGGCATTCCAGAGGGCATTGCTATTCTTGGCCTCATGACCCAGCACCTCCTTTGCTCCTCTGCTTTACTCCCCATGCTGAAGAGAAACAAGAGATATAAGAACAGATCTGGGAGATCACTGTAGCCCCTTTGAACAAATGGACCCAGGTGTGGAGAGGAAGAAAAGCCTTATCAAGGGATCTCTCCTGGGACCAGGCCTCCAGAGATGCAGTCATGCCTCTCAGTCATGGTATGACCAGGGGCTCTGACCTTGCCACCAATGACTGCCCAATATATCAGACAGGAAAATGGACACAATCTACATCATCTATTTAAATCTTCATAATTCTCATCAAAATTCCATAATGCATTAGTGGTCCCATTTCACAGAGGATGCTATGACTCTGAGATGAAGAGCTTGCCTAATTAGTAATAACAGCAACAACAACATATAACATAGTATAGCACTTACTGAGAGCCAGGCACCATCTGAAGTGCACATTCTTGTGAAGCCAGGATTCACTCCAAGGTTATCTGACTTTGGAGCCCAATTTCTGCAAAGGTAAGAGGCTGCAGAGAATGGAAAAAGGGCTTTGGCAAAATCTTGACGTGGGTTTAAATACATGTTCCCACATCTCAGGCTGCATCATTCTGCAAATTCCTAAACCTCACTGAGCTTCAGCTTCTTTATTTGACAAATGAGGGTGATGATAACTGCCTCATAGAATTGCTGATTAAATAGTACAAGACATATCTAGTCCCTGGCAAATATAAAACACTCTAACAACATAACGATTTGTTTTTTTAATTTAATGACCTTGTGCAAAGAACATAGTTGGGAGACACTGGGCCATTAGCACCATGTGGACAGAGCCTGGATCTGTCCTGTTTCTTGCTCTGTCCTTGGTGGTAGTGCGTGTCTGGCACTTTGAGAATATCAGCAAGTATTAGCTGAAGACCCCCTGGTGGACTGGTTGATTAAATGAATGAACGAGGGAAATGAATGGATGCAATCAAATTAGTTACTTGCAGCATCTTCTTAGTTTCTGTCCAGGCTTTGTCAGAACAGAAACCACCACCTTTTAGTTTTGCCTCCAGAGTTCTGGCCACAGATAAGCATGCATATGCACAAAGCAAGGAGGAAGAATTCACTTTCGGGGGCATCCTACTGTCCCTTGGTGCTCAGGCTCTATCTTCTCAGAGAAACTGGCCTCTTTATCAAATGAGCCTGGCCTTGATCTCCATTTGATTAAGACATTCATCCCCATCATTATTAGGCAATGCAAAAATCTCCTTTATCGTCTTCCAAAGACACCTCTTCTCCAACCTATAGAGAATATAATTTTATCAGAGGTTGTTCTGAAGGAATTTAATTTGACAGACTATTCTAGCCACTTTTGGGCATAATATTTAGAAATGAGAACAGTTTTGCCTCCTTGGAGATGTGTTTTTCCTTTTATGACCTCTTCTCTTAGTGAGCTCCCAATTCCTGTGCTGATAGTCTGCCTGAGGCTTCAGGCTTTTTAGAAGACTCTCTTCTCCATCCCTCTTATGACTACCTAGTGTAGACAATCTTACACTATCATCTTCCCTGGCAAGAATTAGTACTGATGCCTTTCACTGTCCTGGCCTCCAGGTTTGCCTCTCTCTGATTCATCATTCACAATGCTACCAGTGTGAACTTTCTAAAGCCAGATTCTATCATGTTATTCTCCTGCTAATAGCAGCTAAAAGATTAGAAACTCCCCATCACTCACAGAAATATAACTTGAGTATCATAGCAAGGGCTTTAGATAGGTTGAAATTCATTTATTCAGGTACATATTCATTTAGTGTTTATTGAGTTCCTGCCATGTGCTCAGTGCTGTTATAATCACCAGGTAGACAACATGAATAGAATGAAATTCCTGTCCTCATGAAGCTTATGTTTTTTTCAAAGAAGAGGACAAAGCACAAATAGATAAATTTATATTATATTAAATTACCATATTTATAATAAGTATCATGAGACAAAAATGAAGTAGGGTAATGGGATAGAGAATGACAGGTGGTTCTATTTTTTTAAAGGGTGTCGCACAAAGCATTACCTAAAAAAAAAAAATAGCATTTGTTTGAAGTTATGAATGGTATAAGGAAGTGAACAAGCCACAGAGGTATCTGAGTAGAGGGCTCCAGGCAGAGGGACAGAGCTGAGGATTGACCTTCCATCTCTGTTGCTTTCCATTTGTGACCTTGAGCAAGTAACTTCATCTCTGTGGTTCTCAGCTTCTCCTCTGCAAAGCGAGGATGCTGTCATAGTGCTGACTCCTCAGCTTCACTCATAGAACCATTTGCGCTCCCACTCCTTCTTGTTCTTGATTCAGCCTCACCTGTGGCCACGCCCTCCCTGCTTCAGCCCTTCTGAACTACTTGCAGCCTTGTTCCACCTGCTCTTCCCTTCTTCTGGGTGACTCAGGGTTTTCCTGTCTTATCCTCACCCACTTCATCAGATCACTCCAACTCAACCTTCAGATATTAGCAGAGATATTACTTCCTCCTAGAAGCCCTTGGGGACCTTTCACCCCAGGCTAGAGTACACACTCCCATATGCTTCTCTCAGTCTGTGTTTCCCCATTTGAAGCACTGTCCACAGGAATGACAGTATCTGTGTTTCTCATGAGACCTTGGACTTTATGAGACCAATGGAGCCAGTGTTTTGGCAAATATTAGGTTGGTGCAAAAGTAATTGCTGTTTTTTGCCATTAAAGTCATGGCAAAAGCCATGATTACTTTTGTACCAACCTAATAGTAGGTGCTTCATTGGTGTTTATGGAATTAATGAATTAATAAATGAATGGTTTTGGTAGAAGGCAAGATCAAATAATGGTTAGAAAAATATTTTTCTAAAACTATCCATTAATAAATTAACAGATAATTGGAAATAGGTTTTAGGGATTAACTGATAAAAATTATCCTGCCCAAGGGAAATGATGAGAAATTTACCAAAGAAAATCATTCCTTACATGTATAAACTACTTTATAGGTTATCAGTCCTTCTGTCTTCATTATCTTATTTGATCTTCAACACTAACTTGTGAAGTAGGAGGGCAGGGGCCTCAATGGGCAAAGAAATGTGTCTAACAGGATCAAAGAGGTTGAAAAGAATTGGACCAGCACTCAAACCCAGTCTTCTGATGCCTAGCACATTCATTGCTGGTTCTGCCAGTTCCTATGTCTGCATCACTAAAGACTATGGGTGTGGGTGTGTGGGTGTGTGTGTTGAAATGAAATGAAATTCATAAGAAGCCTTCTGATTCCACCTGGATTAAGAAGTCCCTGCGGGGGCAGTGGGCAATGGAAAAGCCCCAGGCTTAGAGAATATGTCTGCCACATCAGGTGAAGCTGATACATGTGCTTCCAAACAGCAGAACTAGCACTCAGAGTGGGCGGTTAGTGAGTTTCTAAAGAAAGGGAGAGAGGAGATGAGTAGGCGGTGACATTTTCTGGGGAGAATGCCACTTAGAAGGCCCTTGAGACTGAGGTCTCAACAGATTGGGACAAAGAAGGCAACAGGATAAGGGCATAGGTGTTACCCTGGGACCCCAGAGACCTGAATTCTGGCTCCAACTCTGTTGACTTCCAGTAATACGGCTTGAATAAGTGCCCTCTTAAATCTGGATTTCAGCCTCTCCATCTTTAAAGTTAAAAAAAAAAAAGACAATGTCAGTGGTTTTCATGTCATGCTCCTTGGGACCTGAGGGATCTGTGGGGGTGCCTCAAGACCAGGGGGAAGGTGGTGGGTGAAGAGAGGAACCACATGCATGGCCTTCGATCGTCATGCTTAGAGGAACTTTCCTTTTATAAATTTTATATGTTGGCCTTTGAGTGTAAAATTTCATTTGAACAAAGGGTTCTGCTACAAAATAAAGTTTGAAAACCTCTGGGCAAAATGATCTTAAATGGTTTTCCAGTTTGCACAATCTGTGAAAGGAGAATCAGAGTGAAAATAAAGCCTTCACTTTTAAGTACTCAATTGAGGAAGGAAAGAGGACAGGTTGCAGGGAGGAAGATGTGAGATTAAACAGAAAGGACAGAGAGATGCTGCCAGCATTCACCGTGACTTTGAGATTTAAGACTGGGGAGAACAGATTTCCCGTGGATCCTTTTCTTTTCCTTCTTTTCCATTAGGGTTTATTGCCTTGTTTTTCTTTCTTCTTCTCTCCAAGTAGCTACTTGAAGAACTTCATACGACTTCAGCAGTTATGGGTTATCAAGCCACAGCTATGTTCTTTCCTTCCCTTGCAAATGTGACTTACAGGAGTTGCTCAGGAGAACAGGTGTTTTAAATACTCACTGAAAAATTTATTAGAAAGCAAGACTTGTCACATGCCAAAGGTAGAAGCGAGCACAAAGAGCCACTGGCTCAATCATCCCATTGTACATATGTGGAAATTGAGGCCTGGAGAGTGAAGAGACTTGCCCCGAACCTCATCATCAGCAGTGAGGCAGCCCGATAGTCCATCCAGCCTTGATGAAGTCTGAGAAACACAACACTGGGTGTTGCACAAAGGGCATGAGAGTTTCTGACCTTGTATTTAAAAGTAGATGATTGGCACCATCTCCTACATGTCCTTTACCTTTTCCAGATGGGGTGTTTGGGGTTTGCACTATATGCCACCCTTCTGCTTTTTGATCAAACACATGATAGCACAAACTGTGCAGAAACTACAGACTTTGCTTCTGTCTCTAGAAAGGTGCCACTGACATAGACCTGTCTTGTCATTGTCCAACAGTATTGCGGTTCCAGCCTAGTCACTGAGCACACATTTGGAAAGTTACCATGGTTTCCATTCCCTTAAGGATTGACCTAACTCCATGGCCTCACTTGTAAGTCTCTCTAGGATCCAAACAATGCAATTCTGCCACTCCCAGCCTTATATTGTATGCACTAGACATTGTGAACTTTGCGTAGCATGGAAGATACTTCATGATGTTTTCACTGGAAGGTCTTTCCTCATTCTATTTCCTCTAACTGGAGCTGTCACTCCTCTTTTTATTCGATTCCACTTAAGCAAGTAGCTACTGTTGACTCAACTCACATTTCAGCTTCTCCAAGAATCCACTATGGCCTTTGTCCTTGCTATTTGAATTTCATAAGCATCCTAAGTGTGTACTCACCATTCGAAGCTTCCTTCCACCATAACACTTCACTTGATGTAGACAAGGTACCCTTCCTCCTGTCTATAGCTCTACAGGATGGGAAATGTTTTGAGATCAGAGACTATATCTCATTCTTCTGCCAGAGGCTGGGGCGTTGACTGACACATGACAGTGTTCGGTAAATAGACTTTCACACCATAGTGTCTGTGAATACACCTGATTACCTCTGGGCCTCATTTTCATTGTCTGTTGGAGGCTAAGAATAAAAAGATCACTGTGCAGGGGTCGCTGAGAGGTACTAATGAGACACAGCGTGTTAAAGGGCTTCATGAGCCATGCTTCATACCAATAAAGGGATTGTCACTACTAACAGGCACATATATGAGTCATGTCTTGCAAGCACCTGCTGCACCCCAGTGCCATGTGCCAGGTGCCCAGCACCTCTAGGAAAAGGAGCTGACACAGCCTTCTCCCTCTCCTCCATCTTCAGAAATGAAGCATTTTGTTTCTTTCCAGAAGGGAAGCAGAGCCAGATCTCAGGATGAACCTCTTAGAGGTGTGGGCTGTGGGCCTGTCACCACATTGCAGCCTCCACTGTGAGGAAGGAGCTGCTGGTGCTGGATGACAGTTTTTGTTTTTGTTTTTGTTTTTAATTTTATTCTCAATACAGCAGAAACTAAGTTTTATTCGAGGACTGTATTTGGGACAAATCATCCCATACTCAAGACTCTTGCTCCTGTGAAGTGGGTGTTGCTGCCCTCTTATTACAAATGAAGGAACTGCAGATGAGAGAGGCTACTCAGTGGGGACACACCACTCCCAGAATCAGAATCCATGTCTGAGCTGTCTCCCATTCCTGGGGACTTCATCAATGATGGGGCTGCTTTAGACAGGTTTCTGTTCTACTGCCAGGAGGGCAGCCTGGGTGACAAATGGTATTGGCAGCAGATAGCCTCAAAAGACCCTAAGTTAAGGAGGCAAGCCGCTAATCCTGGCTTCTTTTGTCTTTATCTTTACAAGTTTCTTATTAGACATTCTTTCCTCACACTTTCAATTAATATTCTTTCCTGAGTCCCTCTTACTTTTCTCTCTTGTTCTGTTATGATTTTTCTTTTTCCATTCTTCTCTACAAAATTCTGGATAGACTCCACTTAGCTGCCTGCCGTGATCTCCCTCCTCAGTGCTTTTGGCTCCTTGCCTGCCTCCAGAATCTTTTTTCAACTGGTAAATTGAAACTAGTTGCTTTTCTGTTCAAAATCCCTCACAAGATAGAATCCATGGACCTTCAACTATTCCAGATGTTGCTTCTGGGTCAGGTCTGAATAATCACCCCAGGGCTGGTATCCACCATCCCTCCATTCTAGGAGCTCATAGTTTTGCAGATACACCCTGTCCTTTGGTGATTACTGGTTCACCTGCTTGCCCATTTCACCCCCTAACCTCCAGACTAGAAGGACTTTGAAATAAGGGCACACTTTATTTACCTCTTGTTTCCTATTTTCTGGCACAGCACCTTGTACCCCCTAGATGCTCAGTAAATATTTAGTGAATTAAGTGAAGAAATGCATCAGACACCCCATACTCTCCTTTAACCTCTGTCCTCTTCCCCAGAATTTAGGGATGGGAAATCCGAGTTCCACTGTCTTTTTGGGAGAGATGCCAGCAGGAAGTTATTGAATGGACAATTTTACAGCATTTTACAAATTACAAGTCATTTTATACACATTAACTGTTTGATTCTCACAGCCACCTATGAGCTCTGCAGTGGAGATTTTCATTCCATTGTACAGAGAGGACACTGAGACTCAGCGGAGTTGCATGGCTTCTCCTCGTCCACACAACTAGTTTGCCATGGTGCCAGGATTTGCACTGTGCATAATTTCTGTTGCTCTAGGCCTTGGTTTCTCCCCTAATGAAAACACTATGTCTTAATTACAACAAATGAGGGAAGGAAAAGCTAGAGTAATTATTGGTGACACATTGAGCAAGTGTGAATCTCTTGCAAGAATTGAATTGCTTCTTTCTGTACCTTCAAGGACTTTTTCATTACTCCTAATTCCTCACATTTGTGTATCAATTTAGAGGTTTGCAAGGCTTTTTTTTGTTTGTTTTCAATTCCAGATTCCTTTTGCCTCTTAGTTCAGTGAAATGGGGAGAACAAGGCTTTAGAAAACATGTTATTTTGTCTTGTCTGTGCCATGCACTATGCCACGCATCAGGGACATAGTTGTAAGCAAGTAGACGTGGTCTTTGTCATCATGAAGCTTGGAGTTGAATGGGGGAAGTGGACTAGTAAATACTCATGCAATATTCATTAAAATACATGAAACACAGGATTCTATGTAGCCCAGAGACCTAGGCAAAGAGTGGCTGGAGAAGGTTTCCAGAAGGCAGCAGAGACCTAAAGAATAGGACCTAAAGAGCAGAGACCTAAAGAATGGGAAGGAATTAGCTAGGCAAAGAGTAGTGGGAAAGAATGTACTAGGCAAGGAGATGGTGAGCAGATACCAGGGGGCAGAAGTAAGACTGTTTCGGGATTATGGTGAGTAGTACAAATGAGGAAATTAAAAAACTATAGAGGGAAAGAGACATGATTGAATCACCCAGTGCATTCAGGGTGTGCCTGAAACCTGAAACTGAGACCTTCTGCCTCCTGGCCCTGCACCCAGCCTCCGTGCCTGCAATGTGGGTCTCCACCTTTCAGGAAGCAGAAGGATGTCATTAGAGGAAGAGTCTGGGTGCCTGGATCCAAACACACAATTGAGGACTAGATGGAGTAGGCTCTGTCTGCTGAGACTCCAGCAGCCCTGAGCCCTGTCCCTGTGCCGCTTTGCAAACTGGGCCTCCCGCCACTTGAAGATTAGTCACAGATGCTGCAAATGCATCCACAATATTGTGTCAAAAAAGACGTGTGGCAGCATTTGGATAGCAGGCTTATTAGCCTGTTATTATCCATTCACCCAAATATTCCGACTAATCAGCCTTCAGATGGGCAGGATTAATTGGTTACAATCGTAGCACTGGGCACATCTAATTGAAATGGATGCATTCGTCTTTCAGAACAGACAGCTTATCCATTGCCATTACACAGAGAGCATGCCCTGGCCTGTGGATTTTGCTGTCAGGGTCATTACCGTGGAGGCCACGGAGGATGAATCGAGCTCTTTTTTTTAGTTTTGTTCAATGCTTTAGCCACCTTCTACTTGTATCATGATATGTCTGCTGCATATTCATCTTCTCTACGGGACTGTGAGCTACTTGAGGGCAGGTCTGTATTCATTGACATTAGATCTGCCTACATATAACTGAAAAAAGTCAAAATAATCGTGCATTAAACAAAATGAAATTTATTTTTCTCTCACGTTGATGATAGGAGAGCTTGGAATGGTATAGCAGCTTCACAGTGTCTTCAAGGACCTAAGCCAGCCATCTTTCCTTCCTCCCTCCCTCTCTCCTTCCCTCTATCCCTCCTTCCCTCCTTCCCTCTCTCCCTCCCTCCCTCCTTCCCTCCCTCACTCCCTCCTTCCCTCCCTTTCTCCTTCCTTTCTCCTTCTCTCCTTCCTTCTGTCCTTCCATCCATCCATCTCTCACTCCCTTCCCTACTTCCTTCCTCCATCCCTCCCTCTCTTCCCTCCCTCCCTCTCCTCCCTCCCTCCCTCCCTCCCTCCCTCCCTCCCTTCCTTCCTTCCTTCCCCACTGTCCTACCTTCCTTCCTTCCTTCCCCACTGTTCTAAGATAAGACCATGTGGATCATCCTTAGACTCACATGGTCTAAGATAATTGTAGGAAAATCAGTTATCATGTTCACTACTCAAACAACAGGAAGGGAGAGAAAAATAAATCGATAATAAGGCACACCTCCCAGATGAGGCAGTTGCCTTTAAGGAGCTTTTCTCCTAGTATGTATATGTACATCTCAGTGGCCAGAATATAGCCACCTGACTGAGATGTAGTTGTTAGTTACAGGTGTACTGTATTAGACTGTTCTCACACTGCTATAACAAAGTACCCAAAACAGGGTAATTTATTTAAAAAGGGAATTTTAATTGACTCACAATTCTGCATGACTGGGGAGGCATCAGCAAACTTGCAATCATGGCCAAAGTGGAAGAGGCACGTCTTACATGGTGGCAGGTGAGAGAGAGCATGAGTGTGTGAAGGAGGAACTGTCAGATGCTTATAAAACCATCATATCTCATGAGAACTCACTCACTATCATGAGAACAGCTCATGATAGTGAGTGGGGGACACTGCCCCCATGATTCACATCCTACCAGGTCTCTCCCTAGACATGTGGGGATTAGGGGGATTACAATTCAAGATATGATTTGGTGGGGACACAAAAACTAACCATATCATGGTTAGGTACTAAGCATGGGCTGGTACTAAGGAAGAAAGGGAAATGCATATTGGGTAGCCACCTTGAAGTATCTGACAGTGTCTGGGTCTGAATGTGCTTTATTATCCTTCCCAAGGCCTGCCCTGTACATCATGGGGAGGGGTGGCGGGGTTAAGAATTTTAGTTGGAAATAAGGATCAGATAAACCTGCTATTAATGCCTGCTCTGCTATTTTCTAGCTGCCTAGCTTGGGCAACCTTCATTTAATTCTTCGAGCCAAGTGACGTTATGATGGTAGTAGTCACACTGACCTTGTAGGATAGTTATGAGGATTAAGTGAGTGAATTCCAATAAAACACTTAGCAGGGCTTCCGGTACATAGTGAGGCATCAGTAATTAATAACTTCCAGGATTATTAATGGTTGTCATTATCACTGAAGGAATTGTAAACATGAATATTATATCCTATTTTAAACGATTCTGTACTTGCAGTGAGAAGACCTATGCTTGAGACCAGCTTAATTGCTGGGTGGCCTCAGGCAAGTTGGTTAACCTGTTTGATACTCAGTTTCCCTTCTGTAAAATAAGTCTAATTCAGTCTGTTCTCAGTTATGAGAATTAAATAATTACTTTCTGAGACACAACAAAGTACTATACAATTATTAGACAGTGTTTTGTAGTGAGAAAACCACAGCGAGAGTTAGACAACATAGTATCACTCCTCAGCTCTGCCACTTCTTAGCTATGCAACTTTGTCCATATCACATGACCTTGCTAAGCCTCAGTTTCCTTATTAGGAAAGAAGAATAGCAATATGTTTCTTGCAAAAAGAATTGAAGGAAATTATCTATGCAAATGCAAAGTGCCTGAAAAATGGAAGACTCTTAATAAATTACAACAACAATTATGGTGATGATGATGATGACGATGGCGATGATGATTAATTACTTAATATTTATTGAATGAATGAATAAATGAAAGAATGCAGGAATCAACAAGCAAACTGGAAGGCTATAGTTTAGTGTCCTTCCTGCAGAACCACACAGAGGGTGACACACAGAGTGGAGTTCCCTGTGGGATTCCAAAACACACTTTTGCTCTGGGCAGCTCCCAGGGTACTTGATTGGTTCCACACACCAGTGGGGACCACATAATATGTATCAAGGGACT
Organism: Homo sapiens; assembly: GCF_000001405.40. Classification (NCBI taxonomy): domain Eukaryota; kingdom Metazoa; phylum Chordata; class Mammalia; order Primates; family Hominidae; genus Homo; species Homo sapiens. Next base: position 117,242,740 of record NC_000009.12, on the reverse strand, counting down.
CCCTTAGGGAAGTCTTCTTATCATGCCTCTGGAACAGCAGGTTTTTCTACCAAACATCATCTCCAGTCATGCTTAGGCCCACTTGCTTCCTCTTGAGAATAGACTGGTAGCAGTGGCTAAACCCTCCATGATGTCTCCAAGGCCACCCATATGTATATGTGCTGGCCAGGGTGCCATAAGGCATTTATTATGCAGAGGGTGTGATAGTTATACTATTATGCTTTTCTCTTCTAACAGTGGATGATAAAACCATTAGGATGCTTCCAGCCAGCATATCCCTGTTCTGTTTCTGTGTTATCCTTGCTTTTCCAGACTCGTCCCGACTTTCCTCTATTAAGTACATCAAGTACTAAGAACTCAGAGCTCATTTGGTACAGGGAGAAACTCAATTATATCCACCAGCAGAGTGTAAAAGGAATGGAGGTTTGAGATATATTTATAGGTTATAGCCTCTAGGTGGAAACTTGCCAATTTTCAGCCCAGCAATGTATAGGAATGCTTGGGAGGATGTAGGCTATGTCCAGGGGAACCATTCCAAATAGGAAACACTCTCTAAGAGGATTTATAGTAATGTGAATGTCAAAGTAAGCTCCACGTTAAATGAAACTAATTGGACCCCATAGGACAGAGGTTGTAAACTGGGAGCCCAAGTCCATATCTAGGCCACAGATGAGTCTCATTTTGTCTGCAATTGGGCCACTCAGCTAAAAAAAAAAAAAAAAAAAAAAAAAAAAAAGACTTGCCAAAGAAAGTTTTCACTGTCAAATTTCATATGAAAATATAGGGGTGTGTGGTGTGTGTGTGTGTGGGGGGGGGTAACTTGCACGTTCTACTCAGTCTGCATTTTTGGATGGTGACAATTGGCTGAATTTCAGTAGCAGATACTTCTTTAGAAGGATCACATGTTCTCTAATTTGCCACAGTCCCTACCACTCCCTAATCTTGTCTGCTATGATACCCTACTCAAGTCCCCATTTATGTGCTTTACAGAAGTGGTCCCCAAACCCAGGGCTGTGGACCAGTACAGTCTGTGGCCTGTTAGGAACCACATGATTTGAGCCACTGGTGGGCGAATGAGCATTTCTGCCTGAGCTCTGCCTCCTGTCAGATCAGCAACAGCATTAGATTCTCATAGGACCACGAATCCTATTGTGAACTGCACATTCAAGGGATCTAGGTTGCACACTCCCTGTGAGAATCCAACTCATGCCTGATGATCTGAGGTGGAACAGTTTTATTCCGTAACCACAGGCCCCCCATAAGTCCATGGAAAAATTTTCTTCCACGAAACCAGTGCCTGGTGCCAAAAAGGTTGGGAAATGCTGCTCTATAGGTCTTTGTGTTTAGGCCTCCTACTTCAGAAGATTCTCCCTGCTTGCACTGATATAAATGTCAAAATGACCTCTAACTTGAATGAAACCAGATGGATCCTTTAGAAGGTACTCCTGGTTTTCAGGAGTGCAGTTGTCAAATTTTCTTCTAGCTAAAAATGAACCCAAACTAATCCATTAGAAAGAACTCATGAGTCATGCCGACTCCGAGGAGCTACTGTGTCAACTCTGAAAAGCATCAAAAGGACAGATTCACCTCAGTGGAGTTTTGTTTATTTGTCTCAGTTACTGTCAGAGCGAATGGTCCCACTAGCTTTGAATGGCCTTAGGCTTGGAAAGAGCAGCTGGCATAGAGAGAATTGTCCTTTTCTCCCTCTCATCTTGAGTGGCTCTTCTACGATGGACAAAGAGGAAGCCCAGAAAGGCTCAGATGGAAAGGAGGATTGTAAACCTCAGGACTCAGACAGTCATTGAGAGAGTGTGAGCCTTATGCTAAAATTTCAAAATATGCAGAAAATGAGTGCCGAGAACATAAGGTGTGGAGTGTGAAAAAGAGTCTGCAGAAAGCATGGCTTAGGTCCTAAGTCAAGCCCCCCATATGCTATGTGAGTCTGGGCAAATTCTTTGGGCTTTAGACTCCATCTACAAAATGAGGATTGGAAAACCTCAGGAAACACTTTCAGAGATCCCTATTAAGGAGAAAAACTGGCCCACATAGCTGAAGACAGAGGAAGACTGAAGGGCAGGTCTGTTAGAAGGTTTATCTATGGGGTAGCTCCAGTGTCTGTTCTGAATTTATAGTACCCGCACTTAATTATTCTCACCGTCTGGTGTCTTGGTTCTCTGCTATCTGGCTTTGTGGTACCTCCCTAATCTTATGTCTTTCTCCTGTCCCCTTTCTTACTCTGCTCCAGTCATACCAACCTTATGTTTGGCATGCCAAGTGTAACCCATTGAAAGCATTGCTTCAGCTTGCAATGTGCTGTTGTTCTTTATCCTGGAAGAATCCTATTCAAGGCTCAGTTCCTCCTTTTTCAACCATCCTCGTTCCCTTCCGCTGTCACACACACAGTCACACCCAAAGTTGACAGGTTTTTGGGATTCAAATCTCAGCTTTGCCACTTACCAAGAGTGTCACAAATTTATGAGGAAGACAGGACAAGGAACATGGTATCCCAACTCTTCTCACCACGTCACTGAACCACCCACTTTACCAGTGACCCATCTTAGTCACCAGTGTGACCATAGACAGATTACTTAAACTCTCTCAATCTCAACTTCTGTATTTATTTTAAAAAAGTATGAAACTACAAATGGCCCCTGACTTACTATGGTTGACTTCTAAATTTTCAACTTTATGATGGCTTTATTGGGGTAATGAATGCATTTTCAATTTATGATGTTTTTGACATAAAATGGGTTTATCAGATGTAACACCCATTGTAGGTCAAGGAACATCTGGAATGCTTATCTCATAGTGTTGGAAGAGTTAAAGGAGTTAAGCATACTAACCACACAATGCCATTCCTGGTACCTAGTAAACACACAGCAAATGCTTTCTTTATGTTTAGAGAAAGGACCACCTATCTTTTTGCATTCACTTGCATGCCTGAGCCTGGCATATGGAATGAACACCAATCTAGGAGTCATGGGGCTTTTATGTTTGGGCCTGCACTCTCCTATGAGCTCTGTGATTTAAGCAGGAAGTTTAACTTCTGTGAGCCTTGGCTTTGCCTTCAAAGAAATGGAAATGGTTCTCCTAGGCTTTCAGAGAGCTGCTGTCTGCATTGCTTGGGCTAATGAATGGGGATGGGATGGAGGGGGGTTATCCCTTGAAACAGGAGTAAACACCATGCAAATGTTAGCTCTTTATTATTATTCTTAACACCAACAGCTTCTTTTCTCCAATGGCAGCCCAAAGCCACTTGCTGCCCCGACAACAGTGGCCCAGATGTTGCCAACATCTGCCTGCTTCTCTGGGCTTTTATAGAGAGAGAAGGGGAATAATGGAGTGATGAAGATCCTATTATAGAAACATGTGGACAGGTTTTACCACCTCCTCCTGTTGTCTCTCCCCAACTTGTAATCCTCTGGGGAGGAGGGGGCCACTTCTTATTCATTTCTGTGCTTCAGGTGCCTAGCCCAATGCCTGGCATTTGGAGATGCTTAGGAGACACTGCTTACATTTGTTGCAGGGACTCAGAGCTGCCTTTTGCTAAGGGGATGATGCTGTCAGCCAAGGGTGGCAGGGCCTCTTGGTTCCCCAAATGAAGAAATGACAAGCTTGGGATTCAGGAATCTGAATCCACTGCTGATTTTCTGTGTGACCTTGGACAAGGCAGATAAACTCTCTGGGCCTGAGTTTTTACATTGATGAAGTAATGCATCTAAAGTTCTGCAAAGAAGAACATGCTGCCTGGCTGATCCTTGGGTGTGGTGGAATATCTTATAGCTGAGAAAGACTGGAAATATTTTAATATCTGCATGTAAACAGAGCATTATTTCCCTCCACCCATTTTTGCTTGTTTATTTCTACTTGGCAGGGTGATACCTTGCAACTTGGAGAAAATTACTGTTGGGGTGTTATTGGGTGCCAGAAACTTCACACACACTTACTAGCCAACTTAATCTTTATAGCGGTCACTGGAGCTAGGCACCAACATTCATGTTTCTCTGATGATTAAACTGAGAATCAGAGAAGAGTCCACTCTCTGAAGTCAAGCAACTAGTCAGTGAAAGTCAGTGACATCCAAAATTCTCCCCAGGTTGCTCCATCATCAAGGAATAATCAGTTTCTCATCACTGAAGGTGCTCAATGAAAGGAGGGCCAACTGAGAAGAGCTTTGTGGAGGAGATTCACCCATAGCCTGGGCCAGAGCCAGAGCTGTTGGCCTTGGATTTATCAGTATACACATTCATAACAGGTTCAGCACTGGGAGGACCCTTGGAGATCATCTGGTACAATCCTCTCCTTTGTAGATAGGAAAACCAAAGCTTTGAAATGGGCAAGGACTTGACCAACGTCACTTATTAGCCTCCTGGAGTTGAGCTGACCTGGGTTTGAATTCTGTCTCGGTTACCTATATCCCTGACATCTCACTATCCCCATTGAGTGCAGAGGGGACCCACTCTTTTCCTGTGGCTGTAGACACCCATGGCTAAACCAAAGGACCTAAAGAAATCCCCGGGAGCCAGGAGAGCCAGTGCACAGAGCTCAGGAAAGCCTGAGCCTCCACAAGTGGGTCTTTGCCCTTCCTTCCTTCCCGCCACAAGGAGCAGGGGTATCATTATTAAAACAGCCTCTCCCCTCCTTCTAGGGAGCCAGGTTGCAATTGGAGCTACATGAGATGGTGGATTTCACTGTGCAGCATCACTTGTGTCACCTTCCCTCAGCTATGACCAATGGCAGCCCCAGTGTCAGCCTCCTTGGGAAAGACAACTGTGTGTCTCCAGGGAGTTGAGCTAGCCTGAGAGCAGCAGCCATCTATGAGTAGGAGGGAGGAAGCACCCAGCACCAGCATCTCCTCTCTGACTCCTCCCTTTCCAGATGGGGCCTGGGCCCACTGGGAGGTAGAGTGAAGTGAAACACTGTGAGCATGGCACACATGGCACACAGGCAGAACTCAACCTCGGCTGAGTGTGGTGGCTCATGCCTGTAATCCCAGCACTTTGAGAGGCCAAGGTGAGCAGATCACAAGTTCAGGAGATCGAGACCATCCTGGCTAAGTCAGTGAAATCCTGTCTCTACTAAAAATAGAAAAAATTAGCGGGGCGTGATGGCATGCACCTGTAGTCCCAGCTACTCGGGAGGCTGAGGCAAGAGAATTGCTTGAACCTGGGAGGTGGAGGTTACAGTGAGCTGAGATCACACCATTGCACTCCAGGCTGGGCAACTGAGCAAAACTCTGTCTCAAAAGAAGAACTCAGCCTCCAGAGTTGTTGGGTTCTTGAATAATACACAAAAATTCTAAGGTGCTGCATGAATCCACAGTCAGCCACAGTCCTGGAACAGTACTAACTGGGCTCTGTGATTGCTACCACCATGGGGAGGTCCCAAAGGCTTCATCCCTGGGCCGGAGGGCAAGAACTCAGACCTGCTTCCAACAACCTTGACCAAATATTCTAATATTTCTGAGACTCAGTGTCCTTACCTATAAAAAAAAATAGATAATAATAGAAACTATTAGGTTGGTGCAAAAGTAATTGCGTTTTTTGTCATTGAACGTAATGGCAAAATCACAATTACTTTTGCTCCAACCTAATATTTCAGAAGCATGTCTTAAGGATTAAGTAAAATAATATACTCTAAGTGGGTAGGGCAGGGGCTGGCAGATAGAAAATGCCAAAAGAATGGTAGTCTCACCCACTCTGTGATCCTGGCATTGTTCCACATTTTATAATCTGAGACTGGCAATTGGACCTGGACTAATGTCAGGTACACAACACAAAATAACAACTATCCCTATATTTTTTGCATTTCTGGGATAACTCCCTTTACTGTTGCTTTACGGATCATAGCTAATATTTATGTAGCATTTACTAGGTGTTAGACGCTATAACTAGGACTTGACATATATTACCTTACTTTTACAACATCCCTATGAATTACATAGAATTATTGTGTTCATTTTATAGGTGAGAAAACTAAAGCAGAGAGAGGATACCCTTTGCATGGGATCAATGGTAGAGCTGGGAGTCAGATTTAGGAAATGGGGCTCACCATGCTCTATTGAACTTAAAGTGTTCTGTCCATCCATCTATCCATCCATCCATTCATTACTGAGCAATTAGTATGAGACTGACACTATTTCAGGCGCTTGAGAGCAGAAACACCGCTACCCTCATGGACCCTACAGTCCAGCACAGAAGGAGAATCACATGTCACTGCCAGCCCCTGGGGTCCTACATCCCACCCTGAGCTCCCTCTTCATTGCTTATCACATTTTTTTTGAACAAGTTTCCAACCAATCTATAGTGTGGCATTTTTTCCAATGCCCATCTACTGCCAGCTTCTCTCCATCTCACTCCCTCTGGCCCAGGGATGAAGCCTTTGGGACCTCCCCATGATGGTAGCAATCACAGAGCCCACTTAGTACTGTTCCAGGACTGTGGCTGACTGTGGATTCATGCAGCACCTCAGAATTTTTGTGTATTATTCAAGAACATTTTAGTCCTCGTGTTTTGGTAATGATGGAAGGCAGTATTGAGTGTGGAGTTCCATCCGAGTTTATTTCCGAGCTCTGTTGCACAGTAGCCATGGGTCTTGGATAACTCATTTGGTGAATGTGCCTCAGTTTTCTGGTGAGTATAATGCTACTTAGCTCTATTCCCTACCCCAACATACCTATGTCACCAGATTCCCAGGGTTGAGAGAGCCACAGCTGGATTTGGATTAAGATGAACTCCAGGCCTCTGAGCTCAAGTCAGAAAGACCTGCCTTTAGTTCTCTGAAAATGTTATTTAATGTATCTGAGATTCACTTTCCTCATCTGCACAATTGGTATGAAAATATGTTTTCTCCCTGTTTCACAGGTCTGCAAACTGTAGGGCTAGGACCAGCAAAGAATATGAGTGCCTCACTCACCTTGGACGTAGAATTTAAAGGGTTGCCTATAAACTCAGGAATGCATTAACTTGTATTTAAAAAAAAAAGAGTTGCATTGAAATATTATCTTCATTACTGAGGTTTTTGAACCCCTTTAAATTTTGCATACAAGACAAGTACCCACTTGCCTCATCCTAGACCCAGCCATGTGATACAGAGCTGCTCAAATGAGGTACTAATGAAGGGAAAGGCTTTTAAACCTAAGGACTGTGCAAATGCCATTTTGTTGTAGTAGTAGTTTATTTTACATTGTTTGCTTGTAGTTACAGTAATACACTTTCAGATGAGAGGACATTTTTTCTGGAGAGCAGGATGATTTTCTGAGTCTTAGAGGTCTGGGTTCTAATAATAGGGCTGCTACAGATTAATTTCGTGACCCGGAGCAAATTGTTTAACCTTTTTGTTTTCTTATCTGCAAAATGGGTATGTTAACACTGACCTCACAGATTTCCAATGAGGATTGATTTGTTTTAATAATGCATTCAATTTGTCAATACCAATAAATGACATGCAATAGGGGCTTGGAAAATAAAATTTTATCCTCCCCCCGCCTTTTTTTTTTTTTAATTGAGACAGAGTCTTGCTGTTATTGGCCTGGGCTGGAGTGCGATGGTGTGATCTCAGCTTACTGTAACCTCCGCCTCCTGGGTTCCAGCAATTCTCCTGCCTCAGCCTTCTGAGTAGCTGAGATTACAGGTGCCTGTCACCATGCTCAGCTAATTTTTTTATTTCTGGTAGAGTCAGGGTTTCACCATGTTGGCCAGGCTGGTCTCGAACTCCTGACCTCAGGTGATCCACCTGCCTCAGCCTCCCAAAGTGCTGGGATTACAGGCGTGAGCCACTGCGCCCAGCCTTATCCTTCTTTAAATACACTAAAACAGCAGACACCGATTGCTTACCTAAAACCCTTGAAATCGCTGATATATGGATCACCTTTAAACAGCTTTCTGTCTTGAGTCTGACAATGGAAACACACCTTGAAATGGCCACCAAGGGGCCAGGTTCTAGTCCTGGCTCTGCCACTAATCGTGCCTGACCTAGAAAAGGCTCTCATCCTCTCTCAGCCTTGACATTCCCTTGTGCAGAATGAAAGAGTCCTTTTTTCTAGCTCTGCTCCACGGAGCTCTAGAGATTTCAGACCCCCAACCTCCATTTAGACTGGAGCAGCGCCTCTTTTATGGCTTTATTCAGAAATGAATTTCCAATTAAAATTTTTCAAAGGAAAGTGTACAAAAGCAGTGATAATCCTAACAATGTCAGCTAACCTTAAGATCTCTGAGTTCCTGTCCGTTCTGATATTTGGAAAGTGGGATTTTAGTTTAGAAAGATGAGTGTGTTTGCCTCCACTGGGTTTCCTTCTAGCTGCTGTTGAGCATCTGTTCAGCACGGTAGGAGACACATGGCCGGTTCAGGAGGGATTAGCTGGCGCTGGAGAGGCGTGGAGGAGAAATGGGAGGGGAGATCTTGGTAAGGTGGTCCGAATATGCCAAGCACGTCTGTATTGTCTCTGCTGAGTTATTACTCTTACCCTCCAACCCAAACACAATCTGTCCCTGCCTGAGGCTCCCTTTTCAGGCTGGTGGCAGACAGCTGAGTACCACTGCTGCCTTTGCTGGTCTGTGGGAGGAGAGGAGTTGTCTCTACCCTCTTGCCCTCTGAGCACTTACATAGTCCATACCATCTCATCTAACTCCCCCTTTCTGCTGCTCAGCTTTTGGATACAACACACTCCAAAGTCACCCTCCTGTTGCTGAGAGACATAGTCCATCAACAATTTTAGCAGGGAGTCATTGGTCTAAATAGAATCTTATGAGAAACTCCAGTTCATAGGACAGATACATGAAGCATTTTGTAAGAGTAGAGTCCTATCAAATGTGCATTTTATTTGCATGAATTAACCTATATATTTTTTATGAGAGACAAGAGACACAGAAACAGAAATTTAGGCGGTTAGGTTATTATGACCACTGTTACACTCAATGAGCATTGATAATCCACAGTGAAGATGGGATAGAAAACACAAAACTGCTTTCTTCCTTGGTCAGTCTCATTGCTCACTGTTCAGTGATCACCACTCTGCCATAAGTGCAATTCCTTTGTTTGACTATATTCTTTTTTTTAAAAAAAAATTCAAGCTAATTATTTTAGGCACTGAGTCAAATAAATAGAAGCAGGGACATTTCAACTGGATCATAAAAGATGAGCAGAAATTTGCTTAACAGACTTCAGTCTTTCTCTGTAATTTGATGTTCATTTTGGGGTATGTTTAGGTTGTGTATGTTTGGATGCACACACACACATATGCTTATACATAGATAGCCCTTAGTAATTTGCAAAGCTTTTTCATGTGCATCATTTCATTGATTCTCCCAACCACCCTGGGAGTCAGGGAAGGTAAATGATTGTTGCCACTTGACTGATGAGGAAAATCAGGCTAAGGGGGTATTGAGCGACTTGCCCAAAATCTCATTAACAGGATTAAGTTGCCAGTTCCTGGCTTCCACTGAGCCTGGTACTGGTTTAGGTCCAGCAATTTTGTTTGATTTCCTGCTTTGGAGCGAGGAACACATGCTCGCTTGGGGGAATTGGAAGCAGGGCCTCCTCCCAGTTGCAGCCCCTCCCTGATTTCTTCAGGAGTTTTATTCTCAGCCTGCTCTCTGCCCCTCAGAAGGACACAGAGCCCTGGATGCAGGGAGGCTGTGAGATTGAAACTGGAAGAACGCAAGCTCCAGCTCACCTCCTAGAAGACTTGCTTGTTAACAGCAAAGAGAGGAGCTCCAGAATCCAGGCAGAGCCAGGGAAGGAAGTAGATAATGCCAGAACTCATCCCTGAGCAGAAGGAAGGAACAACAGATTGAAAGTGTCCTCTGATTACCAAACATGATGAATGAGGAACAAAAAGGAAAAAAAAAAAAATCTGTACCTAGTTGCATTGCAGTGAAATTTCAGAACTGTATGGATAAAAGGGGGAAAATGTGAAAGCTTTTAGAGAGATAAATTAAAAAAAGAAAAAAAATTGCTCCCAACAAAGGGAGAAGAGACAATAGAGTTTCTGGTGAATGTAATAATAACAGAACAATTTGCTGAGAACATTCTTTGGACCCAGGTAATCGGCATGGGATTTGTGGAAGCCCCATATTTTCTCCACTTGAATTGAGAACAGTTTGAAAGATTAGTAAAAGGAGTAAAGCAGATGGAGATTAATGTTTTGCCTTTATTACTGCAAAAGGTTAGTTTGGAGGACTTGGCAAAAATGGGTATTTTCCCACCCAGGGTAAGTGCTGAGTGCCTGGCACCCTCTCACATGGGAATCTGTTATCACAAAACAGAAGGGGTGGCAGGGCAGAGCAGAAGGCTGCTTTTGGAGGGCAGCTGGTTCCTACGGCAAAAGAAGCAATGAAGGGAAAGAGTTATGCAAGCTCACAGCCTCATTCCAGATCCAGTCTACCTTAGTGGGGAGGAGTAAAGGATGTTGGGCAAGAGAGAGATTTGGGGGAAATTTATCTTGATCAAAACCTGGGGTATAAAGAAGAAACATTTCCTAATACTATCCAGAGTGTTTACATGCACATCTTCACTTAATCCTCAAAACAAGACAATACACTCATGGGACCCTCATGATGCCCATTAAACGGATGAGTAAAATGAGGCTCCTAGATGCTTTTGTAATTGACAGTTACCTTTTGCTGTTACTTTTGTAGCAGCACTTACCCTGGGTGGCTTTTGTAATTTTGTTATACAGCCCCATGGAGGTGGCAGGGTGAAGACAGTTACTCCAGCTCTGTCTCCACAGATCTTCTAATCCCCTTCTGGGCTGCTTCCCCGAGTGCAGGGCCCTGAAAAGCAATGATGAGAAAAGGAAGGTGTGCTCACTTAGTGGCCCTCTGACAGCCCAAGTCAGCAGCCTCTAGGTCGGGACAGAGAACAAGGAAGAAGATTCTGAGCAAAATAGACGAGATTCTTATGTTTGTAATGGCCTGAGAAATGGGATTTGAACACCACTGGGATTCTTGAAAAAGAAGCTTCTTTCTACTCTCCTGCACTTCCTTCTATCCTCTCTCACCTTACACTCTCCCCTCCTTTCCATGCTCCCTTTATTCCTCACTCGCTTCCCACTCTCTCTGCCTCTATTCTCCCCTTTCCAAACTCTCCTTAAACCGTTGGCTTCTTGGACTTCACCAGTGACAACAAGCTCCTTCCCCCTTTATCCTCCCCAAATTCCACAAATTCCACTTCTGTTTTGGATTTTAAATCAATTCAAACCAATGTATCGATTATTTTGTTTTATTTTTACAATTATATCAGATAGATTTGCTTATCCCCATTTTCTAGATACAGAATAAAGTAACTTGTAAGAAGCCACAAAACCAATAGAGTAGCAATAAGATTTGAACTCAAATTTCATGGATCGAGAGTCTGAGCTTTAACCAAGAAGCTACATTGGCATACACAAATAAGAAGGACTAGTCAGGGATGGCAGGTATGTAGGCAAATATATGCCAAAGAGTGGCCTAGGGCCATTGTAGACAGCTGTAATCTTGGCAATAGTCCTGGCTCTCTATTACTAAGAATTTCTATGGTTTTCATCACTCAGCAGAGTGATGCATGTAATCCTAAAGTAGATACTACTGCTAACATCACTTCACAGACAAGGAAGATGAGATATACTGAATCAATTGACCTGCTGTGATCAGAAACTCAGAGAGTGCTGTAGATAGGATTTAAATACTCTTCTGCTCCCAGACCAACCCTACCTGATGATAAGGTCTCCTGCAGGCTTATTTAAAGGCCAGAAATATGTATTTTTAATGAGCATCCCCAGGTGTTATTTATGACCAGGCAAGTTTGGGGATGATCAACTCTATCTGGGAGGGTCAAGAAGATACACAAGCTCTGTCTTAAAAGGCGAGTGGAGTTTACTGTGTCAGAAAGGATTTATTGTATATTTTGTATTGTTTTCAGTCCACAGCCTTCTCTGTGGAATCTTTCGTCATTGCTGATGATGCTACCTTTCCATGATGCATGCACTGTCCGCTCCCTCTGCCCCAGAATAGCCACTGAGGAATGAGAAAAGAGGTCTTATTTTCATTCTCTCTTAGACCTTTTCTTTCCTGGCTCAATCTCTTTGGTTCACTTACTATGGGTTGCTTCAGTGACTCTTGCAACTAAATAATGGACCTAGATATCCTTCCTCAGTGTACGGGGTTTAATAGTGTCCTGACATAATTGATGTCTACCCAGAACCCCAGAATATAATCTTCTTTGGAAATAAGGTATTTATAGATGTAATTAATTAAGGATCTTACGATGAAATCATCCCTGACTTAGGGTGGGCCCTAAATCCAATGAGTGGTATTGTTGTAAGAAGAAGAGGAGATGGAGAGAGACACAGGGGAGAAGAAGGTGATTTGAAGATGGAGACAGATTGGAATGATGCTGCCACAGGTTAATTCCAGGAGCCACCAGAAGTGAGAAGAGGCAAGGGAGGAGTCTCCTGTAGAGCCTTTGGAGGGAGCTTGGCCCTGCTTGTACCTTCATTTCAGACTTCTGGCCTCCTGAACTAAGAGAGATAAATATCTAACACTTTAAGCCACTCAGTTTGGGTGATTTTTTTTTTTTCAGCCTGAAGAAATTCACACACCCAGATTCCACAGAGGCTCAGGATCAATAGGGCTTTTTTTTTTTTTTAAGATAGAGTCTTACCTCAAACTCCTGGGCTCAAGCAGACCTGCCTCAGCCTCCTGAGTAGCTGGGGCTAGATGTGCGCTACCATGCCTTTTTTTATTTTTATTTTTTGTAGAGATGGGGTTTCACTATGTTTCTCAATCTCCTACCCTCGTGAAATTCTCATGAATTGCAGTTTCAATCTCCTGGCTTCATGAAATTCTCCCACTTCAGCCTCGCAACATGCTGGGAGTATAGGCCTGAGCCACCACACCTGGCCAGAAATAAAGACTTTCTCTGAAGTGGTCCCAATACCACCAGTCCCTATTCCACCTCAGTCCATTTCCTCAGGACCTGCTGGTTGGTTCAAAACACACAGGACTCTGAATGGGCCAGGAACCCAGGCTAGTTGTTCTTGAGTGAGCCCAGACCCCTCACCGATATGGGTTGGAGACGGCTGTGTGACATGAACATTTATTTCAGTAGCTGTGGAATTAAGTTCATCTTCATCTAATTAATCTGAAGTTTAGACAGTTCCCAGGCTCTTCCAGACCTCATCTTTCCAATCTCAGGCTCAATGAGTGCTTCAAATGCTGTCCTGTTGGGTGGCAGTTTGGGGACGCTATCGCTGACCACTTAAGGATACAATATGCTGGAGCTTTGAGTTCCTGTATTTTACCCTGGGATTCAGTTAAGGAGACTGCCCAGTCTTGGGTAGCCCAGCTGGAGCTGGATATGAGGGTGGGTCTTGGAAGGCAATAGATGTACAACCCGAGGGAATGTGGGGAGCAGGACTTGGAGATCCACCTTGGGGCAGTCCTGTGTGTGACAGCAAGATCTCAGGGAACAGATCGAGGTTCAGCACTCATGGTAGGGCTTGGGGGCGGGGAGCGTTATCAGTGTTACAACTGAGATGTTCTCTGAACCAGGAAAGAAAGCATGGTCTACCAGATTCCCCTGCAGCCTGGGCCCTGGGTTGCCTGTCCTGCCAGCAGGGGTGGAAATTATCTCAGGGATGAGAGGAGTTGTTAAGGGTAAGGTGACAGGTAGCTGGGCAATTATCTCTACTACCTGGATTACTCAGGAGATATTGAACTTCATGGTTTTTTTTGTTTGTTTTGTTTTGTTTTGTTTTTTGAAATGGAGTCTCACTCTGTTGCCCAGGCTGGAGTGCAGTGGCACCATCTCAGCTCACTTTAACCTCCGCCTCCCAGGTTCAAGGATCCTCCTGCCTCAGCCCCCCTAATATAGGCACGTGCCACCATGCCTGGCTAATTTTTGTATTTTTAGTAGAGATGGGGTTTTGCCATGTTGGCCAGGCTGGTCTTGAACTCCTGACCTCAGGTGATCCACCCGCCTCGGCCTCCTAAAGTGCTGGGATTACAGGCATGAGCCACCAAGACTGGCCTGAACTCCACGTCTTTAAATACTCAGGAGACAAAGGGCAGCAAGGTGAAGAGAAAGAATGAATCATACCAGCTCAGCCCTGGTGGGTACATCAAGGACACTGGCCAGCTTTTAATTCCTGTTCCTATCATGCCACAGAGCACCTCCCATTGACTCCTCTCTCTTTTCCCTTCTCATTGATGGGCATCTTATGCTTGACTCTCTGCCCCTAGTAACTAACTTTCCAGGGGTTTTCTTGATCTAGCCCGGTAGGGGAGATCCTGAGACCATCACAACATGCCGTCAAGACAATTGGCAGCTACAGCATCAATGCTGTAAAATGGCAGCAAAACAATGCCTCTAAGAGACCCCTATTGTGTGACTTGTAATAGGTTTTGAAAAAGGTTGATGGATAGATGACAGAAGTATCAGAAGTATTGGAAAGCTGGCAGATTTGCAGCTTTGTTTCTTTTGCGCCTAAGTTACTCTGCTTGAGTTACCTGTGGTTTTTGGAGTCCCTCTCTTTAACAAACACCTATATACAAAGTTCTGATGGGTGTAAATTACTCTATAACATATATAGTTCTTTTAAAAACATGATTATCAATGAAGTCCTTACATAAAGAGGAAAAGGCACCTGTTATTGTTGATCATTTTAAACCTGGGGAAACTGAGGCTGAAAAAGGTAACATGGCTAGCCAAGGAATGTACATCTAATCACCCAGTCAGAATTTGAACCCAAATCCAGTGTTTTTTGAGCCACATTATTGACACCCTCTTTCACTAAAGTCCTATGATTTCCATCTAGATATAGTAATAGTAATAACAAATAGATACAGCTATCAGGTTGCTTTCTGTGTAAAGTGATTGTGCTTGAAGAGTTGCATCTGACATCCCTTTCACCCCTTTACTTTCTGGCTCAGTATCTCCCTAAGTATTTATAAATAAATAAATGACTAAACAAGCTTGGAATTCAGACCACCTCTTCCTCTTTGGTCCAACAGTAGAGAGAGAGGAGTTAACAGTTAGTTATCACATTTGTGTCTTCATTATCCCTATACCCAGTACCCCTTACCTGGGCACCAAAAGGGAACTAACAGCAATGTTTTCTTTATTCACTACATATCTTCCAGCCTTTTCGGTCCTCGGGTATAGGCTAATAAATAATTCATATCTAGTTATTGTCCTTGAGGAGCTACTAAACCATTCTGAGAGACATCTATCTATTTACTCATGTATTCATCCATCCAGTAATCCATTCATCCATCCATCCATCCACCCATCCCTGCATCCATTAATCTATTCATACACTCCAAAAAGAATTACTAAGCATTGACAAAACACTAAGTGCTGTTCTTGGTGCTGAAGACAGTAATGAACAAAACAAAAGGCCCTACATTATGGAAGCTCCATTCTATTAAGGCCATGAACAAAGTTAACAAATTAGTGTGTAATATAATAAAAGTGAGAGATAAGTGACATAAAGTTAAAGCAAGGAAAGGAAATAGAGATCTGGTGATGGAGACAAAGGTGAAGAGCACTGTGGTAGAGCAGGTGCAAAGGGAAGCCTTCACCAACGTGACTCTGTCTTGGTGATAGATCAGCAATCCCTGACCATGACCCTCACCCACACCAACTCCCCTAACCCCCACCCATGATTTCTAAAGAAGCCAGCATCAGACCCACTATGCTGCCAGCTCCCTTCAGAAGCTCCCTCCCCATATGAAACTTATTTTTCATGTATTAGTGTTGACCAGGCTCTCACTGGCCTCCACCTTCCTCTCTTTTCCCTACTTCTGACCTCAGAAGGCTTTGTTGTTGGCACAGTATTTTAAGGTTGGCACAATATTAGGGATCTCACATCAGCCCTGTGAATCTGCAACACATTCCCAGGGAATAATGTACTGAGCAAAGGATGAAGGCTCTTCATTCTGCCGACTCTCCAGACACACCGAACATTTCAAGATGATTGTAGCAGCATGCAGCAGACAAACAGGATTCTGGAGCCAAATGTGTGTCCTGTCACTGACTTTTCAGCCTTGAAGGGCAAAACCCCTCTTGAAAGGCTCACTTTTGTCATCTGTTAATGAAGTTAGAAATGCCTAGTTCATTTGCTTGCTATGGCCACCCTGTTAAAAAAACAAACAAACAAACAAACAAACCCGCTTTATGAGGACCTGTGAGCTTTCTGCAAACTTCTTTTACTTTATAAGGGGGTAAGGTAAGGACTGGGATTTAAGTTGCCTGGTTTCTTTCTCAATATGTTTTTCCTCTGCCAGAATTTTTTAAATCATCTTTTGTTGAGCATTGACTGTATTCTAGACACTGTTGGATTCCTTTTTGCATTCACTTGTTTAATTTTCACAATAGTCTATTTCAGTGATGAAATGTTAGTCTCATTAAGATGAGAAAGATGAGGATCAGAGAAATTTAGTAGCCTATCCAAGGTTCCATAGCTGGTAAATGACAGCACAGGTACTCAAACCCAAGGCCATCAACTCCAGAGCCTGCACCATTAACCACTACACAGTTTAGCTGATTATCCAGTCTTCTGTCACATTTTGGGCAAGAGTGTACTTGATTGGATGGGCATGTTCTTCACACCTTTGAACTTGACTGTAATTGGAATTGCAAGAAAAATCTTTTTTATCCTCACTTTCTCTACGTTTTACACTTGGAAGCTGTGAGAAACTCTTTGCCCCTTACCATGTTTCCCTCTTACATGGAGCTTGCTGAACTATGCATTGTGATAACTGCCTGCTTACTTACCTGTTGCCACAAACCAACTGTGAGTTCTTCAAGGGCATACCTGTGTATTTCTAAATCGAGGCAGAAGGTTTGCTACAGGGTCAGAAAATTACAATAATAGTAGTAAGAGTTAAGCCAATGACTACCACGTATTGAATGTTTTATGCAGGTCAAGGGCTGTGTGACATATTTTATACATATCACCTTATCCGATCTTCACAACAGCCTTTTTGGTGAATGGCATTATTCCTGTATTAGAGCTGTGAAAACTGAGCATCACAGAGAGAATGTCCCAAGGTCCCATTACTGGTAGGTGGCAGAGTAAAAATGGGAACTTAGGTCTGCCTGCTTCCAGGTATGACCTTACCCTGGGGAATAAGTAAATCAATGAATGAGGGCAAAGCTCCTCTCTGGCCACTTGGGTTCATCTGTATATATATATATATATATATATATATATATATATATATACATACAGCTTGGCCAGGCTGGTCTTGAACTCCTAACCTCATGACCCACCCGCCTCGGCCTCCCAAAGTGCTGGGATTACAGGCGTGAGCCACCGTGCCTGGCCCATCTGTATATTTTCATGACTCAAAGAGTGGGAAGAAACTCAATCCTCCTAAAGATGTTTTCCCCTACCTTCTCCATTCACCCGTCCTTCAGAGTGGGATTTGCGACAGAACTTGAGAGGCCACCTGAGGACATGTAGTGGGATGCTGACTTGTGTTAAATGGCTCATGCGAATTACCTTCAGCCCTCTCTTACAGACAGATGGAGGACTGCCAGACAGATGTAGGTGTATTTTGGTCACCTGCCCTTAGAGAGGCATTTATGATGGATTTATTCGTCCTTTCTTTCAACAAGTAATTGAAGATCTACTACTCTGTGCTGTGTACCATTCAAATTCAACCAGAAATAAATAAAACCCTGCCCTTCCTTTCATTGCCTCTCAGTGTAGAAATACAATAAATACATAATGAGGGCTACTCAGTGTCAGACCCTGAGCTGGATCCTGGGAAAACAGAGATGATTAAGAACACCCTCAATGGGCACTAGGGTGATGGGAGGGGGTCAAACTATGATGCAATCTGCGGCATGCTCTGGCAGACAAAAGCATGAGTCACTGCAAGACCTAACAGGTGGTACTTAACCCAGTCAGAAAAAGCAGGTTTCAGAGAACTCATGACCCACAAGCTGAGGCTTAAAGGACTCGACAAAGAAGTGAGGGAAGGGTATTTCAGATAGAGGGAGCATGAGCAAAAGCACAGAAACGTGAAATGGTGTGAAGGATACAGCGTGGTTAACTGTTTTAATGTATGCATTTACACCTGTAATACCAGGCAAGATGTCATAAGAATGTATGTATTTCATCTCTTCCAAAACGCTTTCCAGTTTGCCTTTGCTTTTTTAATTTTCTAGAATATTAGAGCTGGGATGGCTGTCAGAAACCATCCAATCCCACCTACTTACCCCAAAGAGGGGAAGGGATCACAATCACCGCTTGGAGCCTATGGGAGGAATGCAGCTGGGAAACTGTATAGAGAATATCTGATTGTATAGTGGAGGGGAAGTAGTGGTTTCACCACTACTTTGTATCAAATTTTTTTTTAGGAAACAAGGTCTTACATCAATAATAAAGATCCACTACTTGCAAGCTATTAGCTAACTGTGTTATACACTGCAATCGCATTTAATCCTCCACAGATTCTCCCACTTAGGTGTTAGTAACCCAATTCACAGATGAGAGAACTGAAGAAACTCAAGTGACTTATCCAAAGCCATATAAGTCAAACAGACATAGATTTGAGTCATGACTGTACTAACAAAAATGTCAATAGACGAACCTATGTCTGTCTAACTTACGGGAAAACGCTGGTGTCTCCAAGCATTCCTTAGCTTTCTCCTTGATAAATTTTTATAGAATTCAGTATGTTCTCCCAGGATTTTGACCCTGTTCTAATCTGATCTAAAGATGATTAAGGAAGATTGAGCTGGGGGGTAGTGGGTGGAAGGTGAATGCATTCCAAAGAACCAATGTGTTTTTACTTTACTCCTTTGGCATTATCTTTGGAAGTAAAATAGTATCTCTAATAGATACATGGTAAGTAGATGATTTATTTTAAAGAGAAACATGTTTCTTTTTATATAATGGGACTTCTTAAATAGGTCACCGTATATCTGTCTAGAGGCAAAAAAGAAATATAGATAAATATAGCTAACTATAGATGTATTAACATAGGTGTGAGTATATTTTTACAAATGTGAATACATACATAATCACATACATGTATACATGCAAATTCTTATTTGTTGTGCCTTTTTCTTCCCTTATTGTTCACACATGTAAATGTATCTCTTCATTTGATTACATGCTGGTATCTTGTATAACTTTCTGGAAGATTACCCAAGAAAAAATAAGACGTAGATAGATAGGTCCCTCCCTAATCCAGTGACAGAATCGAGACCTCAGTGTCATTGTTGACACCCCCTTCCCCACCAATAGACACAAGTCTTCCTATCCTGTTAGCTGACCCACCACTTTAACTCTCTTAGTTCTGGTCTCATCATCTCTCTTAGACTAGGGACTCTCAAACTCTGCGCTATTGACATTTGGGACCAGTTAATTCTTTGTTGTATGTGGCTGTCCTGTGTATGCGAGATGTTTACAGATTCCCTGGCTTCTGCCCACTAGATGCCAGTACTCTCTCCCCTAAGTTGTGACAACCAAAAATGTCTCTATTACCAAATGCCTCTTGGGGGGCAAAATTGCCACCAGTTGAGAACTGCCATCCTAGACCCTTGTTAAAATCTACCTCAATGGTATCCCTGTTTTCAATCTCCCCATCATGCCCACTATGATCTTTCCAAGGTATACAGCTGATTTTGCCACCCTACGGCATAAAAAAATTTTAGATCCTCAGTGTCTAAAAGTCTTTAGATCCTTATGCCTTTTGCAATATGTTCTGAACTTTCTTATTATCTTATTCTCCAGCTGCTCCCTTCTGAGATAGTGAACCCATGGTTTATTGGGAATTGCCCCCAGTGGAAAATCTTATCATATATGTTTTCTACTTGGTTGTATGGTTTTAAGCAGTTTCTCTTCTGAGTCTCCTTTTTTTTTTCATCTGTACACTGGGCATAATAATCTAACCTGTAGGGCAGCTAAGTAAAGAGCATCAACAACTCTAATACAAGGTAGGAAATGCTGAAGATCCTTAAGTGAGGGTTAAGGCGAAGCGCTGTGGGAGTGCAGAGGATAAAGAAATTCCTTCTGGCTGCACCTGGGGAAGGGAAAAGCCTAGGAGTTCATAAAGTAGATGCATTGAAGTTAACAGTGAAGTATGGGTGGTATTTGGATGTGTAGACATAAGGGTGAGGAATAAGAATGAGGGCATCATTCCAGGTAAAGTAAATGGCTTCTACAAAAACACCTCAGGACTGAGAGTTTGGTCCCTGGCAGCCACAGTGCCATCATGGTGAGAACTGGTGATCCACTGGGCCTTCTCTTCGCCACTCACTTAATGACAGAGCTAGTGGGAAAGGAGGCTCAGGCTCCACGTACTCTGACAAGTCTCCTTTCAGGCCCCAGTCTCTGCTCCCCAGCTTA
The DNA here is from genome assembly GCF_000001405.40 of Homo sapiens. Lineage (NCBI taxonomy): Eukaryota > Metazoa > Chordata > Mammalia > Primates > Hominidae > Homo > Homo sapiens. The sequence continues at coordinate 117,222,396 of NC_000009.12, read as the reverse complement.
CTGGGAGCAGAGAGTTTCACTGTGGTTGGATACTTGGCACCATGCCTTCTCTGTAGCAAGAGCTTAGTAGGGGTGGTTGCATGGACGGCCAAAGCACACATTTGAAGAAGGGCATTTCAAAAGCATACGTTCGAGACAAGGTTATCCACAAAGATAGATGATGAGGACTTGAACTGTCAAACTACAGGATTCTTAGCTTAGTCAATGGGGAAGGGATCAGTTTCCATGTGTGCCTTAGTTACGGTAAGTAAGATGGATTGAGCATAGTGGGAAAGGAGGAATAAAGCCTGGAAGATCATTCAGCATGTATTAAAATTATCATGATGAAAATCCATGAAAACTAGGGCATAGGACAGTCATAGAGTAGAGAGAAATGGAAAGTTATAGAAGCTATTTTGTAGATCAAATTGTCACAATTCACGTTTCCTTAGCAGCTTTGGAGGGAGTCGGCTGCATATTCTGTCTCCAGAACTATTTTAGGATGGTTTGTGATGTTGGTCAAGTCACTTTCATTCTTTGAGTCTCAGTTTCTTTTTCTTTTTTTTTTTTCTTCTAACACTAAAGACTTAGACTATTTTCTAATAATTCTTCCAGCTTAAACATAGACTGGGGCCTGAAAGGAGACGTCTCGGATCACTTGGATCCCGGGCCCCCTTCCCCACTAGATCTGTCATTAGGCAAGTGGCCAAGAGAAGGCCCAGTGGATCACCAGTTCTCAGCCATCATGGCATCGTGGCTGCCAGGGACCAGAAACAAGTGACGAGAAGAGAAGGACATTACTTGAGAGAATATGCATGTTCACAGCTCTGAGGATTAAAGGCCTGTGTTCTTATCACTGCAGAACAGAGTATTATAAATCCAGTCTTAGAATACCAAATCCCCTGGTGGCTTGGCCATAGTGAGGGAATATTAAAAAGGCCAGAGACAGAAATAATCAGTTTCTGAATGACACATTGTCAAATAAAGCATTTTTCATATTATCCCTTTCTTTCCTTTCTCTGCTTCCTTCTTTCATGCCTTGATATTTTAACATGAAAAATAGATTAAAATGAGGCCAGGCCAAACAGTGTACTGAGTTTGACTTTTCAGAAGGCTCTCTTGGTGGGGTGGTTTGAAGTGCTTTATACTTTTTATCTCTCTGTGTATTTTTCTGTTTTTGAGGTTGTGTACGTAAGAAAACCAGCTGAAGGCACTGGCATTGGAGAAAGTAAAAGCAGCAAAGGGGCATACGAGGTTTGGTCAGGTGCCTTGTTGATGCTGGGATCAGAGCTAAAACAAGTACTTGCATTTGCATTCCTCTGGAAAGTCTGGTGAAGATTGTCAGCTTCTGGATGTGTTTATTAAGCACCTTCCCTGGGCTAAGCACTGGAACTAAGGCTGGATAAATGGTAGAGGTAAATGGCAACTCAAGACCTTGAATGGGAAAATGGTCAAACAGATGATTGGATAACAACAGCCAGAGGACTGGAGCCATGAAAGCCTCACCTCAACCTGAAAATGCAGAGATGTTCCCTGGGGAAGTGATCTCCAAGCTTAGACAGCTGAATGGGCTGAGATCAAGAGGTCAAGGGCAGTGCCTTAGTTTCTTGGGGCTTCCATTTAAATTACTGCACACTGAGTGGCTTAAAACATGAGAAATTTATTCTTTCATGGTTCAGGAGGCCAGAAGTCCAAAATCATGATGTCAGCAAGCCTCCTCCCGGAGGCTCTGAGGGAGAATCTGTCCCATGCCTTTCTACCAGTTTCTCATGGTTGCTGATGACCATCGGCATTCCTTGGCTTGTAGATGCATCACTTGGATCTCTGTCTTCATCTTCATGTGAGCTTCTTCCCTGTGTGTCCACTCCTGTTCTTATGAGGATACCAGTCATTGGATTTAGGGCCCACTTTAATCCAATATGACTTCATCTTAACTAATTACCTCTGCAAATATCCTATTTCCAACTGAAGTCACCTTCTGAGATTCCAGGTCGAGTGAGTGAGAGGGTGCTTCAGGCTGAGGGGATAGAGAGTGCAGAAGAGGGAGCATCACACTTTGGAGGATGCCAACTGCCCAGGGTGACTCCAGGACAAGTAGGACAGGTGAGGCTTGTGGGGAGCTGGGGAATGAGCAGGGACCCAGTCATGAGGGGTTTTGTGTACCAGGCTAGGGAACCTGGACATTATTTTAAGGACCCCAGGAAGCCAGGAGAGGAGTTTAAGCAAGGGGAACTGGGGTGAAAGGATTTGGTTTGTGATAGACAAATAGGGAAGCTGAAGGAATGATGCTAGTATTTGTTGACTTTTGTGGTGCCAGATCCTTTATCCAGACCTTTGAATGTCTTGTTTAATCCTTAGCATAACTCTTCACACTGTGAACTATCAGCCTCATTTTAAAGGGAGCCTATTGCAGTCCAAGGAAGTAAAATGTAATGAACTTGTCACAGCCAACAGCAAGGAGAGAAGCAGGGATTCTCATGCTGGCCTGTATGCCCCCAGGCACCTGGTTTCCCCATCAGAGCACTCTGCCCTTGACACCTCCCACCCTCACCCTTGTCTTGTTCCCATGGGGAATCTGAGACTCACTGTCAGTAATAGAACAAGAGAAGCAGGCTGATCCTGCCTAGAGAGACTTGTAATAGGGAAGGTTCCAGAAGGGATAGGGGTGCACTTTCTTTCTCACATCTCTTCTCCACTTCCTCCCTGAAAGCTTCTTGAAATTCTCATAAGGTGATGGTAAAAACAAATCACCCCAAGATCTGTCCAGCTTACAACCTCACAGAAGCAACCCTGTAACTAATAGACTGATGTTATTATTTCTAGAACTTGCAGTGACTTCCTCAGCCTTGTTTGCCTAGGGCTGCCCTGGAGTGAGCACGGTACAAATCGGACTTGGCATCAGATCGTCCCTGAGGCCAGCAGGGTCTCAGCTTGTCACCCTTGGAGATTTCGCCTCTTCTTAACTTGCTTTCTAAAAATTCACAGCCATCTTCCTAGGTCTTTTTCTTCCTCCTCAGCTCCCCTTTTGCCGTGCAGCATTTTTTTCCACTGCTTGGGCCTGTGTTTGCTCCTGGTGTGGACTCAGAGGCTGGACACACTGGCCGTGCTGAGCACTGGTCGATTGCTCCTGCCTTTCTGTTTGCTTACCTCTGGTGTGGGAAGCTGTTAAAGAAGGGAGTATGTAATTCTATGGGTGTGGACCAGGACAGAAGCCTGGACCAGTGCAGGTGGACACAGTCTACACTTCCTTCTTGATTCTGAGTCACTCATCTGCATTCTTTGGGTGAGATGTCTCACTATGACAGAAGCAGCCAGATGGTTCTCTTGAGCTCCTTTGCTTGTGCACGGCACTCTTCAGTTTTTACAGGATATCACAGCTGTTTTCAGATTTGATTTGCACAGCAGCCTATAGGGGGTACCATGAATGAAGATTTTCTCCTATCACTGGTTTACCATGTGCCAGGCACTAAGCAAAGTATCCCGTGTCCATTAGTTCACATCTCACTTCCCTTGATAAAGAAGTCTATGACCTGATTTTATAGATAATAAAATTGTTAATCAGAGAAATTAAGTTCTATGTCCAAGATAGCCCAGCTTATATGTGCAGCATTAGATTTCAACCTTGTGTTTCTGACTCCCAGTCTTAGCTAGTTCTAACTGTGTGATATAGTATTACAAGTATTGGCCAACTCCGATTTACTGATTAATAAACTGAAGGTCCATAGGAGCAAGCCAAGGTCAGAAAGTAAGTAAACTTGAATTTAGAAGCTTTTTCCCACATGCTCTGAGACTGTGTCCAATTTTATGTATTCCACTACTTTTTCAGGGTCTAGGGAGGGAGGGATGTTCAGATTGGTGCTTGCAACGTTACCTAAGCTGCTACCATGTTTTAGATGATGCCTCCTGAGTTCTTTAGAAGCCCAGCCTGGGATGTCTGTTTCAGTAGTCAGTGGCACGATGAGCCCCAGAATACTGGAAATCTGCTTTGACCAAGTTCTTGCAATAAAACTTGAATCTGTAACGGAAACCACGTGGTCAGTGACTCAGTTGGAGGTGATGGAAGCTGAGTTCAGGGCAGGCTGGGGAGTGAGGACAATGAACCTGTGCCCTAAAGGGATAGCCATAGCCACTGGCTTGGGCTCATATCAAATGGCAAGGTCAAGGGCTAAAGAATCAATGGGTCAATAAACTAAAGGGAACCTCAAGCTCAGTGCCTCCCAAACCAGGGGGTCCCTCTGCCACATTCTTCTGGAAGTTTCCTATGTTGAGAAATCTGTGCCTGAAATTGTGTAGGTAACTTGATAAGGCAGAAGTGAGACTGAGCAGGGGCTAAGTAGGCTTTTGCTCCTGTGCCTTCTCCACTCCGAGCATGGTTTTAAAGTCATGCTGGAGCTAGTTTGAATCTCAGCTGCTCTATCTTGAGTAAATGACGTTTGTCTCTATGCCTGAGTTTCCAACTTAATGTAGGATGATGATAGGTGTAAAGGTGAATGAAAGAGCACATATCAAACATTTGGTCCAGATTGAAAAGGATTTGGGGATCCAAGGCAAGTTGTGCAGAATAGGTATATAGGGCCAGAAACTCAAGTCATTCATTCCTTCATTCATTCCTTTATTCGTTCAACACAGAATGTATACTTGCTGAATTCTGTTGACAGTAACAGCAGCTAACAACCTATGATACTATGTGCCCCTACCCTATATTAAATACCCCACAAGCATCTTATTTAGCCTTCATGACCCAATGAGGTGGCATTATGACTCTTGTCCTTGTTTAATCCATGAGAAAGCCAAAGATCTAGAAAGATAAAATAAACTGGTCAAGGTCACAGAGTGTCTAAGCAGTAGAACCTGGATAAAATCATGTCAGTCTGATGCCAACACTTAGCCATTTACTACTGGAAGGCTCTCAAGGCAAAGGATACAAGGAAGGAAGAAGGGGCATTAGTAGTTGCAGGTGGATGGGTTGGTTAGGCCTCATCTTTCCTAGGTCAGTATTGGTCCTGGGATCTGACCACAGAGTCCCACAACCATAATCGGGATATACTGAGTGGGATGAGGAATGAAGGCCCAGGAACCATGTAAGACCTTATCCTCTCACTGAATGAAATGCCCAAAGTTGAGAAGACAGAGGGCATGGTCAGGCAAGGAGATTCCCCCAGGGGCATCAATGGGCCAGAATGAAAATCTTCTCTGAAGAGAAGATGCACCCATTGCACATCTGGAGGCTGAATTTGAAAATAATACTTTCCTTTTCCCTTTTCATGCACCCTCACCATCTTTCCTCCTCCTCCCCTTCCCTCTCTTTAGTCAGTGAGAATTGCCGTTCAGTAACCAAGGGCTGTGAAATGGGGAGCTGGGGCCCAGTCACAGCTCCACCACTTCCTGGCCCTTTGAATCCAGCTGGACCTGGAATTAAATCCTGACTGTGTGACTTCAAGCTAGTTACTTACTTCTCTGAGTTACCTTTTCCTCATCTATACAGCATAAACTAATTTCTGTCACATAGTCTTGTCTTAAAGATTAAATAAAAAAACATTCAGTAAAGGTGTTAAGGAGAGGGTCAGCCCTTGTGTTTATCAAGGATTAGTGTTGCCCCCAGCCCTTTCCTCTCTTCACTCTCCCTCTCTATCACCTCTCTCCTCTTCACTCTTCCTCACTCCCTCCCTCTCCTTCTTTTCTTATTTCTGAAACACAAAAAAATCCCAGACAAATAATATCATGTCACACATAATTTTGTGACACAAAGCAATCACTATCATATGTTCTGTAGAGGAAAAAAAAGATTCATTGTTGTTTTTTAAGGTGATATATACATAATCACCTCTGGTATACACATGCATTTACACATATATTTAATAGATTCTACACACACACAAACACACACACACAAATACACACATAAATACACGTACTTATAGCTTTGCTTGATTTGTGCATTTGTTTTTATGTTATGACATCCAGAGAAACTTTCTTGGGGAAACCAAAGTAGCTCACTGCTGAACTCAAGGCAGGGCTTGGGCCCCTGCTACAGAGCTATCAGCCACACCTGCATACCTGGCCACCACCTCTTAGTCCTCTTATCCACCCAGTCCCCCTACCTCTGTGGAGGTGCTGAATTTCAGCATAGTGAGCTGAGGGTCTTGCAAATAGAACATGCCAGTTTTCTAATATCAAATACAGTCAGCAGGATGGCTGACCCATTTCAGCAAACAGTGTTCTTCTTGGTCTAAACAGGTGTGTTTAACAGCAGCCACCTTTGCCCCTAAGATAATGTATTCACAGCTAACATCTGTCATCTTTGTTAGATGCTGTACAGATAGTTGTCAGAATTTGTCCTTGCCTTCAATGAGATCATAGCCAAGGAGAAGCCATCAACCACACAGGTGGATTGAAAGAATATAGGCTCTAGAGTTAAAAAGCAAAAACAAACAAAATAAACACACAAAAAGTAAGGCTCAGATATTACTCTGCCACTTGCTCTCTGAGTTTCTGGGTCTCTTGATTTTTTGAAGCCTCTCTCTACCCTGTATACAACAAGGGTGATTCCTCCTGACTCTAGGGATTACACAGCAGGCATTCAGCAAAGTGTCTTCCAATCTCCCAAACATGAAGCAGAGTATAAAGTGAAGAAAAGCAAGAGAAGTGATGAGGGCCTACCCATCAGAGGAGAGGTTTCTGGCACAGAACAATTGAGGGGAGGCCTGGAGAATGCAAACCCTCAACTTCAAGCTCATGACAGGTGTTATGGGGATTACAGACGTGTTTTGAAAATACCTCTGCCCTGAAGGATCTTACAGACCAGAGTATTTCATGAATCATGTAAGATATGTGCATTAACACATTAGCTTATTTCAAATTAATGTAGGATAATGCAGACTCAAATATTTAGGAGCTGAGTGTATCAAAGAAAAAAATGTATATATATACACATTATATATATATATATCAGTTGACCTTGAAATTCTTATTAAAGGAGCCCTAGAAAGGTACATTTTCATTCACTCATTTACCAAATATTTGTTAAGGACCTACTTTGTCCCAGTTCCCTTATAGAAATTCAGAAATTTAAAGACTGGTGTTTCTGAAAAATGAAGAAAATACAGACTATGCAGACATTATGTTTGATTTAATAATGCTATCTTATATTTGCAGCAAGATGTAAGACAGCCTACTACTGTCTCATGATCTTTCAGTTAACTCATTCTAGAGATGAGGAAGCAAGGCTGGGGGAGCGTAGGCAACTGTCCTTGGGATGCTCAGCTGGTGGGAGATGGAGTCTAGATTCAGACATTCACCTGTGTGAAGCCGCAGCACTGACCCTTCCTGCCACTGAGCTATCTGTATTGCTCTGACATGACCGTTATCCATCTGATTTGCTTCCTATGGCAACCTTGTGAAGAAGGAAGAGCAGGGATTCCTACTCAACCTTTATAACTATGGAAAGCAAGGCTCAGAGAAGTGAAGAAGTTTGCCTAGGGTCACATAGTTTGTTGGTGAAAAAGCCAGGTTTGAAACAATGTCTCTCTAGCTTAAAAACCACGGCTGGTGGTTCCTGAGGCTCTATGAGCCAAACCCAGGGATCCTGGCAGAGTGTAGTGGACAGGAAAATCCCCTGCAGCCCTCGATTCCAAAGAACAGTGGCCCATTTGTGTGTCCTTCCTTCCTGCTCCAGGGTGGCCTCATCGCGCTGCTGCTGCTGCTGCTGGTGTTCACCGTGGCGCTGTACGCCCAGCGACGTTGGCAGAAGCGTCGCCGCATCCCCCAGAAGAGCGCAAGCACAGAAGCCACTCATGAGATCCACTACATCCCATCTGTGCTGCTGGGTCCCCAGGCGCGGGAGAGCTTCCGTTCATCCCGGCTGCAAACCCACAATTCCGTCATTGGCGTGCCCATCCGGGAGACTCCCATCCTGGATGACTATGACTGTGAGGAGGATGAGGAGCCACCTAGGCGGGCCAACCATGTCTCCCGCGAGGACGAGTTTGGCAGCCAGGTGACCCACACTCTGGACAGTCTGGGACATCCAGGGGAAGAGAAGGTGGACTTTGAGAAGAAAGGTGAGTCCTCCATGTCACAGCCCATTTTCCAGGGGGCATTTTGAAAAGATGGGAAGAGGTGCAGAAGCTGGGCAGTTGGGGACTACAGGCAGTGTTTTCTGGGATAAGCCACTTTGGATTTATGGCTTTAGATTTCTGTTGGGTTATCAAGTTTGTCTTCTCTGATTCTTCAGTAGTGATGAGAGAATAAAAGAGTGTCAGTACTCCCAGAATTGGAGTTGTGAGGAGCCTCAGAGGCTATGCAGTCCAACATCTTTCCAGTGTCTCTTGATTACCTCCTTTGACAGCTTTCTCACTACTCGGAAAAGAGGCCATCTCATTTCCACACAATTACTGACTATTAGAGGGTTTCTTCTTATACCAACTTGAAATCTGTGTTCACGGTCCCCCATGTCCAAAAGGAAAGTGATCTGATATTCTTTTTCCAAGGCAGCAGCTCTTGGGAAATTTGACAACACAAATAAAAGAGACTGTACATTTTAAACAACCTAAACACCCCAGTTTCTCTAAATAGTCTCATATAAAGCATTTTTCAGACATTTCACCTTCCTGGTCACTGCCGTCTAGACAGAAATTCTAATTTTTCACATCCTGGGCCATAACACCCAAACTGACACTCTTCTTCCTCAAGGCAGGAATGATCCAGGGCTGAGAAAAATGGGATTTTTGTCTCCTTCTTGCCAACTGTTATACTTCTATTGATGCAGCTTGAGATCCCATTTGTTTGTTACAGTTATTGCTGGCTCATATTAGACTTCTTTTATGTTTTTTTATATTGACAAATAATGTTCGTACATATTTATGGAGTACATAGTGATATTTTGATCCATATGATATATGGTGATCAGATCAGGGTAATTAGTATATCAATCATCTTAAACATTGATCATTTCTTTGCATTGGGAATGTTCAATAAGCTCCTAGTTATTTGAAACTATGTATTACATTAATAAGTAATCTTTAAGTGGTATAGGACACTAGAAATTATTACACCTATCTAGCTGTAATTTTATTTCCTTTAATAAATTTCTCCCTATTCCTGTCTCCCTCCTACCTTTCCCAGCTTCTAATATCCTCTGTATCCTACTAGCAGCCTCGAGCATTCTTTTACTTCTATGAGGTCAATTATTTTCAGCTTCCACATGTGAATAAGAATATGTGACATTTAACTTTCCATTCCTGTCTTATTTTGCTTAATATAATGTTCTTCAGTTCCATCAAGGTCGCCATAAATGAAAGGATTTCATTCTTATTTATGGCTGAATGTATTCCATTGTGTATACATACCACCTTTTCTTTATCTAGTCATCTGTTGTTGGACACCTAGGTTGATTCCATATCTTGACTATTGTGGATAATCCTGCAGTAAGCATGCAGGTGCAGATGTATCTTCAATAAGCTGATTTCCTTTAATTTGGATAAATACCAAGTCATGGGATTGCTAGATATATGGTAGTTCTTTTTGTAGTTTTTAGAGGACCTTCCAAACTGTTCTATATAGTGACTGTACTAGTTTACATTCGCATGACAGTGTATGAGTTTTCTTTTCTCCGCATTCTCACCAGCATTTGTTATTTTTGACTTTTTTATAATAGCCATTCTAACTGAGATGAGATTATACCTCATTGCAGTTTTTGATTTGCATTTACCTGATAATTACTAATAAGGAGCATGTTTTCGTATATTTGTTGGTCACTTGTATGTCTTTTGAGAAATTTCTATTCAGAACAATTTGTCCACTTTTTTATTAGATTGGAGGGTTTTTTTGTTTTTTGTTTTTTTGTTTTTTGTTTTTGCTGTTGGAATGTTTGAGTCTCTTGTATATTCTGGATATTAATTCCCTATTGGATAAATATTTTATGAATATTTTCTCCCATTCTGTAGGTTGTGTTTTCATTCTGTTGTTTCCTTTGCTGTGCAGGAGCTTTTTAGTTTGACATATAATCTTGTCTACTTTTGCTTTTTTTTTCTTTGCCTGTGCTTTTAAGGTCTTACTTACAAAATCTTTTTTCAGACCAATGTCTTGAAGTGTTTCCCCTGTTTTCTTCTAATATGTTTATCATTTCGGGTCTTACATTTAGGTCTTTGATTCATTGTAAATTAATTTTTTATTGGGTAAAAGTGGGGGTCTAATTTCATTCTTCTGCATATGCATATTCAGTTTTCTCAGCATGATTTACTGGAGAGACTGCCATTTCCCTACTAAGCGTTCTTGGCACCTTTGTAAAAAGTCAGTAGACTGTAAATAAATTTCTGGGTTCTCTATTCTGTTACATTCATCTATGTATGTGTCTGTTTTTATGCCAGTACCATACTGCATTTACTTTGCAGTAACTTTGGTTACTACAGCTTTGTAGTATATTTTGAGGTCTGAAAGTGTGATACTTCCAATTTTGTTATTTTTTTCTCAAGATTGCATGAGCATGGGAGGTCTTTTCATTTTTTTGTATCCTCTTCAATTTCTTTCATCAATGTTTTATATTTTTCTTGTAGAGATCTTTTACCTCTTTGGTTACATTGATTTCTATGTATTTTATTGTATTGTTTTATAGCTGTTGTAGATGGGATTTCCTTCTTGGTTTCTTTTTCAGCTAGTTTGTTTATGTATAGAAGTGCTTCTAATTTTTATATGTTGATTTTGCATCCTAGAACTTTTCCGAATTTTTTTATCAGTTAGTTATTAGTCTGTTCTCACACTGCTATAAAGAACTACCTGAGACTGGGTAATTTATAAAGAAAAGAGGTTTAATTGACTCACAATTTCACAGCTATACAGGAGGCACGGTTGGGGAGGCCTCAGGAAACTTACAGTAATGGCAAAAGAGCGACAGGGAAGCAAGCACCTTCTTCACATGGCACAGCAGGAGAGAGAGAGAGCAATGGGAGAAGTGCTAAACACTTTTAAACAAACAGATCTCGTGAGAACTCACTCACTATCCCAATAACAGCAAAAGGGAAATCTACCCCCATGACCCAGTCACCTCCCACCACCAGTTCTCTCCCCCAACCTTGGGGATTATAATTGAACATGAGATTTGGGTGAAGACACAGAGCCAAACCATATCACATTTCTAAGACGTTTAGGTAGACTCTTTAGGTTTTTCTGGGAATAAGATAAGAGAATTTGACTTCCTCCTTTCCAATTTGGATGTTTGTCATTTCTTTCTGTTGCCTAATTGCTCTGGCTAGGAAATCTAGTATTGTGTTTGACAAGAATGATTAGAGTGGACATTTTTGTCTTGTTTGGTAAGATGTTAGCTGTGGATTTGTCATATATGGCCTTTATTATGTTGAGGTATTTTCTTTCTGTGACTAATTTATTAAGAGTTTTTATCACGAGGAGATATTTAAAATTTCAAAAGCTTTTTTTTTTTTTGCTTTGAGATGATCATATGGTTTTTTTTCCATCATTCTATTGATTGTCCTTCATTCTATTGATGTGAAATATGTTTATTGATTTGCATATATTATCCTTGCATACCTGGGATAAATACCACTTGATCATGGTGTATTATCTTTTTGACATGTTGGATTCAGTTTTTTAGTACTTTGAGGATTTTTGCATATATTTTCATCAGGGATATTGACCTGTAGTTTTCTTTTTGTGTGTGTGTCCTTGTTTGGTTTTAGTATCAGGGTGATGCATGTCTTGTAGAATGAATTAGAAAGAATTCCCTCTGCTTCAATGTTTTGAAATAGTTTTGGGAGAATTGTTATTAATTCTTCTTTATACATTCAGCAGAATTGAGTGGTGAAGCCATCTGGTCCTGTACTTTTCTTTGTTGGAAGGCTTTTTATTATTGACTCAGTCTCATTACTTGTTTTGGTCTGTTAAGGTTTTCCATTTCTTTGTGGTTCAATTTTGTTGAGTTCTGTGTGTCCAGAAATTTATCCATTTTCTCTGTTTTCAAATTTATTGACCTATAGCTGTTCATAATAGCCTTTGACTTTGTATTTATTTGTATCATTTTGTATTTCTGTGATATCCATTGTGATGTCTCCCTTTTCATTTCCGATTTTATTTATGTGAGTGTTCTCTCCTTTTATCTTAGTTTGTCTAGCTATTAGTTCATCAATTTTGTTTATCTTTTAAAAAACAACTTTGTGTTTTATTGATCTTTTGTTCCTTTTAGTCTTTTTGCTTATTTTTGCTCTGATCTATTTCTTTCATTCTACTAATTTGGGGTTTGATTTCTTCTTGCTTTCCTATATCCTTGAGGTGCATTAATAGGTTATTGATTTGAAATCTTTCTAGTTCTTTGATATAAGCATTTATTACTATAAATTTGCCTCTTAATACTGCTTTTGCTGTGTTCCATGGATTTTGGTATGCTGTGTTTCTGTTTTCATTTGTTTCAAGGAATTTTCAAATTTTATTCTTAATTTCTTCCTTCACTCATTGGTCATTCAGGAGCATCTTATTTAATCTCCTTGTATTTGTATAGTTATGAATATTCCTGTTGTCATTGATATCTAGTTTTATTCCACTGTGGTCAGATAAGATATTTGATACAATTTCAGTGTTTTAAAATTTTCTGAGATTTGTTTTGTGCTCTAACGTATGGCTAATCCTGGAGAATGTCCCATGTGCTGATGAAAAGAATCTTGCCCTTTGCAGCTGCTGGGTGAAATATTATGTAATTGTCTATCACATCCATTTGGTCTATAGTGAAGTTTAAATATGATCTTTCTTTGTTGACTTTCTGTCTAGATGATCTGTCCAATACTGAGAATAAAATGTTGAGGTCCCCAATTATTATTTTACTGGAGTCTGTCTCTCCCTTTAGATCTAGTAATATTTACTTTATGTATCAGGATGTTCTGGTGTTTAGTGTAAATATATTTACAATTGTTATATTCTCTTGCTGTATTGATCTCTTTATTATCATATAATATCCTTCATTGTCTATTTTTACAGCATTGAATTGAAGCCTGTTTAGTCTGATATAATTCCAGCTACTTGTTCTCACTTTTGGCTTACATTTGCATTTAGTATATTTTTCCGTTCCTTCACTTTCATTCTATGTTTGTCTTTACAGGAAAAGTGAATTTCCTAATAGGCAGTATATAGTTTTGTCTTATTTTTTCATCCTTTTGTCCTGTTTATATATTCTTAATGGGGAATTTAGTTCATTTATAATAATTGTTATTGTTGATAGGTGGGAACTAATCAGTGTTTCACTGAGTGTTTTCTGGTTGTTTTGTGTATTCTTTGTTTCTTACTTTCTCTCTTATTATTTTTGCAGTTGGGTGGTTTTCTGTAGTGATAAGGTTTGATTCCTTTCTCTTTCAAAAAATATATTGGCTCTACCAGTGAGTTGTATAGTTTTGCATATTTTCATGATCATAGTTGTTATCTTTTCACTTCCAGTTGTAAGACTTCACTGAGCATTTCTTGTAAAGCCAGCCTAGTGCTGATGAATTCCATTAGTTTCCATATGCCTGTAACAGATTTTATTTCTTCTTCATTTCTGAAGGATAACTTTGCTAGGTACAGTATTCCTGACTGACAGTTATTTCCTTGCAGGGCTTGGAATATGTCATCTCATTCTCTCCTGGCTGAGAAATCCACTGTTACTTTAATGAAAATTCCCTTTTATGTGACCTGACTTTTTTCTCTTGCTGATTTTGTTTATTTATTTTTTTTGTCATTGACTTTCAACAACTTGACTGTAAGATGCCTTGAAGAAGATCTGTTTGGGTTTAACCTATCTGGTTTCCTGGACCTTGATGTCCATCTCTCTCCCAAGACGTTGGAATATTTTTTTGCTATTATTTCATTAAATATATTTTCATCACCTTTTCACTTGTTCTTCTGAAACACCCCTAATATGAATATTTTTCACTTACTTGAGGCTTTCTTTTTTTTGTATTATTTATTCTTTCTTTTCTTTTCTTTTTGACTCCTTGTGTTATTTCAAAATATCTGTCTTCAAGTTTAGATTTTTTTTTCTGCTTGCCCTAGTCTATTGTTGAAGCTCTTGATTCATATGTTTACTTTCTTCATTGAATTCTTTAGCTCTTTGTTCCTGTTTGGTTCTTTTTTATGGTATCTATCTCTTTGTTGAATGTATCATGTAAATCATGAATCATTTTCTTGATATAGTTAAATTGACTATCTTTCTTCTCTTATACCTCACTGAGTTTATTTAAAATTATTATTTAATTTTTTTGGCAGTTCATGTATTTTATTATGATCAGGGTCTGCTGCTAGCAAATTATTGTTTTCCTTTTACAGTGACATGTTTCCTTGATTTTTCATGTTTGATGTGTCCCTATGTTGATTTCTTAGCATGTGGTAGAAAAATTATTACTTCTGATTTTATTGAGTAGGTTTCATAAGGAAAGACTTATTTGTATAACTTGGTCTTGAGGTGTTAGTTTGGTGTGTTGTGCTGTCCTGGATTTTAGTTAGATGCAATACTAGAGTTTCTATGTAGTTAAATTGGCTACAATTTTACATTAGTGACATTTGTAAGATACTCAGTGACCTAGGCTGAGAGAGTTTGTGGTGATGGTGGTGCAGCTTTGCCAGGATTGGGCTCACTGGGCTATTTCTCAGAACAGGGGGATGTTCATGCAGCTTGGGGTCTGATTCCCTGATATTAGGGCCATGGGGCTGTTCCTCTGGCCAGGAGCAAGGGCACGTGGTATCTCAGCTGGCCTGGGGGCGTACCTGCCAGGAGCTGCTCAAAGGGATGTTTCTCAGGCTCAGAATGTGGGAGTATAGCTTTTCAGCTGGCCTGGGGATATTTCTACCAGGGGCAGCTCATAGGGATGTTTCTTAGGCCTGGGACATGGGCATAAGTTTGCTCAGTTGGTCTAGGTGTGTATCTGCCAGGAGCTGCCTTTGAAACAGTTTCTTAGGCCTGCTATGTGGGTGTATGGCTGCTTGGCTGGCCTGAAAATGTGTCTGAGGGGGACAACCCACAGGGCCATTTCTCCAGCTTGAGACATGGGCATGCAGTGGCCTGAACAGCCTGGGTGGGCATGGCTACCATGGGTGGGTACAGGGCTGTTTGTCAGGCCCACGATATAACTGCACAGTTGCTTGGCTGGTTTGGGGCGTTTCTGTGGGTGGTGGCCCACAGGACTCTTTTGGACCTGGGACATGGCCATATAGCTGCTCATCCAACCTGTGGGCATATCTGCCCAAGGGGCTGTTTCTCAGGTCTGGAATATAAGTACAAGGCTGCTTGGCTGGCTCAGGTGTGTGCCCACCAGGAGCAGCCTGCAGGGCTGTTTCATGCCTGGTATGTAGGTGCGCAGCTGCCTGGCCAGCCTAGGGAATGTCCACAAGGAGTGGCTGATGGGGCTGTTCAGGTTCAGGACATGGGCTGTTGGCTGCTTGGCTGTTCTGGTGGTATGCCCACCAGGGCTGTCCTGTGGGACAGTTTCTCATGCTCTTTTAGGGGGCGTAGAACTATTAGGCAGGCCAGGGATATATCTGTAGTGGGTGGGGGCACTCTGGAGCCAGTTCTCAGGTCCTGTGCATAGGCATGCAGCCATTCTGCTGCCCTGGAGTTATATCAGCTGCTTGGAGGCTCAGAGGCTTCTCCCACTTGAGGGTGGGTGAGCAGTGGTTTGGCTGGCTCAAGGCAGGATAGCTGTGGGTGGGACCGTTATACTGTTTCTCTGGCTGGAAGTAGGGTAGTGGGGGTTGGTTTCTCTGCTCTGTAGGACAAGAGTCACAGCCAGTTTTAGGCCCAAGCTCTGTAAAGCTGGGCTTGTGACATTCAGCCACCCGTGTGGGCTTGGGGTAATGAAG
Organism: Homo sapiens; assembly: GCF_000001405.40. Lineage (NCBI taxonomy): Eukaryota > Metazoa > Chordata > Mammalia > Primates > Hominidae > Homo > Homo sapiens. Next base: position 117,206,589 of record NC_000009.12, on the reverse strand, counting down.
ATGGAGCCCCATTGCTGGAGAGGTGCCATGGCTATTGGCCCCCAAAGCAGGGCACACTCATGAGGTGTGTACCGTGCTGCAGCAACTTGGCTCACATGGTGGGTGGAAGTGAGAAGTACACATGCTGTGCTTCTAATCCAGGACAGTGCAGCTGTATAAATTCTTGGTGGCTCTTTAAACTGGGCTCAGGGCTTGTGAGGACTGTGGAATTCTCCTGTAGTAGGGACTGTAGGTGTTTGTGGTAGCAATGGGGTCGGATAGAGATCTTCTGCTTATCTTTTCCCCACAGTGAGAAGTTTCTCCTGACTCTAGGCAAATCTAATCCAGGCCAGGGGGATGGTGCTTCAGAGGCTGGGTGACTCTACATTGCCCTCATGGACTTCCTGTCACCACAGATGCTTCTCCACTCTTCTGCTGCATTTCGGTGCTCTGCCTTCGACGACACTCAGGTCAAATCCTAGCTGTTTATTCATTGCTTTGGTCCTTTCTTGTTGGAATATAAATGCCAGGTGTCTCTTATCATGCATCTTGCTGACATCACTCCCCTCACATTGGACTTTTTGATGACTAATACCTCTTGCTCCTTTTCACATATGTTGTTGCAAAGACCCATTTCCTTTGTTTTGTTTGGGGACAATTGATTATTTGGACATAAGCACAGGATGTGTTTACATTTGCCTTTACTGTCTATCGTTGAGCTTGTTTACAGATGGAATTTAGCTATTTTCCTTTAGACAAATGCAACAAAGGCACAGTTCTTCTTTATCTCTTCATTCCTTGTGAGGCTGATGATGATAACGGGTGAAAGCTTTGGGCTGGAGATCCCGGTTCAGACACCGACCGCTACTTTTGAGAGCCTAAAGAAAGCCTTATTTTTTAGTTTGGCCCCTTCCCTGGAGCTCTGGGTTCTGCATTCTTCTTTTCTACTCCTGAGATTCTCCTCTGAGGCCCATCTTTCCTTGATGCTCAGTGGACAAACAGAAAAAGTCGGGGGGCTTTTTAAAAAGTAGGTTTTTTTTTCAATCCTAGAAACTCAGGGAGAAAGTAGAGTGATAATGTAGATGAGAGTATAGATTTTGAAGTCATCTGGACCTGGGTTCAAATCTTGTCCCATTTACTTATAGTGTGATCTTGGGAAACTGGGAATGTAACACTCTTGGCTTCAGTTTCCTCCTTGAAGGGTTAATGGGAGGATTAGATATAAAAATAAAAGATGTGTAAAATACCTACCCCATGACTTGGCACGTGGTAAGTCTTGAACCCCAAGATGTGTATGTGTAGACCTCAGTCCTTCAGTTTTAGCTGGACTTCTGAGATTCTCTCAAATCCAGCTGTAATATTTATCTCCAGCTTTCCTTCAAGCTCTAGCCACCATGATATGCTCACTGCTCTGGAATGCTTTGAATATTCCCCTTGTCCATCATAGGCTCTTCTGTGTTTGAACTGCTGGTTTATTGTCACTACCCCCATTTGTTTGCCTTCTCAAATGTTATTTATCATTTTCATGTGATTTCTCATCTTACAACAAGGACAGTCTGCATTTATTTTATTTCTCTGTATCCTGCAATGCCCAGCACAGTGCCTCCCACATAGACAGTGCCCAGTGAAGGTCAGACAATAAATATGGCCTTGAAAGGGTAAGGATGTTCATTTGGCAGTAATACCAGCAGGCCAAAACATCATGCTTCCTTTGTCTAAAAGAAAATCACTTAGATAAGGCAGAAAACATCTTCCTATATATTTTAGTTTTGGCTTTTGCAGCATAACTCATTGAGCATTGCTGTCCTTATATGGAAAATGCTTTTATTTTCTTTTTGTTGTTGTTTGTTTGGTTTTTTTTAACAGCCAGTCTTCCCAGGTCATAGATTTGCTGTGGGTATCCAATGATAAATGAACTCCAAATGCTGGAGGAGTTTTCCTAGCCCCTAATCAGTTTCTACATCAGTTATCTTCCTCAACCCAACCCAAATGAGTAATCTACTCCCTCTTCCAGCTCTTAAAGCTGGTTGTGATTACTTTGAACTGACCACTTCCCACACTGTACAAAAATAATCAGTTTCTCTTTCTGTCTGCTAAGCTAGACTTAGAGATCTTTGAGAGAGAGTACAGTGTCCTTTATCTTTGTTTTTGTAGCATCCAGCATAGTGGCTAACACTTCATAGTAGGCACTCTGAAAATGCCTGTTGGCTAAGTGATTGATCCATCAGTTGATCAATCAAGATAAATCAAGGCAGCCAGGGACAGTGGCTCATGCCTGTAATCTCAGCCTTTGGGAGGCTGAGGCAGGTGGATCACATGAGGCCAGGAGTTCCAGACCAGCCTGGCCGAAATGGAAAAACCCTGTCTCTACTAAAAATCCAAAAATACACAAAAATTTTTGTGGAGCCAGGGAGGCTACACAGCTTGGTCCCAAGACTTGTCCCCACAGCCCAACACACCGGCAATGGCAGTAGGCGGCCACAGTGCCTGTTCAGGTGTAACCCTGACCCATCCTTCCTCAGTGGGTGGGGCTTCCCTGTAGGATCTCCAATAACTCCAGCCAGAGGCTCTGGGACAGAATTCAGATCTCCCTGGACCTGAACCCCTGGGGAGTGTGGTGGCCACATTCTCTGTGGACCAGCAGACTTAGCCTCTCCTTCTGGTAGTTCTGATGAATCCGGGCAGCCCAGAACAGTGGGTTTCCCCTCAGAAAAACACACCCTCTCCACCAAGGCACAAAGTGCTTCATTAAATGAGCCCTTCTCTCCATGCCATCCAACTGGATGAGGCCCTCCAACAGGGGTTGTCAGATACCCTATGCAGGAGCGAACCTACTGGCATCAGGTTGGTGCCTCTCAAGGTCAGAGGTCCCAGAGGTAGGAACAGGCATCCATCTTTGCTGCTCTCCAGACTCCTTGAGTGACATCTCCAGGCACAGGAGTGAATCAGATGAATGGGGCCTGAAGTGAACTCCCAGCAAACTGCAGCAGCTCTACGGAAGAAGGACCTGACTATTGAAAGAAAAACAAACAAGCAGAAAGCAACAACAGCATCATCCACAACAACAACAACAACAACAAAGGCCCCCACAAAAACCCCATCCAAGGGTCAGCAGCCTCAAAGACTAAAACTAGACAAACTCATGAAGATGAGAAATAATCAATGAAAAAATGCTAAAAACCCAAAAGAGCAGAGCGCCTCTTCTCCTCAACATGATCACCACATCTGTCTATCAAGGGCCTAGAACTGGACAGAGGATCAAATGGATGAATTGACAGAGTAGGCTTCAGAAGATGGGTAATAAAAAACCATGATGAGCTAAAGGAGCATGTTCTAACACAATGCAAAGAAGCTAAGAATCTTGAGAAGAGGTTAGAGGAATTGCTAACTAGAGTAACCAGTTTAGAGAAGAAGATAAATGACCTGATGGAGCTGAAAAACATAGCATAAGAACTTAGTGAATTATACACAAGTATCAACAGCCAAATCAACCAAGCAGAAGAAAGGATATCAGAGTTTGATGACAACCTTACTGAAATAAGACATGCAGACAAGAATAGAGATAAAAGAACAAAAAAGAATTAACAAAGCCTGCACGAAATGTGGTACTTCATAAAAAGACCAAACCTACAATTGATTGGAGTACCAGAAGGAGACAGGAAAAATGGAAAGAAGCTGGAAAAGACACCTCAGGATATATATTCAGGAGAACTTCCCCAACCTAGCAAGACATGCTAGCATGCAAATTCAGGAAATACGGAGAACATGATTAAGATGCTCCACGAGAAGATCAACCCCAAGACACATAATCATCAGATTTTCCAAGTTGGAATGAAGGAAAAACTGTTAAGGGCAGCCAGAGAGAAAGGCCAGGTCACCTACAAAGGGAAGCCCATCAGAATAACAGTGGGCCTCTCAGCAGAAACTCTACAAGCCAGAAGAGATTGGGGGCCAATATTCAACATTCTTAAAGAATTTTCAACCCAGAATTTCATATCTAGCCAAACTAAGCTTCATAAGCAAAGGACAAAGAAAATCTTTTCCAGACAAGCAAATGCTGTGGGATTTCATTACCACCAGGCCTGCCCTGCAACAGCTCCTGAAAGAAGCACTAAATATGAAAGGAAAAACTCGTACCAGGCACTGCAAAAATACACCAAAATATGAAGACCGATGACAATATGAAGAAACTGCATCAACTACTGTGCAAAATAACCAAATAGCATTATGACGACAGGATCAAATTCACACATAACGATACTAACTCTAAATATAAATGGACTAAATGCCCCAATTAAAAGACACAGGCTGGCAAATTGGTTGAGGAGTCAAGACCCATCAGTGTACTATATTCAGGAGACCCATCTCATGTTCAAAGACACACACAGGCTTAAAATAAAGGGATGGAGGAAGATTTACCAAGCAAATGGAAAACAAAAAAAGGCAGGGATTGCAATCCTACTCTCTGACAAAACAGACTTTAAACCAACAAAGATCAAAAAAGACAAGGAAGGGCATTACATAATGGTAACAGGAAGAATTCAACAAGAAGAGCTAACTATTCTGAATATATATGCACCCAATACAGGAGCACCCAGATTCATAAAACAAGTTCTTAGAGACCTATGATGAGACTTAGACTCCCACACAATAATAGTGGGAGAATTTAACACCCCACTGTTAGTATTAGACAGATCAACGAGACAGAAAATTAACAAGGATATTCAGGACTTGAACTCAGCTCTGGATCAAGTGGACCTAGTAGACGTCTACAGAATTCTGTACCCCAAATCAGCAGAATATACATTCTTCTCAGTGCCACATGACACTTATTCTAAAATCAACCACATTATTGAAAGTAAAACACTCCTCAGCAAATGCAAAAGAACTGAAATCATAACAAACAGTCTCTCTCACCACAGTGCAATCAAATTAGAACTCAGGATTAAGAAACTCACTCAAAACCACACATTTTCATGGAAATTGAACAACCTGCTCCTGAATGACTCCTGGATAAATAATGAAATTAAGGCAGAAATCAAGAAGTTCTTTGAAACCAATGAGAACAAAAAGACAACATACCAGAATCTCTGGGACACAGCTAAAGCAGTGTTAAGAGAGAAATTTATAGCACTAAATGCCCACATCAGAAAGCTAGAAAGATCTCAGATTGACACCCTAACATCACAATTAAAAGAGCTAGAGAGCCAAGAGCAAACTAAAATCAGAGAAGAATTGAAGGAGATAGAGACATGAAAAACCCTCCAAAAACTGAACGAATCCAGAGGCTGGTTTTTTGAAAAAATTAACAAAATAGATAGACTGCTAGCTAGACTAATGAAGAACAGAGAGAAGAATCAAATAGACACAATAAAAAATGATAAAGAGGATATCACCACTGACCCCATATAAATACAAACTACTGTCAGAGAATACCATAAATACCTCTATGGAAATAAACTAGAAAATCTAGAAGAAATGAATAAATTCCTGGATGCATACACCCTACAAAGACTATACCAGGAAGAAGTTGAATCCCAGAATAGACCAATAACAAGCTCTGAAATTGAGGCAGTAATTAATAACCAACCAACCAAAAAAAAAAAAAAAAAAAGCCCAGGACCAGATGGTTTCATAGCTGAATTCTATCAGAAATACAAAGAGGAGCTGGTACCATTCCTTCTGAAACTATTCCAAACAATTGAAAAGGAGGGACTCCTTCCTAACTCATTTTATGAAGCCAGTATCATCCTGATACCAAAACTGGGAAGAGACACAACAAAGAAAGAAAACTTCAGGCCAATATCCCTGATGAACATCGATGCAAAAATCCTCAATAAAATACTGGTGAACTGAATCCAGCAGCACGTCAAAAAACTTATCCACCATGATTAAGTCGGCTTCATCCCTGAGATGCAAGGATGGTTCAACATATGAAAATTAATAAATGTAATCTATTACATAAACAGAACTAAAGACAAAAACCACATGATTATCTCAATAGATGCAGAAAAGGCCTTTGATAAAATTCAACATCCCTTCATGTTAAAAACTCTCAATAAACTAGATATTGATGGAACATATGTCAAAATAATAACAGGTATTTATGACAAACCCACAGCCAATATCATATTGAATGGGAAAAGCTGGAAGCATTCCCTTTGAAAACCAGTAGAAGGCAAGGATGCCCTCTCTCACCACTCCTATTTAACATAGTATTATAAGTTCTGGCCAGGACAATCAGGCAAGAGAAAGAAATAAAGGGTATTCAGATAGGAAGAGAAGAAGTCAAGTTGTCTCTGTTTGCAGATGACATAATTTTATATTTAGAAAACCCCATCGAACATCACACACCGGGGACTGTTGTTGGGTAGGGGGAGGGGGGAGGGATAGCATTAGGAGTTATATCTAATGCTAAATGACGAGTTAATGGGTGAAGCACACCAACATGGCACATGTATACATATGTAACAAACCTGCACATTGCGCACATGTACCCTAAAACTTAAAGTATAATAATAATAAAATTTAAAAAATAATAATAATAAAAAAAAGAAAACTCCATCATCTCAGCCCCAAAACTTCTTGAACTGATAAGCAATGTCAGCAAAGTCTCAGGATACAAAGTCAATGTGCAAAAATCACAAGCATTCCTTTACATGAATAGGCAAGCAGAAAGCCAAATCATGAATGAACTCCCATTCAAAAAGAATAAAACTCCCATGCAAAGAGAATAAAATACCTAGGAATACAGCTAAGAAGGGATGTGAAGGACCTCTTTAAGGAGAACTACAAACCACTGCTCAAGGAAATAAGAGAGGACACAAACAAATGGAAAAACATTTCATCCTCAGAGATAGGAAGAATCAATATCATGAAAATGGCCATACTGCCAAAAGTAATTTATAGCTTCAATGCTATTCCCATCGAACTACCATTGACATTCTTCACAGAATTAGAAAAAAAAAACTACTTTAAATTTCACATGAGTCAAAGAAGAACCCATGTAGCCAAGACAATCCTAAGCAAAAAGAACAAAGCTGGAGACATTACAATACCTGACTTCAAACTATGCTACTTCCAAGCCTACAGCAACCAAAACAGCGTGGTACTGATACCAAAACAGACATATAGACCAATGGAACAGAACAGAGACTTCAGAAATAACACCACACATCTACAACCATCTGATCTTTGACAAAACTGACAAAAAAAGGAATGGGGAAAGAATCTTCTCTGCAGTAAATGGTGCTGGCTAGCCATATGCAGAAAAGTGAAACTGGACCCCTTCCTTACACCTTATACAAAAATTAAATCAAGATGGAAACAAGACTTAAATGTAAAACCCAAAACCATAAAAACTCTAGAAGAAAACCTAGACAGTACCATTCAGGATATAGGCATGGGCAAAGGCTTCATGACGAAGATGCCAAAAGCAATTGCAACAAAAGCCAAAATTGACAAATGGTATCTAATTAAACTAAAGAGCTTCTGCACAGCAAAAGAAACTATCATTAGAATGAACAGGCAACCTACAGAATGGGAGAAAATGTTTGTAATCTACCCATCTGACAAAAGTATAATATCCAGAATTTACAAGGAAGTTAAACATATTTACAAGAAAAAAACAACCCTGTCAAAAAATGGGCAAAGGATATGAACAGACACTTCTCAAAAGACATTTATGCAGCCAACAAACATATGAAAAACAGCCCAACATCACTGATCATCAGAGAAATGCAAATCAAAACCACAATGAGATACCATCTAATGCCAGTCAGAATGGCAATTATTAAAAAGTCAGGAAACAATAGTTGCTGATGAGATATGGAGAAATAGGAATGCTTTTACACTGCTGGTGGGAATGTAAGTTAGTTTAACCATTGTGGAAGACAGGATGGCAATTCCTCAAGGATCTACAACCAGAAATACCATTTGACCCAGCAATCTCATTACTGGGTATATACCCAAAGGAATATAAATCATTCTATAAAGATACATGCACATGTATGTTTATTGCAGCACTATTTGTAATAGCAAGGCTGTGGAACCAACCCAAATGCCCATCAATGATACACTGGATAAAGAAAATGTGGTAATGGGTGCAGCAAACCACCATGGCACATATATACCTATGTAACAAACCTGCACATTCTGCACTTGTATCCCAGAACTTAAAGTATAATAAAAAAGGAAAAGAAAATGTGGTACATATACACCATGGAATACTATGCAGCCATAAAAAGGAATGAGATCATGTCTTTTGCAGGGACATGGATGAAGCTGGAAGCCATCACCCTCAGCACACTTACATAGGAAGAGAAAACCAAACCCCACATGTTCTCACTCATAAGTGGGAGTTGAACATTGAGAATGCATGAACACAGAGAGAGGACTAACTCACACCAGGGCCTGTTGGAGGGTTGGGGGTGAGGGGAGGGAACTTAGAGGACCACTCAATAGGTACAGCAAACCACCAAGGCACATGTATACCTATGTGACAAACCTGCACATTCTGTGTATGTACCCCCCTTTTGTTTAGAAGAAATAAAGGAAAAAAAAACTACATAGGCACATTTTATTCAGGCAGTTAAAAAACAAAGGACAAAGAAAAAAAATCTTAAAAACAGCCAGAAGAAAAAGATACATTACCTTCAAAGAAGAAAATTAGACTTACAACTAATTTTTCATTAGCAATTATTAAAGCCAGAAAACAATGGAATTACATCATTAAAGTGCTTATAGGAAAAAAATTACCAATCTATAATTCTGTACCCAGCAAAATATTTTTCAATAATTAACATGAAATAAAGACCTTTCAGACAAAAAAAGAAGTTTGTATTATATAAAGCAACAACTAAATGTTCTACCCTTGCCTGTTCATTCTATTCCACTGACAGGACCCAAAGGCTAATATATTGTTTTATTTAATTTATATTCTTCTGGCATTTTCCAATATAGCCATAACATACATACATATGTATATGGATGTGTGTGTATCAGTGTATATAATTGTGTATACACACACACACTTGCACCTACATATATATTAATGGAGTCAGTGGGGTTATCTCATCCACATATATCATTCTGCAGCAATTTGATAGTTTATTAAGCAATGTATATAGAAAGTATCTTTTCAAGTCAGCCATGCATACTTACCTTACTCCCACTGAAGTCTGTACTGCTGGATCACATGCTAAGAACATACCAAATATATCAAACTTTGCAACCCTCTATTGTTGACCATTATCTTGAGAGCTTGTTTAGAGGTTCTGGTAGGGTAGTGCAGCTACTCATATACCCTTGACTAAAGACCAGTCATCCTCTGTCAGAGATGGTTATCCTCTTCAACCGAGCACGCAGCTTCAGGAGGGATGCACATGGAGCATTGAGGGAGGAAGAGGACACCCATCTAGCCAGCCAGATCAGCTGAATCAACCCTGGTGATCAATGGGGTGACAGATGTCACAGCCAGATTGCCCTCACATCCGACCATTATCTTAATTTTCTGCACTTACGATGGGTCAACAAACATCTTTGTACGTATACCTAGCTAGCTATTCTTGTAAAGCATGAGAATATTTCTGTAGGACAGATGTGTACCAAAAATCAGAATCACAGCATCAGAAGGCACATGCATTTGAAAGTTTGATAAATGCTGGCATATCCATTTAAAAAGTCTGTTTTATTCTCTCAAGGGGAGCTGGGTATGCTTTTCTACACAGATCTACACAAACAACCCACTACCCCATCAAACTGACTGTTCTTATATTATAGTGGGTGCTTCTGGTCTTTATCTATATCGTTGTTATCATTTTATATGCATAATTTTCTCTTTTGTTTGTTTTTTTCCCTCAGTTAACATTGGTCCAAATGCCTTCCTTTGTAAAATATCAGTCCTCATAGTTACCATGAAAAATGATTCTTTTGGTGAAGTGTGCAGTATGCAAGCTTTTCTCTGCTCTCCTGCCTCAGTTTAGAATCTAGGGTGGAGGCAGAAGAGAGATATACCCTTAAATACCAGCAATGGCCGACAGTGATAGATAGGAAGGCATTGTGATCTCTGGGACATGGGACCAGTAGACTGAACCTTGCTATTTCTCAGGATCCCAGTCCAAGAAATCTGAATGGAATGCTTGTTGGTAGAAAGGGACAAGGGACTTTTATTGAGTGCCTGTGGGGAAGCCAGCTGCTGTCCTGTACATTACCTCATTAAGCCATTTGTAATTAATCCTGAGTAGAAGATGGATGGAAGGATTGATTAGGCTAGGATACTGTTGCTGCTGCTGCTGACAACAGCTGATTTCTACCACTCTTCTGGGAACTTGCCATGAATTGTGTCATTTATACCTCACAATAACCCTATGAGGTGTGTACTAATGTTATCCCTACTGTACAGAGGAGGAGACCAAAGCAAAGAGGGGTTAAGTAACTTGCTCAAGGTAACACAGCTGGAGTATGGCTGAGTCAGGTGAAAACTCCAACATGAGAGCTATTGTAGTAAGATGCAGAGCTGGGATTTGAACTCACTACACCACACTGAGGTTCGTAATCCTTGGGACGGCAATGAGCTCTTAAAAGCTTAGGGAGAGCTAATGCACAGCAACCATGGGCTTGCTTCACTCACAAATCTGGGAATAAAAAATAGGTAATCAACATGTGTTCCCTGAAGAAGGAAGCTGTTACACAGTAATTCTGAGCTCCTAAATTGGCAGAAGGAACTTTGCAGCAGGGAGATCCTATTGTTTGGGAGTGTTTCGAGTGGTCCCCAAGGGTGCAGGGAACTCATGTTTGGTGTCAATAGATCACTCTAGGGTGTCAGAAACAGAGAAGCTGTTTGTTAACTCACCCTTCTGACACCCCCTGTGAATGTCATGTAAATTTCATCTTTGTGTAGCATTTCATGAATTTTCAGAGCTCTTTCAGAGTCAACACCTTATTCAATGTCTTATCTTGGTGTTCAAGCTTCTTCACAATGAGGCTCTAGCCTAAGTTTCCAGACTCCTCGCCTTCACCCCTGCTTCCCACCCTATGACCGTCCATTCCTCTTCAAGCCACATCAATCTTCCTGACATCCCCACAATTACCTCATCCTCACATACCTACTTATTGGTCTTCCTGCTTTTATCCCATCCTCTTCCTCCCTTCTCCACACTGCAGCCACTCTGTTGTGATCACTCCAGTCACAACAGTCCCAACTTAAAGTTGCCCTCCATGCTCCAGACACAATGGCCTCTTCTCTGTTCTTCAGACTTGCTAACCTTCTTCTCCTATGCCCTTTGTATGTGCCATGATTATCTTTGCCTGGAAAACTACCCTCTTTCCTTCCCCAATCTGTCAGGGCATGGATGGCTCTCTCTCATCATTCTGATCTCAGTTTAAATCTCATTTCTTCAGACAAACCTCTTTTCTCTATGTGAGTTCCTCTCTTTTGTCTTCTGTCAACTTTACTATTTGTTCTTGTAATAGTACTTTTTATTATTTGGATTTGTTAAGTATTTTAATTATCTTAGTAGGCTGAAGGTTCCATGAGATCAGTACCAAGTTTGTTCTGTGCTTAAAACAATCCCTGGCACATAGCAGGTGTTAATAAATATGCTGGGTCAGTGGATAGAGGAATAAATGAGTGAATGAATGAATGAATGAATGAATGGACTGATGGATATTTTAGTCTTTCCACTGATTGGTAACCTCTATGTGTTCTTTGTCTTTTCTCTGCACTGGACAAATCTTGTTTAGCATTTTCAAGTCAATGATTTGTTGAATCTTTGCATCTATCTCATAAAGAATGTATTATCCTTATCAAAATCTAGATATCATCTCAAATTTATACAACTACAAATAATGGAACCAGAATTTGAACCCAGCTTTATCTGATACCCAAGTCCAAGCATGTGCTGGAGATAACACAACATGTATTACTCCTGTCCATTTATATGAGCAGGAGAGGAAAGACATTAGCTTAGATGTCAGCAAGCTAAGTCTCTTAGAGCTATGTTTATCCACAACGTTGAACAGCAGACATAATCAAAACTATGTTTTATACAGTGAGCCTGCACATATTCACGTGTGAATGTGTGTGCGCACATCTCTAAAATAAGTTTTGCAAAATAATACACATTGTCATTACATGGGACCATGTTCTGATAGCTTCTATTCTTTTGATGGCATTTTTGTAATGCTGATGGAGCCACTGAATTGATTTCACAGTTTGAGAGTGGGTCATAACCTTAAGTTTAAAAACCTCTTTCTTAGAGGAGCTAATAAAGTGCCAGAGGCCACAGTGGGAACAGGTGCATGACAACTGGATCTGAGGTGGCTTGCAGGAGACATTTCTTTCCCAGAGATCTGAAGGATGAAGATAATTCAAGGGCTTCAGTTTGAGGGGTTGGTGGAGGAACTGGAAATGGTACCTGAGCCAGGCAAGGCCCACATGAGGGTTTTAGGTCTTACCCCTGCCATTTCTATGGCCAGCCACTTGTGTCTTTTACCCAACCCTATAGGCCACTGGGCCCATCATTTCCACATTTGCTCTTATGAAATGTGCTCAACCTGCCCTTTCTTGTGCCTTGTGCCTCAGATCTTATCTTATTTCTGTACGATGCTCTATCTTCCCTGGGGAAAGGAAAAACAACAACAACAACAACACCCTGCCCTCTGCTCCCTGCATGGGAATTACTGCCCATCTTTAAGCCATACTCTGTTCTGAGGCCCCAGATGCCAGTTTTCAGAGAGCCTGGGGAACTCCCTTACTAACAGCAGCTCCCATTTGACTGTGCCTTGAGGGTGCTGCCAGGAGCACGTGCAGGGCAAGGGGAAGATAGAATGGGCAGAATTGTTTTAACAAAAGCAAGACTGCTTTAAAGTGGTTGCATGTGGGATTATTTTTGAAACATAGGCCCTCTAGGATGAAAAGAAGAAAAATTTGGAAATGATTTTCTTTTCTTTTTCTTTTTTTTTTTTTTTTTGGTGACTGAATCTGGCTGTGTCACCAGGCTGGAGTGTGTAGTAGCACCATCTTGGCTTACTGCAAGCTCTGCCTCCCAAGTTCAAGTGATTCTCCTCCCTCAGCCTCCTCAGTAGCTGGGATTACAGGTGTGCACCACCACACCCAGCTAATTTTTGTATTTTTAGTAGAGACAGGGTTTCACCATGTTGGCCAGGATGGTCTCGATCTCCTCACCTCATGATCCAACCACCTCAGCCTCCCAGAGTGCTGGGATTACAGGCATGAGCCACCACGCCCAGCCAGAAATGACTTTCTTAACATCAAAGTGCCTTGACATCCTTATACCAAACTGCCTCTTTCCTCTCCATGTTGCCTCTGTCCTCTCCCTATTCCCAGTGATGTTTGAATTTTGCATTTTAAATGTCCTGAAGGCTCATAGTTCTGTCCTGTGTCCTCTGTTCCTTCATTAGCCATCTCCACAGCCACAGGGGGAGACAGGATTGCATTTACTTCCTGATTCTTCTCTTTGGGTACACCTCTTCCTCACCATTCATTTGTTCATTCATTCATATTCATTTCTTTAACAAATGTTTACCATCACCCACTGTGTGCTGAAGACTGTTTAATGTAGACATACATAGCAAAATAGGGAATAGTCTTTCCCTAAAAGGTCACAGTTAAGAAGGGTATAAAACGGTAATAGCTGCTTTATTTTATACAGCACTTTAACATTTATAGAATGGCTTCATAAACATTATATGATAAACTGTGTGTTATTGAACACTTTTGAGAGACACAGAACCTTGTTCCAGCTCTGAGACATTAAGTCACTCATCCATGAAATACAGAGAGTTTGATGGTGCAATTGTACTTTATACCCACATCCCTTAAGTTCAAGTTCAGTACTCTCTTTGTTTTGCCACACTGTATTTATCCCTGTGACATCCTGAATATTATTTGGTAAACAACTTGTTATATCTACATTGCTCTCCCCCTCTTAATCTGAAAGATCATGAACTACTCTTTGGAAGTATTCAAACAAGACTAGGTAGACATTTGTCAAAATGGTATAGCATGGGGAGAGATCAGACACAATTTAAGTAATCTCTTCTAATTCTCAGCTTGTAAAATTTGAGCTTAATTTATTTCTATTTAATTTTCATCTTAGGACTTCTTAGAAAACAAGGAGGCAATATCTGTGTTTGAAAATAGGCTCCTTAGAACTAGCCAGCCTGGAAAGTATTCAGAATTGAGTTTTCTTTTTTTTCTTTGCCACTGATTGACAAACCAAATGTCACTTGTAGAATGGCAGAGCATTCATTTTTTGCTCCAATTAATTGTACCACATGGTGGAGTTCACAAGGCCATCCTGGACCAGACCCTGCCTCTGCGGCTTTTTTGCTTTGGTTTCTTAGCTGGTGCCTCCTCTTGGACGTTTGGCCCTGGTGTCTAAATGCCTAGGCTCTGCAAAGCAGGCAGCAGCAATGCCTCCAACAGACAGGAGCTTGGCATCCCCTGATAGCCATCCTCTGAGCTGTCTCTACACACTCTCTAAAATAAGATATAGACAGAGATTTGTCATGGAATCACAAACAGGAATGTCACCAAAGCTGTCACTAGAGCCCCTTAAAATGTCACTTCCCAGCATTAATTGCCATGATAGCAAAACAAACGGGCATGCTCTGAACATTTGCTCTTCCCCTCCTCCCTCATGATCCTTTTCCATCTCCCTGTCTCTCCTTTCTCCCTACTCCCTCAGAGCCCCGCTTTCTCTTTATCTCTGGGGACCCTTGCACATTCTGACTTGATTAGACTGTGGCTGGCAAGGCAGTACCACCGCATAGTGACAGATGAGGTTGAAGGAGGTTTGGTAAATGTCAGGGGCTGAAGCGACTGTTCTCTGATTGATCAGAGCTGAAGCAGTTTCCCAGCAGTCAGGGGACTTTGTACCTCCTGTCCTGGGCTCCCTTGAAATGGCTGGAGCTCACCCAGTGGGGAACTGACTGACAAAGAAAGTCCAGGACAGCTCAACCTCAATGCCTCTGACAAAGAACCAGCCTGCCTCTGGATTTGATATCTTTATCCACTGTAGAGCTAAATTCATCACTACTACCACAAGTATGATCAGTCCTTATTTTATCTAATATTTCTTAATTATAAAAGTTATGCATGCTCATTAGTGAACACTTGAAAGTAAAGTATAAATTAGCAATTTTTTGTATGCCCCATTGAATAGCCACAGTAACTTTTTACTAATTTTTTCTGTCTTTTCCCTTTTATATATTGAAAGTGAAAAATTATTGTTTTCTATCTTGCATTTTTATTTAATATTATACAATAAGTATTTCAACATGCATGTAATTCTATCTCATGACTGCTTCATAATGTATTTATTGATGGACATTTTAGCAGCTTTTTTTTTTTTTTTTTTGCTATTTTGTATTCAACATCAACAACCATTTTTAGTCTTAAATTCATTTTCACTATTCTGTGTTATTTCCTCAGGGTATATTCCCAGGAGTGGAATTATTGGGTCAAATGGTCTGAATGTTTTAAAGTTCTTGATACATGTTTAGCTCAATATCTGTTGGGAAGTCTCCATACACATTTGTTAAATAAGGTAACATTTATTCATCTATTTTTCATTCATTAATTCAACAAGCTTTAATTAAGTACCTACTGTGTGTCAGGAACTATTTAAGGCACTGAAGATAAAGCAATAAATAAGATATATGCAAGTCAATTTCTATAGCAGTTTCTTTCTAGCACAGAAAGACTATAAGCAAATGAACAAAATATATGTATATATTAGATATATAATAATGAATGATAATAATTGCAATGGGGGAGAAAGAAAACAAAGGAGGGAATTAGGGCCCTCAGGAAAGGTCTTAATGATCAGATAACACATGAAAACTGATCTACAGGAGATGAAGAGGCAAGCCATTTGAATATTTGAGGAAACAGCTTTTTGGGCAGAGGGAACAGCAGGTATAAAGGTCCCTGGCACCAGTGTGATTGGAGCACTAGAGGAATAGGGAGGAGTAGCATTGAGAGAGAGAGCACTAGAATAAATTGGGTTATAGGAGCAGTGGTAAGAAAGTCATGTAGAGCCTGATAGAAAGGGACACTGACTCTTCCTGTGAGTGACATGAAAAGCCATTGGAAAATGGGGGAATGAATTTTTGCAAAGGTGGTAAACAGTTAGGGCCAAACTGAGAAGGAGTGATTTGGACATAGAGTTGCAACTCAGAAGCGAGGATACTAACGAGAGCAGAGAATAGAGATTGTACTATGGAAACTCACAGGCAGAATTTAGCCCCTACATAATGTTTTGTTTTGTTTTGTTTTTGCTTGCCTACAGGGTATATTTTTGAATTCAGTTGTTAATATATATAAATTGGAAAATTTCACATAGAAATTCACATTTCTGCCTCACTTGGTGACTGAAGGATCTCAAAACCTTAGGCCCATTCTTGTGCCTTCCAGCACTTAGCAGGAGCTGAGTGGTAGCAACTGCTTTGGAAGGGCTGCTCTCTCTACTTCATCAGGAACACCACCTGATTAAGTTCCTTAACCTAAATTCTCCCTCCTTCCTGAGAGATTGGAACTCACATCTCCCAGAGGAAGGAGAAATTGAGACAGCCCTTATGATCTGAGCAGTGGGAACCCAGAGTATACAGGAACAATGGATTCACTTCCTATTTTGTGTAGCAAGAGCGGGAGGCCTTAGGATCTTTAAGACTTTCTAGAAGGTATGTATCTTCACTCTCCATTAGTATAAGGGTAGGGATGCACAGATTAGTCTAGGAAAGGATACCACTCTCTTTCAACTCCTTGAGTTTTGTTTTACCAGCCAGGCAGAGGCTGGCAGCAGATCAGAGACCAAGAGACCTTTAAGAACTTTGACAGCAGAGGATAAAGTAGTTAAGATGCCCAACTCTTGAACCAGACACACCGGGGTCCAGTTTCACCTTACTAATACTTTTGAGATTCAACCTCCTCACCTCTAAAATGGGATTACTTGTTTTGCAGTATTCTTGTAAGAATTAAGGAAATCATATATATAAAATAGCACAGTGTTTTGACTCAAGAAATGGAAGCTATTATTGACATGTTGTCTGAAATATTCATTTCATTCAACAGAGACCCAGGGAGGGGAGAGAGGTATCTGAAGTTACACAGCAAGTTAATACTGGGTGTATGGGGGATGCAGCGTTTGTGGGGAATGGTGGCTTTGATGTGGACATTCTGTTTCTAGTCAATGCCATCTTAACGTTTCAACCACACCACTTCTGAAGGAGTTCCTTTCTATCCATGTTCCAGCCCATGCCTTTGTCTTGACTCATCATAGGAGATTGCTAAATATGTTTAAAATGAATGGGTGAATGGGCAAATGAATATATCCCTGACTGGAAGGGACTAATTTGCTGCCTAGTGGGTAGTGGGTAAACAGCAGTTCTCCTGATCCTATCTCCTGAGCACTTTTAAGTGCCGTTGTTTTCTTTCTCTACAGCTTACAATCCTCACCTTTTTTGTGTCCTTTTATAAGACATTGTTCAGGATGTAGGAGTCTCCTATCTGGGAGGTTAGGATGTCTGGCAGACAGGACCTTCTACCCACTGTCCCAGGTGGGGACAGGAGGGGACACTAGAATTATGAAGTCCTGGTGAGAATGGACGGCCATTCTCAGACTCCACGCTCTGGGGAAAGGGCACTCACTGATGCTCAGGTAGATGTAGTGCTGCCCACTGAGCATGGTTAGAGAGGCCACCGACCTGCCTGCAAATAGATAATTCCCACGGGTACCTGGCTCCCATGGGACTCTCAAAATGTGGATGCTTTTACAGTCAGTAGCCCATAGAATCATTATTCCTTGGCATTTCCAAGTCAGACATTTATTGAGTGCCCTTTCTTCTCCACATTTAAAAACTGTAGTACCTTAAACAAGTTGTTTATTCTCATCTATGCATGCTTTCTCATCCGTGGAATGAATGCTGAACCCCTGTAACTTGGCTAGAAGCCATCCTGGGTGGTTAACATCTTTGGCAGGACAGGAGCTTGGTTTCTGAAGAGTTCCCAGCTACGATGTTTCCTCGGCATCCAGCAACAACACAGCAGTGAGGAGACAGGCATCTTGCTCCCTTAGCTGCTATTCCATACTGAAGTAGAGGCCAGTGACTGGAAAATGGAGATGATAGCCCCACTATGTCTCCTCATCTCACTCTCCTCCACCCCACCCCCATAAACTACATGACACCTTCCAGTATTAATATACGCAGGCAACTTCGGAAAACTCCTCATGCTATGGAAAGGGTGATGGTCTTAAACTTTCCTGACTAGGGGATATGGGTCAGATTCTAATCTTATCTCCTTACCTACTCACTAATTTCGACATATTGATGTCTTGAACTAGTCACTTTCAACCAGGATCGGGGGTGATTTCCTCTCTCTCTCTCTCTCTGTCTCTCTCTCTCTCTCTCTCTCTCTCTATCACACAGACACACACACACATCTTTCACTGGAGACCTTTAGCAATGTCTGAAGACATTTTTTTTTGTCATGACTAGGGAGGGGTTAGGCCAGGGATGCTGCTTAACATTCTACAATGCACAGGACCGCCCCCCAACCCCAGCAAATAATTACCCACCTCAAAATATCTATCAAATCAAGGCTGAGAAACCCTGCTCCAAGCCTTGGTTGTCACATTGGTAAAATGGAGATTCCAGTTTCACAAGAACGTGGGAGGAACAAACAATTATAAAGGTGAATGCTTTTTGTAACTGTAACATACTACACAGATGTAGGATAGCAATGTTATTGTTCCATTGTGTCTTAGTCTGTTTTCTGTTTAACTGAATATCTGAGACTAGGTAGTTTATGGAGAAAATAAATTTATTTCTTCCAGTTCTGCAGACTGGGAAGTCCAAGGTAGGAGGGCTGCATCTGGTGAGGGCCTTCTTGCTGATGGGGACTGTCTGCAGAGTCCTGAGGCAGCGCAGGGCATCACATGACCAGGGAGACTCGTGACAGACAGCCAACCTAGTTTTTAAAACAGATTCACTCTTGTGATAACTAACCTATTCTCATGACAACCCATTAATCTATTAGTCCTTTAATGCATGAGTGGATTAACCTATTAATGAGGTCAGAATCTTCATGATCCAATCACTTCTCAAAGGCCCCATCTCTCAATACTATTACATTGGGGGTTGACTTTCAACATGAGTTTCAGAGGAGACAATCATTCAAACCATAGCACATCATTATTTTTTAGCATCATCATCATCATCTTCATCAATCTCAGGGCCTTTGCATCTCTGTTCTCTCTTCCTGAACAGTTCTTTCCTCAGGGCTTTGCATGGCTTGTTCCCCCAGTTCCTTCAGGTTTTTCTTCATATAGCACCCTAAGGCCCTCCCTGACCAGCCTGTATAAAATAAAAAATAAAACAATGTACATAATCATACACACATGCACCACACTGTGTTCTCCATTACCTTAATTTTTCTATTTTTTTCTTTCTTTTTCTGAGATGGAGTCTCACTCTGTCTCCCAGGCTGGAGTGCAGTGGCACAATCTCAGCTCACTGTGACCTCTGCCTTGCAGGTCCAAGAGTTTCTCCTGCCTCAGCCTCCTGAGTAGCTGGGATTACAGGCGTGCACCAACACGCCCTGCTAATTTTTGTGTTTTTAGTAGAGATGGGGTTTCACCATGTTGGCCAGGCCAGTCTCAAACTCCTGACTTCATGATCTGCCCTCCTTGGCCTCCCAAAGTGCTAGGATTACAGGCGTGAGCCACTTCGCCCGGCCTTCTTTATAATTTTTGCCACCATTTGACCCATTATAAGTATTATCTGTCCATCTTTAAGAATTGTGTCTGTTTTGTCCCATGCTGTCTGCTTCTTGTTTAGAACATTGCCTGGCACTGTATAGAAAGCAAATAAATAATTGAGGAGTGAATTGATAAAACAAGTGAGTAAATGAATCAATGGAAGACTTACCTAAATGCCTTAATTCAGTTTCTTTCTATTTCAAATGATTGGCTATTTAGTTCAGCTAATGGGATTTATTTTATTTATTTATTTTATTTTATTTTATTTATTTATTTTTTTGAGACAGAGTCTCGCTCTGTTGCCCAGGCTGGAGTGCAGTGGCGTGATTTCGGCTCACAGCAAGCTCTGCCTCCCAGGCCCGCACCATTCTCCTGCTTCAGCCTCCCGAGTAGCTGGGACTACAGGCGCCCGCCACCACACCCGGCTAATTTTTTGTATTTTTTAGTAGAGACGGGTTTTCACCGTGTTAGCCAGGGTGGTCTCGATCTCCTGACCTCGTGATCTGCCCGCCTCAGCCTCCCAAAGTGCTGGGATTACAGGCGTGGGCCACCGCGCCCGGCCAGGATTTATTTTTAGTAGAAATAGGAGTAATATTAGTTACTCTATATGGGCCAAGTTGTGTGACCAGTACTTAATAAATAATTACGCATAAAATTTTCAAAAAATTGATATGGTCATTACTTCTAATCACTCCCTTTTTCAGATGAGGAGACCGAAGCAGAGGAGGCTCTGGTAACTAGCTCAGGGTCATGTACCTGGTTTGTATTAGACCCAGGATTTGAAGCTAGGTCTGTGTGACCTTGAAATTCTCTCTTTTCACCAATAACTCTGCTTCCCGTACTTCCTTTACCTTTCTGTTCCTTGAGGAACACAAGGACAGGTATGATCAGAAACAGTCTCAGGCTTCATGGAGATACACTATTGATTGGATATAACAGCAATTGGCTCATTGATTCTGCCTCAAGTAGCTCTGCTAAATTCATGAATCTTGGCCTCTTTTTCTCTGTTCCTCTTTGGCTCCCACCTGGAAATAACCTCTCTATGCTTCCTAACCTCTGCATGCCCATGGCTTCTACTGCTTCACAGCTTCTGTGCCTAGCCCATCTCCATTCCTTGTGAGACATGCTCTGCCTGCCTCTGACTCTTCTCTCATGCCTTCTTTTCAAGCACTCCATGAAAGAATTTGTCATATCCAATACTGAATGCCCTAGTGAGGAGATCCCCACACCAGGAGACGTCACCATCCATAAGCTAATCTGGAACTATCTGACTCTGTGCAGATATAGAGCTCTGTTCCTATCAGCTTTATCAGGATGGTGGAGTCTTGGGGTACCTAGCAAGCCACACTCTAGGTTATGAAGCATCTGCAGCTCCTTTTTACTAAAGCACGCATCTGTGAATGTGGCAGATCCTCAAACATCATATCCTGTCCAGAATAGTAGGGAGTCCATCTGCCCAGAGCAGGGCTGGTGTGCCTTGCTTCAAAGGAGACTGATTTGTGAAAAGCTCAGCTTAGCAAAGAAATAAATCAGGAAGTGACAGATTATTTTCCTAAATGATTCTTCATTTTACAAAAGCAATTCACCACAGGATTCTTTTCATATATAGCACTAGGAATAAATGTAAAAAAGAAGAGGATTTAAACAACTTTTAGCTTATCAAAATGTTTATAGACACACTAGTCTATAAACCAAAGCCAATCTATAACGTCAGGGCTTTCTGGGATGATGGATAGTAGCAAGATGGGTGTGGAATGGGCAGATGTGGGTATGAATCGTGTGCCCATACAGTGCCTCAATCGTGGACAGAGTAACTAACCTCTTTTAGTCTCGGATTCCTTACCTGTGAAGCTGGCTTTTAATAGTGTTGGACTCTTCTCAGGTTATTTTCAGGATGAAATGCAATAATATATGAACAATCTGGTGTAGAGGCCACCTGACACAAATAGTAATAATCTTGGGAAAGTCATATCTCCTCCCTGAGTCTCAGTCTTCCCATCTGTATCATGAACAGCTTGGACCCTTCCTTGCTGGTCTAAACCTGCATTCTTCAGTGGAACTGTGGGGTGTGGATATACATTAAAATCAGTGGAAGCTGAGTTGGAACTCAGTGCCATATGACTTGCAGGCATGACCAACAGTGTATGTAGGGGGTGAGGTTATTAGAAAAACCAGGAAAAGAGGAAGACATTCTCTCATGCGAACTCTTATCTACTGACAGCTCCTTTTACAGAAATGATGCAAAAGAGATAAAGGGTGTCAGTCACTGTCATTCTGAGATGGCTGAGGCCAGTCTCCAGTCCATGTCAACAGCTTCCTGGCTCCAGGACTGTCCCTGAGAGTGTCCCAAGGAGGTCGGCAGACAGAGATATCACTTCCTCATGATTTCCCTGGTGAATGAAGCCTTCGGAGAACAGATGCATCTACTTCATTATAATTGCGTTAAGTGCTGCCTGATTGGCGCTGTTCATCACCCCAGGAAGCAGCCTCGCCCCATGGACAGACAGTCTGCCTGCTTTGGCTCGGCACAGCTCCAGCTATGTCCTTGGCAGTGTCTGCTTGCTATACCCCCGGCTCTGCTCCAGGGGAGAGGAGGCAGTATGCTACAGAGGGTGGGCAGTCAGGTAGAAATGAGAGAGCCTGGGCTGTGCCTTCAGCGTGTCTGTTGCCTGAGTTGTCCTTCTCAACCCTGGGCCTCAGCCTGTTTATATGTGGGCAGATGGATTGTGAGGTCTCTACACCTTCTTCTGGCTCTTAACCTGTAGCTATCTCAGAAAGGAGGTCAGATGGATATTCCAGGAGGAGAGGGTTCTCCTGAGTGTTAAATTGGCTTGGTTCTGAGGGCTGGGTGTCTCCCTGTAGGACCCCAGAGGAGAAAGCAATTTCTGGACTGTGTCCTCACATTGCAAGAAAATGAGGTTTGCTCCACCCATAAAAGATCCAGAGGGAGGGCAGTAGAGGATATTCTGATATCAGGGCTGCATTTCATAACCCCAGCTCTCTATGCATGGATGTGGGAAAGGGGGATGTAGGTTTTCAGATGTAATAGAGTGAGGCTGGCAAATCAGGAAAGGCTTTGTGGAAGACAAAGTCTTCAACCAAGGTATCTAAGCCTGAACATATCTGAGAGGGAAGGTGAAGGGATGGAACTAATATCTTTCTAGAGAGTAGTGGATAGAAATGTGGACTCTGGGACTAGGCTACCTAGGTCAACTCCTGAAATTTACTGATACTTACTAGCTATGTATAACCTTGGGCAAATTAGTAAATGCTCCCCTTCCTCTCACTGTCCTCGTTTCTAAAATGGAGACAATAAGGATGTGGATACCCGAGTTGTTGTAAGAACAAATGATGTAATTTATGTAAGACTAAATGATTAATACATGTCACAATGCTTAAAGGAGTGCTTATCACAAGAAAAAGGGTCAATTAATGTTAGTTATTATAGTGCATTGTGAGCAAGTCCTCTGCAGATAGATCGGGTGCTTTATATGCTTCTTTATTTAATTCTCTCAACTACTCAGCAATTCATTCATTCATTCATTTACCAAATACTCATTAGGACAGAGCAGTGAAAGTGCTGGCGTGACCCTTTCCCTCAGAGATGCTATCCTCTAATGAGAAAATCAGACTTGAGACTGGAGACTTGAACCAACTTATCACACAATTACTAATTTAATTAACACAAAGCTGCCAGGAAGGAAACATACTGCATGCTCTGGGAGAAGAAAGGGGATACTTGACCTCAATTTGGCTGTTCAAGAAGGCCTTTCTGAGGAAGGAAGATTTAAGCTGGAATTAGAAGGGTATGTAGCGTTCAACCAAATGAACTGAAGAACAGAGAAAGTGATCTTTTTAAAAGTTCTGTTTTATTTTTTAATTGACAAATAATAATTGTCTGTATTTGTGGGGCCCAACGTGATGTTTCAATATGAGGAAGAGTCTCTTGAAATAAAAACTTGGCTTGCTTAATGGCCTAGAAGGCCAATGTGGCTCAAACACAGTGAGGAAGCCTGGGTCAGTTTATTCTAGGACACAGAGATGGGGGCACCGAGACACTGCAAGCTGAAGTGGCTTTTAAGACGTTCTGTAACTGGAACAGAAGGACTGGGATTGCCCTAAGATGAAAGCTTTTCTTCTGCCCCACTATGGCATATACCACCGAAAGTGATTGCTTATACAAGGAACAGAGAACAGCTTAGTCTGAGGTCAGGAATGCTGTAGACAAAAGCAGTGATTAGGAGGTGGTGGGGCAGGCCTTGAGTGCCCGGCTACATTTGGACCTTATCTGTTCTAATTTCCCTAGAGCTATAGGGTGGAACTGGATTAATTTCAAAATAATTCTGTCCATGCTCTAGGGTTTAATATCTCCTGTGTCTCCTGGGTCATCCTTGGTGTGAGAACACTCTGCTCAGATCAGTGGTATATAAAGTGTTTTCAGTTTTTCATTATGCCATGTGTGCATCTGTGGGGTATGTGTTTGTGTGTGTGTGTGTGTGTCTGTGTCTGTGTCGTTTTCTTCCCTGAAGCATGCTGAGTTCACTCAGGGAAATGCCTGGGACTTGGGTGAAATCTTATTATTTTTTTTTTTTTGGAAGGCATGCAGTACAAAATCATTTCTCTCCCTACATAAATATGCATGAGGCTGGCCTGCTCTCTTTTCCTCAGGAAGTGTGGGCAGGGGAGAGAGAGCCCATATGACTGGTATCAGAGCCCTGCCCATGGCTGCTGGCACCCCATTAATCGGGGGGAACAGCAGCCTTGTGAACTGTGAAATTGGCAGCCCCCTGACAGCTTTGGGGCCCAGTTGAGCAGGGACACCATTTCACAGCTGGAAGGTGGCAGCATGGGGTGGGGAAGGAGGGCACTGGGCTCAGTGGGCCAGAGAAGTCATGCTCCCTCTCAGCTTTTGCGAATCCCAAACGAGTCTTGCTGAGAGGACGCCTCTTGCTTAAGGTGAGCAGGAAAGAGAGAGGAAAGAAAGAAAGGGGTAAGGGAAGGAACACAGTGAATGATAACGGCCATTATAACAAACACTGAGTATCTACTGTCTATTGAGATCCAAGTGCTATGCTTTGTACTTGCTATGGATTTCTTTATTTAATACACATGATTTTTCCATATGGTATCATCATTAGCCCTGTGAAACAGACCAGGCAAAACAGGACCTGCTTTAAGCACCAGGAAGTGGTAGAGCTACAATTGGGACCTGGGTCTGACTCCAGAGTCTGTGTTTTTTGCCACTGTGCTATCCTGTTGTCTAGCATGCTATAAAATAAAATAGAAGAGAGTCTTGTATTGTTCACTCGGTGGCCATTTACAAAGTGCACACTCCATGTACAGAATGAAGTCACTGTGCTAAGTGCTAGGTTATAGAGGGATTAATACCTTCAACAAGTTTATGGTTGTGTGTAAGAGAGTTGAGTAAACAGGCAATTTCAGCAGTATGAAATGTATTTGAGACATTTGCCAGAACCCAATCTTAGCTCTGATACTTACCAGCTCTTTGACCTGGGGCAAGTTATTTGACATCTCTGGGCTTCAGTTTCCCCATCTCTGAAATAGTTATGTGAGCATTCTCAGCTTATACATTGCTGTGAAGAATAATTGAAATACTCCAGATCATCTGCAGCCAATTAAGCCAACTGGGTTCCTTTCCTCATGGGGGCCCATTGTGCAATGGCTGCAAACAGCAGCTTTCTTGGTAGTGTATGCAGCCTGTTTGTTGTATGGGTTGCTTTAAGGGACCATGGAAACAGGCCTTTCAGATGTATGTTTATGTTTCTGACCTTGCGCTACCCCAGTGCAGGCTCCAAACAGGCATGCGAGGTGCCTTTGGAAAGCCCCAGGGCACTGTGACCAGGGTTCACATTGGCCAAGTTATCATGTCCATCCACACCAAGCTGCAGAACAAGGAGCATGTAATTGAGGCCCTGCGCAGGGCCAAGTTCAAGTTTCCTGGCCACCAGAAGATCCGCATCTCAAAGAAGTGGGGCTTCACCAAGTTCAATGTTGATGAATTTGAAGACATGGTGGCTGAGAAGCAGCTCATCCCTGATGGCTGTGGGGTCAAGTACATCCCCAGTCGTGGCCCTCTGGACAAGTGGCGGGCCCTGCACTCATGAGGGCTTCCACTGTGCTGCCCCCTCTTAATACTCACCAATAAATTCTACTTCCTGTCCAAAAAAAAAAAAAAAAAGATACTCCAGATCAGTTGTTTAGAATGGTGCTCGGTGCATAGTAAGCAGTCAATAAATGATTGCTGTGAGTGTGCTGAAATATGGATATGAACAAATATTCCAGGATCACAGAGGAAATGGCATTCAAATGTGCTGACGATGTGGATGAGAACTTCCCTCAAGAGGAGACATTTGAGCTGAATTTGAAGATAAGCTCATCAGTGAACCCAGGGGCAAGGGAAAGGGGATGTGTAAAGGTCCCAAGGCAACAGGGAGAGAACATTGTAGGAACTGTGAGAAGTTTCAAGTGGCTGGCAACAAAGGAACATGAACAGAAAGAGCAGACTGTAGAGGAAGAGATGGGTCAGATCACCAGGGTCCTGGGACTTTATCTGGGAGGCCCCAGGGAGCCACTGAAAACTTTTAACTGAGAAGTGTCATGCCCAGATAGTCTTCCTCCCAGAAAGATCATTTAACATGGTGGCACAAACTTAGATCAGAAAAAAGGCAGAGAGATCAAGAATGGAAGACTACTCTGTGAATCAAAAGAGAGATGCAGAGCTAGCATGCTCCAAGAGATGATACAGCACTGATCTGGAAATGGGCCTCCCTGCATTTTATTCAAAGCTTTGCTGCAGATCTGCCATTTGAATTGGATGCCCTTAGATGGACCTCAGTTTTCCCATCTATCAAATGAGAACCAATGATCTCAGAAGCATCATCCATCACCTACATCCTACATCCTTGAATAGGGAGGGTAATGTCTGAGGTAAGGAAATGGCAAAACCAGGGGATTGGGGGTAAAGTAAGTCCCTAAACACCAACTTTCAGCAGCCTGAAATGACAGATCTGCAGTGGGGTCTGAATGACAGATCTGCAGTGGGGTCTTTCAGAATCAGGCAGAAAGGCCCTGCCTGTGCCTTTAGGCCCAGCAGTCCTGGAGTACAGCAAGCATAGGAGAGAAACAAGCATAGGAGGGAAGCCCTCATGTCGTTACATTACACTTTTATTTATCAAAGGTAAGAGAAGAGATGGGGGCAAGGAAGAGGTGCAAGAAGGAGAAGCAACCAAGAAGAGGAAGAAGAGAGACTTCCTTTTAGGAGCCAGAAGAATATTGCTAATCCCTTCCCTAGTGTTACAAATGATGGGGTCTCCTATTAGGATGGTGTCATCCTAAGTAATCCATTTTACCTCTTGGAGACTGGTTCACCATGTGGGAGATGGAAACGGCAACAAGCTGGGTTACTTATCTCAAGATGACTATATATAGAAGATATGTGGATATATATACATACACACACACACATATATATCCCCACATAAGCATATATATGTGAAAATATGTATATATCAGCATATCATTATATATATTTATATACATGTATGCATACATACATATGCTGTGTACATATATAGTCTTGTCCTTCCCAAAGTAGAAAGAAAGCTCTGGTGGTTGGAATTCTAAGTCTGTTCACACATACTCTGTAATCAGCACATGGGATATTTCCTGGCACATAGTAAGCCTTCAATACATATTGGCTGAATACATAAATAAAAGAAATGAGCTAATGGTGTGTCATATAGACTGTTAAGGATTGTGTGCACGTACGTTATCTCTGTTACTACTCTCAGGGAATATCCGCTTCATCTACTATGTTTACAAAAGAATAAAGGAAGAAAGGAGAAGGAAAAACAGGCTATGAGAGGGCTGGAGGGAGCTCAGTTGGAATCCTGAGTCAGCAGCCTCCCACAGAGCCATCACTGTCTGTGGTGGTGGGCCCAGGAACACCCTGGCTGCAGCCATGTGTGTCTAATAACTTAATTAGGGCTGGTGCCGCTCTATGCAGCCCAGCTGGGCCCAGCCTTCTCCCCTGCAGATGATGTTTTGCCAGCCCTTGGCACTTTGATTTCCCTGCCTGCGTCTTCTCTGTGCCCTTGCTAATTGGATCTGAGTGGTGAGGATTCTATGCCAGGATAGGCAGGCCAGAATTCCACACTTTTCCTGCCAGCAGAGATCCTAGAACTTTGCCCCCTCTGATTTTGTCCCTCTGAGCGCTTATCCATTGTCCTTTCATTGCCTGCCCTGGAGCAGTTAGTGAGGGATGTTGGGGAATTTGCTGCTGATTTTTGTCTATGCTGGCCTCTCCTGTTGGACATATATCTCTGGTCCTTAAGTGCTTGAGGGTGAAACCAATCTACTTCAAAACTGGGCACACAGATCTGTCCAAAACAGTATCCAAAAGTTATCATCACAAAAACCAACTCACTTCCCTACCCATCTCCTTTCCTTCTGTTCACTGACACTCATTGAGTGTCTGTTCTCTGCTGGGTGCCTTTCAGGTAGCAGGGACACAGCAGTGCTCAAAATAGACCAGTACTTGTCCTTGTGGAGCTTTCATTCTAGTGGAGAGCATGGACATTTGTTACATGAATGCATTCATAAAAACATTCATGAAGGATGGAGATAAGGGTCAAGATGGAGTAGAGAGAATAAAGAATGAAAGGGATGAAGCACTGCTAAGTCAGAGAGATTATCAGAGAACAAGAGAGTATTTGAAATAAGGCAAGGCTTTGAGATAGATTCCAACAACAAGGGACAATAGGATGGAGTGGGTAAGAAAAGGTGAGAATTATAGATGGTGAGATTGGAGACCTAAGACAGGGCCCGATCACACGGGGCCTTGGAGTTGATGGTAAAGAGCTGGGATTCTCCTCTAAGTGTGAAGCCCTTGTAGAGTGTGGAACAAATGAGGCACAGGATGGACAAGTTCAGATTTATTCCTGAAGGGGCCCCACCTACCACTAAAGGAAGCATGGAGGATTAGAGGCCACACATGGAAGCTGAGAGAACAGGTCGCAGGTTGCTGCATATAACAATAACAAAAATGATGACTCTAATCACAACTAGTAGTTCTTGTGCACTCCTACTATGTTAATTATATTAGCAATCCTCCCAAATTAAGGATGCCCCATGGTGAACAGGTAGATACATAGATCAATGACTGAGAAGATGCAATTTGCTCACTCCTTTCTAGAGTAGGATTTTTAAAATGTGGGGCCCATGTTTGAGTTTTACACTGAAAATATTTGCAAAACATTGGGTACCTTTAGTTTCTGAGGGAGGGAATCTATAGCTTTGGTCACACAATTCTAAGGTCCCAGACACACCTGGACCATCTTACTTGGAGATGATGAAACTATTTCTGTGAAGCTGACTTTGCCTTGATGACATTAACACCGGGCGGTGGAGAGAATGCATTCTGTTCCAGGTTTCTCCACTTCACAGCTGTAGGACTGAGTCAAGTTATTTAACTGATTTGTCCCTCAGCTTCCTTATGCATAAAATGGTGATAATAATAAAACAAGGCTAGCTGTAAGTATTAAGTTAGTTACAGAGCATAAACTGTTTAGACACTCCTTGGCCTATACAGGTACTGTTTTTATCATTAGACCTCATTGTAGTTCACTCTAATTTCATAGAGGGTCTGGGTGAGGCTGTTACTTAATAACTCACACAGGTTATGAAATAGGAACATTGTCCTCAAAAACCAGAATCAGGATTACTGTTCTTTGGCCAGATGGTTATTTTAAACTTTTTAGACATCTGAATACTATAACAAGTTTTCCATGTTTGTACTGTCTGCTAGAATGCTCAGAGTCTAATTTGAAACAGAAACTCTAGGAAATATACCAGACATTGTATGTATTAATTCTTTATTTTTTAGAGACAAGGTCTTATTCTGTCACCCAGGCTAGAGTGCAGTGGTGTGATCATAGCTCACTGCAACTCATAGGCTCAAGCAATCTCCTACCTCAGTCTCTCAAGTAGCTGGGACTACAGGAGTACACCATCATGCCTAGCTAATTAAAACAATTTTTTGGAGATGAAGTCTTGCTATGCTACTTAGGCTGGTCTTGAACTCCTGGCCTTGAGCAAGCCTCCCACCTCAGCCTCCCAAGTTGTGGGGTTTAGAGGTGTAAGCCACTGTACCTGGCACTGTAAGTTAAATTTTAGCGCTGATCTTTCCCTTGGCTTCATCTTTACATCCTCATATCTATCTTTTTTTTTCTTCAATTAAATCTTTTCTA
The DNA here is from genome assembly GCF_000001405.40 of Homo sapiens. Classification (NCBI taxonomy): domain Eukaryota; kingdom Metazoa; phylum Chordata; class Mammalia; order Primates; family Hominidae; genus Homo; species Homo sapiens. Next base: position 117,176,558 of record NC_000009.12, on the reverse strand, counting down.
AAATACTCCTAAAATGTACTTTATTTTTAGTTACAAATTACTTTTATCATGCAATAAAGTAAATATAATTACATATATTCTAACCACCCAAATGAGAATACAAATATTTTGTGGTATACATCGGATTTTTTTACATTTAAAATGTTAAATTACACATAGCTAATCAACTTCACTGATTCTGTTTCTTACTACACAAAGGTTGATATTTCTAACCTATTTGGATAGTTATACTTTTACTTTATATATGGTATCATAATCTTATCTAAGATTGTCCTGTGTCCTGTGCTTTTAAATTTTTTATCTTACCACACTCCACCAGCAATGAATAAAATCTCTCATTTTCCCAAATTCTCGACAACCCTTATTATATTTTGCCATTCTGTAAGATATGAAATTATAACTTCAATGATTATTTAATTTGCATGTCAAAGATAATAATGAGGTTAAACATTTTTCCTTATATTAAATTTTCTTTCTTTTTCAATCCTGATTATATCTTTTGCATATTTTTATGATGGTTTTTTTTTTACCTGATTAGTAAATGTTCCTTATAAATATTGATAATAATCATATTTAAAAACATAAGTAGGCCTTTGTCATGTGAAAATATCTTCTTCCAATCTATGACTTATGTTTTAGTTTTGTTAAGAAAATCATTTCCTAATTTTGAATATTTTCATTTTAATTCTACAATGTTTTTTTCATTTGTAGTTTATACTTTTTGTGAATAACTGAGGAATTTAGAATTTTTTACTATCCTAGTGTCTTAGTTATGCACCTATAATTTCTTCTAAATTTTTAAGATTTTGCTTGTAAACATTTCAGTCTTTAACCATGGACTTTGTTTGCTTTAGTTTTTCACATGGATAGCTAATTGTCCTAGTTCACTATCTGGAGTCCATTCTTACTCCATGGATTTATGACACCACTGTCATAGGACAAGTCCTCGTGTATCTGGAGGTCAGTTTCTGAGCTCTCCTGTTCTAGTACCATGCTACTTTTAGTTATTATGGTTTTGTAATATCTTGGTATCAGAAAGGGCAGGACTCCCTCATTCATTTTCTTCTGTAAATGTCTTAGCTATTTTTCTCTCATTACTCTTCTGTGTGAATTTTAAGATAAAGTCTTATTTATGAAAAGGCTTGCTGTCACTGGGATTGGGATTACATTCAATTTACAGACTCACTTGCAAAATTCACAAAACTTAGACTTCTCATCCATGAAATAATATATTTCTTTATTTGAGCCTTCTTGTATGGCTATGAATAGAGTTAAACATCTAAACATTTTATCTATACATATATCACAGACTTTTAGTTGTATCTAATTTCTACCAGCATCACTATTTCTGCAACTGTTGCAAATTGTATCTTTTCACTTGTATTACATTTATTAATTGTTCCTTTCTTGTGTATAAGAACATCAGTTTTTCTTTGATTGAAGCCAGAAGATGTGATTATTTTATTACTTTTAGCCTCTAGATTTTTTTTAAATTTTCATGTGGAAAAAATGACATAATTTGCCATTAATAGTCTTGCGAATCTTTGTATCTTGTATTTGAATTATCTTGTTCTAATGCTCTTCCAGACTGGGCCTCCCATTCAGTGTTGAAGAAAAATGATGGCAGAGCATGCCATTTTCTTGTACTTTACTTTAAAGAAAATAAAACTAAAGCTCTATCACTATATGTCATAATATATCATAATGATAGAGTGTTAGGTTTTTGTTAGATAACCAAATAGTAAATGTTAGTAAACTTTTGACAGCAAATTTTCCTTCTATTCCTAATATACTAATCATTTTTCAAGCCGTGATTGGATATTACAATTTATTAAATACTCTTTCAGCATCAAGTGAGGTGATGTCTTCTCTTTTAACCTGATTGTGTAGTGTATTACTGTCGTTTCTATTAGTAAACTATCCTTACGTTTTTTAACATCTTTGTTAAGTTCCAATATCAACATTATCCTAGCTTCATAAAACATGAGGTTTACACAGCCTTCCTTCTTGTGCTGTCATGCTATTGTGTATAAATATTTGTATATGTAATTATTATGTGAAGTGGGTATATCTCATAAAGTTTGCTAGAATTTATGCTTAAGTCTATTTGTTTGATGTTTGTCTATTTGTTAGATGGTAATTTCTGACTATTGGTTCAAATATTTATATGGCTATTTTAGTTGTCTGTTTCTTCTTAACTCTGTTTTAGTATTTGTTATTTTCCTGAGACTCACTTATTTTTTCTAAGTTGTCTCATTTATAGACATATTGTCTTGTGTTGTTTAATATTATTTGTTAAATATTTAGCAGATAGTATTATATATGCATGTGTGTTTGTATACCTGTGATAAATAAGTATGTGTATTCATGGTTGTGTGTCTATCTAATCTATCTATCTATCTATCTATCTATCTATCTATCTATCTATCTATCTAGTTAGCTAGCTAGCTATACATATCCCAAGTCTCTACCACATCTATAATTCTGTCCTCATTTTAATTCCAGAGATTTTGTTTTTATGCCTTGTCTGTCAATCTTGTTGGTGTTATATTATATCTATTTTATTAGTGTTTTTTTTGTTCTTGGTTTTGGTTTCTGTTTTTTAGTAAGAGTAAAGGAGAGAGAGCAAGACGTAGTGATAAAAGGTTTAAAAAAACTTTGCTCATGATTTGTTGATATTCTATATTATTTCTCTTCTATATCATTAATTTTTATCATATTTTCTTTATTCTACATTCTTTATTATTATTGCCATTCTTTTTTAACTTCTTAAATGCCTAGATGATTATTTTTCAATCTTTCTTTTTAACAATATTTGCATCAAATGGTATAACTTTCTCTGAAGTGTTTCTTTATCTCTAGACCTCAAGTTTTGCTATGTAGCGTGCATGTTGTTTAATTCTATTTTTTTATTATTTTGTTTATTATTTGGACATTTTTATTTACATTTCCAGGCATATGTTTAGAAAACTTTTTGTTATTAACACTAATTTTACTGTATTTTATTAAATAATATGTTCTGGGTACTATTAAATTCTTGGCTATTTGTTAGGTTTACTTTGTACCCTGGAGCATGGCTACTTTTTATAAATAGTTTCTGTGTGTTTGAGAAACACTGTACATTTTCTAATTAATGGACAAAACATTTCATGTGTAACCATTAGATACTACCTGTTACTTTTATTGACCAAATTTCTATATCTAATTTTTTGCCTGCTTGATTTTTTTGTAGTTACGGTTGCTTTTAAGACAGATGTGCAAAAATCTTTCATTCAAACTCAAGATTGGTGAATTTCATTTGTTTCTAACAGGTTTTGCTTTCTTGTTTTGGGGCCAGATTGCTAAGTGAATGAAGTTTTGGATTGCTGTGGTTTTATTTATTTTTTTGTAAGTAATTGGTGTTTTACAATTAAGTAATAAGAATCTTTATTGCCATACATGCTGTTTGCCTTTATGCTAGTTAGTATTTTTCCTGTATGTCTTCTTTTATCCCTTTCCTTATTTTATAAATGAGAAAATCTAAGTCTAGAAGAACAAGAAGCCTAGGTAGTTCCAGTAGGAAGCAGGAGTCAAATCTAGAGCATAGGTAACTGCGAATGCTTAGTTGAGTCTGATTTCACACAATTTGGCCCATGGTCAAGTTACTTCAGGTAAGGGACCCAAGGGGTGGCCAAAGTGTGGGATGAGCAAAGATTCCTAATGAAAGCTCCATGGAAACCAGAACTTTCCCTTTTGTCCAGTGTTTTCTTTTAAGCATCTAAAACAGCATCTGGCACTCAAACAGTATGCCCTTGATGAATGAATTGTTGAATGAAATCATCTCAGCAGGTTATTTTACACTGCCTTTTTCCCATTCGTGAGAGAAAACTTGGATAGAAATGTTACCCACTCTGGGATTCACAAGCCACGTGACCATTCCCAGATCACATCCACCTCTCTGAGCCACAGCTGAACCAGTTCACAAATGGGGACAATGGGGACTTTCCTCTCTATATTACCTCAAGTGTGTGAGGAATGTATGAGGTGATGCATGTAGATTAATAGTCATAGCTAATTTTTAAAAGGTAACACTCAATAAAGTATATGCAGTGCATATAAATTGCACTAGACTTAAATGTATTCTTGGTTTTCTTTATGTATGCCTATACTCAAGTAACCACCACCCAGACCAACATATAGATCTGTGCCTCCCGATACAGTGGCCTTTGAAATTAAAATTAATGAAAATTAATTAAACTTAAAAGTCCAGTTCTTTGGTCAAACAAGCCACATTCTAAGGACCCGGTGGCAGCATATGCCTATTCTACAGTACCTACTGTATCACACAACATAGAATATGAACAATGTCATTGTAACAGAAAGTTCTGCTGGGCAGCCTTATGATAGAATAATTCTAGCACCCCTTATGTTTCATTTTTTTGTACCTTCCTAGACCATGTCCACCCATAAAAAGTAAACAGTACTCTGGCTTCTTAGATCATAAATTGATATTTCCTGTGCTTCATAGATATGCGATCCTACAGATGCGTTATTTTGTGTCTGCCTTCTTTTCACTCAAAACATCATGTTTGAGATTCATCCATGTTGTTGCAAGTATTGATAATTTTTTTTAATTACGATATAGTGTCCCCTTATATGAATTTACTAAAATGTATATAGTCATTCTTTTAAACACTAATGTTTAGATAGTGTATTAGTTCATTTTCACACTGCTATAAAAAGTGCCCAAGGCTCGGTAATTTATAAAGGAAAGAGGTTTAATTGAGTCACAGTTCCACATGGCTGGGGAGGCCTCAGGAAACTTAAACTTACAATTATGGCCGAAGGTGAAGAAGGAGCAAGCACCTTCTTCACAAGGCAGTAGGAGAGAGAAGAAGGAGCAAAGGGGGAAGAGCCCCTTGTAAAACCATCAGATCTCATGAGATCTCACTCACTATCACGAGAACAGCATGGGGGAAACCGATCCCATGATCCAGTCACTTCCCACCAGGTCCCTCCATTGACACATGGGGATTATGATTCAATATGAGATTTGGGTGGGGACACAGCCAAACCATATCAAATAGATTACTCCATACCAGGTACTAGGTTAGACATTTACTCAAATAACTCATTTTACATTAACACCAGTGCTTTGAGAAAAGTACTGTTATTAGTTTCATTTTATAGATTCATCCACAGAGAGGTTAAACAACCCTTCTGCAGTCACACAGCTAGGCCAGGAACCCATGCAGGCAGGGCTTTCTCTGGAGCCTTTACTCTTTGGACATGACACTAACCCTGTACCTGTACTCTGTGAGGCATTGCATACCTGCAAATGTTTCAGTTAGTTGGGCAAAGGAGAATATTTCTATTCTGTGCTTCCTCGTAATATTTTTTCTTTTCTTTTCTTTTTTTCTTTTGCCTTTGTTTGTTTCTAGTTTTATTTAAATTCCTCCTGCAAAGTGCTAGCATCCTGAGAAGTTAGTCCAAATTCTATGGGATGTCGCTGAGAGCTCTCATCCTTGGAGAGCTCAGGATCTCAGGATGGCATGGTTGGTGGTAATGATGCGGTTCCCAGCAACTTTGAGCCCAGCCTAGAACCATGCTGCCCTGTCACATAAAGAAGGGGCAGAACACATCTAGGCATCTGTCTCTTGGTACATGTATTTGTGGAACCTAATGTGGACAATGGATACGATACCTGGCAAGGTATGGCTTGCTTATATTAGTATGTGGGAAAAGCAGAGTTGTTTTGCAAAATCAAATCACTCTGCTCCCTGCCTCTTTTCTGAAGACTAAAATGAGAAATGGGATACGGCCAAGCCTGCTTCTGCCTCAAGGTGTTTCATCTGCTGTCTTCTCTGTTGGAACACTCTTCTCTTAAATACCTACCTGGCTGCTTGTGACCTCTTCAGTCTCTGCATACATGTTACTTTCCCCATAAGGTCTCCCCAGGCCTTCTCATTTTAAATAGCACTCACTCCAGCAATTCATGCTTCTTTTTCCTGCCTGATCTTTCTCTTTAGTGTTTAGCATCATCTGACAAAGCTTATATTTTACTTATTGATGCAGTTATTGCTCTCTGCCCCATTAGAAAGCATGCTTCATGCAGGTAGAAATTTTGTCTTCCTTCTTCATTGAATCCCTAGTGCCTTCATCAGTGTTGTCACCTAGCAGGTGCTCAATCAATATTAATGGATGAATACATTAATTAATAGATAAGTTCTGAAGAAGATTGCAACTGAGGTCATATAAGGATGAGACACACAATGGGAAACAGAGGATGTCAATGATATACAAGCACATTGTATTTGGAGTGGCTGGAAGGTGGATGCAATTGAAATTGAATTAAGACTCTCAAGCAAAGGAAAGGAAGTATGAGATTTATTTAGTGCCTACTATGTGCCAAACTGAATCTTATTACTATTAAATACTTGCTATTTAATGATTATATGCAGTGTGTCTAGCAGTTCACATGAATTTTCATATTTAGTCCTCACAATGACCTTCCCCAAGAGGTATAACCACACCTGTGTCATGAAGAGATGACCATGCTCATGATCACAGAGGTAGGATGTGCTGGAACAGGGATTCAAACCCAAGATAGCCAGATCCCAGAGCTGCTCTCCTTCCAAGACCAGGATGCCTCCTAAGAGGAAGTACTCTGTTATGCCGTTCCCAAAGCACTTTGTTCAGAGGCACTTTCTCTTAGAGTTTGGTGTTTACATATCTCCTCCTTGCTTTTGTTGGGAACTCCCTCCCTTCACTGGGATATAAATTAAAAGCTGTCTCTAATTCATCATGGAAACCTTCCCTCCCCACACCAGCCCCCTGCCCCACCCCACCATGTCTGACGTAGCCTCCAAGCTGCACATAGTAGGCGCCCACAGAATGTTCGTTAACATGAGTTTTGCCAAAGATTGACTCTGTTTGAAAGCGTGTGTTGGCAATTCTCTGCCCTTTTTTCTAGTGGCTTCCTTCTGCCGCATCATCCTGTCATTGTTTGGGGGAACAGAATGGGCTGTTTTATCTGGTCTGTGTTTTAATAATTAATACCCTCTGTTTGGAAGTGAAGTTTATCCAAGAACAATCATAAGCAAATGAAAGCTAAGCTGTGCAATTGTGGCAGGAAAGGGAAAAGCAGAGAGTCACTATAAATAAACCCCAAGCCCACGTGCCTCTTCCTTTCTTTTTTCTTTTCGGATTCACACACAACTATAAATGTTTGATAAAGCGTTTTACTTATTTATAAATCCTGTCACAGCAAACAGAGGCATTTGGACTGAGTTCCTCTCCCCACAGCAAATAGCTACATTTGGAAGACAGAAAGACCCCCTGGGTGGAAAATGAATGAGATTTTTTTTTTTTCTTTTTCTTCTTCCTTTTTATTTTCCCTCAGGCAAGAGAGATTTAGCTATGCTCTAATTCCCCCATTAGCAACCTCTATTTATAATCACTACAGTTTATTGAACACCTAGTCTGTGCCATGATTTCTGCGTAGTGATTTCTTATAGTATTACCTTAATTGTCTCAGTTTTTCAGGTAAGCGCTATTATCCCCATGTTACAGCTGAGGATATTGAGGCTCAGAGGAGATGTGTATTGTCCAAGATTGCCCCTGCAATTAACAGATAGAGGCAAAACTGAAAAATAGGCTTGTCATTCTTTAAACATTGTTTTTCGCACTACAAGTTAGGTTCAATTTATAAGTCTTAGCCAGCATTTAAAATCATGAAAAAAACAAACTGCAATAACATTAAATAGAGAACAATATAGCAGGAGAGAATAGGAAATATTACTGCTTCATGCAACTTTTGTTCAGTTGGCTAGAAATATTAAATGCGTATTTTTTACTATGAGTTATAATCTGACAAGTTAGAAAAGAACTGCTGTAATGACTGAAGGCTTTATACTAAACCTGAAATTTCTAACATGAGGTCCCTGGATTGATTACAGGGCATATGTGTCTGGAAATCGGTGAGGATTATAGGCATTGTTCTACACTAAGCAGTTTTCTAAAAAAATAAAGGCTCTGGTTTTCATTAGGATCTCAAGGGTACAGAACTCTCACCTCCAAATATAAGTTAAAAACTCCCATACTTCATCAACGCTCTGGCTTTCATTAGGATCTCAGGGTACAGAACCCTCACCTCCAAATGTAAGTTAAAAACTCTCATACTTCATCAAAGGTGTGTGACCGTAGGTCATCACAGGATCCATGTCCTTGTGGAAGTGAAGACACTGATAAAGTACATTTTATTCCCATTAATTTAACATGCACAGCATTTTCAGGTTGTGAAGCATTCACACACTCATAATTTTCTTGGTTCTTCCCATATCTTCGTAGTTCCTCTCATCATTCTCTTAGCTCATCCATCATCCTTAGAGCTCTCCCTCCTATTGTTTTAGCTCCTCCCACCAGCTTCTTAGTTCCTCCCACTATCCTCTTATCTCCTCCAGGCAACTCTGCAATGGAGAAAGAAGGATTGTAACCTCCATTTTAGAGGTGAAAAAAACTGAGTCTCAAAGAAGCTGACTTGGTTAGTGGCCTCTGTAAATGGTCTCTACCCCATCATACTGCCCACTGCCCTGGGTTTCTTTCTCTTCAAAGCCACCTTGATAACCTCTCTAAAATTTAGATCAGTTCTTATCACCTCCATGGCTATAAAACATTGCTCTTAGGCTAAAAGTCAAGCCATATGTTACCTTGGATATTCTTTACTCAGGAAAACGTTTGCTGACATCCCAGATAACATCAGATTTACCTGTAACATGTTCACAGAGAGTCCAGTGCAGTGCATGGCATTCATGAAATTACTTGATGTCTCTCTCTACTTCTGTAACATAAGTTCTTGAGATTAGAGTCAATGTCTTCCTTGTTCAGAGCCTGGTTTATCATAGATGCTTGATAATGTACTAAATAGATATTTTTTTTCCCTGATTCAGTTGGTTTTGTCCATCACATTCAGGTTCAAAAGAGAAAATGATGTTTTCAGCCAATATTTCCAACTCCCAGAAAGTTATTTCATGTTTTATGAGTTCATGCACCCACAGTATTTTGAGCGTTTGTTGTATTCTGATTTTGCTCATTTCCTTAGTGTGGCATTGTGTTTAGGAAGGGTGGTTAAAATGAAGAGAGAAGAAGATAATGGTTTTAGGAAATGTATTCAAATCATCTCAAAATCTCCTGACCACTAAAAAGTAATGTTTTAATGATTTAACTGTAGATGACTCAGAATTATATGGATTTCACTTTTCTTTGAAGTCACAAAAATTTAGCAATTAAGGAAATGTTTTGAAAAAAAAGGTTTTGGTGTGATCAACATTGGATGATAGGTAGATAGATAGATAAACTGATGACAGATGACAGAGATAGAGCATTATAGACAAATCAATATAGATCGTGTGTTTCGCTCGAAGTATTTTGAGGTTTTTTTCAGATCCCATTGATGGTATTTTTCCTAATCTTACCTATCAAAATTTCGAATTATCTTTTGGTTTACTTTGGTTTTGCTTTTGTAGATCATCTTTCTAAATTACAAAATAAGATAAATATCACTGCTAAATGAATAGCAATTGGGAATTTTAACATTACTCTTTTATATGTCCTTTTATTTTCATACCAGCCCAGTATGGCAGGAAGAATGGATGTTGTCAACATAATTATCCCTTTGAGGAAACTGAGTCTAAGAGAGGAAAGAAGTCAAACATCATGTTGCATTCCTGGTGTCATGCCAGGTTCTTAAATATGGAATATCTTATTTGATCCTAGGGGAGTTTGCAGTCTATGGGGAAGAAGATACTGAATAATAAGAGTATGTTATGAGGGAATAATTAGATGCTGCCATTTAACAAAGGGATCCACTTACTGCAGAGGGTCAGGAAAGATTTATCTGAGTAGCAGAGAGCTAATCAGAGATCTGAAGGATGTGTAGCTCTTAGCTAGGGGAGATGAGGAATAGGAAGTATTTGAAGTGAAAGAGAAAATTATATGTGAAGGAGCTGTGAGACGTTAGGTTTGGCTTGTTTTGCTTCACAAAGGAATAGATAGCAGCAAGTGATGAAGAGGCTGTTATAGACCAGGCTGTAAAGGGCCTTCCTTGCAAGCCATGTGCAAGCATTTGACTTTGTTCTAAAAGCAGTGGAAAGTCATGAAGAGTCTTTAGACAGATAAATTATAAGATTCTATTTGAATTTTTGGCAGATCAAATTGACTACAACGGAAAGGATGAGTTAGAAAGGATGAGACTGAAGAGGAGAGAGACAGGGGAGCCATACCGGAGGATTTGCTGGGCTCTCCTTTGTGACCTGACCCTTCAGACTCCATACCTGCATATTTGTTTTTTGTGTCTCTTTTTCCCTTCCACTGTTACTATAAATGAGAACATTCTAGAATTATACAATGTTATGCAGATGCTTGGTATTATCATCAGCATCATTATTATTAATTTTATTGATAAGCCTCAATGTCTGTGTACCATAAAACCAGTTAACTAAGTTAAGACCTGTCTTATATAATTACTAATAAGCAGGATTATTTGTTTTCTATTTCTTTCCAGAGATACTTTTTACTCCATGATTATGTTTCACAGGTTTGGAAACCTCAGATAATCAATGGGTTGCTTCAGGTGCAGATGTTCCTATGATAACGGCTTTTTAATGTATTTGTTTTATTTTACTAGACACTTACTTTGCATAAGGCATTCTATTTAATAATAGATGTTTTACATTTAGTTCCTCATTTCACCATACAACCAATTTTATAGGGAGGTGGTATTATTTCATTTTGATAGACATGGACAGTAGAGTTTAAGAAGCATGAAGTGACTTGCTCCGTAACTCACAGCTGAAATTATGGAGAAAGAGGATGACATTTTGCCACTGGAATTTTAAATATCTATAGTGTGCTGGGTGCTGGGCTAAGGGTTTGTGTGGAATGCAGAGTGAACACAGGTGGCCCTCACTCTCAGGACCCCAAAGTCTCATGACACAAGTAACTATCCATTATCATGAGTTAACTGTTGGACTTCCGTGCTGCGCAGTTCTGCATTCCATGAAGACAGTATCAGGAAAAGAGGAGCCGCAGTTTAGAGGTATGGGAATCACTTCAATCTGGGTCAGTCAGGCAGGGCTCCACTCAAGCACTTTGAAAGGAGCCCAGCCCTTGAACTCAGAATCTAAGCCTTGCCCCTTGCTGCCCAGATGACCTTCAGGAAGATATTTCACCTTCTTGAGCCTCCATTTGCTCTTCTGTAAGGCAGATGTAACAATACCTACTGTGCAGAGACTGAAGAAAAGTACTGACTGTAATGAACTAAAATCATACAAGGCATGTTGTAAGTGTTCGTCAAAAGACTCATACACTCTACGTCAGTGTAAATGCAAATGGCGGGAGAGGGATGGAATAGGCAGGGCAGCATCAGGGAGGTGTGTTGAGAGGCCATGACCTCCCCAAACAAATATTGCCACCATGTGAGCTGTAGGAGTTACAAAGCTCAGTGGTTGTCAGTGTGGGCTCTGAAGTCAGACTGTATGTTCAAATACTTCATCTACCCTACACCAGCCATATCTTCTTGGGGGAAGTGTGGTAGCCTTCTAGAGCTGCAGGTTTTTCAACTGTAAAATGGCCATAATAAGAAGTTATTTATCTCATCAGGTTATTGGGAGAAGTGAAAGATGATCCATCCATGCACTTAGTACAGTGCCCACATGGAGAGGGCATTCATTCAACTTGGCTATCACCATTTGTCCTCCTGAACACCTGCTGAGAATCAGATGCCCAGTGAGGGATGGGTAGGCTCCCAGCAAAGTTCACAGCAGCAGGGGTCAGGCATGTGCCAGGAAAATTTCACCAAAGCCTGACATCCCATGGAGAAGTCAGAGATCCCTATCTTTATGCCCTGAGGAACCTTCGCTGCTTCAGCTCAGGCCCATGTTTCATAAGGATGCTTCATTCACAACCTCAAATCTACCCATGAATAACACACTTCAGAGCCTGCTGGCTACCTGGAGGGGATTGGGGGGCAGGGGTTTAAGGAGACCAGGAGGCTGTTTTGATTTAATAGCTATTGATCTTTCCCCAAACTTCATACAACATTAGGCTAGGATTCTGCTCTCCTTTATTTATGCCAGAGTGGAAGCTTCCTCCAGGCTTCTGTTCACTTTTCATTTACACCCAATGACAGTCTCACCAGGTGATACCCTGGAGTATGAATCCATAAAAACAATCAGCTATACAGGGCCAAAGGGTTCTTCAGCCAGTTGGAAGTCACAGAAAGAGTGCTGAACTTAGGGGCAGATTTCTGCCTGCATTCTCATCCTGACCTTGTCTCAATGTTGTTCTCAATTTCTGGGACTCAGTTTCCCCATATGAAAATCATGATTTTGAAGGTTTCACATACCTCTAAAAGTGGATGCTTCTAAAACTGATATTAAAACCCAGTGGATGTAATGTTTTAATTGAAAATATATTTCAAGACAGATCTTTATGCATGAAACCAATTGTTTATCAATCAAAAAATCACTGAACTCAAAAAGATCAGTGCTTTGAAACTGATGGTGAAAATGATGATTAATCCATTTATTCATTCATTTATCAGACATATAGTGAGTTCCTGCTATATGCCAGGCACTATGCTGGTCGCTGGAGAGTCATAAGTTATACAAATATGGCCTTTGCCTGTGTGGAAGTCATTTTCAATTGGTAGCAATCACACATCATTGCACCTATGAAAAGTGTTACAAGAGTGGAAGTCTACAATAAAATGGGAATATATAGCAAAAGTACTTAACCCGTTGGGGGAAAAAAGACTTATTAATGGTCAATCCAAGTGTGAACTAAAGGGAAAAATGCATTATTTAGACTCATAAATTGTATATATCGATTGTCTCATGGTAGGGAGAATGGTTCCTGAGTTGGGAGATGTAGACTCAAGTCAAATTCTGCCACTTCCATGCTAAGTAATTTTTATCTGGATTGGTTGTGATGATTTATTTAAAAGCCCTGGCTAGAGTGAAAAAAAGTTGTATAAATGTAATAAAATAGTAAGTATTACAAAAATAGTATGAGAAAGTTGTAACCCAGTATGCTGTCCAGGAATGGCCCATGTGATGCAGTCACAAAGCATCTTTACTCTTATTTCCTATCACCCTTTATACTTGTTGAGTAGTATTATGGCATTAGTTTTTCCTCTGCCCCTGGATGAAAACTTGGCAGTCCTGTGACTTTTCTGATCAGCATTAGGTAATACAAAGTCCAGCATTTACTGAATGTACAAAATACAGTCTCAATTCAGAGATGTTCAATGCCATATATTTGCCAACCTTTCAGTCTCCACTCAAAGGTGGGCCTCCCTTCTGCTCCCCTAACTGGAGTTGTAGCTGTCTTGGGAGCTGAGGAAGGCAGGTGAAACTTGCTTGCTTTCTCTTTGTCACTTACCTCCTCCCCTACTTTTTAGCTACTGTTTGTAACCCCTCTGGGGCTTCCGTGTAGATGGAGCCTGGCAGAGAAAGGTATGAGGAGCAGGAAAGGTTGACTGGCATTTTCATAACCTGACTTCAACTTCAGTGATCCCGGTAGACATTAAAGATCTTTGTCTGGGAGCATTTTCCTGGTCTCCTTAGAAACCAGTCCCTGTTCCTACCCATCTCTCTTCTGAGGTTTCTTTAATGTGTTTGGATGCATGCATGTTCCCATGTGTTCATTCACTCATTCTATGAATCCAATAATTTCTCTGGCTTCTCTCTAATGAGATCTGTTCACCCCTCCAGGCATCCTTATTCCACGGAATTTAGGATGATTTTGATAACTAACCAACATATGCATAGGCCTTACAATGTAATGAATGATTTACCTATATTTACTCATTTAATCCTCACAACACCCTTTGTACAACAGTACAATTATTATCTGAATTTTACAGATTTTACAGATACAGAAACCGAGGCTAGGAAAGCTTAAAGAACTTGCCCAAGATCTCACAGCTGGTATGTGGAGGAGCCAGGATTGGAGCTCATACAGTCTGGCTTAGAGTCCTTGTTTTTAGTAGCTCTTCTGTATTTTAACCACATGCTTGTTTTCTCTGGTTTGTCATCCTACCTGGGCCTTGGAGAATGCTCTGGGCATATAAGCGAATGCCTACACAGATACTTCTGCTTTGCTCTCACCAGAGCAGCTGGCCAGCCCATCTCATTCCATACATTTCCCTGGTGTAAACCTGGACACCAGATCACTGGCCAGGGACCACAAGTGAAGCTCCATGAGTAGTCCTGAGAGAACCCTTCTCTCTACACTTGCCAAGAGAGCAGGCACTCACCTCCAGGAAGGAGGAGGTGAGGCTCACAATAATGCTGTTTCCCAAAAAATCCTCTATAAATCATCTCTTCAAAAGTTACCTGTTCTTCCCCTGATAGGATAGAAAAGTTTAATAGTTTACTAACTGGTTCTTATCTATCTGCTTTTCTCATGATCTATTGGGTGATCTACCTCCAACTCATTTTGATTTCTGATATGTGTCACTTCAAGGTCTGAGCTGAAATTTCCATTTTTCACCCAGCTACAAAGTTAAATTATGCACTCTCTTTGAGTCTCTGTTTCTTTATCTATAAAGTGGTGATATAAACTGTCCTATATGTCATACATGGCTATTATAGAAATCAACTAATATAGTAACTCTGGAATTGCTAAGATAAATCTAAAGATTCTAAAAAAAAAGAAAAAGAAAAATGTGTGAAAATTGTTTGGACAGTTGTAACTGTTACCTGTGCCCTTTTCTCTCTCTGTAGATTTTCTTGCTTTGTTTCCCCTTGCCAGAATTTTGCTCTTCCATCTCCCCATATATGAATCTTACATAGTCTTTAAGAGTCTTTAGAGAAGCCTCCTCTTCAGCCTGCACAGGGGTTCATGCCTGTAATCCCAGTATTTTGAGAGGCCAAGGTGGGCAGATCACTTGAAGTCAGGAATTCAAGACCAGCCTGGCCAACATGGCAAAACCCCGTCTCTATTTAAAAAACAGAAATTAGCTGTGCATGGTGGCACACAACTGTAATCCCAGTTACTAGGGAGGCTGAGGCAGGAGAATTGCTTGAACCCAGGAAGCATAGGTTGCAGTGAGCCGAGATTGCACCACTGCACTCTAGCCTGGGTGACAGAGTGAGACCCTGTCTTGCAAAAAAGAAAAAAGAAAAAAAACGCCTTTTCTTTCATAAAGCTGCTCCAGTTCTCCTCAATGGAAGCGCTTTCTCTCACTTTTAACCCCCAGCCCTTTGTTGTATCTGTTGTGTGGTTTTAATTCTGTTTACTTTCACAAGAGTTATTTTTGTGTTCCTTTCCCAAGAAAAACAACATGGTAAGAGAATGCTAATCATCATTACCACTACCACTGTCCCCACCACCACCATCATCATCATCCTGGTAGCTACATATATTTTGTGTCAGATGCTTTAACATGTTATCTCAGAGACTTGAGATATTCTGGCAGTCTATATTATTAAACCAATTACATAGATAAGATCCCTTGAGAATTGCAGTGGTTAAAAGATCTGCCAAAATTTCACAGCTCAGAAAATGTCATCACTACTTTTGATTTCAAGTTGAGGGACCATTTGTGTGTGTGTATGTGTGCGTGTGTGTGTGTGTGTACTTTATAATTTCCATTATCATTAGTACCAACATGAAATCACCATCTCTTCCCATTATGATCTTCATCATCCCACTGTGTCTCTCACAAAACCTTGTCCTTTCTTCAGAGTCAAGACAGTACCTAGTTAGTGCAAGTTCAGTTCTTTGTATCATTCTTTGTGTTACATATACAGGATATTTATAAGCTGGGGTTTGCACACCTTGCATTTCACTTATTAAGAAATCTTACTGAGTGCCTACTACATTCTAGTCAGTGTTTTAGGTATGGGCAATATAAAAGTTAATGAAATAGAAAGTCATTATATTCATTTAGCATACATTTGGAAACTCAAGGGAGGAAAAATAATAAAAATAAATATATAATATGTTTAATGAAGAATAAAGCAGAACAAGTTGATAGGACATGAGCATACAAAGAAGCATTCCATTTCTTAAAACTTGTTATAGGCATCATAGTCACCCTCTAGTGGCCTTTTTAGGGAGATGGGTCCTGTGTTATTGTGATTACCCTCCAGTGGCCTTTTTAGGGAGATTGGTCCTGTGTTATTGTGATTTATATGGATGGGAAAAGTGACAATGAGGAACTACCTTGCTCCAGGTCACATAATACTATACCACTTCTGTGTCACCACAGATGCCTCCCTTTGACTGGACCCCTGCCCCCTAGGAACTTAGATCCTGTGTGATTTTCATGGTGTTGTAGAAACTTGAAACATTTTATAGGTATGTTATTTAATAGCTTGGATTACCATTCGGCAAATATTCACTCCCCATTGGCCACTGTGGGCAGGGTACACTTTCCCATCCTATTGATGTTGAGCTTGGCCATCTGGCTTACTTTGACCATTAAGATGTAAGTAGGTAGGACACAAACGAAGGCCTTAAATGCATTTTCATAGTGGAGTATCCTTCTTGTGACTTTCATATCTTTGTGGGAATATGTCCCACATAGTCCATTGGCTTAAAGAAGATGTGAGACATGAAGTAAACCTGAACTCAATCTGCAGCTTGGAGCAAAACTGAGCCTAGCCAGACTAATCTGACCTCCACTTTACCCACAAACACATTGATGAATACAATCTTGTTTGGAGTGGTTCTTAATAGCAATAACTAGCTAATTGCCATAACTAGCTAAGAGTAGAATCGAGGATTAAATCTCAGCTTGCAAATTCTGGTTTTTCAAGTTGTCCAACTTCCTTAACGTCTTAGACTTTTAGTTTCTTTATCTGTCAAATGGTAATAAAAAACAAATCTCATGAAGTTGTCTTGATGGGGAAATCAGATCATCTATATCAAGCACCTGATATACAGTAGATGCACAAAATTTAGCTGTGCATGGTGGCACACAACTCAATAATGAATTGATGCTCAATAAATATTTTTTCAATACCCAAAAATCTTTAGCACACTTCCTGGTTGCTTTCTAGAAATATCTAATCAAGCTCAGCTCCCCACACATGGGCTCTGGCCAGGTTTTCTGAGCTGTTCTGGCCAATTTCTTGCTGACTTCATCAACCTTCATCCGCCTTCCTCAGTAGACTCCAACACTTTTTCTTTTTCGCTTGAGAAATTAGAATAAGCATGCAGCACTAGTTGGATAGTCTATGCTGGCATTTGAGCTTCCAATGTTTTTA
This sequence comes from Homo sapiens, assembly GCF_000001405.40. Taxonomy (NCBI): domain Eukaryota; kingdom Metazoa; phylum Chordata; class Mammalia; order Primates; family Hominidae; genus Homo; species Homo sapiens. The sequence continues at coordinate 117,159,303 of NC_000009.12, read as the reverse complement.
TAATTATTCTGCATTATCTTAATTACAATGGTGCAAAGAAGGGGGGATTTTAAAAAAACTGTTCAGAAAAATGCTCCATGAAAAATAACCCACAGTTAGCAGACGACAGGCCTGCGATAGTGGTCATAATTGGAAATGGCACTATTAATACAATACTTATTCATTCTATATAATAAAAAAGTGGAAGCACTTTTTGCAATTACCCAATTTCAAATGAAATTAACATTCCACGGCATTTCCCATAAATGGTTCGTTTGCATACACCAGTGGAGACAATTAGCTTGGAAGTGAATGAGGACTGTGACTGGAGAGAGGATGAGGTAGGGAGGGCCAGGTACATCCAAGAGGACAAGGATGCAGAAAGGGATGGAGACTTTGCTGAAGGTGGGCAAGCAGTGAAGATCAGAGTGAGTGCAATGTCTGTTGTCCCAGAAAAGCAGTGAGACCACAAGGATTTGACTTACCTGGTAGGTCAAAGCCACAGAGAGATTCATGATAAGCAAATTTAATAGGACAGTGTAAATATTTGCATAAATTTTGTTTACCAAAGTTTCAAGTTCAGTCTTCCACAAGCCCCCCTGCACATTTCACCAGTGTTCTTCCTGGCTATCTGCCTGAATCTTCTAGTCTTGACAAAATCCCAGAGTCTAGGACGTGGCCTCACCCAATGCCCTTCTGCCATGCACTCACTGATACTGATAGGGAAATGTGGAAATTTATTCATGCCATGACATTTTAAAATTTTCTGTGGTGAAAGTTTTGATTTAGTTCTGTAGACAAGTTGATCATAGTAAGGAACATATCAATGACAAGTCATCCGTCTGTAATTGCAAAGGGGAACATCCAACCAACTTCTGGATATATCGGGATATAGTTAACTCTCAAATCATACTTATATAGCATTCCAAATGGGAAAATTAGAATGCAGTCTTGACTTCTTCCTGTCTCCTCCAATTCATATCTAAGTCCTTTCATTCTTGCCCATTCTAACCCCTAAACATATCTTTTCTAAATGCATGTCCTGTTTTCTATTTCCTTTGATACTGCTATAGTCAAAATCTGTATCTTTGTATCTGGACTTGCACAGTTTATTTGAATAAATGCATAGTCACTAGCAGTGGAACTGGGTTAGTACCCTGACTACACGTATAATTACTATTGAGACTTTGAGCACAACTTTAATTATAGGCTTAATTTTTTCTATTTTTTTATTTTGTATAAGTATTTACCTTACACTGTTGTATTAAATTGGGAAATTCAGGTAAAATGCCTAGCACAGTTACTGGCACTGTGCTAAATGCCAATACATGCCATGTGGCTTAATAAATTGCAGCTCTTTTCATCATTATTATCATGATGCATTCTTTTCCCTAAGATCCTTGTTCCATAGTTATAGTTACACTGATCTTTCTTAAGTATATCTCTGACAGTGTCACTCTTCTGATGAAAGTCTTCTTATATATGTTATACAGACTAAACTTCAAATGTGTAGCTTGGCATTTAAGCCTCATCACGATGGGGTCATTCGCTCCTTCTCATCTATAGCACCAACCCTATAGGAAAACTGAACTCTAGTCATACTAAATAACTCATCAGTTTCTGAACTGAAAATGAGTTTGTACTTCTGCATCTTTATGTATGCCACCTAAGAAAACCTTTCATTCTTCTTTGATATACCATACTCAACATCCAAGTGTTGCTTCAGTCCCTGTTTTGCAGATGAAGGCTAAAGTCACCCAGACAGATAGATCTGACTTGGCTTTCTGGATATGGAAGTCCATATTCTCCCCCTTTTCATTTTTATTTCAGTGCCTGAGTCATATAAGTTAATTGAAGAATTCATTTTGATGTCCAGCCCAACTCAGTCCAGCTTTAATTTAACTTCATCTTGGTATAATTCCTTGCATGAGGCTCTTTTGAGGACTGACTCTGAAATGCCACCTGGATGATTGGCTTCCACCAGGCTTCCTGCTAACTTGGATCCATGTGTCTTTTTTCCTTCCAGTCTCTAATTGCTAGAGATGTGCATGTCTCCTTTCTGCTTCCCTCCTCTGTGTTCAAATACAGCTTAGGGGATAGATGTTCTGGCCATGAAAAGAGACAGGTGGGAGGCTGTGGGCTTCCCTCCTGTCTATGTCTTCCTTTCTTGGGCATCATTAACTTATTACAAACCAGTGGAAACTTGCCAATTTGCTGCACAGCTGATGACTTGCTATTGTATCTCAGCTTTCTTCTGCGGAGAGCTAGATAACGAATCAGATCAATTGTTTTTGAGCCCAGAGGCATGGACAAGAGGGTGTATGTCTGTATGTCTGTGTGTATGTGCTGGAGGAGTGAATAAATGGAGTTGGGAGTGGCACCTTCCTAACCTCATACATGTTGAGGCAAGGTGAATTTCTTCAGGCTTCTGCTAAGGAGAAGACATTTCAAATTAAGATTTTCATCTTCCTCTACAACTACTAAACCACAGTTACTGCAAAACAGAATAAAAATAACCTCAAGTTTTAAATTCACAGGATAATGGACTTGAAGCATTGTCAGTGGTCTGACCTGCCTTTTAGTTCACGTTTATCAAATGCTTTAATCTCTTCTGGGTTTTTTGTTTTCATTTTTGCAAAGTGATGTCACTGCCGGCTTGCACCCAGTTAACACCTCTTCATGGTCTTCTTTCCTTAGTTAGGAATCTCTAGATGTAGATTCATAAAATAATAGTTGTTACCTTAGTCCATTGGTTCACAACCTGAATGGACATCTGGCAGTATCTAGAGACACTCTTCATTGTCACAGCTTGGGGAGAGGGCTGCTAGAGTCTAATGGATAGAGGCCAGGAATACTGCTAAACACCTTACAATGCATCAGACAGTTTCCACAGCAAAGAATTAGCCAGCTTCAAATGTCAATAGTGCCAAAGTTGAGAAACCCTGTGTTAGTCAAGAGCCTTAATCTCTCTCAGGATCAGTTTTCCCATCTGTTAAAGAGAGTTATAAATAGTGTTTGTTTTGCAGCATCATAGAGAATGTCATGAAATTATAACTTCAAAACCCTTTAGCAGATGTCTGGCCCAGTGTAAGCACTCAAAAGATACTAGTTCTTGTAATTATAACATACATAATGCATGCATCGTGGAGCCTGGGGTGCAGCTATAGCAATACACATGTTAAACATTAATATTAGAAGTGGTGCTAGTACTATAGCCCTTCATTTAATTGAAGGCAGCTAACTTCTACTCCCTTAGAGTCTTGTAGTTCCTCATGATACCATTACAATCTTCCATGTCAGACTAGCTTCTCATATCTGGACCTACTCTGCTCTGTTAATAATATGCTTAATGTAACACTCATCTGTCAACACACTCCTAGGTATGGTCTGAGCAATGAAGAGTAAAGCTGTGCTCTTCTTGGTTCTAGACTTTAGTGGTCACCTTACTGTTAACTCATATTGATCTCTCTGATGCCCAGATAATTGAATGAAAAGTTAGGAGAGAAGGAAAAATGTCCAGTTGAATGTGTTTATAAAATCTACATTATTGGTGTGGACTGCAAAAAAGTCTGCTTGGAAACCTACCTCTAATTCAGGTCCAATGTCTGGAGCTTTAAATCCATAGGTGACAGATAAAGGATAAGGAAGAGGAGGAGGATACTCAGAGAAGAGAGATAGCACTTGATAGTCTGTAACCCTTATCAGAACAGTGCCTGGAGTGTGAGCTTCCTTCTGAGGTTATCAGAGTCTCCTGTGTTGCACAGAGAGGGGCTTGGTTTTGAGGTTCTATCACAGCCTCTCTGTCTCTGTCTCTGTCTCTCTCTCTCTGTCTCTTTCTTTTTATCACATTTCTCTACCTCATTGTGCACATTAGCAATATAAGAGCATTCTTCAAGACCCGTCCACCCGTACATGCAGGCTCCCTGTGCAAATGGCTCCCTAGGATGGATCTCTATTATTTCACCAAAAAACATCAGAGAAGGAATTTGTTCTGCTCTGCTGAAGACATGATTTCCTGTCCTCTCTACTGCCTTAGCTCAGTTTTTTGGCTGCTGTTTGGGAAGGGGATAGAGAAGAAAGGAGTTATCTATAATATTTAGCTGAGCCAGTTTTAACCAGGGCCAAAACAAGGAAAAGAAGAAGACAATTCAGGATTATCTACCATGGGATAGAAACAATTTCTGGGATGCATATGGGACCCCATATCTATACAGCAGCCTCCATACATGCTTGGGACAGTCCAGCACTCCACAGTTTGATCTCTTCTCTGTTCCCTCCACACTCTTCTTTTGCTCCTCTTCCTGTATTTCAGAGTGGTTAAGATCATGGAAGTCAGACAAGCTATGGGCTCTCTCCATAATGTCACTCACTTCCTAGGCTTGTGGTGAGTGGCATATGAGGTAATGGTGCCTGGTGTAGAGTAAACACTAAACACACAATGAGTGAATGATATTACAGTTTTCTTATTTAAATCCTTATTATATATATCTTTATCCCCATTAAGTAAACAAAGGACAACTGAGAGGCTCAGAACATCAATGTCATTGTACTCAAGGGTAAGCAGATGCTAACAGGCAGAACCAGGATTTGGACCTTGATGTATATAATAATAAAATAATTTTTCACATGTTTTAACCATTTGTTTTATCTCATCCTTTTGTATGTATACTGTTTAATTAAGGATGTGTTAAGCAGAATTTGTAACTAGGGTTTACTAGTAAAAATGAAGTGATAATATTGCAAACTTTTATAATGACCTAGCTTACCAAATGCTTTAAGATACATGTCACAGTAGTTTTAATTTCCTGAGGCTGAGAGAGGCTTGGTGAAGTGTCCAAAGTCACACAGCAACTAACATGGAACTTGAGTGCCATTCTTCTGCTTCCAGATCTGCTGAGTTTCCAATTCAGGATCCTCTGCTACACCCCAAATGTTACTCTCTAGCTTCCTGCTTGTGTTTTTGTTGATGGTGACGGCATGTAATCATGAATAATGAAGCCAGCCTGCTCTTACTGTCATGTAGAAATGGGAAATGGAAATTATAAGCCATTAAATGGAAAATCCCAAGCCTCATAGTAACGCCAACTTAGCCTCAATCCATTATTGTCTATATATTTAGCCAGTCTATTTTTAAGAGTTTAATATTGAGAAATAGGACATATTTATAATGTGGCTGCATTAATTTTGCTCTAACATCCCTGCCATTCGTTATAGTTGACTTACATATGTTTAATTTTATAACCACCCTATTGCACTGGGAAGATTTGCCTTAGTTTCAAAGAAGATGGGTGGAAAATCTGACAGTTGAAGTAGTGAGAATTTATACAGATTCCACATTCTGCTCTCTCCTCATCCCCATTCCCAGCCATATTATGGGTAAGTAATATACTCTTGTCACAATGCATATTTTTATACCCTTCATTGAGTGCCTGGTCATACATGCCTGGAAACATGTGTTCATTCATTCGGCAAGCATAGCTCAACTCTAAAAACTGTGAATGGATGTGTTAACAGTCTCTAATGCCACTGACGAGGGATACCTCTAGTTTCAGGTGATTGTCAATTCTTGGATCATCCTCACAATTATCACTAATGTGGTCTAAAGGAAAGGTGGCTGTGAGGAGGACCATTTATTTCACCCTCTTCTGTATGGAAGTCAATTTATTAAATCATGTTTATTGTTCCCACTGCAAAATAAGCCCTAAAGTAGTATTTGAGGATATTTATGCAGTTCTGCTATTCTAAGGTTGTGTATGACCCTTGAAAAATTAATTAAGCTCTGTTTGCCTCACTCACGCATTTATAAGATAGAGATAATGATATGTATCTTGAAGGGTTGTGTTTCAGTCAGTCACTGCCACAACAATGCTACGTAACAAACAACTATAGAATCTTAGTGTCCTGAAATAATAAATATTGATTAGTTCTGAGGATAGAAAGGAGGATAGAATGAAGTGTTGTTCTCATCTCACAGGCATTGCTCATCATTTACAGATTTGCTAGGGTCAAGGACCCAGGCTGTAGGAGTTAAGGTGACTCTGCTCCATGCTGCAGAGCTGTGAGTCTACCCTGAGTCATTCTTCCTTCTTCATCTAGCACACTAGCTGCGACAAGCCTTCCTCTTGGTGGTGTCAGATGCAAGTGTGGGAGTAGAAATATGTGATGCTTCTTGAAGCCCAGGCTCATAACTAGCACATCCTGAGTTCCCTACACATACCATTCACCAAAGCAAGTCACACAGCCAAGCCCAAGTCAAGGGGCAATGAAGTGTACTCTATCTATACTGAGGCAGCAACAATGTGGATTTGAAATTGGGGGTAAAAAAATGAGGCAGATACTTCCATGTACCATGGACATTATGAGGATTACATAAAATGATGGCTGTATTTACCTTAAACTAATAACTGTCATGTAGTAAACACTCCATAAACAGTAAATGTTATTAGTGTTATTGTGATTGAATACTGAGATAGACTTGGAAAATAGGAATGGTACATTTAGATGAATCCTGGTAACAAATCACCTGAGAACTTCAAGTTCTTAGGGAAGAAGTGAAACTTGGAGGAAGTAAAATTTCAAGAAAGGAAGGAATTAAAAGTAAGAGAGTGGGGTTCTCCCCTTTCTTCCAACTAGCTGCTGGAAAAACAATTTTTTCTGGCATGTAACAGTTTAATATAAATCTGTCAGCAACAGTTTTATATTTTCCCAAGTGTTTGACACAATATGCCTAAATTCAGGACCTGGTGATCTTTTGGAGGTCAAAGCAGAAACTTGATAAGCATGAAAGAGCAAGATATGAGAGCAGACAGAAGACCATGAGCAGAAGCTGTGTCTTTGGAATTAATGTTGCAGCCACATCCAGATTCCAAATTATGGCAAGATCCAAGGTGTAACCATGAATGGGACTGGATGAAGTAGAATGGAGATGAAAACCCTGAATGTTACAGGATCCAGGAAGGATAGTAAAATTTGAACATGAAAGGACAACAGTGAGTCAAAGGCGATCGGTTACCCCAAAGGGAAATGGAGAACTTAGTATTTATTGAGCTTTGACTCTGTGCAAGACCCTCCGCAGGCTTATCTAGGTTAAGCCGGATAACAATAATGATAATAAATGCTTTAATTAGTTGATTGCTTAATCCAGTTTGGGTAGTGTGTTAAGCACTTTGCTTATATTATTACATTGAATTTTAGCACTACCAAAAGAAGAAACCCCACAATTCTTGAGGGAGATTTATGCTCAACATTTTTCAGAGAAGGAACTGAGGCTTAAAGAATTTAAGGAACTTACCCAAAGTCACATAATGAGTTCGAGATATAATGAAGGCTCAAGCCCAAGTCTGTCCAGATCCCTACACTCTGCTCTCGCTGCACCCAGGGTATCTGGGATAACAGTAACAGATGTCAGAAAGGAGAGTGGGGCCAGGCAGTAGGGCTATGAAAAGAAGTGGAATTTTTAAATGAGGGTCTTGGAAGAGAAGTAAGATTGGGTAGAAAACAGCAGGCTCTCTTTCCTAGCTTGAAGATGAATTCTCTTGGTAACAAAATTGTCTCTCACTTTAAGCTCCAGGGGAACCAAAGTGTGTGGAACTTTCTGTATAACCCTTGCCCCTTTCTCTTGCTCATAATACTCTTTCTGTCATCTTTCCCAAGTTCCACATCCTTTATTTAAGGCTCTGAGCAATTGGTACTTTCTCTGGAAATTTCTCATAGCCTTTCTCCTTGCAAAAGGAGTTAGAAGACAGGTTCTCAGTATTATGATGCTTTGCTCTCTACCTAAGCATTTAGCACACTCTGTTTTCATTATCTTTACCTCCCTCTTCCACTAAACAGTGTCCTGTTTTAAAAAGGGACAGTGTTCATTTTATCACTGTGTCCCCAGTGCCTGGCCCTGGATACAGCATCCACTAACGGTATTGAATGAAGAACTCCATTGTAAGGTATAGGTGGCTCTACTCCCACGGAGTTCTGAGCCATATGATGTGGCCTTCCTCTGAAGTCATGGACAGGATAGATCTGGGAGGGAGGAATTTGGCTAGTGACTCTGATTCTCATTGGATTATTGGATTCCACTGTCCATGCTGAGCAGAAAATCTGGATTTGCTATGACTATATGACTAATGGTTTAAGATTTTTGTTACTTGTTTTTTTTTCTTTTGTCAATAGCACGGCATGGTGGCATGTCTCTAGTCTCAGATACTCAAGAGGCTGAAGTGGGAGGACCCCTTGAGCCAAGGGGTTTGAGTCTATCCTAAGCAACGTAGGGAGACTCCATCTCTTTTTAAAAATGTTTTCTTGGCACAATAAAAATGTACTCATTCTCTGACTAGGTGTGGTGGCTCACACCCGCATTCCCAGTGTTTTGGGAGGCTGAGTGAGGGATTACTTGAGGCCAGGAGTTCAAGACCAACCTGGGCAATATAGTGAGGCCCAATCTCTACAAATAATTTTAAAAACAAAATTATCCAGGCGTGGTGATATGCACCTATAGTCCCAGTTACTCAGGAGTCTGGGACAGGAAGATCACTTGAGGCCAGATGTTCAAGGCTGCAGTAAGCTATATGACTGCACCACTGCACTCCAGTCTGGGTGACAGAATGAGGTCTTGTCTCTTAAAAAATGTGCTTACTCTGTATCAGACACTCTGATATGCATTTAGCATCTCAGTTAATCCTAAACCAGCTTATTAGATTTGGAATTGCAAGCCTCATTTTAACAGTTAGGAGAGCTGAGACTCTGAGTGTTAAGTTATTTGCCCAAGTCTCACAGCTGGTAAGAGACTGTGGTTGATTTCAAAGCCTTCGCTTCCTGCACATTGCTATCAAGGTGGTAATGAAGTGACCCAGAAGCCTTAGACCGAAGATGTCTACTTACTTGACCCTTTTTTCCTCAAAAAGGATTTGTGGGCCTATAGTATCAACTCCAGCCCAACCTTTGGGATGTCCATTACCTTTCTGGTCTCTGTAACGTGGAAGTTCAGTTTGTAAGGATAACATTAGTTGAGGGAGGTGAAAGTGTTTTGCGTACTGAAGAATGCAATTGTATTTATTGCATTCATCTTCATGAAAGCACATTCATTTACATTTAGGAACACAGGATGATGGAACCGGAGGGAATCTTAGAGACCATCTGTGTTCTGGCTAGGGACTGTGAAGCCAGCTCCAGAGAACCTGGAAGGTATTGTGTTTTTAACAGAACAGAGAAAAATATCGCTAAATTTAATTCCATCATTCAAACTCAATGCAGTTCTCCTAGCAGAAATCATGACCACCCTACAAGTCTGCAGTATTAACTGACAGGCCCAAGATCTTGTATATAAGAAAAGGCTATTCCCAAGTTTTCCAATTTATATTTGCTCCTTTTTGTTCATTTGTCTTGTCTGCAGACGCTTGCTTGAAGATAAGCTATGCCAGGCACCAAAGGTTTAAGAAAATGTGCAGGAGGAAAAACTAAAATGAGAGAAAATTCAATCCATCAATTTTTACCCCTGAGAGTTGGAAAGAGGGAGCCATTTTTTAAAAATGTGTGCTTGGGTTTTAAATTTATTCTAGTCATGAAGCATTCTCATCTGCCTAAGGAACGCTAGTTGCTTGTTGTTTTCTTTCTTAGTATTTTCAGGAAAAGGTGACTCCTATATAAGATGGAATATTGTATGCAATGAATGGACTCTCACAATTTCCAAATTGGATGGTTTTTTTTGCATTTATGTTGGGTCTTCCCAGCTTAGGTGTACCTTAGGACTAAGATGTCTTCTCTTATCACCTTGTCCCCAGTCCTGGCATTTGACTGTGCAAAGTCCAAAGCCCGAGGACACAAACTGAGGTTGCATTGGTCAGAGTTCTTTAGAGAAACAGAACCAAGAAGACATGAACACATACACACACACACACAAACACACACACACACACAAACACACACAACACCCTATTAGTTATATGTATTCTCTATCCTTCTATTTCCTTTCATCTGTCTATCTAACCAGAGATTTATTTTAAGAAACTGGTTCAGGCCAGGTGTAGTGGCTCATGCCTGTAATCCCAGCACTTTGAGAGGCTGAGGCAGGTGGATCACGAGGTCAAGAGTTCGAGACCAGCCCGGCCAACATGGTGAAACCCTGTCTCTACTAAAAATACAAAAATTAGCCGGACATGGTGGTACATGCCTATAATCCCAGCTACTCGGGAGTCTGAGGCACGAGAATCACTTGAACCTGGGAGGCAGTGGTTGCAGTGAGCTGAGATCATGCCATTGCACTCCAGCTTGGGCAATGGAGTGAGACTCCGTCTCAAAAAAAATAAAAATAAAAATAAATTTAAAATTAAAAAAAAAAGAAAGAAACTGGTTCATGTCATTGTGGAGGCTGGCAAGTTCCAGATCTGTAAGGTAGGCCAGCAAGCTAAAGACCCAAGGAAGAGTTGATATTGCGGCTCAAGTCCAAAGGTAGCATATTCCTCTAACTCAGAGAGGTTAGTCTTTCTTCCATCAAGGTGTTCACTTGAGTGGATGAGGCTCATGCACAGTATGGAGAATGTTCTGCTTTACTCCAATTTTATTGATTCAAATGTTTATGTCATCTAAAAAAATATAGATAAAAAATCTTCACAGATATGTCTAGAATAATGTTTGGCCAAATACCTGGATATCATGGTTTAGTAAATTGGCGCACAAAATTGACTATCAGATCTGAGGTTAAAATTATCCTAAAACTTGGGAAAGCAGGGAGGAGTAGTGGAATAGGAGATTTGAGTGCTAGACCTTGGTCTGCTGCTAACTTTATGATGAGTTTATCTCTTGGTGCCTCTATTTTCACATTTGAATGAAAGGGGGAATGTATAATTTCTAAGAAAGTTTGCAAAGTGGCTATTTTATGACACCAAAAATTTCAAAATGAATGAGAAAGAATGAGTTAAATGAAATGTCATGAAGCTGACAGGTTAGTGAGAGAAAGATGAGTAATGACTACTCTTTCTTGAGCATTTACTATGTTCTAGAAGCTCTGTTAGACATTTTTTGTACATAATTACATTTAATCGTCCCAAGAACCCTGCAGACATTTACAGAGGAGGATACCAGGGGTTGCAAAAGTGAAAGAAGTAACTCAAGGCCATGCACATGGAGAGTTGATACTGGAACTCGAGTGAGATTTCTCACCTGCACTAGGCAATATGGTCAATGTCCATTTGCTTCTTGGTTCTCTTAGTACAGTTCTGCAGTGAGACATGGGTCAACCCTGGAACCTCCATGGTGGACAGTCTTGAGCAAGGGTCCACTGGCATAACAGGCTAATCTCCAATCAAGTCAAGCCACTCACTGGTTTCAGGCAGCACCAGATTTCCTAGGGCTCTTTGCCTAGATGATCTGAAGAGGAGCTAAGCTATCAGAGCCACCATCCAGGCCCAGAAATGTCACATCCAAACTCCAAGATTAACATACCCATCTCCAGCCAACCAGAGAGGGAGTACTTATAGAGTGCAGCAACAGATAAGGCCAGAGCATTGGAGTCACCATAACCTGAGTCCAAATCCCAGTTCTATCGTCCCTAAGCTGCATGACCTGGAAAAACCATGTAACATTTCTGAGTCTTGCTATCCTCATCTCTGAACAGAAATTATTAATACTTAACTTTCCAGGTTGTTAGGGGGAACAAGTGAGAAACCATAAGGAAATACCAGGCTCCCTACCTAGCAAAAAGTTGGTGCTCAAGAAATGTGAATTTTCTTATGTCACAGACTGATGATGTCTGAAAAAATTGAAGAGGGCGAGCAAAGTGATACTGGAACTTCAACTCAAACCCATATGCGTTTCATCGGTGGAACGTCCTGGGTGGTTGCGTGGGGGAAGAGAACGGTGGATAACGGGGGTGTGTGTGTGTGTGTGTGTGTGTGTTTTGAGTCAGAGTCTCACTCTTTCACCCAGACTGGAGTGCAATGGCGTGATCTCAGCTCACTGCAACCTCCACCTCCCAGGTTCAAGCGATTCTCTGCCTCAGCTACCTGAATATCTGGGATTACAGGCCTGCATCAAACCCAGCTAATTTTTGCATTTTAAATAGAGATGGGGTTTCATCATGTTGGCCAGGCTTGTCTTGAGGATGACAGTTTAAATATACAGTTTAAGTGTACAGTTTTTGAGTATCAGTGTAGACATAATGTGTAGTGCCTCTTCTCCAGGGTAGAAGCTAAGGCTTGCCTGGTATCTGGAAACCCATACAACACTTATGCCTTTGCAAAATGACTCAGGGTCCACCCCCTTTTATCCCTTATTTTTAAAAATAATATTAATGAACACATAATAATTGTACAGACTTATGGGGTACGGTATGATATTTTGATATATGCTCATAATGTGCAATGATCAAATTAGGGTAATTAGCATATCCATCACCTCAAAGCTTGGTCATTTCTTTGAGTTAGGAACATTCAAAATCCTCTCTTCTAGCTATTTGAAAAAATACAATAAATTATTGTTTACTACAGTCACCCTACAGCACTATAGAACACTAGAACTTAGTCCTTCTATCCTTTTAATTTTTTTTCTCATAGAACAGGTGGTATTACATTACATGAGTAAATTCTTTAATGGTAATCTGTGGGATTTTGGTGCACTCATTGCCCGAGCGGTATACACTGAACCCAGTTTGTAGTCTTGTATCCCTCACCATGAACTTCTATGCCTTCTTCTTTTTCTTGTTTTCTTTTCCATGTCTCCTCGCCTGTCCTTTTTAGTCCTTCCCTTCTGTGTTCTGCCTCTCTGCTTCTTCCCACTCATCTTAGACCCCCTCTTTCTTGTCTTCTCTTCTTTATTACTGAGCACAGTTATCTCTTTTATTCTTGTTTTTTTTTTTTTTTTCTCTCCTCTTCCATCCTGTCTTTTCCTTTCCTGTCCTCTCTCTCTAGCTTGGCTTGGGGACCAGGGCTTTCTTCCTCAGGCCCCAGTGGTTTATTACCATTAAGCTTGACAATCTCTTATATGTCAATTAGAAAGAGGCAGTGTTCCCCTCCTCTCCCTCCCTTTCCTGGGCCTGCCGCGATGCTCAGATCAAGCAGCATCTGTTGCATTCATCCAGGCGATGGGTGAGCATTTTGCCGCTCTGGGGAGTCAGAGCTCAGCGGGTACCAGGAGGTAATGTGGCTTGTTTGGACAACTTGATATACTGATATCGATAGAGCTGCTGAATGGGGTCGGGAGGGATCAGGGATAGGGGGAGTTGTATGCAGGATGAAATTGGCCATGGAGAGGTTTGCAAAGCACTTCCCCCTCTAAGTCTGCCTGGGCTCTTGGCACTGTCACTGAGGCAAGAGCAGCCAAACAGATGGATGGGATTTGCTACAGTGGGGATTAGAAACCCTTGCAGCTCAGGGGATCACCCCTTCCTTCTCTGTGTGCCTTCTTTTCCCAGCCACTCAAATCTGTATCAGCTTAGAAGAAAGAAGACAGAAATTGCAAAATGGAAAGAGGCTGACCTTTAGGAATTGCTGAATGTCAGAGCCATGAAAAAAAAGAGAGGGAAGCTGAATGATATATCAGTCAAGGTCCCAGCTAGACAAAGAACACATCTTCAAATGGGATTTTTTTAAAAAGAATTCAATGAAGTGGCTATTTATAGAGGTGTAGGCAAAGTAAAAAGAATCAACATAGGAATTTCAAGGTACCAGGACAAGAATGTCAGGAAGCCACTACTGATTCCTAGAACTGAAAAGGCAGGGAGACATGGTTTTATTGGACCCTGTGAGAACTGGGACTGTGGAAAAGGGACACTGGGCAGAAAGCTGTAATTGTTGAGAATCTCAGTCTCTGTCAGAAACATGGTACTGAAACAGGAAAGGAACAAGGAAAGAAATACCTTCAAATTCCTCCCATATCTTTCTGGGGCATCCCACGGGCCAAACCCAACTAGTAGCCATCTAACAAGGAGCGGGTGACACAGCCCAGAGGGTGAAGGGTGGATCTGGGAGTGTAAATGGAGAACAGCCAGCACAAGCTAGGAATGAGTACAGGTTCTGCTGCCTCTGCTCTGCCAGCACAGAAGCTCATGTTCTCAGCCACTACCCACATTCACTGTCTACCTTTTCCAAGGAATGCGGGTATTGAGTCTCCAGAGCGTCCAGCTCTCTCCTGTGCATGTGTGATCCACATAACTCACTGTCTACCCAGCATCTCCACTTAGATGTCTCAAAGACATTCTGAGGTTTCCATATAGAAAAACTCCCTATCAAGTACTATGCTTATTACCTGGGTGATAAAATACTCTGCACACCAACCTCCCATGACACACAGTTTACCTACGTAACAAACCTGTACTTGTACCCCTGAGTCTAAAATAAAAGTTTTTAAAAAAAAAGAGCCAGGCGTAGTGGGTCATGCCTGTAATCCCAACACTTTGAGAGGCTGAGGCAGGCCAATCACTTGTGGTCAGGAGTTTGAGACCAGCCTGGCCAACATAATGAAACCCCACCTCTACTAAAAATCCTATATATAGTATAGGCATGGTGGTGCATGCCTATAATCCCAGCTACTCGGGAGGCTGGGGCATAAGAATTGCTTGAACCCAGGAGGCAGAGGTTACAGTGAGCTGAGATCACGCCACTGCACTCCAGCCTGGGTGACAGAGCGAGACTCCATCTCAAAAAAAAAAAAAAAAAAAAAAAAAAAAAAAAAAAAAAACTAGTGTTCACTCCTCTCAAATGTCATCTCTTACAGTGTTCCTCCTCTTACTGAGGAACTGTCATCCGTATCTGTGCAAGCCAGGAGACCCAGGAGTCATCCTTAATCCCTCCTTTTCCCTTATCAATCATTCTCTACCTTCTGAGCAAAAGAAATTCAAATCTCATAATGTTTTATGGAAGTTTATGAATTTGCATTGGGCTGCATTCAAAGCTGTCCTGGGCTGCCTGTGGCCCCTGGGCCGCAGGTTGGACAAGCTTGCCTTAGAGAATAACATTCAAACATCATGTCCATGCTCAAAATGTTTCAGATTTTGGAACATTTCGGATTTCAGATTTTCGGATTAGGGAAGCTTAACCTGTAGACTGGGTGCCTTAAACGAGAGAAATTTATTTTCTCGTACTTCTGGAGGCTGAAAAGTCAAGATCAAGGTGCTAGCATGTTCGAGTTCTGGTGAGGGCCCTCTTCCTGGCCTGCAGATGCCACCCCTCACTGTGTCCTCTCACAGCCTTCCCTCAGTCTGTGTCCATAGAAAGAGAGTGGGGTCTTTCTTTCTTACCCTGTTTATAAGGCCACCTATCCTATCAGATTGGGATCCCACTCTTATGACTTCATCTAACCTTAATTACCTGCTAAAACCCTCACCTCCAAATACAGTCACACTGGGAGTTAAGGCTCCAACATATAAATTGGGGAAGGAGGGAACACAATTCAATCCGTGGCTGACTGTGTCTGGAGATAGGATCTTTGGGAGGTAATTAAAGTTAAATGAGGTCATAAGAAGGGGCCCTGATCTGATTGAACTTTGGCCTTATCAAAAGAGGAAGGGAGAGGTTTTTTTTTTCTCTCTCTCTTTCTCTCTCTCTTTCCCTGCTCCCCCACCGAGTGAGGACACAGGGAGGAGAAGGTGGCCATCTGTAAGCCAGGAAGAGAAATCTCACCAAAACCATGGCACCCTGATGTTGGACTTTCAGCCTCCATAACTGTGAAAAAAATAAATGTCTGTTGTTTAAGACAACCAGACTATGATATTTTGTTATGGTAGCCCAAGCTAAGCTATGTCTTTGGTTCTCAGCATTGGTATGTAATGTTTTTTTCTGTAAATTCTGTTGAATGAATGAATCAATGAATAAGTGGAGAAATGAATGAATGAATGAATATTGACAGATCCTGTGTGGGTCATTCCCTTCGAGGATTCCAAACTGTGGCTTATTCTGGACTTTTGACCAAAGTATAGCCCATCTATTGGGCAAAGCACTTTTCTCTCTGGGTTTACGGAATCAAAACTTGGCATGACATTGCTTCTCAGAGTCATACTGCAGGCTATAGCTGAAGGATTCTTCATCCCAGGCTTGAAGAAGGGACCCCATGTCTGGAATCTTCTTGGTTTCTTCAAGTACACCTAATTAAGATATCTGTGGAGAGAGATAGCAAGGGAGACAGATGAGGAAACCAATGCCACCACATGATTCATTTGTATTGTCAATTGTCTTTTTACCTTAGCAATCATACCTTTTCCCTATAACCCTCAAGATGGGACTTCTCACAGAACCCAATACCAGAACAAGCCCTCTAGGTCTGACTTACTCTGCAGACACATCTGTCTAACCTGATAAGCTTCCCTGAGAAAACAGGAGCGCCTTAGAAATGGGTACTGGGTTGTTCAGGAGCCTTCTTTGTCTAGTCTGATGAAGCCCCTTCAAAGAAACAGAAATTGTTGGCACATCCCATCTCTTGGCATCAGACAGCAGGTAGCTCAAACTGAAGAAGAAATTTCCCAGCCTCTGGAGACACAGATGGAGGGAGGGATGAGTTTGAAGATTTCAAAGTCAGGGCTGTCTTTGGGAATTTCTCAGAACAAAGGCACTGAGGCTATTCAGCAATTTTTCTTTTCTTCTTTTTGGTTTTCTCTTCTTGCCTTTTATGTTGCCTCCTTCCTTCTCAAGCTTTTCTGTTATTTTTTTCCTTTTATCTTCCAACTTTTTCTCTCTGCCCTTCTGACCTTACTTTCTCCATGTACTGAACTTTCTACCAGTTTCAACTTTGAAACTTTTTTGGAAATGTGGCTACTAACAATTCATTGGAAGGTATTGGTGCAAACGGAATATTGGACAAGGTGTTAGAAGGCTTGACTCTGCCATTTCCTATCTTGGAGTAAGACATATATTGTGTTTTGGGGCTTCAACATCCCCTCAATAAAATGGGTATATGTTGCTAAGTGATCGACATATCCACAGTACTGTGGTTGTGTCTCCTAAGATATTGTGTCACCTTCGCTGCCACTGCCCTGGTTCAGACCACCATTGCCTTTGACTGGCTACTTCCAAAGCCTCAGTCCAGGCCTCCTTTCCTCCTTCAGTTTGCATTCTCCATACTTTAGTTAGTGATTGTTTTCAAAGTGATTTAATTTGAACACATAGATTTTCTGTTTAAAACCTTTTGGTGATACCTTTTGCCATTAGGATAAAATTTATACTCCTAAATGTGGCCTACCAGATGTCTTTATCACTCCAATCTCATCTCCCATAAGCCTCCTCTTTGCAAGCTCTCTTGTAACTACCATAAATTACTTTCCAATGCTCAAGCATCCGTGCTCCTTCTCGTTTCAGATCATCACACATGCTTCTCCTTCCATCCAGGACGCTGTCTTCTCTGCTCTGTCCAACCTCACCCTGATCCTGCTTTCTTTACTAATTCTTACTCATCTTTAAGGTCTCATCCTAAATATTGCCTCCTTCTGGAAGCCTATTTTGATTCTCAGATGGGTGTGATGACCCTTTTCAGTGATCCTTTGGAATTTTGTACTCTTCTATTGCAAAAATATTGCACAATGTTAGAATTGTCTGGATATGTCTCCTACTGAACTAAGAATTACTTGAATAATGAATTGTGTCTCACATTTCACGACCAAGCCCTCTAGTCTCAAGGGCCTAGAGCAGTACCTGGAACGTAGTAAATGTTGAATACATAAGTATGTAATCCAACAGATACATCTGCAGTTAGACTGCAAGGTTTTGATTCTATATCTTCAATGGGTCAGGGAGGGAGTTTCAAGGAATTAGGGTGGCCAGGTCTAGTGCTCTAGGGGCTGAAGGTGGGCTCAAGCCCTAACTTCAGCCCCAGTGCTCTAGGTGCTGAGGGTGGGCTCAAGCCCTAACCTCAGCCCCATTGCTACCTTATAGCAGCAGCTGAGGCGACTCAGGAGACAGTGGAGTCCCTGATGCAGAAGTTCAAGGAGAGTTTCCGCGCTAACACGCCCATCGAGATCGGTCAGCTGCAACCACCCCTGCGCAGCACATCGGCAGGGAAGAGGAAGCGGAGGAGCAAGTCTCGAGGTAGGCCCTCCTGGCACATCTGGCCAGGAAGTCAGAAGGTTGTCCTCTGATTCCAAAGATGCTAGGGAGATCTGTGCATTCTTCCCTTGCTTCCCTGTGCTCATAAAACTTGTGCCACTTTCTCCCTGATAAATCCCCTTGGAGGCTGCAGACCTATGCTCCCTACACCCAGAGCTAACCTCTCTGAGCCCCAGGTGCCTCAACTGAGAATGAGAATGGATAGTATAAATTTTACAGTGATTGAGATTAGCAACTATATATGGAAAGTGTGTAGCACCAGGACCTCTGCAAAGTAGATGTTCTTTAAGTTGTTGCCGGTCAGAGAGTACAAAGTGGCAGAACATTCTAGTAGGAGACATCCTCAGTCTGGGAGCCAGAAACAGGGGTCTGCGCCTACTTTTTAGCAGGCTGAATAACAGAATGATCAAGAGTGGTATTGTAAATTAGATAGAATTAATTCAACTTTTGTTTCTGCTGCTACCTAGCTATGTCACTCAGGGCAAATCACTCTACTTCTCCAAGCCACTCCTGTCTCACAGGGTTGTAAGAATAACTCAGCACAGTGCCTAACCCAGCATTTATTAAAAAGCAGATATTTTCTTCCTGCTCCTTTTCCTCTGCTGCTGCTTCTTCTCCTTCTCCTTCTCCTTCTCTTCTCTTCTCTCCTCCCCTCCTCCTCCTTTTCCTCCTCCTCTTCCTCCTCCTCCTCTTTCTCCTTCTACATCTCTTCCTCCTTCATCTTCATCTCCTCCTACTTCTCTTCCTCCTCCTCCTTCTCTTCATCCCTTCTTTCTTCTTCTACCATCTATGTGACTTCGTATATGAAGGAAATCAACTTGTCACTGCTTAATTTCCAAACCATTTTTTTTTCTATCTACTCAGTAGTCTCTAGCTGAGTAGATAGAAAAACTAGTAGTCTCCTCTTCTTGCCTCTCACTTCTCCATTTCCTGTAACTTGGCTCTGATCAGGTCATCCCCCTTTTCCCACAGCTTCAGTGGTTATCTAGCACCTTCACACATGTTCAGGCTATGAACATGACACTCAAAGCCACACAGAGCTCTATTCTCCACTGTCTTTCCTAGATTGTTGTGCTCTGTCCTCAGTGCTGTTTCCCATGCCATGCTCTCTGCATGAAACCACCTCTCTGGCCCCTAAGGGTTATTGACTCTTAACTTATTCCAAGAAACAGCTTAAATGATATATGCATCTTATGTCATTTGATCCTCACAGCAACCCTATGAAGCAGGTACAGTGGTAATTCCCATTTTACAGATAATTTCACTAAGGTACAAACAGCTATTGTAATCTGTCTGAGGGGACATTCTAGTAAGTGGTGGGGCCAGGGAGAACCTGGCAGTCTGAGTCTCAAACCTTTTAACTTAACGACTATGTACTATTATGTTGGTGCTATTACTTTTGCACCAACCTGATACACTAATGAAATTCTACCTGTCTTTTCAAGCTTAACATGCATGGCACATTTCTATGAAGACGTTGTTGATTGTCACAGTCACAATTCACTGAATCCTCCCAGCTTTCCTTTATACATGTATTAAGCACTAGATTCATTTTTGTGTGATATCATTGTCTTTTGTCTGGCTCTTTCCTTAGCTAGACAGAGAGTTATTTGAAGGTAGGGATTGTCTTATTATTTTACATTCCTGGCCTAAATCAGTGCCTGACACATAGTAGATGTTTGCTATCTGTTGAGAGGATGTCTAATTCTTAATCTTGTAAAATCTTGAATCCTGTAAAAAACCAAGCTCTACATGTTAAGCTGTCAGATCACAAATTGAGGCAGAAGAAAATGATGGAATTCGTTTTTGGAACTCATATGGGAAACCCCAGGTTTAAACCATTTTGTAGTGATACAGAGCAGTCACCTTAAAGTCAGACAGGTCTGAGTGCTAATCCCAGCCCAAGTCAGTTTTAACTTGCATGACTTTGGAAGTATCATTGGTTCTCCCTGAACTTCAGTTTCCTCTTCTGTAAAATGAGGATGCCAAGCCCTACATCAGAAGATTATTGTGAAGACCTGATAAAAGGCTGAATGTAGACCACCTTGGAAAGTTCAGATGGCATGCATCAGGGAATGAATACATGCAATCTTATGTTTGTTCTGGGTAAGGCATTTAGGGTTACTTGAAATTTCGTATAGCTTTACCTATTCATCTTTACTTCTGTATCATTCACCAGAAATCCCCCTCCTAAGTCCTCTCCACACATACATATTCCATAAACACTCTTGACTCCAAGTCTATAGCCTTTCCTCCCTTCATTACCAACCTGAATTCATTTTTTAACATCACATTCTAAACATTTTTATGTCAATGAATTTTTCAAAAATATTATTTTTATGCATCATAATTTTCTTAACTAAGCCCCTACTATTAGGCATTTGGGCTGCTCCTAATATTTCATCATGATAAACAATGTTACATAGAAAGTATTTTTGCATAAAACTTGCCACTTACTTTAAAATGTTTCCCCTCTTAGAGAAGAATTTCATAGTCAGATTATTAATAAAAGTCTGTTTTAAGTTAATTTACAAGTTAGATGGGGTCTCAGAAAACTATGCATGAAGAAATTTATTTGTATCTCTTCCATATCTGTCCTTCCTCTTTGTCACCATCATGACCACTGTCATTTATTAACTGCTCCTTACAACTATACTCTCCTTGCATTCAGTCTCCTCAAAACTACCAAAGCAATCTTTTAGAAAGATAAACCAGAGAAAGCCCCTCCCCTGCTTAAAATCCTTTGACAGTTTTCTGTTATTCTTAGACTATGATCCAAGCTCTGCACCTTGGCTTGCGGATCTGGCTCTGGCTCCTGCCCTCTTTTCGAACATCATTTGCTCTGCACTTCCTTGTGCTCCAGCCAAACTGGCTTCCTTCACGTTTCACCAACACAGCAAACGGTTCCTTCTTTAGCATCTGAGAACTTGTTCCTCCTTCTCCTTGCCATGCCTCTTTCTTTCCCCCAGCTGCTCTCCTAGCCAGCCCCTTCTCGCCTTTCAAATGTCAGCTCCTAAAAACCAACTTCCATGACTACCCAATCTACAGTTTTGCTCCTTTCAGTCCCCAACCTGCTACTATCTCTTACGTCACCCTCCTTTTTTAACTTCTTCCACAGTAGTAGTTCAGACTAAAATTTTAAATTTTTGCTTGTCTACTATCCTCCTCTCTAAAATATAAGATTCATATTTATAAATCTAACACATAGAAATGGCTTAATAAATATTAGTTGAGTAAATGAGCGTATTAACATCAAAGATCACTGGAAAATGGCTCAGCTTTATAGCTCTCATATTGATGGTGCAAGAGGAATCTGTGATAAACCAAATCCTCCTGGTACCAACGCCCAGAGAATTCTATTTCCCCCTTAGACTCACTGACAAGTAGCACAGTAAATGTGCTCAAGTGGATGCTATTAAAGCAATTTCCAAAACAGCTTAATCACAGTATGCTTGTGATTTTGCTGCTACCATGGGATACAATTTCTGCAGGAGAAGAGTAAGGACAGTATATGTCAGCCCTATACTTCCAAACTTACCCAAGACAGCCCATCAAGATTTCCTTGGACAAAAGAATTTCATGATTAAAAAAAAAAAAGTTTGGAAATTCTCCACCCTCCCTCTTTCTCTTGAAGATTCTTGAATGAATCTTAGTCTATTAAAAACTCTGAGAAGTCCTGCAGTACAGAAAGCTAGGCTGCTTTGTTTAACTCAATGTATTGATACTATGTTGACTGCAAACTCTTATTTCTCCCATTGGAACATTTATTAATGACTTGCTGAACAGAAGCATCTATAGGAACAGAATTTTGGAAATGCTCCATTAGCCTCCAAAATCCCAAATAGGATGGTCTGAATCCTCTGTCTTTCACTGTTTCTGCCCTCTCCTGCCATTGAGGTTGCCGTGGGCTGCCTGGTCCAGATTGGGAGCACCTGCCCTCTTTCTGCTTCCTTAGGCCTCATCCCCGGGCCACGGTGCCCACTAGTTTCCAGAAGATGGAATGGGTAGCCGAGAACCAGTGCCATGGAATTGAGCACATGGTTAAAAGCAGCTCCAAGGTATTTTTGTAGCTATGCCTTCTTCCTGAGAGGCCTGGTGGAGGCTGAAGTGCATCATTCTTAGCCAGACAGAGGAAGGATAGTGGAGGTTTGAACTTCTGACTTCATGTTAGTGCTGGGGTTTTATGAGGCTGCTATTAAGGAGCCACTCCCCAGCATCTTATGGGCAGTATAAAGGACAGTGGCATTCAAATAAAGCAGAGGAAGATTTCTTTGGATGTACAGAAGAAATTCCATAGGTTTATTTAGTTTAGGTAGCGGTTTTTGAAAGCGGGACTTTGTGTTTGAAATTTAATTCCACCATTGACTAACTAAATGCTCTTAAGCTAATTAATAAGAGCTCTGTTTTCCCTTCTGGAAATAGTGCTAATAATACCAACATCACATGTGGGTTGTGAATTAATACCCAAGAGATGCTTAGCCCAGTGCCTGTCCCACGTTCAACCCTCAATAAGGAATAGCTAGTACAATCACTGTCATCCAAGTCCTGCCCATTGGCCTGCAGCGTCTCATAAATCCATCTTCCCCTTCCTGAGCCACTGCCTCTAGCTTGGTTGAGGTCTCATTGTCCCTCATCCAGATTCCTGCAGCAGCGTTGGCACCGATAAATGCATGCTCTACCCTGACAGCTGGGTGATCATTTGAAAACACAGTAAATTTGGCCATGTTCCTCCCCCACCTAGAACATTGTCCTGATTTTCTGTCACTTGCACTGGGGGCCTCTTGAGCTTTTGAAATGAAGTCTTCTTAAAGGCATATGAAAATGAACTTACCCCCAGAGGGTCTGCAGCTGTGCTCAAAAGAATCTGTCATAAAGTTCACATTTCAGGTTCATCTTTTAAAAGATCATGCCATTTTATTTCATAGTATATGCATGTTTATTTTAGTTTAAGTTATAGTATTTTTCAGTTAATTAATTTAACACTTGCTCAATTCCTCATACAATATTGATGTCCCAGGAAGAAGAACCATGATTTAACTAACTATAAGGGGGTGAGAATGCTACCATCTTCAAAGGATTTCCATAGGCCAGAATAAGATAATCCCAGTAAAGCATTTAGCACAGAGCCAGACATATTTGCATGCTGAACATATGTGCTCTTTTATTGTGTTATTTATTATTCTGATCATTGCTATGATTATTAGTCTTATTTTTATCGGTATTATTACCTCACAGAGATACATTTACCTTGTTATAGAAGCAAGAACCAATAGGATGAAGGGCATATTGTTTAATGGGATTAAAAGTTGCCATCACTTGCTACACAAGGCTCCCTCCTAGCCTGGGCTGTACCCTGCCTCTGTCTACTCCTGACCCCCAACCCATTGTGTCCTACAGCCTCCAGCACATGGGCCATTTCTCCCTTCCCCCAGTATGCCTTGCTTTCTAGGTCCGAGTGCTGATCATATTCTTCCTGAAAGGCCCTTTCCTCCTCCCCACCCTTTCTCTCCAGGCAAAAAATTGCTGTTTATCTTCAAAATCCAGCCTCAGCATCTGCTCTGTGAAGCATTTTCTCAGCCCCTACCGCAGCCGCAGCCCAGCAAGCCACTCTTTTCTCTGAGCACTCATAGCCCCAGTACTGTTTTTTATCACTGCCCTTATTGCAGTCTGTCGTAAATACATCTGTCACCTTCTTCAGCTCTCACAGTCCCATGATGGAAAAAACAGTGATTTATGTCTGTCTGTAGAATGAATGCCTAACAGGGAACTGGCTTGGGATAGTAATTGGTTTAATGGAAGAATATATGAATAAATTAATGAATGGATGGAGACGGGTAAATAGATAAAGGGAGGTAGCTGGGAGCTCACAGTATGCAAACGGTTAATGGGATGCAGTGCAGCCTACCATCTACTGAGCATTTGGTATGTTCTAGGCACCTTGCCCATCACACATTTTATCTTATTTAAAACTTCCCAATAACCCATAAGGTAAGTACTATAATTATCCCCATTCAACAAAGAAGGAAACTCAAGCTTACACAGTTTCAGTCACTTGTCTAAGTTTACTCAACTAGTACATAGTGGAGCTATGAATTCAGAGCCCACATTTAAATTCCCAGATGACTTGAGCTCTACTCTTAGCTACCACAACTAAGATCTTTGAGCTGTGAAATTATACCTACCTAGTCTAGATCCTGGAAGGAAGTACGTGCAGCTTCTCTTGCATTGGCAGTGTTTCTGTGTCATCAGTGCTGCTGTGAGGGTGTTCAGGAGCTATGAGGCTCTAGAAGGTGAGGCATCTCCCTCTCTGAGCTAAGAATGAATCAGCACTGTCCCCTCAGCTTTTAACTAACCCCAGGGAGCCAGTCCCATGTCCTCAGGAGCCCACAGTGTTACGTCACTGGATAGTGCTCTGTGCATTTTTTAAGACATCCACTCTCAATGTTTTTAGTTTGCCACATGTGTGTGGTATATGCCAACTAGATCTCGGCCTACCAGTACTTCACCATTTATTGAAGGAAGCAGGGCATTACGTATCTGCACCACAATGGATACATGAAGGTGGTGTGGGCTGGCTTGGGGTATTTACTAAACTGGGGGAATAATTAAAGAAGGCTTCACAGAGCAGGTAATCCTAAGTAATGCATTAAATAAAGAGAAAGTTTGGGAAGACATTGCTGGTAGAATAAAGAAAATATGCAAATACACATAGGGATGAAGCTGTGCAGGGGGTAACGGGAATATCTGGGGGAAAATGTGATCCAGGCAGGTGCCAGTGGGAAGATGGGAAGCCACAAAATCCTCCATCAAAATCAGACCCTGGATCTTTGGATCTTGCTCACACATTTCCCAGCAGCATCCCACAGTTGGGAGGAGAAGCAAATTCTGGCTCCTTTATCCTTCTTGATAGATAAGCTTCAATGTTTCAATGTGCTTTTACTGTGGGACACTGTCCCTGGAACACAGGCGTGTGTGTGTGTGTGTGTGTGTGTGTGTGTGTGTGTGTGTGTGTATATATATATATATATATATATATATATAATTTTCATTAGTAACTGGTCATGAATTATTCAATTAGTTGGAAGAAAATAGAAACATTAGCGACTTTAAATTAGTTGCCTTAATGGGTCGTTGCTCTGCTTAAATATTGAACAGGTAGTCCCAGGATTGATCTTCCTTTGTTTCTTTGGTCCCCATCTTTGCTTCCCTACACTTTGTCCTTCTTAGCAGCCTTCCCTTCCTACCAAGGATTTTTGGGTGGGATTTAGGTTTACCGCCCCTTTTGACAAAGGAAGTTTTGACATTGCATCATCAAAATGAGGTTCCACTTAAACCATGAGATAGTTATAGGGGTTACAAGGAGGACTGGATAGACACAACTACCTGGAGACCAGCCCTGAGTCTATGATGAAATAACTCCTTTTACCTCCACCTCTATGCGCTTTTTGCAGCTTGAACTTCTTCCTCTTTCCCATTGCCAATATGCAAATTCTACTCTTCTTTCAAACAAGACCTTTAAACCATTTTCTCTGTGAAGAATTTTCAAATTTTTCCCAAATGAAAGTCGTGCATACCTCCTCCAAACTTTGACAACCTCTTCACTATCTTCCCTGAGATATTTGTCATTTACTATCTTTTATTCAAGTAATTTATAGTCACTTCTTATCTTCTCCCTTAATTACTCTCAAGTGCACAACTATATCTAGGTCATGCCTGTGTTCCCATTGGCTAGCCTGCTTCCTGACAAATAGCAGATCCTCAATAATTGATGAATTAATGGACAATTAATCAAACTGGCTTCATGATCTTGGACAAGACCTTCCACTCTCTGGGCCTCAGTGTCCCCATCTAAAAGGCTATATGGCATTGTGGCAGTGTGCTCAGGGTCTGGAGTCAGACAGATGTGGATTCACATCCTAGCTCTGCCACTGACTGGCTCAACTTTGGGAAATGACTTATGCATCAAATCTCCATTACCTAATCTACAAATCATACAATCAGTCACCTCACAGGGAGGCTGGGAGAATTAGTTAATGTTTGTAAAGTGCTCCGCAGGCTGTACTAAGCATGGTAAGCACCTAATGAATCTTTGTTGTTGTTAATTTGGAAAGCAAAGGTGATGGGCTAGATAATTTCCACAGGTCTCCCCCAACTCAAATAGTCTTTGATGATACATACAATTGAAAAATATTGTTGTACACTAAACAATTCAGAATTTGGAGTCAGAAACTTCTGGTTTGAACCCCAACCCTGCCCTAAGTGCAATGGATACTCAGGGAGGATCTTTAGAGAAACTGCTTAATATCCTTAATATCCTGGGGATATTATTCATCCCCAGTATCTGGGGATGTGAGAATATCTGCCATTCTTTTGTCCAGGACTGTCGTGAGAATATGCTAGGATGCTTATGGAAATCCTTCTTTAAAGCATGCTGTAGATTTGTTGCATCCTGGAATCGGCACCCTGGCATCTTCAAAGATAAGAAATGGCATGTATCTTTGATTAGGAAACCTTTTCCCTCAGTCTCTGGCTTTCTGTCTGTTGACCTCAGGTCTCTTCTAAGAGGTGCAGCCGGGGAGAGTACCACCACCAACCCGGTGACCCACAGGTTGTATTGTACTGAGACATAAGAAAGCTGATCAGCAGTCAGAGCACACAACTGCCTCCATAAATCTTCCCTGATGTGTCTTTCAGAGAAGTTTGTGTTCCTGAAAGTGTATGTCTCCTTCAGGAGCTTTTTCTTGTCCATCTGAAATACATCAGGGGGCTCTCAGTCAATTCTATCTGGCCTGGAGGATGGAGAGGCAACTGAAAGCAGCCTTAGCGGAAGGCTCACGACCAGATCCTGGTGGGGCCTAGGGATACAACTCTACCATATTTCTTTCAGTAGAATGGTAATAATGCTATGTTAGCATTGTTGCATAATAAAACAACCTAAAACGTAGTGAACTAAAATAGCACCCATTTATTTAGCACTTAATTCAATAAAAACATTTGGGCTTGGCTCCAGGTGGTTAGTTCTGGTCTGGGTGGGGTAGGTTCAGCTGACATCTCATGCACCTCTGGCTAGCCAGCTATCCCAGCCTGGTTCACATGCCTGGGAGATCCAAAAACAGCAGAAGTAGGAGCTGCAAGGTTTTTTGGATTGAGCCCAAAAGGTACACATCATCATTCTGCTTCATTGTCTGATCCAATCTGCTTGTATATGTGGAAATGATGGAGACAGGGACTCACTGATGTCACACAGAGAAACTAGCAGATCCAGGAATGGAATAATTCAAGTCCTCTAATTTGTGAAATCATTGGCTATTTATGCCATTTGACCATATAAAATCATGTTTTAAAAAAGCCAAAATCCATAAAATATTTAAAGAGGTTTATTTTAAGCCAATATGAGTGACTATAGACCATGATAGTCCCAAGGGGTCCTGAGAAAGTGTTCCTGAGAGTAACAGTGTGGTTTCACACATTTTACAGAGACTGAAGTTACAGGCAAAGACATAAATCGATATATGTAAGGTATACATTGGTTCAGGGGTACTTACAGGTCATAGGTGGATTAAAAGATTTTCTGATTGGCAATTGGTTGAGTTAAACATTATCTAAAGACTTGAAGTAAATGCTTGAGTTAAGATAATGGGGGTTGTAGATGCCAAGGTTCTTGTTATGTAGATGAAGCCTCCAGGCAGTAACCTTAGAGAGAATATGGTAAATGTACTTTTTAAGACCTTAAAAGTACCAGACTCTCATTTAATTTCTCCTGGATTTGCAGAAAGACCTAGAAAGGGAAGGAGATTCTCTACAGATGCAAATTTTCCCCACAAAAGATGGTTTTGCAAGGCCATTTCAAAATACATCAAGAAAATATATTTTGGGGTAAAATATTTTGATTTCCTTCACTTGTCATGTGTTACTACATCAGAGTCAGGTTGGAATTCGGTGTCTTATTGCTACAGCATCTATTTTGTCAGTCTTTTGATCTCTATTTTAATATTAATGCTGGTCAGTTGTGCCTAAACTCCAAAAGAAGAGGGGTATAATGAGACATGTCTGACTGCCCTTTTCATCATAATGGGAAATTCAGCTTTTCAGGTTTCTCTTGGCTTTGAGTGTGGTAGGGGATTCATTCAGTGTGTTGGGCAGGCTTAAGGTTTTATTTTTGGTCCACATAGGCCCTATTACCTACATTAGGACTGACTGTTGGTGAAATTTAACAAAATACATAGTTAGAAGTTGACAACTTCAGCTCTTTTCTAATTCAGCTGTAATCAACTGCATAAATCACTTAGAAGACTACAAAGAGAAGCTTTACAATTTCCCATGATTGAGATATACATGATTAAACATAGTGAGGATATGAGATAGACTGCCTGGGCCGTTAGCAGATGTTTTCAAGCATGCCACAAATAGGTGCTCAGGGAGAAGGGGAAGGGGAACTGTGGCTGAATAGGTAGGGCTTTTTAATCAAGCTTTTATTCTATGTTTATATATTGGGCTTCAATATTTTGATAGAAAAATCTCAATTCTGCAATTGCACATGTATGTATGTGTGTATGTGTGTGTGTATAGCAAAAGCTCCCATTCCTACATGGAAAGAAAACAGGCAAGTCATGTAGTAAACTTTCAGCAATATGGCTGACAAAGCTAACATGAGCCTTCTTCCTGTTCCATACACACAAAATAAATGTTGGACAAAATATACTTTTTAAAAAATTAAGATTCATCCCAAAAGTAAAGAAAGGAAGCCCCCCGGGCTTAAGGAATGCAGATATAAGTTGTAAGAAATGCAAAGCCAAGCTATGAGTTCAGAAGCTGGTGTCATGATGACTCCAGGTAGGGGGTCAGGTGGGGTGGGATACAAGTAGAGAGAAAGCCTGAGCAAGGAAAAAGTGAAAGATAAAGTGATAGGAATAAACCCCAAAGCATCAGAAATTACAGTAAATATAATTTGCACATTAAGATTCAGTGATAGTTTTTATTTTTATTTTCATTTTTGTTGTTGAGATACAATCTTACTGTCACCCAGGCTGGAGTGCAGTGGCATGATTTCAGCTCACTGCAGCCACAACCTCCAGGGCTCAAGCAATCCTCCCACTGCAGCCTCCTGAGTAGTCAAGACCACAAGTGCATGCCACTATGCCCAGTTAAATTTTTTGTATTTTTGGTAGAGATGGGGTTTCACCATGCTGCCCAGGCTAGTCTTGAATTCCTGAGCTCAAGGGATCTGCTCACCTTGGCCTCCCAAATTGCTGGGATTACAGGCGTGTGCCACCATGCCTGGCCCTGTGATAGGATATATTAAACAAAATTCAGTTATATACTATTTCCCAGAGATCATTCTAAAGCATAAGGACACAAAGTTTGACAGAGGGAAAGGGAAAGGAAAAATATATATTTTGTGAATACTAATCAAATGAAGGCTTATAAAAAAATGGAATCATATGGCAAAATTAATTTTACAACAATAAGAAGGAACAAGGAAAAATCCTTAGGAATAGAGAGTATTATTAATTAACCAAAAAAGAAACCATTTACTGGGAGAGAAATGAAATTTGTACTTACATATAGGAACAACATGGTTTCAAAATGCTTAAATGAAAAAACTGAGAGAAGTACAGGGAATGTTGATTAATACATAGTCCAAGTGGGAGACATTTTACAAAAATCTTCCTATTAGACCAAGTAGAGAAACTACTACTAATAATAATATAGAAAAATTTAACTACACTATTAAAGATATAATAAAATGGACATATATAAAATTCTGCCCTCAAAAATTAGAGGTTAAAAAATTTTCTTAAGAAGAGAGAAATTCTGTTTATGGATCTTGATGTCTTATAACCTCAATTTTCTGGCTTTGGCCATTTCTTAATATTTTATTTTATTTTCAGTGATGACTCTGCAACATTTAGGGCTAGATGTAGTTTAATTTTTATCTGTCTGAAAGTCGTTTATTTTACATCAAGGGGTGGAGATAGGGAGAAGCAATTCATGTGCAGATTTTATGTTTTTGTTTGTTTTTTGAGGAACGGAGGGAGGAAGTGGGTATGGCAGAGGTTGTGGTTAAGGAGAACATTTCTAGAAAAATGGTCACTGTCAATGCAAAGAAGTGGTATTTGCCTTCAATCCATATATCTCATATTTCTGCTTCAAATTGAAATTACCTTTACAAAAATTATGACAATGAAAGAAATCTGACCTAACCAATTCCATGTTGCTTATAACCTTCAAGCTGCCTGATACGTTTTGGCTCTGTGTGCCCACCCAAATATCATCTTGAATTGTACTCCCGTGATTTCCACATGTTGTAGGAAGGACCTGGTGGGAGATAAATGAATCATGGGGGCAGTTTCCCCCATACTGTTCTCATGGGAGCGAATAAGTCTCATGAGATCTGATAGTTTTATCAGGGGTTTCCGCTTTTGCATCTTCCTCATTCTCTCTTTGCCTGCTGCCATCCATGTAAGATGGGACTTGCTCCTCCTTGCCTTCCGCCATGATTGTGAGGCTTCTACACCAACTGGAACTGTAAGTTCAATTAAACCTCTTTCTTTTGTAAATTGCCCAGTCTCAGGTATGTCTTTATCAGCAGTCTGAAAATGGACTAATATGCTGCCCTTGTTCAACCCTAGGCATAGGCCAAGCTAACTATGGAGGAGTTTAGTTTATAGTTTAACTTTGAAACAAAGATGGCATCAACCCCTTTCTGATACAAACCCACTCCTTGCCTGGGGATCAGACCTCCTTTGTAAAATTAACACATTAGCCACAAGATTAGAAATTATGGCTCTGGTGTCATGCAGTCAGAGGCCACAAGATTCCTAACCTCCCCAATTGCCCTTATAGATAACATCGCTGTCATAAAACCTAAGATTAGTGTTTGAAGTATTTTTAAGACCTTGATTTCTTTTTTTTTTTTTTTTTTTTTTTTTTTTTGAGACAGTGTCTCACTCTGTCACCAGGCTGGAGTGCAGTGATGGGATCTGGCCCACTGCAACCTCCACCTCCCGGGTTCAAGCAATTCTCCTGCCTCAGCCTCCTGAGTAGCTGGGACTACAGGCACACACCAGCATGCCCAGCTATTTTTTGTACTTTTAGTAGAGACAGGGTTTCACCATGTTGGCCAGAATGTCAGACCCTGATTTCTGATGGACTAACTGTTGCCACACAGACCAGTAAACTGGCTTATCTGGTCTTGTAGCCCCCACCCAGGAACTGACTCAGTGCAAGAAGACAGCTTTCACTCCCTATGATTTCTTCCCTGACCAAACCAATCCGTGTTTCTTATTCCCTAACTCCCTGTTCACCAAACTATCTTTAAAAAACCCGGCCGGGAGCGGTGGCTCACGCCTGTAATCCCAGCACTTTGGGAGGCCGAGGCGGGTGGATCACGAGGTCAGGAGATGGAGACCATCCTGGCTAAAACAGTGAAACCCCATCTCTACTAAAAATACAAAAAATTAGGTGGGCGTGGTGGCGGGCACGTGTAGTCCCAGATACTGGGGAGGCTGAAGCAGGAGAATGGCGTGAACCCGGGAGGTGGAGCTTGCAGTGAGCCAAGATCGTGCCACTGCACTCCAGCCTGGGCAACAGAGTGAGACTCTGTCTCAAAAAAAAAAAAAAAAAAAAAAAAAACCAAAACAAAAAAAAAACCCTAACTTCTGAAATCACAGGGAGACTGTAATTTGAGTAATGAAACCCCAGTCTTCCATTTAGCTGGCTGTGCAATAATTAAACTCTCTATTGTAAAAATCTGCTGTTCTCAGTGCATTAGCTTTTCTAGGCAATGGACAAGATGAACCCATTGGGCCATTACAAAACCATGGAAATAAAGCTTTTGTCAGGGTATTTTCCGTAGAGAGAAAGAGCCTTCTCCAAATTACCTATGTGTGATCTAGTTATAAAGATTTGCAGGGAGCAGCTGTAACACCTGACCCCTTCCTGTATCTGTATCAGCCTTGCTACCTGCCGAGGGTGTTAGCCGAGAAACGCTGGTGAGCTCCCTTTCAGTGCAGTGTTGCGGAGCAACCTTCACAGATTGTAACATGGAGAAGGGTCCCAAAGAAATCATCTTGCGTTCAGGCAGAACTACATAGAAATAACTCCACAAGATCTAGAGAATTCAAGAGTAGGTAATTATACCAATAACTACAGCAACCCAGGATGGCTAAGATCTCTGATAGACTCTTTGGCCTCATTCTTAGATCAGCATCTGTGGTCCCAGCAGAGCTATACAAGTCCAAGTCAGAGCAATTATCCTGCCGTAGGATGATACCTTTCCAAACTGCTCTTTAGGGCTGCTGTGACTAATTCCCATTTCCCCAATTCTAGCCCTGCCTATTCCTTCTGTCTAAGCTTAACTACCTACCCAGGGTCTCCAACCTCACTTTCATTATTCTTTCAGCTGAATGTCTACTCAGTGTAAGACACTATGCTCAGCCCTGAGACTGCAATGGAAATCTAGACATATGAGGTCCTCACTTCTATGTAACTCAAGATTTGGAGAAAGAAGCAGACAGTCAATCAATCACTCACTCAAGCATTCAAGTATAATAATTACAGATTATTAAACGTTCACTGGAGTAAATTACTTTGGTGCTAACCATTCTAGTTGTCCACCAAGTCTGCAGTGAAACCAGTTAGGCTTCCTACTCCTTTGCCTTGGCTGGAAATACTCTCTTTAATTCCTCCAACAAAGATGAAACTATAGGAGGAATGAATCTCAAAGCTAGTGTCATGGTTTTGTTTATTCTACTTTCTAATTTGGGACATATATCTGATAGGAAACCACAATTATTGGCCATTTCTTTTGTGCTCTTTACTCTTTTAAGAGTAATGAGTTTCACATGTATTACTGTAACAACCTTTCTCTAACCCTTACTTTGTAAAAGAAATGGATGTTCAGAGACATGAAGTAAGTTGCCCAAACTTGCACAGCCAGGAGCTTGGAGGTAAATTTAGACCTGACTGCTTCCAGTTCTCCTGTACCTTCTGCTACATTGTAGCTGTGTCTGTTAGCAGCACATACCTCCAAGACTTGCATTCACATTACCTGTGTGGGATGTCTGCACATACATAGGCCTCAGAGCTTAGACTGAAACTTGACAGAAATAAGGCAGCAACAAAAAGGGTCCTTTACTGAATATCCTAATTACTCTGGTGGGATTCATATTCATTTTCTGACCTAATTATTATTAAGAATATGCCATCTGTGTAAACTGGGTTTTATGATTTTGTTGTAAACTTTTGTGCAATTTAACTTAAAAGAAAAAAACAACTAACCTTTAATGTAATTCCATGATGGAAAAATGCTGGTTTGATGTACAAGGTCTAATTGTCCCCATCACATGGTAAAAATCCAAATGTAGCTAAACATTAAGGTTAAATGATGATACCACAACTTAGTTTGCATTTTACATCCAATTGAAAACACAAACCCCTCGCCTCATTAATCCTTTGCAATCCAATTCCCCCCCCCGCCGCAATGAAATGATCCTTTTGGGACACATTTATATCCTTTTAACAGCCGCCTGACAGTTCTGCTGATGGAGTTTGTATCCAACTTTGTTACTGGATAGTGACAACCTGCCCTGACGGATATGTGTACATAATTATTCTCTCGCAGTTAGATTTAATTAATGCTTACCCTCATCATGATCTTGCAGCTAGCAGGCTCTCTCTGCAGGAGCAGTTAATGGCAAAAGGATTTCCTTTTTAGCCAAGAGAGACTCCAAAAGGCTTTGTAAAACCCTTTCTTTCTTTAAGATTTAACAGAATGAAAATGCATCTGAGCATATTTCATTTGTTTTCTTTCCACATTAATGCCACATGTGAACATATTTGTGGCTACATATAGGGATAGAGTTGTTAAACCTAATTTCAGACTAAGTATTGCTAATATGAGCAGCTGCAACAGATCACAAAGAAGATATATATTTTTTAATATCTTGGCTCAGAATTGAGGTGCCCTGGATACATTTTGTTTATGTCTCTGTACAAAATATGTATGTGTATATTTTTCTAACCAACTGTCTCCCCAAATGCCACCCAGAGTTCAAAAGTAAATAGCTGTGTGAGAGAGGAGATGTTAAGAAGAAATGATGGGGGAGACAAAGGGTGTTTGAAGACAAGCTTTGCAAAGAGATTATTAAGAAGTTAGTAATAAGAAGAGGGAGCATGTATTTATAAAACCCCATTAGAAGGGAATACTTTACACATCTGTCCTAGTCCTTGCTTCTGAAATATTCATGTGCCATTTGATTTTTATTACCATAATGGCAATGTCTTGTGTTTGTAGAGAGCTTAACAGTTGACAACACATTTTTGCACCTACTATCTTAGGTGATCTTTGTAAGAACCCTGTGAAATGTGCAGAGAAGCCTTCACAGGTGAGTAGACTGAGACACAGAGAGGTTGTGTCACTTTGACCACAATCATACAGCTGGAAAGTAACAGAACCTGGCACAGATGCCACATGCAGCTTTTTTTTTTTTTTTTTTCATGGTGGCAGGGTCTCGCTATGTCACCCATGCTGGAATGCAGTGGTGCAACGGTGGCTCGCTACAGCCTCAACCTCTGTGAAGCAATAGCTTCTAAAACAAAATCTAATGCTATATCAAATAACTTCTCCCATCTCTTCCTTTAGGTTTAAAATGCATGTAAGGAAGATTTAAGTGAGCAACTCCAACAGCAGTGCCTCCTTTCCTTCACTTGTCATGCTAAAGCATCAGCAGACTCTCAGCTAAAAGATACCATTTAAGTTGAAAGTAATATGATGCTACTTATTTTAATGATTATATACAATATTAATGATCATTATTGCTGTGAGTTGTTATGGGAGATTTTATCCAGCAAGATTCCAGAAGCCTCCAGTAAAATGTGGCCACATCAAGATGATAGAAGGAATCATATCTTTTTTCCTGTTATGGCAAATACTGTTTAAAGGCTGTGACCTTGAACCCTCAAAAGGCCTTAAATGAAATTCAGGAATGTGGAGTGGGAGGTGGGTATGTAGAAATCGTCCCATAACACAAATGAGAAAACTGAGGCACAGAGAGGGAAAGCAACTTTTTTACCATGAGTTAGTGGCATATCTGGGCCCCCAACCCTGGTTTACTGACTCCCAGTTCAGATCTCTGCCCACTATGCTATAGCTAAGCTGGAAGAAGCCTGAGAAATCCCTGTTTTCACAAGTGAGAAACTGAGACCTGGAGAAGGGGGCGTGGCTAATCCAAGGTCATGCACCACAGAGATGAAAATGTATCCAAAATCCTGTCTCCTTAATTCCTATAAATTCGATGCAATTCAACAAATATTGTTCGGGTGTACGCTACGTGCCAGGCATGTGAGTTAACTGCTGTGGTGACATCAGCCTCCAAAAGCACAGACAGGCATGTCGCAGAGATGAGAGGAAAGAATATGGCTGCTCATACTCATTTGATACAGTGAGTAAGAAGAATGTGAAACCAATTCCTGGTGAAGTCCAAGTCCGAATTTAAACAAACTGACCTTGGAGAAGAGGGCTGAGGAGAGGTGGGTAGGGAGGAATGGAGAAGGGTGGAGTTACAGTCCCAATTACAGTCTCTTTGCTTTGCTTGCCTCTTAATGTAATTACCTCTCTGAGTCTCCAAAGATGAATATTTAAATTAAAGAATAAGGGCTAGAGCCAGTAGAAATACAGCCTCTTACATTCAGCCAGTACTCTACAGGGTAGTAACACTAGCATCGTGTGTTGTCATTGTATTCTTATTTATCAAGAGCTTACCATGCATCTTTTGATTTTGCATATGTTATCTAACTGTACTTCACAATATTTTCATAGTGTATATATTATTATTATCCATATTTTACAGGTGAGAAAATTTTGGCTCACGAGGCAAGACCCACTTGTCTAATGTCAAATAGATGGTCAGTGGCAAAACCTGGATTTGAACCAGATTAATTGAACCCCAAAGTCCAGTCTCTTAACTGTGACACATATGGCCTCTCTCATGGAAGCCTTCTGCTTGAGCACAGGGTGCTAAAGCTTGGAGTGGTGCCCACAGGTCTGTTTTTGCATCCTCATTGCTCTGGGACAGTGATTCTCAGAGGGTAGCTCCTGAACACGCAGCATCAGCATCCCGTGGGAACTTGACAGAACTGTAAATTCTCAGCCCCTGCCACTGTAGGGTGGAGCCTGATGATCTGTGTTTTAACGGCCTTACAGGTGATCCTGATACATGATTAAGTGAGAGAGCCACTGCACTAGGAAGATATTCCCATCCTTGGCTTCCTCTTCAGTAATCTCAGGGCCAGGGGTATCCTGGAGGTCACTGATTCCAGCCCCTTTTGGAGCTTTCTGCTCCTCATCTGGTCTGTGTGTGTTGGTGCTATTCTGTTTTATATGGATGATCAAAGTCAGTTTGAAAGACATTGAGGGTTAAAAGCTTTGTAAGCAGGCTCCGGGGAATTGGGACATGTTTCGCATGGAGCACTGAGTTGTGGCATGTGTCTGAACTGCTAAAAGTGAAGGAGGAAGTTCCACAGTGTCTCTGTTTGCCTCCTCCTCCATAAACCCACCACCAGCAATGAACACAGCCGTAGCCACCCTGTTGACTTCATAAAGTCTTTTAAGTTGGTGTTGAACAAGCAAAAGGGAGGATTGTCCTGTCTTTCTCTGTCAAGCCCCTAGCCAGTAAATCGAATCATGCATCCACACCTTAAATCTCTTCTCTTTCCCCACAAAGTCAATGACCATGTGGACACTTCAGACTGCTGCCCATTGCTTAGCAGTGGTCCTATTTTTAGCTTGTATCCTTGTATCCATATACAGAGCCAATACCTCTCCTCAAAATAAGCTTATCCTTTTCCCTCCCCACTCCCAGGTGTCCCTAAATGCAACCTGAGTGAGAGGCACTAGTGCAATTGTGGTGGATGCTATGGGACCTGGGCCATCTGCTACTGCAGTTTATTTGTATCCCTTGAGCTTGCTTGGACCTAATTGTGATTTGCCACTCTCATCTTATGTGAGAGTCATACTCTACCACATGACTCAGAGGGTCTGACAGAACCAGCTCATGACTTCTGCTAGATTATGGCTGCATGTTTTCTTGATAGCATCCAATAGCATACCTGAAACTTTCACGGGAAAGTTCCTTCTTTCAAATGCATTCTTTCTGCTGCAGAAGGCATGACCTTACTCTGAGAGCAGGAGATCTACATTGTGTGTCTCCTGATTGGAACTTGCAATCCACACAGTATTTATTATCACCAGGAACTCTTATCCTACAGGTGATATGGTTTGACTCTATATTCCCACCCAAATCCCATGTCAAATTATATGACCAGTTTTGGAGGAGGGGCCTGATGGGATGGTATTGGATCTTGGGGGCGGATTTCCCCCTTGCTGTTCTCAAGATGGTGAGTGAGTTATCAGGAGTTCTGGTTGTTTGAAAGTGTGTAGCACGTCTACCCTCACTCCCTGTCTCTCTCCTGCTGGCCATGTGAAGATGAACTGGCTTCCCCATCGGCTTCTGCCATGATTGTAAGTTTCCTGTGGCTTCCCCAGATGCAGAAACCTGTATAGCCAGCAGAACAATGAGATGATTTAACCTCTTTTCTTTATGAATTAGTCCGTCTCAGATATTTCTTTATAGCAGAGTGAGAATGGACTAATACAAGGTCCACTGGGTCATATGGTAACAAATGGCAGGGTTGTTTGCATCACAGCCTAACTGCTGCAGCACCTTTTCCTGTTCTGTGATCCAACTCAGAGTTGGCAGCCTTCCATGCTACTTGGAAAATGGGTCAGGGAAATATTCCCAAGTGTGTAATTTGCTGTCTCCAGAATCAAAAGAGGCCTACCAAGCATTCTGCTTCCTTCCTGGAGGTGTGAGCTGTGAGATGCAGTAATTTATTCTTTATTTTGCAAGGGATGTTATGGCATGCCACAGACTGCTGAACTCTAAAATTTTCACTGATGTAGTGAACCCCCGATTCTTCATAAGATTTATCTCACACCTTCTAAAGCACATATCTTACCAAAATCTTGAACATATTTTTCCTTTCTTGTTCCTCTAGCCCAGTGATGCACCAACATAATAGACCAATGTGATACTCTGTGAAATATCTAGATGGTCCATGTTCTTCAGATTATGTAACGACAGAGGGTAGAACAGTTAATAAAGCCCTGGGGCAAGACCACAAATGTGTAGTGATGCCTACCCCATGTGGATGTGAACTTCTTCTAATAATTTTACCAGATAGAGATGGAAAAGAAAAAACTTATTTTCCATATTAATGGACACATACTGTGTACCCCAGGCTGTATTAATTACCTGTAGCATAGACACTACATCTGACAACTGCAAAACTTGGGCCTACAATTTGTTTGAGTTTGTATTAGCTCACTGTTACCCTCCTGAATCCATCTGAATTTTGAAGGGACAAGACTGGTGAATTAAATGTGAATATGATACAGACCATCACTCATGCATCCTTAAAGTCTGTAAGTATAGCACTGATTGCTTCCATTACCTACAGGATGAGACTTTAGTTTTAGTTTCCTCTCTTGGGTGGCAATGGAAATGTCTCCACTTGCCTTCCCCATTATGATAGTTTTAACACAGAGTCCAAAGAAACAATGAGAGGAGGATTCTTCCAGCCACCAAGTATGGCTGTGTCAATTCTACATTTGGGGGCTAGGGAGAGGATCCTCCCACTGTGAGCTACACCTAGGTTGTGACTCCATTCTGTTACCTGGAACCCCTTGGTCCCCGACTCTAAGTATGCCTGGGGTCTCTGCTATCACTGTCAACTTGTACTCAATGGTCTTTGAAATGTCTGGATGTTCCTCTTCCTCTGGTGTATGATTGTCCAAATAAAAGTCCATAAGTCCCTCTGAGGAAGGCCTAGAGGAGACATTACTGTATACACTCACTGTGGCATGGTGGCCTTCCTCATGGGCACCCAGGCTCTCCTTTGGTTGGTGAATACAAGTCTGAAAACTGGTTCAGGTCCAGAAAGTGGGCATGTTGTAGGTGTGAGCAAGTACTTGCCATCATAACGTGATGACTCATTGTGCAGGAAGTTCTCAGAACACGTGTGGGAAGGTGAGTTTCCAGTCATTCACTAAGAGATATGACAAAGTTTTCCAATGAGCCACCACCTTCTTCCAGTCCAGTGTTTTATTCCCACCCCCACACCCAATAGGAGCCAAAATATTTTGTAATTTTTCAGCATTTCACAATTACATAATCTCTGAGTATATATACTCAGGGTATATATATATATATATATATATATATATATACACACACACACACACACACACACACACATACAAATATATAGAGATATCTATATATGATTTCCTTTCATATGAAATAATAGCTGTGTGAGGGAATTACCTTTTCACATTCTAGTGCTATAGTGCTATTTTGTTTATTCACCTCCATCTTGCAAAATCTACCCATAGGAAAGCTTCTAAAGTCAAACCCCATCTTCCTATGAAATTCAGGATAACATGCGTGTCACATTGTGTCACATTGGGATGCCCTCATTTTTGTCAGTCTCTGGCAAATCCCATCTATCAGAGGAAGGCTGGTGAGGTGAGGATTAGTGTCTCTTTCTCATATTTCAAATAATGTAAAAATTATATTTAAAAAGATTCAGAGAGGTTTAATAATTTGTTGAAAATCAGACATGAAGGAAGAAGTTGGACTCAAATCTAGCTCCCAATCATTGCATGTGTTCTTTCTAGCACTTGTAAGGGTAGGCTTGATTGCAAGCTGTGGAGTGAAAGCTGTGAGATGCAGGAGAGAGTAAGGAGAAGGAGGTGCTGGAGAGGGTCAGGACATCAGGAGGCCACACCCTAGTTTACCTTCTCCTCAACACACATGATAGGGGCCTCCTTGTCCTGGCTACAGGAAGCTTGGGCATTCCCACTCCTTGAACCTGAAGCCAGTTTCTGCAAACTCAGAAGCAATTGGGAAATAGCACACCATGCCTAATCAAATAAAATTCATTTCTTTCATCTCCCCAGAGAGTTCCTCATTTAAACAAACAGGTGAGTTTCCAAAAGTATATGTGTTTGCAAGATGTTTTCAAACCTGCATGTAAATCCTTTTCTGTTTTGAGAGGGCAGGCAGAGTGGGCAATTTACAATTTTTCTTTCTACTGTTTAGCTTTAAATTTTTCTGTGCATTATCTATTCATTCATTCAACAAGTATTTATTGAATGCCTACCCAATGCTGGGCACTTAAGTGAATGCAGAGTATGGTGATAAAAAGACAAAGGTCCTGAACTCCTGCAGGTTCTATTCTTCTGTAAGAGAGAGGCAATAAACGTAGATATGACATCATCTCAGAAAGCAATAAATGTTATGAAGAAAAATAAAACAGGGTAAAAAGATAGAGTGAGGAGGTGGAGGAAGGGAGTATCTTAGGGTGGTCAGAGAAGGCTTCTTGAGGAGGTGACAGTTGCACAGAGACCTGTGGAGAAACAACATTGTAGGAAGAGAAAGAACAGTATTATGACCCTGAGACAAGAACAAGGTTAATGTATTCAGTGGCCTGCAGGAAGACCAGGGTGAGTGAGAAGGGCAGGAAGAGAAAAAGATGGAAAAATAGCCTGGGGTTACATAATTAGGATCCAGCTGTGGATTTTGGAGTATTGTTTTACAGCTGATGAGCATCCATTGGAGACTAGTGAACAGGGAAAGGACTTGGTTTGATTTACATTTATAATCTGACCTCTCTAACTTTTGTGCATGGAATAGGCATTGGGAATATAAATGTAGAAGCCTGGAGAGTGTCAGAAAGCCCATTTTGTGGTAAAATAGACAGACGATGATAGCTTCATCTAATGTTGCAGCTGTGGAGGTGATGAGAAATGATCAAACCTTAGGATTTTTTGGTAGAGACAATGGGACTTAGATCTGGATTGGCTGTCCTCTAGGAGAGGAAAAAAAGGGATCAGTGATGACTACCATGTTTTGGTCTGGGTAAGTTCATGACTGGAGATCTAGGATGGGGGCAACTGGGCCAGTAGCTGTCTTAGGAAGGGCAAAAAAGAACTCTGGCTTAACCATGTGATGTCCTCTCATCTGAATAGTAGCTTTCCAAACCATATGGGAAATATAGAATTACTTTTGTTTTATAAAAGAAAACAGGGAAATTAAATTACTTAAACCCGCATGACAACACTGATAGAACCAGGATGTAGACCCAAGAATCCTAGGTCTCGGCTACTGAGCTTTCCTTATAACTGGTCAGTGAATCCCTTTGAACAACCTGGCACTTTTTTCCTCGTTGGGTTTGTGAAGAGGTCAGGATTTATTTATTTATTTTTTTAATATAACGGTGATTTTCAAAAGGGGTTTCCCCTACATTCTGCCCTGCTGCCATGAGACGCAGGGGCCTTTGGGTGGCTCTTACCCCCAGAGCCTGCGAAGTTCACCCTGGGAATGAGTGCCATGTCTGAAGAAAGATGGAGTGTGACGGCTGCTTAGAAAGCATACTGTTTCTCCTGGGATAGAAACGTAGAAGAGCTGTTGGGGATTGTTAGCTCAGGGAAAGAAAAAGTCAGACTCTCAGCACATGGTAGATTATTTATGTTTGAGATTAACAGGCTAATAACTCAGCAAACAGGATTAAATTGGAAAACATCTCATCAAAACATCTGCAGTACCATGGGGTAGGGGGTGCTGATGAGAACTCCTCTTGATTTATTCCTTCTAGCCAACACTTGTTAGCTCCTACTATGTGCCAGGAACCATATCAGGAGCTCAGGGAGAGAAAAAGCCTCTGCTCACATCTTGAGGCAGTAGGTGAGGGGAGCCCTTCCCACTCTCAACAAAGTCCCTCATTCTTTCCTAAAACAGCCTGTTGACACAACTTTGGGTATTAGTGGAGTTGCGTTTTTTTTTTTTCTCTTTCTTCGTTCTTTTCTTTTTTTTTTTCTCCACTTTGCTTTTTTCCCATCTCCCAGAGCTGTTTAAAACCCTACACTTGTCCAAGAAAGAAAAGAAAAAGTGCAAATAGCAACTTACATTTAGTCCCTTCCACTTGGATCTGAGCTAGTTAAGTTTGGTGTTTGTGTAGAAACTTTCATGTGTCTTCCACAGA
Organism: Homo sapiens; assembly: GCF_000001405.40. Lineage (NCBI taxonomy): Eukaryota > Metazoa > Chordata > Mammalia > Primates > Hominidae > Homo > Homo sapiens. Next base: position 117,117,202 of record NC_000009.12, on the reverse strand, counting down.
GAGTAATGAATTTTTCCTAGCTAAGGGGAAACTGAGGTACCCCATCCCAAAGATGAGCCCCTCTCTGTTTTTCACTTGCCTGATTTCTTGACTGCTGTGAAAACCTCACTGTTATCACCACCAGTCCCCATGCTTAAGCATTCATATTACCATATTATCCTATTACCATATTGTCCACAAGAGGTATGAGAAAGAACACTGGGTCCAGAGACCCAGGAGTTGATTGTGAATCTGTTACTGTCATCTCCCAAGCATAAAGCTTTATACATCAGTAATAGGACATTCTGCTTACATTATGTAATTGTTAGACCTAATTAAACGATGAATGGGAAAGGCCTTTTTTTTTTTTTTTTTTTTTTTTTTTTTTTGGCTCATGCCAGAACTGCCTCAAAACCCCATCAACACACACACACACTCACACAGAGAGACTTTTTAGGAACAATTGGAAATAACTCTACTGGCCACAGGACAACTATTAGGCCATGGAGGCAGGCACATTCCCATGTAGCCTAGCTTGGAAAGAGCAGTTTTGCAAGGACTTTGGAGCAAAGCTTCCACTGTTGCCTTCCAGAATCACCATTCTCCTAGACTAGCATTGTGCAGAATTAAAAAAAAAAAAAAAACTTTTGATGAAATCTTTTCCCTTAACATTGTCTATAGCTTTGATCAAGCAAATGGCAAAGATTATTCAAGTTAGCAGTTGAATCTGTTGTTCCTGATTGTGTGTTTGTTTAATTCTTGTGTGGCCAGAAAGATGCACATGATAAAGACCCTGTAGTGCCTCCATCATGCTTCAAAAGTATGTTCTGACCAATCTACATAGGTTCACAAGAAAACCCTTATCTCTGTAGAGAAGTTCACATTCTTTTACTAGTTTCAGCTTACTGACTGAAAGCTAGAGCCAAGCCAGAATCTCTGTTTCACTTGTGTGTGATCATCTTTCCTCCATTCTCATGCCTCACTACACACACAACCCTAATCTCACATCCTGACCATTCTTTCTGCTACCCCCAGGAGATAGGAGTGAGGCCCTGCCATGTGTTCCACAGCTCTTGCATTAGCCTATGCTGTAGCCTTATTATACTTCATTCTGCCTTCTGGATTCTTGACCATTTCCTCCATCTGAATGTGAGCTCTTGGATGGGAGCAATATATATATATATATGCATTTTTTTTTTGAGGCGGAGTCTCACTCTGTCCCCCAGTCTGGAGTGCAGTGGCACAATCTCAGCTCACTGCAAGCTCCGCCTTCTGGGTTCACGCCATTCTCCTGCCTCAGCCTGCCGAGTAGCTGGGACTACAGGCGCCCACCACTACGCCCAGCTAATTTTTTGTATTTTTAGTAGAGACGGGTTTTCACCATGTTAGCCAGGATAGTTTCGATCTCCTGACTTCGTGATCCTCCTGCCTTGGCCTCCCAAAGTGCTGGGATTACAGGTGTGAGCCACCGCGCCCGGCCAGCAATTGTCTCTTATTGACAGTTATACCCCTAGCCTACTGCACAGGCTTAATATGTAGTAGGCATTCAAACAACGTGTTGAGTAAACAAATCAATATTTGAATAAATGAAACTACAGCTATTTGTTGTCCAAGGTTTCCAATATCCTTTTAAATGTATTATCTCACTTAAGACTTGTGACCATAGTATAGAATAGATATTTTGTTTTGTTTTGTTTTTCTGAGACAAAGTCTCACTCTGTCGCCCAGGCTGGAGTACAGTGGCATGATCTCGGCTTACTGCAACCTCAACCTTTGCATCCTGGGTTCAAGTGATTCTCCTGCCTCAGCCTCCTTAGTAACTGGGACTACAGGCATGCACCCCCATGCTTGGCTAACTTTTGTACTTTTAGTAGAGACAGGGTTTCACCATGTTGGCCATGCTGGTCTTGAACTCCTGACTTCAAGTGATCCACCTGCCTCGGCCTCCCAAAGTGCTGGGATTACAGGTGTGAGCCATCACATTGCCCGGCCTAGAATAGATATATTCCCATTTTAGAGATGTGAGACTTAGAGTTTAGAGAGCTCAAGTGACTCACTTAAGGTCACTGTTAATGGTGATGATTGCTGTATACAAAATTACCCCAAAGCTTTGTGGTTAAAAGCAACAACCTTTTCCTTTGGCCCACAGTTTTGTGGGTCAGGAATTCGTAAAGGGCTTGGCTGGGCAGTTCTTGCTTCGGGGTGTCTCATATAGTTGTAGCCAAACACCAGGTGGGGCTGTAGTCATCTGAAGGCTCAACTGAGCTGGACATCAAAAATGGCCCCCTCACATGGCTGGAAATGGGTGCAGTTGTTGGCTAAGAGCTCCAATGGGGATGTTGACTGGTGTGCCTACATGTGGGCTCTCCAAAATGCTAATCTCTGAGTAGTCAGGTTTCTTGGATAGTGACTGGTTTCTGTCCCAGGAGAACTAAGTGACATTGCATGGCCTTTTCTGACCTGGCCATGCAAGATACATAGCCTCAATTCTGTCATTTTCTTTTAGTCAAAGCAGTAACAAGCCCTCCCAGATTCAAGTATTGAAGATCCTGTATCTCAGTAAGAAGTATGTCAAGAATTTCAGGGCTATGTATAAAGCTACCACAGTAACACAGAATTAAAAAACAAAACAAAACAACAAAAAAGCCTCAAACTTAGGTTTTCTGACTCTAATTCAATAATTTTTTGCTATTCCATGATTGATATATAACATGAATTTTGAATATACAAAACAATTCAGAGCTAATGCAGTGTATCAATGAGGGCCTCAGTTCTCCAGACAGCTGCAGGAAGAATTGTTATGCTAAAAACACAATTTCTGATAAATTATTGAATTGTCTGTGTTCTAATTTCATGCCTGAAATGCAGAGGAGAAGTGAGGATACTCATCCCTCTGGGATTACTGCTCTGCCCGTAAGTCTGACCAACAATAAGAGTGTCATTCGATAATGAGTTATATTAGACTAAAACACACATCTTAGTCACACATTTGACTAGGGACACAAAGCTGGCCTTAATCTGATAAATCCCATAGACTTTTTTTTTAAAAAAAAAAAAGACTAATGTTCATTAAAAAGAGTTTCTAAAATTCCCCAAAGTATAAACAAAAATGAAAATGTTCTGTACCTCATCCTCCAAAAACTACTAACATATAAATTTTGCCCTATTTTTTTCAAGCTTTACTTATATTTTTCTACATGCAACTTAAAAATGATCTTTATTAAAGTATAACTTGTTTACAAGAAATCACATCCATTTAGAGTATGCAATTCAATGAGTTTTGAAAGATGTATACACCAGTGACCATTTCCTTCACCCCCAAAAGATTCCTGACGACCTTTTACAGTACATCCTTCTTTCTACCTACAATATCAGACAACCACAGATCTGCTTTTTGTTACTATAGATTAGATTTGTCTTTTCTGGAATTTCATTTAAATGGACTCACACAGTATGTAGTTTTTGTGTCTGACATCTTCCATTCAGCATAAAGACTTTGAAATTTCTTCCTTTATTTACACCTGTCAGTAGATCCTTTTTTTTTTGTTTTGTTTTGTTTTGTTTTTTGAGACGAAGTTTTGCTCTTGTTGCCCAGGCTGGAGCGCAATGGTGCGATCTCGGCTCACTGCAACCTCCACCTCCTGTGTTCAAGCGATTCTCCTGCATCAGCCTCCCTAGTAGCTAGGATTACAGGCACCTGCCACCATGCCTGGCTAATTTTTGTATATTTAGTGGAGACGGGGTTTAACCATGTTGACCAGGCTGGTCTTGAACTTCTGACCTCAGGTGATCCACCCTGCTTGGCCTCCCAATGTGCTGGGATTGCAGGTGTGAGCCACCACGCCTGGCCTAAATATGCTGTATTTTATCTGCCAACCAGTTGGTGGATATTTGGGTTGGTTGCAGCTTATTGCTACTGTGGATAAAACTGCTGTGAACTTTCATGCAGAAGTCTTTATGTGAACATATATGGTTTTGTTTCTCTTGTGTAACTAGGAATGGGATATCTGGGTTATTTGGTTGTTGTAGAATTAACATTTTGAGAAATAGGGTTTTTTTCCAAAGTGGATACATGATGCATGTTTTCATCTGCAGTAAATGAGAGTTTCACTTGCTTCAAAACCTTGTCAAGACTGGTAAGACTGATCTTTTTAAAATTTAGCCATTCTAATTGTTGTGCAGTTGTATCTCATTGTGATATAATTTATGTCTCCCTGATGACTAAAGAGGTTGAGGATCTTTTCATGTACTTATCAGCATTCATATATTTTTAGGTATTTCTTCAAATCTTTTCCATTTTGTATTTGCTTATCTCCTTGTATTGTTGTAAGAGTCTTTATAAACATACTTTGTCAGATATATGTATTATATGTATTACAGTTATTTTCCCCGATTATGTAGCTTGTCTTTCCTTTTCTTAGTGGTGTCTTTTGAAGAAGAAGATCTTTCATTTTTCTAAACTCCAGTTTCTCAATTTTTTTCTTTTATGATTTATGCATTTTGTTTTCTATCTATGACCTTTGCCTACCCCAAGGTCAAAACAATGTTTCTCCTGTTTTCTCCTAGAAAGCTTATAGATTTATCTTTTACATTTACTTCTGTAATCCATTTTGAGTTAATATGTGTATATGGTATGAACTATGGGCTTTTGTTCATTCCTTTTAGCATATGGCTCTCCAGTTGTTCCAGCACCATTTATTGAAAAGACGTTCCTTTGACAACTACATCAAAAATCAATTGTATATACTTCTGAACACTCTATTCTGTTTCACTGATTTATATTCCTATCCTTTAGCCAATACAACACTGTCTTGTTTACTACAGCTTTATAATAGATCTTAAAAACAAGCAGTGTTAAGTCTACCAACTTTGTTCTTCTATAAAATTACTTAGCTATTGTGGATTACTTGCACTTTCATATAAATTTTAGAATTACCTTGTCAATTTCTACCAAAACAAAAAAAAAAACCTTGTTGGGATTATAACTTGTATTTCATTTACTCAATATTAAATTTATGGGGAGAAAGCATCTTAACAATATTGAGTATTACAATCTGCAAACATGGTATATTTGTTTATTTAGATTTTCTTTATCTTGACAGTGTTACATTGTTTTCATTGAAGATATATTGCATACCTTTTCTTAAACATATTACTAAGTATTTGAGAGTTTTTTCTACACTATTGTAAATAGAATTATTTTTGAATTTTTTTTTTAGCTTTTGCTGCCAGTATGTAGAAATACAATTAACTTTTGTATATTTACCATTTATATTTCAATCATGCTAAAGTAATTTATTCTAATAGTTGTTTTGTATATTCTTTGTGCTTACTTTTATAAATAATTATGTCATCTTTAAAAAATACAGTTTCATTCCTTCCTTTCAAACTTTAAGCTTTTTCTTTTTCTTGCTTTATTGAAATGGCTAAAGCAAGGGTGTCTATATATATTTCATTTTCAGCAGTTTGACTATGATGTGCAACTCTTTCTTTTTCCCATGTTTAAATCATGTTTGATTTTCCATGAGCTTTGCGAATTTGATAATTTATATCTTACATCAAATTTGGTAAATTCTAGCCTTTATTTCTTTATTTTTATTATTCTATATCTCTCTGAGACTCCAGTTATCTGTATTTAGACTGTTTGATATTGTCCCATGGGTCCTTTAGACATGGTTTAATTTTTCTTACTTCGTTTCTCAGATTGGGGAGTTGGAAAAGTTCTGTTAATCAAAGCCATTGATTATTTTCTTCATTTAATTAAGCCCATCCAGTGTTTTTTTTTTTATTTTATACATATTCAGTTCTAAAATATCTATTTGGTGCATATATTTGTAGATATAGTTTTTTTCCTGCCAATAGTCCTCACATTTTTAGTCATTAAAATCACCATTTCCTTTACCCAACTGATCACAGCTATTGCTGTTAAAGTTCTTGTCTGCTAATTTCAACATCTGGGTCATCTTAGAGTTGGCCTTTGCTGGTTGTCTTTTCCCTTGGGAATGAATGAAACTTGCCTGGTTTACCATATGTTGAGTAATTTTGGATTTAACTTTGGGAATTGTGAATTTATTTTATGAAGACTCTTGGGTTTTGTTATTTTTCTTTAATGCTCATGTTTTGTTTTTGAAGGCAGTTAATTTGGTTGGACTTCAGCTGTCCTGCCTTTGGTGAGCAGCAGCTCAAATCTCCGTGTTTTATTATCTTCAGCTGAGCCTGTCAGGGCCTGCCTTTCACATGTGTAGTCCAGAGGTCAGCCGGAGATATGGGCAGAGATTATACACAGATTGTGGGCTCCCCTTCTCTGAGTCTCTCCTTTTCTTGATTCTTCCCTCACTCTCTGCTGGCTTTACTTGATCTGGGATCCATCCACTGGGTCCTCAGTCCAGACAATGGCAAACTTACTCCTGCTGCTTCAGGTTCCCTGAGCTATGCTGTAAGTGTAGACTACCCTCAAAGGAAGAACCTTGAAGATGAGAAATTCATCCTGTGCTGGCTACTTCCTCTACTTTTCAACTTCTTTCCAAAATATGTCTGCTTTTATTTACTTCCAGGAGCCCTCAGGTAGTATTTTTGGCATTTTGTCCAGAATGTATCATTATTATCTGCACAAGGATAGGTCTGTTACTAGCGTACTCCTCTGTACCATATGCAGAACCTCCTCTGTATTTGATATTAATCATTTTGTTAACATAGGATTTGTGTTTTTATCCCCTTTCTTAAAACTTGTATTGAAATGTAAGTATTTTCTACATTATTTTATCATCATCATCAAAGCCTAATATTCTAACATCATTAACCATTCCCCTCAAGTTGGATATTAAGGCGATTTTCCATTTTCCAATATTTATAAATAATGTTGCAATGAGTATAACAGTGCATAAAGCCCATCCTGTGTCTAGGATGGGTCCCTTATGGTGAATTCCCAGAAGCAGGTCAAAATGGATGGGCATTTTTTAAGGTTCTTTTTTATATTGCCAAATTGCTTCCCAAAAGGACCGTATAAATTTGCACTGCTTGCAGCAATTTAGGAAAATGATCATTTCATAAAATAATATCCAGACAGCACTGGATATTATTAAAGCAAGAAATAACTTTTTTATTTCAAAAGATGAAAAATTATAACCAAAAATTTATGAACATATATATACATAACATTTTAATGGCAGAGGATAGATCTTCCTGGTTCTATGGCAGCAGATTCCAACGTGAAATAGGCGTATTTCAGAGAAGATTCTGAAAAATAAAATTCTGAACAAATAATCACAGACAATTAAAAAGAGCAGGGAAATTGGGAAGCATAGAGGGAGAAGATATACTTGTATAGGAAACTAAAAGATGACAGAAAAGGCCAAAAAGGTGAAACAATTTAGCCCAAACTCATGAGAATACTCCCGGAAAGGCTGAGGCTTCAAAATTGTCAATGCATGGTGGACAAATTTGAAAGAAAATAAGCAAAGGTAAAACAAACTTTTAAAATTGCTTTTGGAACAATAAGAATAAGAAAATAGTTGTCCTATTGGATGAAACAACTGAAACTTTATTACCAGATGAAAGTAAAGAACTAAGTTCATTCTGATTCTGTCAGATTTGTCACACATCAAGAAAAAAACCTGAAAACTAAGAAAGGGAGAATAAAGATATTTTATAAGAAGGGGAATTCTAACACAGAAGTATTAAGTATTTACTTTGAAGTGGCTGCCTTGATTTCCATCTCTAGACCCAATCAAATTACTTCCAGGGGCTAAAATAATCTTGAGATGTTTTCAGAACCAGAGAGTTGGGTGTAATCTTGGAGAAATCAAGGCAGGAACAAGAGTTTCCAAAATTCTATTGAAGGACAGATTTATTTTTATTTATTTATTTTTATTTATTTATTTATTTATTTTTTGAGACAGGGTCTCCCTCTGTGTTTGTTTATTTATTTATTAATTAATTTTTTGAGACAGAGTCTCCCTCTGTCGCCCAGGCTGGAGTGCAGTGGCAAGATCTCGGCTCACTGCAACCTCTGCCTCCCAGGTTCAAGCGATTTTCCTGCCTCAGCCTCTTGAGTAGCTGGAATTACAGGCATGTATCTCCACGCCCAGCTAATTTTTGTATTTTTAGTAGAGACGGGGGTTTCACTATGTTAGCCAGGCTGCAAACTCCTGGCCTCAAGTGATCCGCCCACCTCGGCCTCCCAAACTGCTAGGATTACAGCCGTGAGTCACCATGCCCAGCCGGAAGGACAGATTTTATCCAGCTTACTAATAAATGGTGAAGCACTATTGAATCTTGATTATGATTCTCAAGTACAATGAGGTGGGTTTGTCAAATTTACATGGTCAATATGTGAAGGGAAGTTGGGAGCACCAGAAGCCATCATGGGTTCATGAAGAAAAATTATGCCAGATGTATTGCATTTCTATTTGGGTTGGTTTGTTGCATGGGAAGATCAGGGATATACCACAGATACCAGATATCTGAATGCACCCAAGATATTTGACAAAGCAAGGTCACACAGCCAGTTTGGAGATGGAGTTTGCTGGGAAGTTAAGTGTCTTTCTATTCCCAGGATTCCATGCTAGGTTTTCCCTAGTGAGAACTCTCTGGTTCTCACAAGTATATTAATTTCTGCATGTGTTTATTTGAATATTCAATCTTCCCAATTAAATGTAAGCTCTCTGATGGCAGAAACTATTTCTGTTTCACTTCCCAGTGCATGTCCACTTCTAGGCACATTATGGGCTCCCAACAGATTGAATGAACAAAATGTGTGTGTGTGTGTGTGTGTGTGTGTGTGTGTTTTGTTTTGTTTTGTTTTTTTCCAAAGGGCACAATTGTAGGCTGCTTGATAGTATAGTCAAGATGGTTTACTTTTATTCAATTACATGTTCTCAAAGAGTTTTCATTCACAGTCTGATGTCACCCTGAAGAGGGTTCTCTGCCCATTAGCTGTCAAGTTTTATTCCAACATGAATGTCAGTGTCTTAAAGAAGGGAATACCTAGCATGGAATACTGGGAATAACAAGGGCCACAGTTAAACTTCCCAACCAACCCCGTCTCTGTACTGGCTGTGCAATCTTTCTCAAGACAATCCCTGAAGATATCAATTTATTGATATTTAACACATGGATATCAGCATCAACTTAATTGCAGTCTTACATGTACTCAATGATTGTACCATACATAAATGTTTAGTCCTGTTGCTTGACATGTAGCAGGCAGTCAGTCACTATTGTTCCCTTTCTTACCTCCTGCTCCTTTTCAGGTTTATTCAACTCATAAAGGGCCTGTAGTCAGGGAATACTGCAACTATGAGATCAGAAGATTAGGACCAAAAAAGTACATCTTGAGAGACTAGAAGAAAGGGTTGAAATATACAGATACAATTTGGTAGTACAAAACGTTCTTTACTTTGGTTTAGAAGCATCAATTCTACAAATACATGATAGGAAAGACCAGATTTATTTGCAGTGCATGTCAACAAGGAACTGAGGGCATGTTGAGTGTAAGTCAGCTGCCAATAAAGCTGAAGCAGGCTTGGGCTGCATTATTATAAGTCTTGTGTTCAGAGAGAGGGAGGTGTAGTCCATTATTGCTCTATGCGGGTCAGATCACACCTGAATTAGCATGCCCAATTCTGGACATCAAAACGCAAAAAGAATGTGAGAAAATTGAACTATTTTAAAAAGGATACGGCAGAATGAATTTGAAATATGGGATGCATATCAAAATTACTAAGATTTGAAAACAATGATGTAATACCCAGTGTTACAGAAGATACAGTGAAATAGTCACTCATATACAGCTGATTGGGATAAAATTGGTATATCCTTTCGGGAGGGTGTCTTGACAATATAGATCAAAAAACCTTAACTATGTCGAAACCCTTTGACCCATCAATTTCTCTTTCAACACTCAAGAAATTTCTACATGGGGATGCATAGGGATGTGTAGAAATATTTACCTGTAAGAATGTGTGATAAAATAGTGAAAAACTGGAAACAATGTAAAATTTAAACAATAAGAAATTGGTTAAATAAGCAGTACATTGACATAGTAATTCTACTATGTCAATAGTAGAACTTTTCAGGCATTAGGTGATATTGAAGATGAATACTTAATGGAATGATAATATTTATGACATTTTAATTAGCTTTAATTCCATAAGCAATCTATATTTATTTTCTCACAAAAAGGAAAAAAGATAAGAAGAATATCTCAATATTCAGAGAAAATCACCAGTATCATTTGGGTATATGTAGGTATAGATACATGTATAGATGAATATTTTGTACATATAAATCTAGATGTGTGCACATGCACAGACACACATATGACATATGTAAATTACATAATAGAAAAAGCTGTCAGGTATATAATTTAACCCCAATATGTATTCCTAGCATAAATAAATGTATCGGTATATAGATAGATAGATAGATAGACAGATAGATAGATAGATAGATATTTTTTACAAAATTCACAGGATATGCTCAAGTAACAAGACAATGAAACCTAGTTGTAAAAACGTATGCATATAAATGCACTGTTAAAATCTCAAAGTAAGAGAAGTCAGTTGGGAGTAATAAAATTTGACTTGATTATTATTTTCTTCTTTGTGCCTTTCTTATTTTTGAAAACATTTCTACAATAAATATGTACTGACTTTATAATTCAAAAATTATAATTTTTAAACATATAAGGAATGGCTGAAGGAATTAATAAAAATATGTAGCTTGGGCTGGGTGCAGTGGCTCACGTTTATAATCCCAGCACTTTGGGAGGCTGAGGGGGGTGGATATCACTTGAGGCCAGGAGTTTGAGACTACCCTGGCCAACACGGCAAAATCCCGTCTCTATTAAAAATACAAAAATCACAGCTACTCAAGGGGCTGACGCACAAGAATAGCTTGAAAATGGGAGGCGGAGGTTGCAGTGAGCCGAGATTGCGCTACTGCACTCCAGCCTGGGTTACAGAATGAGATTCTGTCTCAAAAGAAAAAAAAAAGAAGAAAAGAAATATGTAGCTTGGATGAAAAGATTGTGAGTGGGCACATAAGCAACCTCAGATGACTGAGGACCATCATAAAGGGAAGCTAACAGTCTGACTCTACCATTTCAAAAGTCTGGACGGAATCTAGAAAGTGGAAATTTCACGGAACTTAATACCTGACCAACCTCAGATACTCAAATCTGCCCCCTTACTCTACTGTAGCTTCCAGAATTGGTTCTATATTCTCCTCTCTGCTCTGCCATTTATGAGCTATGGGACCTTGACCAAGGCATCTGTAGTGTCTCTGACCCTCTGTGTCCTCATCTTTCAAGTGGGAATAGCAATGCCCATCATCCAGTTATTGTGAATGTCAAATGAGCTGCTGTGTTTGGGAAGAGAGTAAAAGTATTATCTGTTATGCAATATCTGTGAGATGATAATATATTTTTCAGTCACACCGTATGTCAGGAACAGGACAGACCTAGGACCAGGGTCTCTGGACACCACACCAGCTCATCTTCCCATTGCCCAGGCTGCCATATGGTGATAACTTGGAAAGAGTGTGGAGATTTTTGTAGGACTGGAAAAGGGGAGTGTTCTGTTTACCTATGGTTGCATGATATAACATCCCAAAGCTAGTGCATTAAACCAACAATCTTATACTCACGGATTCCAGGAGTCAGGGAGTCATAATGATAAAGGAAAGGTGAATTATCTCAGTTCCACAAGGACTGGACTTCAGCTTGGAAAACTCAAAACATCCACGGGTAACAGATGGCAGAGGGTAGAATCAACTAGAAGGTTCTCTCATGTTTTTGCCACCTGGGATGGGGTGGGATGTCTTAAATGCTGGGCTTAGCTGAGACTCTTGACTCAACCACTTACACATAGCCTTTCTATGTGGCTAAGAATCTCACAGCACCGTGGCAGTTTTCCTAAGAGGAAACATCTAGAGAACCAGTGTTTTTAGAAAGCCAGACAAAAGCTTTATTGCTTTTCAGGTTCTATCTCTAGAAATCCTGCAGAGTCACTTCCTCTGCATTCTGTAGATTAGAGTTACGTTCCTAAGGCCAGCCTAGATTTGGGGGCAGGGAAATGAGACTCTGCCTTTGATGGGGGTGTGGCGAAGGTCTCATTGCAAAAGATAAGGCAGGATGGGAGATTTTGTTATGGCCCCATTTGGAAAATATACCATCCCACAGGGAGGAGTGGGATGTTCAAGAAGACAAAGCGTTACTTCCCTGGAAGAGTGAGTTAAGCTAGATTGGTGAGCTTCTCCCTCGTAAGTAGTTATTTAAGCCAAAATTCAGGGATAAATTGGGTCATTTCCTTTCTTGGGTGATGGAATGATCCCCCTCTGAGATGGCCATATTACGTTAAAGGTCAAGTGAGTAATGGGTTTAAACTGCAGCAATAAAGAGTACTTATTAAAAAAATAAGCAAAGCTTTTATTAGGTATCTTTGTTTATTAGCAAGCATTAGAAGTTCATTGGAGGAGAATTTTTAAATGCGTAGGAGCAACAATAAGAAATGTTTTAAAGCACACCTAAATCTTATCATCCAGAGAAAAACCACCGTAACACCTTAATATGTTTCCTTCAATATGTTTTTGCATGTGTGTATTTACATATATTTTATGTGTGCACTTTAAAAACAGAATACTGTTGTTTTTAAAATATGTTTTATTATATGCTTCTTAAAACTTTGTTCATAACCGTAGATCATGCCATCTCAGAATGACTTTTTACTTTTTTCTTCTTTATTTTTATTACATACACAGAATGGCATTCATACCAAATATGAGCAAGCATATATAAATTTACACAAGTGGAGTCCCTCTTTGTATTCTTCTCTGCATATTTTTTTACCCAAAAGTATGTCATGGAGAGGTTTGTATGTCTATAATTTAGATCTATGTCACTGTTTTCAATGGTCTTATGAAAGACTATATGCTATGATTTTTTCATCAGTCTTCTGTAAATGGACCTCTCAGTTATTTCTTATTCTTTCCCTGAAATTATAAACAATCAGGTTTAGCTATATTTTATCATATATAGGTTTTCACCATAAAAATCCATTTTAAAAATTCAGCATGAATCCCAAGAATGCCGCAGAAATTTCTTCCCTGGGGGATCAGACAAACCAGGGTTTGAATCCATATCCTTCCACTTAGCTGGATGGGTGACCACAAGTAAGGAGCTCCACCTCTCCTGGCCACATTTGGAGGAATAGCATAGTAACCTCTGTGTAAAGTGCCTGGCCTATAGCAGGTGCCTGATGGCAGGTAGCAGTTGTGGTCAAAACATCTCCGAGAAGTGAATGTGTATGAACATTTGTGGTTTAGCTCTAGAGCTCAGAGCAATTGTGAGTTGTGTGGTATAGGGGGTGTGGGAAGTTTACCCACTTCTGTCCTTTTTCTATGACTGGGACCATTTGTATTCCCTAGATGGTTGGGGGTCAGATGGGTTTTTCCATTCCTGAACCACATATTTCTTTATCTGGCACAGTTCTGGGTAATCTAAAAATGCAATATCACTGTCACCAGCTTGAGGAAGACACGGAGCCTGAATAATTTAACATGTCACCACCATCCATCATGATAGCAAGAGCAGGAGATGGAGTGTGGAGGGCTGGGCCTGTCGAGGCTGGCAGAGCAGGTCTGTGGACAGGGCAGCCCAAGAATAGAAGGTAGATTGCAAAAGAAGAGCAGTGAGTTAACTCTCATAGGCCCAGGAAAGACCTTGTATCATCTTGCTCCATACTTTTCCATAACATGACTTTCATGTTGTTCAGATGCCCTGATTAGCCCCAGAGCACACCTGGGGTCAAATTCCTAGTTTACCACCAAATATCTATGCCATCTAGGGGAAGGCTTTAAATATCTCTGAATATCTTCATTTATTTAGCAGCAAAATTGAGGTAAGAATTCTCATGTAGAAGGCTTTGCTAAGCCCTAGAATGGTATGCCAAGAATATCTAAAATGCTTTCCTACTAGAAAGCAAACTCCAATAAATCAGTAATTTTTGTCTGTTTTATTGAGGCTTTATCTTCAGTACCTAGACAGTGTTTGGGACAGCATGGGCCCTGAGTAAATGATTGTTTAAAGAATGCATAAACAAATGAGTGAGTATTGTGATGATTTTAGGTGAACATGTGGTCTAGGACAAACTGAATGGTCACCTTCTGCATCCCCACACACTGGGCTAGGACTCCAGAGGTCTGAGCTCTTGATTCTTTCAAGGTGGCTATGTAATTCTTCCACTCTGTGCCCCAACTTTCCCTCTCCCTGTCTCTCTCACAGCTCTCACATTCCCCATTTATGGTTCTATCACTAATTTAGTGATATTACAAAAAAAAAAAGTTGGTTTCTTTTTTTCGTTTTGTGAGATATAATTCACATAAGATAAAATTAATCATTAATTGGCCAGGCACGGTTACTCACGCCTGTAATCCCAGCACTTTGGGAGGCCAAGGCAGGCAGATCATCTAAGGTCAGGAGTTCAAGACCAGCCTGGCCAACACGGTGAATCCCCGTCTCTATTAAAAATACAAAATTAGCTGGGCATGGTGATGCACACCTGTAATCCCAGCTACTCAGGAAGCTAAGGCAGGAGAATCGCTTGAACCCAGGAGGCAGAGGTTGAAGTGAGCTGAGATCATGCCACTGTACCCCAGCCTGGGTAACAAGAGTGAAACTCTGTCTCAATAATAATAATAATAAATCATTTTAAAGTGTATAATTCAGTGGCATTTAGTACATTCACAAGGTTGTACAGCCATCACCTCTGTCCAGTTCCAAGACATTTCTACCACCCCTAAAAGAAACTCAATAGTTATTAACTGTTACCCCTCATTCCCATTTTCCTCTGTCCAGCCCTAGCCACCACTAGTCTACTTCCATCTCTACGGATTTAGCTATCCTGGATATTTCATATAAATAGAATATGAATATACTATGTTGCCTTTAATGTCTGGCTTCTTTCACTTAGCAAAATATTTGCAACATTCATCCACATTGTAGCATGTATCAGTATTCCTTTTTATGGCTGAATAATATTCTATGTCTATATACCACATTTTGTTCATCCATTCATCAGGTGATTGACATTTGGGTCGTTTGTACCCTTTGACTTGTAAATAGTGCTGCTATGAACATTCATGTACAGATACTTGTTTGAATGCCCTATCTTCAGTTTTGGGGCTGGAGGTATATACCTAGGAGTGGAAATCCTGCATCATGTGGTAATTCTGTGTTTAACTTCTTAAGGAACCACCAAAGTGGTTTTCACAATGGCTGCACCATTTTGCATATCCAGCAGCAATGTATGAGGGTTCCAACGTCTCCACAACCTCACCAACATCTGCTATTTTCCATTATTTTGATTATCACCCACCTAGTGGGTATGATGTGATATCTATGGTTTCGGTTTGCATTTTCTATTGACTAATGACAGTAAGCATGTTTTTATGAGAACAGAGCATTTTTGAATCAGACATACATCAGATTCAAATTTGGGCTCTGCCATTTGTGTAATTTTGATTAAGCAACAGTGAGATTCTGAATATTTATTTGTCCACCAATAAAATGGGATTAACTCCTACATCTCAGACCCCTTGTGAGGTGTAGGAGGGATATTGCATGTAAGGTACCTGGGGCAGTACTTATCACACCGTGGCATGTGTTTAGCTCACCTTCTTAATGGCTCCACCTCAGGCTCTGTGGTACCAGAAGAACCAAGGGCCCAAGCAGCAAGGATAGAAAGGCTGCTGGTTCCAGCAGATAGATTACCTCTTCTTTTTTCTTGCCAGTCTCTAACCATTCTCACTTTCTCTCAGCCCCTAAATGGAAGTACGGGAGCAGCCCTGTGTAACTAATGGCTGCATTTTATTGCACTAAATCACCAATTTTATATTAAAATGCTAACAGAGGGGGCCCTTTTCTAGCCATCTGAATCACCTCCAAGTCAGACTGTAATTGGCCTGTGGCCCCTTCAGATTATATGGATACTCAGAGGCTGTATGCCTTGGGTGGCTGCCACCTCCCCAGGATGTCACAGCAGGCAGGAGAGTCAGGGGGCACCTCAAACCAGCAGCACTTCCTCCCTTTCATTCTGTTAAACACAGACAAGCATCAAGTAATTGAGGAATGTGCCCTGACTCTCACTTCTTGGTCTTTGTGCAGAATGTTTACATGCAGCATACTCTTTTCCCAATAATAACCATTGAGCTGAGTTCTTGTACCCCTTTTAAAGATGAGATCAGAGAGATCAAATGCCCTGTCCAAGGCCATATGCTAATAAGTGAATCAAAGAACTAGAACTCATGTCTGACTCCAATAACTTAATTTATTTCTACTGAAGTCCATTACTTCCCTTGGCTCATGGATAAACAAATATAGAAACTAACTAGACTCCAAGTGCCTTGAGAGTAGGGACCATAGATACTGTTGTTTAACAGAATCCCAGCTGTGCCATTTTTTCATCCAGGTCAAAAATCCAAATTGTTTTTTAAGATTGAACATTTTAGTGGAGGTCGTGGCTTATTCATCTTCATCTTGTACTCAGATCCTTGCCCTTAATTTGCTCAGTAATATTTGTTGTACAAATATGTCTAGAACTGTGTTCTCCAATATGGTGAGCACCTGAAATGTGGCTTGTCTGTATTGTGATGTGCTGTAAGCACAAAATGCATACTGGGTTTTGAAGACTTATGAAAAATATATAAAATACTTCGGTAATAACTTTATGTTAATTTCATGTTAACATGATAATATTTTAATATACTGAGTGAAATGCAACATATTCTGGAAATTCATTTGAACTTTTATGTTTACCCTTTTAATGGGGCTACTGAAACATTTAAAATGGCATATGTGGTTTGCATTATATTTCTATTGAATCTGGTTTATAGACATTGTTTCTGAGCCTCAGTTTTCACTCTGAACACATGGTACTTTAGTACTTACAAGAAGGGAATAAAGGTCAGAAGAGTTTGGAAATGGAGGCTTGACCAGAAGGGAAAGCCTTTATGGAAACCCTTATGGTAGTTATAGGGGTGTGGTCACTGTGCCTGGACATGTGGAAAGATGGGAGAGTCACAAAGATCTTGCTAAGCCTGATTAGAGTTCCTACAAGAAAACAGGTCCAGGTGTTGGAGTCAATTAAGAGAACTGCTAATCCTTAGTGGTCAACATATCAAGCATTTGCCAGCCCTCTACATCCATATGCATGCATGTGTGTGTGCACACATAGGCACAGACACACACACTTTCCCTGGTTGTATTAGGTACGAAGCAAGCTTTGCAGGTAGACAGACCAAATTTCAATCCCATTTCTCCCACTTACTACCTCGTATCACCTCTCTGAGACAGTTATTCATCTATGAAACCAAAACTCATGATACAGTCCTTATAGGGATGGCTGTGGATATTAAACAAAGTATTTGTTCATATTTTATTATAAACCAGCATTGTAAAAAAGGAATAGATTTACCCGCCACTGTCTGAATTTGAATCGTGGTTCTGCTACTTACAAGCTGTGACCCTGGACAAAATATTTAATTTCTACGTGCCTTCATTTTCTCACCAACTGAAATGGGAATAAATGTAGTAACCTATCTCCTAGGGTTCTTGTAAATATGAAATGAGTCAACCCATGTAAAGGCTTTAGAATAGTGCCTGGAAGAGATACTGCACTATGCAAGTGTTCGCTTTTCTTACATTAGAATTTCCTGGTGACTTTTCTGTCACTCTGTCTATCTTGCTCCAGTAGGGAAAGAATAAAGTCTGATTCCTGTAAGCCAGATTTGTTCACCATGGTAGGGCCATAACAGGTCATGTGTTTAGGATGGGAGGGAAGATAAAGTGGAGATTGGAAGGAAGGAAGGGAGTGAGAATTTTGCTGAAATGTTTCAAAGTGTGGCTATGGCATCCAAGGGGCTGTGGGAAGAGTCTTGGGTGGCCTCCTAACAGGGATAGACCCTCCTTTTTGCTCTGTGGCTCCAGACATAGCAGAGAGTATGGCAGATGTTTTCTGAACATAAGAGAATGACTTTATCAGATGCCTTCATTTTTTCTTTGGCCAAGAATTATGTATAGATGAACAAAAGTCTTCCTCCCTCCTTTTTTTTTTTTTTTTGGAGACGGAGTCTCGCTCTGTCACCCAGGCTGGAGTGTAGTGGCTTGATCTCGGCTCACTGCAACCTCCACCTCCTGGGTTCAAGCAATTCTCCTGCCTCAGCCTCCAAGTAGCTGGGATTACACGTACATGCTGCCACACCCGGCTAATTTTTTGTATTTTAGTAGAGACGGGGTTTCACCGTGTTGCCCAGGCTGGTCTCGAACTCCTGAACTCAGGCAATCTGCCCGCCTTGGCCTCCCAAAGTGCTGGGATTACAGGTGTGAGCCATCATGCCCAGCCCTTCTCCCTTCTTTTCTTTGTTCTTTCTTCTTCTTTTTTTTTTTTTTAACAGTAAAATATTTTAATGGCAATTTTAAAAGCCCTACTGGCTTCTGGGGACCTCTGCTCTCCAGTCACTTCCAAAATCTCCATGAGGTCCCTGCCAATTCCACTTCAAAGCTAAGCCTTTAAATGGAGAACTGCATCTGGCAGAATCTGAAATCTGAAGTCTCCTGATGTCTCCAGGCCCTGCTTTTAGTTGCTGGGGATTGGGGAAGTGTGCACTAAGGCTCCGGGACAGACCTTGCCTGATGACACATTTTGGGACAAAGATCAAATGTTGTCATCCTTTGTACTTTCCCACTCATTAGAACATACCGTCTTAAGGAAGGATGGGTGTGGGGAGGCAGATATTAATCTTTCAATTTTACAGAGCCTTAAACTGAGAGGCAGCATCATAAGTGGCTAGAAATTTGAGCTTGGGCATTAGTTCCACCTGGTTTCGAAGTCCACCTTCACTCATTATTAGCAAATCATTTTTCTTTTCTGAGCATCACTTGCCTCATCTGTAAAGTAGGCACAATGATGCCTCTCTCCTAAGGGTAGTATGAATTCGGAATGAGATGTTGTATACAAAGCTCTGAATGCTGTACTTAGCATCTTGACACTCGAAGGATGATCTGCTCTTTCAGGGTTCGCTCATGAGTGGTTTTAAGGAAAGCAATGTGTATATTACAGAGAGACCAAATTTGGAGTTGGACAGACTAGCCTCGAAGCTTAACTCTCCTAGTCATCTGCTGTGTGACTATGCAAGTAACTTTGCATGTCTAAGCATGTCTTTGCATCTTTGCTTTATTATCTAGTTTGTTAATTACACCACTCTTATGAGTATATCATGATGAGGATTGTCAGCAATAATGTCTACAAATCTTCTAGGTACATAGCAGATTGTGCAACAATGTTGCTAGAAAGAATGAATGTGTAATAACCATATTGCAGAAAAAGTGTCTGCAAGTAGAATTTCTGTATACTGAATGCCATTTCAAATACCCTACCTGAGGAAATTACATAATAAATCCTTTCGTGCATTGAATAACATTTCCCTTTAATGTATGTTTTTCTTTTCCTTAGTTGAAATTTTTGAATAGGTAATAGGTTTGCATGGTGCTTGATTGAAAAGATGCAAAGAGTTTATAGAGAAAAGTAGCCTCCCTCTGTTCCCATCTTTCAGGCACTTAATTCTCCATCCAGGACAACCATTTTTACCAGATTCTTAAGTCTCCTCCCAGAAAGTCTATTGCTGTAGATGTCTGAAGCCCCATCAATGAAACAATTTTAAATACCAAAGTCCTTATTCTCCCGTGCCCATCTACTCACCCCCAACATCCTCAGAGGCTCTCTCTCCTGGTTATTTCTTCTCTAGAGTAAATAATTTACTAATCCTTTAGGCAATTAAAAAAGCAGAAAGCACAAAGATAACAATAAAACATACCCATATTTCTCTCTTTGGAATTAATGGCTATTAGTATTGTGGCATAATTGCTTTTAGCCTTCTTTTTTATCCTTTCTACAATCAGCTGTTCACAGCATATGAATGCATTACCCTTTTCCCTCCACACTCCTCTGAGTTTGTCTCTGAAGCACCCTTTGCACTCATCTCCTCCTCCCATCCTCGCTGCACAGGCCCTCATGCAAGCCCTGACCTCCATTCACCTAGGTGGTCACTGAGCCTCCTGGCTGCTTACCCTGCCTGGCACCCATCCTGCAGCCTAGGTACCACTGGAGTGTTCTTCCTTGTATATACCATGGCTGGCCAATTCATACTCTTGCTCCAGAACCTTCCATGAAACCAAAAGTAAAGCTCCCTATCCTCCGTTTGGCACCCAAGGCCTCCCGCTGTGTGTCTTCCCAGTCATTTCTCCACTTAATGTTGCCCCTGACTGCCCACATGGCCCATTCCTGAGGGTGCTCAAGCTGGTACCTCTGCTGGAAGTCCTTTTTCTATCAGTGCAGGCCCATCCATCCTTCAAGACCTGACTTAAATCTTCGCTCCTGCATAAAACCTTCTCAGGCCCTCCGTGTTGAAATGAATTGCACTCCCCCATATTCCTAGCACCTCATTGAGTGGTAAACAGAAGCCATGAATTAGGTTTAAGCTTCCTTAGGATTCCATTTGTCCTGCTGACTAGCTTATGATCCCGTGCCTGGCAAAGACTGAGTCCTATTTATCTTTGTATCTCCAGCGTCTTGCACTTTATTGAAATGTGGTTAAAATTAAGTTGTCTAGAGTGTTTTCTAGAGTGTTTGCTTATCACCAAAAGCAACAATAGCTATCAGTTGTTTAGGATGTACTGCGGACCAGGTATTTTATATATTACATCTCCTTTAATCTTCAAGGCAATCTCACAAGGTGAATAATTTTATCCCTATTTTAGAGAGACAGAACCCAGGGCTCAGAAAGGTGTGTTTTCTCTTCAAGGTCACACAGCTCAGAAGCTGCTGAGTCATGCTTGGACCCAAGATCTGCTTCACTGCAGAGCATGAACTCCTTCCATTTATCACACTGACTCCTGGGTTGCTTGGGATTTACAGAGAAAAGTCTGGGGATGGGATTGCTGATCTCTGGGATGGTTGAGGAATCTCACAAACTTCTGGAGGCCTGGGAGACTAACTGATAGACTGTGCTTACTCACAGGAGGAATCAGCTTTGGGAGAGCCAAGGGGACGTCGGGCTCAGAGGCAGACGATGAAACTCAGCTGACATTCTACACGGAGCAGTACCGCAGTCGCCGCCGCAGCAAAGGTAATAGTGTCCTTGGAAGGTTCCAGAACCAGAGTTTGTAGAAGGAAATCCTGGAAATCAGATTTTGTGTTCACTAGCAAATCCTAAATCTTCTCTAACCTGGTCCCCATCTGGTTAAAACTGAGCTTAGTATCTGTTGCCCTGGCTATATGGGTGACCTTCAGTATAATGCTTTTCCTGGCTTATTCTTTATTTGCTTTCTGTCCCACCTTATTCTTCAAAAAATACTGTGAATTGTTTTTGGTTTATGCAGATTTTTAAAACTTCAAAAGAGGAAATGAAATAACTAATCATATTAATATGAAAATAAGAATAAGGAAAATTATTCAAACCCAGGTTGGGTTGATGCAGAATAATCCCTGCCATACTGTTTTGTAGTTCTTAGAAGAGGCTGGCAATTTAAGTAAGAAATTCCCGGCAGCCAAAGTGTGAAGGGAAACATACTCAGAAATAAAATGTACAGGGTTAATGGGAAAGAATCAAGCATTTGTTCAGGAAATTTTACTTACCAGACCAGAGGTAAAGTCCTCAACTTGGTATGTATAAATAAGATACCGTGTGCCTTTCTAGGCAGTTTCTTCAACAGATAAAATTCAGTATTGGATAATTATTTCTCACAATGGCACTCAATGTAGGGGGATGGCCAAATGCTGAAGCAGGACTCCACAAAGGTCTAAAACCTGTGGCCAAGATCCATCGTTCCCTGATGATTCAACGTGCTCTGAAAGGAAAACAGCATATTTCAGGCAATTGCCTGTGAATGTGATTCTTCATCTTGGATTGTCTATAAGGATGGGAAAGCAGCCAGTTTGAGACTGGATTCTTGGAAGAGACTCTCCTGGGGTACAAACATGGATTCCATGCCAGTGATAAAGGGCAGATCCATCCATGGGCTTTACCCACCCACTGAAAAGAAGGTCCTGTGACAAGTCCAGGTCATGTGGCAGGGAAACTGGTCCTTCTCTCCTACCTCCACAAAGAGGTGTGCTGAGAAGTAGCTGGGGTAGGGAGAAGGAGGAGGAGGAACTTTTCTCACAAACCATGCTGCATGCATTCTATCCATGCACAGTGGACACTGCAAAAGCACAGATCCCCATAACTTCTGTGTGCTCCTTTGGCTCTTAGGCAAGTTATTTGCCTTCTGTAAGCCTCAGTTTTTCATCTACAAGCTGTACCTTGTAACTGCCTCATGGGGTTGTGGATGAATTTTGGTTAAGCTATGTAAAAAATTTATGGTGTCTGGTGTATGCTAAAAGCAAAATAAGTCAGACATTATTAATGTCAGTTCAGTTCTCACTGTTGTTTTTCCTATCTCCTCACCTCTGGCATCTTTCCCTGAAAAGCCCCACGTGGGAGGAGTGTTTCCATTGACACATTACATGGGAAGGGTTTGCAGCCTCTGTAGCCATTGGAAAAATGGGATCTGCCTCTCCCTCCTTCCTGCTCCTCAGCTTTCTCCACTTGATCTTAGCCAGAAAACTGAGAAGCAATCCTCAGCTTCCGGGAACCTGCATTGGAGATTTAGAAGTTGACGATTGATGATTCTTGACTGGTCTTCTCCCTCACACAATCCAGCAGTCAGAATTAGGGCTGGGGAAGTCAATGGGTCCCCTCAGCAGGCCTGGGCTATTTATAGATAATTGGAAAAACATTCATCACTGAGCATGTCCCCTATAAATTGGAGTTCAACTTAGAAAAGCAAAAGCAAGCTACAGGCCTCGAGATGAATGATTTAACCCAGCAACTCCTTTCTTTCTCTCTCCTTCCATCCCTTCATTCTTTCCTCCCTGTCTCCCTCTCTCCCTCCCTTCTTCCCTCTTTCCTTTCCTCTCCTCTCCTCTCCTCTCCTCTCCTCTCCTCCCTCCCTCCCTTCCTCCCTTCCTCCCTTTCTCCCTCCCTCCCTCCCTTAGTCCCTCCCTCCCTCCCTCTCTCCCTCCTTTCTTTCTTCCTTTGATACATACCACAAATATTTGTTCTGCACCAACTACATGCCTGCCACTCTTCTAGGCAGTGGGGACACAAACCAAACAACAATTTAAAATTCCTGCTCTTGTGGGGTTTGTATTATATCAAAATACAAATCTATTAGATGGTGATAAATGCTAAAAGAAAAGGAGACAACAAGGAAGGGAACTGAGAGAATATGGAAGGAATTGAATGCTTAGATTCAGTGAGCATGAATTACCCTACGCTTTTTGCAGGATCACAGGGAGAGCTTTCTTAATACTGTGTTTGATGTTGTTAGGTTGTTGTTGTTGCTGCCGCAGCTGCTATAATTTTTTGTTGTTGAATACAGAGAGTGAATTTGGTTCTGCAACATCTTTGTTCTAGGCAAATGAACTTAGAACCCAATGTCTCAGTCTGCAAGTCCCGCAATTCTTCATGAAAGGGCTGTGATCTGTTTTTTTCTGTTTCATATAGTTTGGGCAGGAGTTAGGGTGCCTTCAGCATTCACTGACTTAATGGGAAAAAGGCACAGGACAGAGGTGAGCCAAGGGAGGTCCAGGAGCCCTTGGTGATATAAGAGCAACAGAGCATAGTACTAAAAGCATGGATTCTGGTGGTGGGTTACGTGGGTTCAAATCCCAGCCCCCCCACTTACTGGCAATGTCATATTAATCATGGAACTTAACGTCTCTGTGCATCAATTCCCTAAGTTGTAAAATGAGGATATTAAGATGAAAGCATAGAGAGTTGTTCTAAAGATTAAAATTACTTGAAACCTGCAAGGCATTTAGGTGGAGATAGGGAGGGAGAGAAATTGTGGCAGAGTGAAGTTGCTGAGAAGGACCATTGGATTTACTATGGGGACAGGAAGGGAGTCTCAGATCTGCTACCAACTCACTGTGTGACCTTAGTAAAGTCTCTTTTGTTATCCAGATCTCTGTTTTTCAATCTGAAACATGGGAGAGTGGACGGGTGGATCTTCTCTGAGATCTCTTCTTACTTGTGTGTGAATGGGACATGGGGCATATTTCTGAGAATCTCCTGTTATTGGGATATACCTGGCTTCCAGCTTCAGGTTCCTTTGCACCCTGTTTACCTCCCCCATGTCCAGTGCCACTCCCCTTTCCTGTTTCTCTCCTTTAGGGTCTAACTGTGACACTAGAATGGTTCTGTTGTCCCCTTTGGCTGGGCTGATGGGTTCTTTCTTCCCTACACCCCCAGGCCTGCCTGGACCTGTAACATCCCAGTCCTCTCCTATTCCTCTGCCATCACCATTTCAGCTCCTCTTTAGCAAAGGCAATGACTCAGCAGTTCCCTGCAGTCTGCCCAGGGGTGTGTGAGCCAGCCCAGCGGTGACACAGAAGAGATGATGAAGTTCAAGGAGGTAGGGGAAGAAAGAGATAAAAGTACCAGGAAAGGCAGTTCCCTGTGCTAGTTGAGAATGGTCATCTAATAGCATTTGGGACTCCATATGAATTCACTGTAACCATTTCAGGTCTATCTGAAAAATAGGAGCTGAGCTGTGTTTTCCAAATCTCGAGGCATGTGGGCTTTGATAAAGACATTCAACTTTACCATCTTTGAAGTACTCAGAAGGAAGTTGAGTCTTTGGGGCTATCTGTGTGTGACAGGAACAGTGATTTTCAGTCCTGGCTTTGCCACCACGTTTCTGTGTGACCTTGGCCAAGTCCCTGCTGGTCTCTGAGTCTCACTTTTTCAATCTCTAAGTAGAGATTTAAGAGGAGTGCTCAGAAGCAACTAGATCAGCACTGGTTAAGGGCCCTGCACTGCAGTTCAGACTGTTTCAGATGTTAGAAGATTTTGGAAGACAAAGTTATTGAACTGAGCGTTTCAGATTATCCCAGCTTTGGGAGAAGAAAGACACAATAAACAGCAGCTAAATGTGGGAGGGCTTCCTGAAAGAGTTGAGGCTGGGAAGTTGCCTGAGTCTCAGACATGGCTCTGCCCCTTTTCATCCATGGGACATGAACCAGTATTCTCAAATTCCCATCTTTAAAATGCAGTCACTACATCTCCTTCACAGGGTCATTGTGAAGATTAAAATAATGAGTATCTCCTTTATAACTTCAACTTCTGCCAACAAGTTCTCCCCTTCTCTACTGCTGCCATCCTAGTCCCTGCCACCTGCATCCTTTGCTTTAAAACTGCTAAAAGTCCTCTCTTGCTAAGTCTCCCTTGCTGTCTTCCAGTCCATTCTCAATCATGTAGCCAGAGTGATCATCTTTACAAATGTAAGTAGGGATCATGTTGTTTCTCCTCTTAGAAGCTTTCAATGCTTTCCTTTTGTTTTCAGGATGAAATGGAAACTCCCTACACACCTGCAATCCTGAGTGATCTTGCCCTGACTCTCTCCCCAGGGCTCTGTCCGCTCCTTCCCTCCCCACTCCACCTCTCCCCCGGGGCCTCTTCCCCAGCACTCCTGCATCTGTCCTGCCACAGCCTTCACAACATTTGTCTCCTGGAATGCTCTTCCCTGCCGTTTGACTCATTCACCTGCCCCCCCATCACGTGAGACCTCCACTTAAATGGCATATTTTCTGCAAAGCTGTCCATACCTGAGTTAATTTCCCTGTCTCATTCTATACCAGATGCTGTGCTGTACCCCCCTTTGTAGACTTGGTCACCACTATAATTTTACACTTACTGATATGCTCCCTGAGTACTATTTGTGTCCTCCACTGAACTGGAAACTTCACGAGCATAGACACATTGTCATTTGTGTCCAGTTTTGTCCTCAACATCAAGCACAGGGGGATGGGCTCATAGTAGGCACTGGGTGAATATTTTGAATGAATGAATGAATGATGAGTGAATGTTTGAAAGAAACACCTGCACAGTGTTTGGCTTATAGGTGTTCAGGATGGAGGCTGATTTTCTGTCTGCCACCTCTTGTTTTGTCTCGCTTTATGCCTGCCTGCTGGGAAAGGGCCTGCTCTCCTCTTCCCTTCTTTTTCCTGCTCCTGGTAAGCAGAGCTGGGGCCTTACCTCTCCCTATTTTTCTACTGCAAGGCCACCAGGAAGGCCATGCCCAGCAGTGGCAAGAGGGCCTTGGTGGTGAAAAGCACACTCTGCCTGGGTTCTTTGAGTGTGACTGTCCTGTGTGCCATCTGGGAACGATGTAACCAGGCCAGAAGGCTGCATGGCAGAAAAGGTTACACTGAGGGCTAGTGGTGGGAGTGGGGCATGGAGGAGAAGGAGAGAGGAAATCTCTAACAAGTGTTTGTACATAGATCTCTCTCTTAGCATATCCCATGAGAGAAATAGGACTGGCATTAGATTCAGCCAGACCTGGCTGTGAGTCCTGACCTCACCTTGTCATCCCTTCCATGTGGCCCTGGGTGGATTTTAACCTGTGGGTGCTTCCCTTTGCATAAAATGGAGCTGTTGACACCTGCCTCACAGAGTAAGCACCCAGTGGAAGGTGCTGGGTCTTACCCAAAGATGCCCAAGAAATATTTGTTCTGTCTTCTAATATTTTCTTTCCCTTCAAAACATTCTGAGCTCCAAACTAAATCAGCTCAAATCCCATTTTCAGCAATAGGATCCATTATGAAAGAGATTTGACATATAGTTTGGAAGTACTTTGTCTTTCCTAAGATTTTGGCTCTTTGTAAGGAGAATGGGACTATTTTGGAGGGGTGTCTGGTATTTCCAGGTAGAACTTCTTCCCAAAGCACAGAACTGTAGCCATCAATATGGAGAGTGGAAGGAAGGAGAAAAAGGCAAAGGGATGGAGAAAAAGAGGTGGAGAGACCAAGATATGCGTGTCTGGTGGGATTTCCTAAATAAGGGGCCAGCAACATTTTTCTGTAAGTGGCCAACTAATAAACATTTTCAGCTTTGCAGGCCTTCCAGTCCCTGTTGGACCTACTCAACTTTGTTGTTAGACTGTGTGAAACCTGCCATAGGCAACACATAGATGAATGGACATAAATATTTTCTAATAAACATTATTTTTAAAAACAGGTGCTAGTTCAGATTTCACCCATGAAACTTAGCTGACTCCTGCCTTAAACCATTGATATGTTACCCTCACCTGTATGTCTGGTCCAGGAAGCATGTGTACAAATTCACCATGCTCTGTGAAAATAAGTCTAACCCCATATCATATATGATCATTCTGTCTAAGTCTATTTGTTGCCCATCAATCAATAAATGGATAAAGAAACTGTCGTATATATACATGATGGAATACTACTTGACCATAAAAAGGAATGAATTAACGGCATTTGCCACAACCTGGATGAGATTGGAGACTATTATTTTAAGTGAAGTATCTCAGGAATGGAAAACCAAACATCATATGTTCTCACTGATATGTGGGAGCTAAACTATGGTGACGCAAAGGCATAAGAAGAATACAATGGACTTTGGGGACTTGGGGGGAAGGGTGGGAGGGGGGCGAGGGATAAAAGACTACAAATAGGGTACAGTGTATACTGCTCAGGTGATGGGTGAACCAAAATCTCAGAAATCACCACTAAAGAACTTATTCATGTAACCAAATACCACCTGTACCCCAATAACCTATGAAAAAAAATAATAAAGAATGGGGAAAAAAACACAAAAAATAAATAAAAGAGTCTATTTGTCATGCAAGGCATTCTATGTTTGATCAAGTAAATAACCCTCCAGTATATCATTGTTTTAAGTGTGCCAATTCTGATGGCATTTTACAGAATTAAGTAATAAACTAGCTAATGTAGTAGGTTACTAGTGGGAAGAATTTAACATATATTCATCGGAGATAGTACTCCATAGAGCAAAGAATGTTGGACTCAGAGTCAGGAGATGTGTGCTCAAGTCCACACCTCACCATTAACTAGCTTAGTGACCTTGGCAAGCCTGTGCTCCCTCGGGACCTCAACTTTCTTATTGTCATACAAGGATATTTACATCATATGTCATCAAGACTGAGCCCCGTTGTAGTTTAGCCTGTATGTGTGGAATAAGCAACCCTAATAACCATGCTGCTGGGCAGTGAGAAAATGGAGCCTCAGCACCGAACCTCACAGTGGTTACAGTCTCCGGAGGCAAGGAGTGTGCAAACTCACACAGGGAAGCGTTGCTAATCAGGATAAGCTTCTGTACAGCTGAAAGTCCAGATGAGAAGTGCAGGTGGTTTGCCCAGCCCTGGGCACAATGCTGAGCAGGAGACGGAGCTGTTATAGCTGCTGGATCATTTCAGCAGTGCAGGCACCCAGCATGAACCTCCCAGCCCAGCTCTGTGCTGTATGGGTTTGGGTGCATCTGTCTCCCTCTCTGGACCTCGCTTTTCTCATCTGCAGGTTGCTCAGCCAGTTATAGAAATCCAGGTTTTCTGATCCCCAATCTCAGGTACTTTCCTCTAAGCTTTGCTGCTTAGTTCTCCAGCAGAGAGAACCAGAGCATGAATGCTACTGGTTGTCTTATTTCTTTGTTTTTGTTGCTTGTTTTAATTTGGCAATTCCTAAGCTGGGATTTTCTGTAACTAAGAACCACTGAATCCATAAGCAAAACTTCGTACTAAGGTATGTGGATGTATGGCTTTTCTTTATGATTCTCCTCCCACCTCCAACACACACAGTTTAATCCTGTTTTCGAGGAAAAGGATAGGTGAGGAAAAGTTCAAGTCATATCTGCAGAGGAGGCCTTTGGGAACTGAAGCCTCCTGTTATGAAATATAAGCCATGAGTCCCAAAATGGATCAGAGACTCCAGGAAATGAAAATGGGATGAAGTGAAAGCTGAGCATCTGTGGAAGAGTACCTGCCAAGGTGTGAGGGCGGATGGTACGTGGTACACTGGGGAAGGGGGTGGAGGAGAGATGCCAGAACTGAGTAGAGCCCAAATTCATGTGCAGGAATGATGGAAAATGAGGCCGGAGAAAGAGGCAGCAACTGTGCCTTGACCACTGACCAAGGGCTTACCTCATCCTTTATCCATCACTTCTCATCAAGCAACAAGGTTCCGTTTCACTCTAAAGGTAATCCATTCAGTCTTCCATTTTATGCACATAAAAACCAAGGCTCAGAGAAGGGAAACATTTTCCTCAAGGTTAAAAATGTCATCTCCTCAAATGACAAATCAAATGGGGCAAAATGTTAACAACAGGTGAAGCTAGGCCAAAGATAGATAGGCATTCTTTGTACTCTTCTTATCTTTGCAACTTTGTCAGGTTGAAATTATTTCCAGTAATATACCCAGAAAATAATGGGGCTTCTAGGTTGTACATAAGCACTGGAATCAGTAGACATGGGTTCAGATCTTTGCTCTGCCATTTCCTAGCATTGCAGAACCTAAGGCAAGACACATTTGTTCTCTGACCTCAGTTTCTCTTGGGTAAAGGAGGATAAGTGTAGCAGTTGTCCTTCTGTTCTCCTTTGGGCTTGTTATGAGGATTAAATGAGATAACATAAGCAGAGGAAATGCTTAGCCGAGTGCATCCACCATGCAATTGTTTCATTGCTAGCCAGTTACAGCACATCAGTGCCTGAGCCACACAGGCTCCAGGTCCTCTTTCTAATGTACCAGCTTGAAAATTAATCTGCCTTCTAGAAAAACAATAGTGACCAGGCGCAGTGGCTCACTCCTGTAATCTCGGTACTTTGGGAGGCCAGGGTGGGTGGATTACTTAAGCCTGGGAGTTCCGGACCAGCCTGGGCAACATGGCGAAACCCCATCTCTACAAAAAAATTAGCCAGATGTAGTGGCATGTGCCTTTAATTTCAGCTACTCAGGAGGCTGAGGCTGGAGGATTGCTTGAGCTCTGGAGGTCAAGGCTGCAGTGAGCCATGATTGCACCTCTGCACTAAAGACTGGGCATCAGAGTGAGACCCTGTCTCAAAAAACAAACAAACAAACAAACAAACAAACAAAAAGAAAAAAATGAAAAAGGAAAAGAAAAAAACAATAAACATTTTTCTTGAAAATGTGAATTTTGTAGGCCTAGCCCCTTGGGGATATTGTGATGCAGCTTTTCACGTCACCATCCTCTGCTTCTTGCCTAAATTTAGGTAGCCTTGCTCATGGGCAGATCTACTGGCTGCCCTTTGCCAACCTGCAGAGAACGCCCCCAGGACCTGCTACTCAGAACAGAGTAAACACTGAAGACAGATCAAGCAGTATTCTATCAGCCTCTAAGTCATTGTAGCCAGAGTAACATGGGAGAGAGGGCTAGGCTTTAAGGAGAGGAAATGGTGTCCAAGATATGGGGCAGATCAGCCTGCTACTCCCTACCCTGCAGGGATTCCCACTGAAGACATGACTAGAGGCTCAAGAAAAAGGGTTAGCTAGAGGACCCACAGGTGAATGCATCAGCGCCTTCATGGGGTGGGTTTATCTGGTTATTACAGGGCCTGGACATGGGTACAGGGAAAGCCGGGAGAAGTGAAGACAGGGTGGAAAGCCAGGGGAGAAAGCGCTGGGTGAGGGACAGGAGGAGGAAGAGCCAAGCAAGAGGATGTCATGAAATCACTGGAAGTCCTAAGACTTGGGTGTTTTGTTTTTGTTTGTTTGTTTTTGAGATGGAGTTTTGCTCTTGTTGCCCAAGCTGGAGTGCAATGGTACGATCTCAGCTCACTGCAACCTCCACCTCCTGTGTTCAAGCGATTCTCCTGCCTCAGCCTCCCAAGTAGCTGGGACTACAGGCACGTGCCACCATGTTTGGCTAATTTTTTGTATTTTTAGTAGAGATGGGGTTTCACCATGTTAGCCAGGATGGTCTCGATTTCATGACCTTGTGATCCGCCTGCCTCGGCTTCCCAAAGTGCTGGGATTACAGGCGTGAGCCACCGCACCCGGCCAAGACTTGAGTTTTAATCCTAGGTGTCTCTTGTTTGGTTAAGAGGCTTTGAGCAAGGCTTTGGGCCTCAGTTTCCTATCTGTAGACCAGCAAGGTAGAATATGACCCTCTCTGAGTTCACAATAAAACCATTCTAGGGTCCATAATAGAAATGGGTTCAACAAGAAGGGAGATAGAGGAAAAGAACAGAAGAAACTGTATTAGTTTTATTGAATTATCTCTATGCTGTTCTGTCCTGTCTAAATGCATGATTTCATATTATTCTAAACAATACCAGGAGAAGGGATTATTCTTCTCTCCATTTTACAGATGAAGAAACTAAGAATTGAGAGGGTTCACTTTCCTGAGGCTGCCATGAGTTAAGGGAAGCTTGAATTTGTATTTAAGCTATTTGATTTCAAAATCTGGTCAGGCCATTATAAGGATGAATGAGATAAATCATGTAAAGTGCATACAACAGTGCCTGACACAAGGTATATACTCAAAAAGAGACAGGAAGAGGATACCCATGTCTGTGTCTGATACAGCAAACCTGATCATATCCCTGAGAACTTCCTGGTATCAGCTCTGTAACCCCTGAGATGTTGGGGAAAGGTAGCCTGGGAGGGGCTGGGACCAGAAATAGTCGTGGTCAGAACCAGCTCAGGCACTGAAAAGTTAGTTCAGTATGGAGGACAAAAGGCAGCATCCGTAGGACCAGCCGTCCCAGGGCACCACCAACAAAGGGGGCCTGGTATTTGGTCAGGTAGGAAAACGTATGACAAGGATGACTTCCAGTGCTGTGCAGGGACCAGCCCATCCCAGTTTATCGAGAGCCTATTGTACTCATCTCTTCCCAACTCTGCTGTGAGTGATGCCACATTGGGAGCTTGTAATCAGCCATAGGAGAAAGATTCAAACTATGGAAACTGGAAAATACTTAAAATATTTTAAAAGAGCTGCTTGCTCTTGCTGGGAGAGCCCATTGTTAAACAATTACCAGCACACCACTGGGGAGAACTGTCAGTAAGAAGTAAGAACTTAGCCACAGGCTAGGATTCAAAGACCATTTTCTAGAAATAGTCTAAGCAATCCAGAATCTTCCCCGAGGATGATGCACTAGATGATGAAGGGTTGTGGGGGGCATGGAGGGCAGGCACAAAGCAAACTACAACATCCAAGGCCCAAGGAAGAGGATTCCTTTTCAGAAACAGAAGACAACAAGGTCAGCTGGAGAAGCTGAATATTTAGGGCCTGCATAGGAGGCTGGGCACTCTGGTGCTTCCTACTTGAGAGAATCGTGAGTTCTAGGACCTAGATCAAGGCAGGTGTCCTAGGCTGTGTGGGAAGAAGAGCTGTCAGGGCTGGGTAGTTCTTTAGCCTAAATAAATCTCAGAATCACTTTTTAAAATGCCAATTCCAAGAATCAACCCATTTCATAGGACTGTCTGGCCAAAAGTCTGGATATAAGTATGAAATCCTTTTCAGATTCTAATCATTTAATATTAGCCAGCATCGAGAACCACCACTCTCAAGCTTCCTTGATATATCAGCCAACAACACATTCCAATTCCCATCCTGGCTTTGGGCCCCTATGGAGTGTATCCCCCCATTTCCCAAGCCTGGAACTTAGATAACCATTATAAGGGGAATAACTACTTATAGCAACTATGTATTAAGTGTCACTTTTGTATCAGGTCTATTGCACATTCATTAATCTTCCTAGCAATCAATTGTTGTCCTTGTGTCTATTTAAAAGAACAAAACTGAAACTAAACAGAGTAGCTTCTTCAAGATAATGGAACCAATAAGTTGCGTAGCTGTGGCTTGAATTGGGTTTCGGTTGGCTCCAAAGACTGTTCATGGTCACAATCCCCCAGAACTGTCCCCTAAGAGAACTTTGTAGGTTTTTGCTCATTTTTGCTTACCGTAACTCTTGCTCAAATGTTCAGCTGTTTGTGGTTTGTGGGAGTGGACTCCTTCCTCCAGAAGGTTCTGGTAGTTTATACAGGCTTTCTGGAGAGATTCTAGTTTCTCTCACGGACAGAGAAACTGGGAGTTTGGATTCCCTTTACTTGCAAGCACAGTAAAATGCAGTAAAATACAGAAACCTAGCTTTGATCTACATCTGCATTTGGCCCTATTTAACGAGACATTAGAGAAGAGAAAATTATGTATTCAGAAATTGTTATGGGCTTAAAAAGCTCCTATCTGTCTCTATTCTCTCCCTTCCTTCAAACCTCAAAGAAAATAGACATTGGCTTTTTTTTTTTTTTTTCTTAAAGATCCCTTCTGGACTACTTCTACCCAAACCCACAGAAACGTCAAGCAGTCTTGGCAAATGAGGGTTCCTTGAATGCAGAAAGAAAGCCAGCTAACTATAAAAACTCCCTCCTCCAGCCCATGATGGTCCCTGAAATATTGTTTAAATTGTTCTCTGTACTCCTCTTCCTGTGCAATGCCAGCCAGCTCAGCACCTGACAGCCCGCCATCGAAGGGAGGGAGATGGCTGTCAGGAATCAAATGGGAGACCAAAGGCGATAAAGCAAACATGTCATTTTAGTTGCTTACACTAGCGAGAAGGAATAATCAGTCTCTCTTGCTTTCTTGTTTTTCAACTAGGCTCAGCAGGATTCCCCCACCCGCCTTTCCTTAGAATGAGAGACTGTGACTCTTTGCTTCCCGCCCCAA
The DNA here is from genome assembly GCF_000001405.40 of Homo sapiens. Taxonomy (NCBI): domain Eukaryota; kingdom Metazoa; phylum Chordata; class Mammalia; order Primates; family Hominidae; genus Homo; species Homo sapiens. The sequence goes on along the minus strand of NC_000009.12, from coordinate 117,083,623 downwards.
GCAAGAATACTCTGTCATCCCCTTTCTTCCCAACGCTGTGAGACGGCCAGTGTTCTCTTACCCCTGAAAAACTCTTTTCCAGATAAACAGACCATGCCACTGGTCATGGGCACCCTCTGTATGTCACCAGCTGTGTGAGATGCTTGCATGCATAACCTTATTTAATCCTGACTGTCAGTTTGGGAGATTTTGGGCAAGTAAATGTACATTCCCAGGCCTGGATTTCCTCCTCTCAAAATTGGAAATGATAATCCTATCTCACAGGGTTTTTGTGATGGTTAAATAGTGTCATGCGTTATTAAAATATAAGGTATGTGAAGGAAGACAGTGAGAAAAAGTCTGGGAAGGATAAATTTAGCCAGATTGAGAAACGCTTTGAATGCCAAGTTCATTCATTTTTTTTTATTTGCATAATCAACTAATGTTTACTGAATATCTAATTCCACTGAGACTCTTTGCTGAAGACCAGGAATATGGTGGGAAATAGACCAATAGGATGGATTTCCTTATGAAATTTCTAGTCATGCCAGAGGAAAAAGGGAAGGGAGAGTGTATTTCACAAATAGACACATGAATAAATATATTATTCCAAACTGTGAGGACTGCCTCTGATGAAAAGAAAAGAGGAACTAATGTAATCAGGAGACTCATGAACTATACCTTTAAGAAGCCAATATTATAGCTTATACCTGAAATATGGACGAGAGGTGGCCAAGCTCTAAAAAATGGCATGTCTGTGTGAGCAGGAAAGAGCCTGCACTTGAACCTCCATGAAATGACGAGTCTATGAAGGGTGTTTTTTGTTTGCTTTGTTTTGTTTTTTGAGAGAGTCTCACTCTGTCACCCAGGATAGAGTGCAGTGGCACAATCTCAGCTCACTGCAACCTCTGCCTCTCAGGTTCAAGTGATTCTCGTGCCTCAGCCTCCCGAGTAGCTGGAACCACAGGCATGTGCCACCATGCCCAGCTAATTTTTTGTGTTTTTAGTAGGGATGGGGTTTCACCATGTTGGCCAGGCTGGTCTTGAATTCCTGACCTCAGGTGATCTGCCTGCCTCGGCCAGGAAGGCATTTACTGTTGAAGGAAGGGATCTATTATTTCATTTCTGTTTTAGGAAGATCACACTTTCTACAGAAGAGAAAGAACTGGAAGAGAGTGAGACTGAAGGTAGGGAGACTAGTTAGGAGGTTATTGGGGTAGAATGGGAACACTCTGGGTGAGCATGGGAAGGTTTAGATACAGGAACATGTTAAAAATACAGTTAGAGGAACCCAATGACTGACTGACTCCAAGAAGGTGAGCCACTGAAGATTGCTGAAAGTGAGCATTGGTTTCCAGCATAGGGACTGGGAGAATCACACAGCCAGGCAAGGAAGGAAGGGTAAGTGTTCAGGAGAGAAAGAGACTAGTTGGATTTTGGAGCTGCTGCCTTTGAGGTGCCTGTGAGCCATCCAGATGGGGACATTTGCCAACCAGATCTGAGCTCAGGAGTGTTCTAGTTGAGGGGAGAGTGTGGATGTCAGCACTCTGTGGTCGTGTATTAGTTTCTATGAGTAACCAGTTGACAGAAACATAGCAGCTTCAAAGAACATGCATTTATTAACTCCCAGTTTTGTAGGTGAAAGTCCAGTCATGGCATAACTGGGTTCTTTACTCAAGATCATGTAAGAGGCTGAAGTCAAGGGGTCAGTGGACTGCCATTGCAGCTGACATGTAGAATCCTCTTCCAAGCTTATGTGGTTGTTGGCAGAATTCATTTCCTTGTAGCTGTATGAGTGATGTGCCTGTTTTCCTGCCAGCTGTCAGCAGGGACCGTTCTCAGATTTTAGAGGCCGCTCTGAAGCCCTTGCCACATGTCTCCCCTGTAGGCGGTTCACAACATGTTTATTCAAGGCCAGCAGGAGATCATCACACTTTGACTCCCCTCCTTCAAGGCCCGATTCTCTTTTAAGGGCTCACTTGATTCAGCCAGGCCTACCCAAGATGAACTTCTTTCTGATAAACTCATTGTCAACTTATTTGAGACCTTTAGTACATTTGAAAAATCCTTTCACCCTTGTCATATAATGTAATCTAATTATGGAGTGATATCCTATCATAGTCACAGTGGCACCCACATTAAGGGGAGTATACAGACAGTGTGCAGGGGGTGGGAATGTTGGAGGCTATTTTAAAATTCTGCCTCCTACCTGGAGGTAAATAAAGGCATGACAGTAGGAAACTGTTGTAGGAGAGGGTGTAGACTGGAAAGTGAAGGGGCTGAGGGTATGTTTCTTATTTATGGATTCTGGGTAGAACATGTCCTTCCCTCAACATCTTTGGTGCAAATAAAACTAGTGCTCCACGTGAAGAAAACAGATGCCACAGCCCAGGGGCATTTGTCATGAGAACAGCTGAGAGACTGCAGGACAAGTGGATTCAGGGGAGATTTGTAACTAACAATGCAAGGCATTCAGCATGCATAACAATGTGCAGTACCCCAAGTCACTCAGTCAAACCCATTCTGTGTTTCACTGGCGAAGGATTTTTCTTCCACAGCTCCCATTGGGCAAATTTGCCATATGCCTTTTCTAATTGGAGTAGACTTTAGAAAAAGTGGCCTCTACTCTGGTTCAGGAGCTAAAATGCTGGAGAGCTTTGGGAAAGTCCCCTTGGCTCTCTATCCATTACATTTGGGTGTGATGTTTGAAGAAATTGCATCAGAGGCCTCTTAAAGCTCTGAAATTTTATGCTTTTATTCATTTAATACACATTGTAGATTCTAGGAACAGTGTGGTTCTCTGGGGTGTCAGGGGTTAGCAAGACATGACTCCAGCCCTTAGGAAGCTCCTTCCTAGGCTTCTGTCTGTGGAAGAAGTCAAGACCACTGATTCCTAAGCTCATCTCTCTGCTCTAAGGATATCTGTGGACCTGAGCTGTTTCAACCTTATTGGTGGTGGTATGCTCATTGTTTTTACCTTTTCTTCAACCAATGTAAAATAATGTAATAATTCTACTAAAGGGACATAGAAAAATAGAAATAAATGAAAACCTTCGAGAGCTCATTTCATTTTTTCCCCATCCCCATTTCCTGCACACTCTTTCTTATCCTTGCAACCATAATCTTCACACATTTGCACTCCTGTTTTTTTTCACTCGGCATTATATTACCATATTTTTTCTGTGACACTGTACATTTTTCTTGAAGTGCTAAACCTAAACATAGTCATTGTAGCATAATCTCTAATACTGAAAAATTAGAATGAGCCCAAATGTCCAACAATAGGAGGATGGCTAAGTAAATGATGATGCATCCACTTGAGAGAATATTATACAGCCAGATAAGTGTGAATGAAGCATGAGTTTTTGAAGGAGGGCAGAATTTACAAACCACAATAATTACTTTTAAGGACAAACAAATCAACTCATTTAAAAAAGAAATATGTAGGTGAATCACAATGTTATATATTATGCATGTATTTACCCTTCTGTTTATTATTTATACTCTGCCTGTTCCTGAAAGGGATTTGAGGTGGGTGGATTTGCTGGAGGTAGTTTAATGTGCAGTGTTTAATTTGTGGTCTTTGGAGCCAGACACACATAGTTATGTGTCCTCGCGGTGTGAACCTTGGTAAGTCACTCTAACCAACCCACGATTTTCTCAGCTGTGTAATGGCCATTCTTGTAGCTCTTTCTTCTATGAGTGGTTTCAAGATTGTAATGAAATAATAAAAGCAACAAACTTAGCACAGGTCCTGGAGAAGATGGTAAGTGATGAACAATTGTAGCCTTAGATCTGACTACTTTAACTTATACAGGAGGAGACTGTGTTTCTATAACTAGGGCAGCTGCTCTCAATTGTCTATGATACAATTAGATTGACCTGAAATCTTGAAAAACAGTGTTCATCCCTTTTATTATTTATTCAAGCCATCATGTATCTGGTCTTGGAATCCCTGGAGGAATGAATATATCTCACTTTTACTTAATTGTGAAAAACAAAGAAGAAAGAGAAAGAAAAATCAAAAGTAAATATCCAGTTGAAAAGGGTTCTAGACCATGAGAAGGTTCCTGACCTTTTTCTCTGTCCATGAAGCATGATGTTGTGAGTAAAGGGCTCTTTCCCCTTGTATCATGGTTCCCAACCCTATCTGCATGGTAAACACACTTAGGTTTAAATAATAAATACCTAACTTTGGACCTCAGTCCAGAGTTTGATTTAATAGGTTTAGGTGGAGACTGGGCATGCTGGTTGGTCGGTCGGTCTGCCTGTCTCTCTCTCACTCTCTCTCGACAGGGTCTCATTCTGTCACTCAGGTTGGAGTGCAGTGGTGCCATCGCAGCTCACACCAGACTTGACCTCCCAGCCTCAGGCAATCCTCCTTCCCCAGCCCCCCAAGAAGCTAGGACCACAGTCACGCACCACCACACGTGGCTAATTTTTTAATTATTTGTAGAGGCAGGATCTTACTATGTTGCCCAGGCTGGTCTCAAACTCCTGGACTCAAGTGAACCTCCTGCCATGGCCTCTCAATGTACTGGGATTACAGGTGTGATTCACTGCACCCGACCATCTTTTTAAAAGCTCTTCAGGAGCAACCATAGTTGATGGCCGGGTGCAGTGGCTCAAGCCTGTAATCTCAGCACTTTGGGAGGCCGAGGCAGGCAGATCGCCTGAGGTCAGGAGTTCAAGACCAGCCTGCCCAATATGGTGAAACCCCCTCTCTACTAAAAATACAAAAATTAGCAGGGCATGGTGGCCCATACCTGTAATCCCAGCTACTTGGGAGGCCGAGGCAGGAGAATCACTTGAACCTGGGAGGTGGAGGTTGCAGTGAGCCAAAGTCGTGCCACTGCACTACAGACTGAGGAGCAGAGTGAGACTCCATCTCAAAAAATAAAAATAAAAATAAAATAAAAAGCTCTCCAGGAACAGCCATAGTTGAGAATCATTGCCTTAAGGAACCAAGGCATAGATGGTTAAGACTAGTGGTCTCTGCCCTCCAGCCATTTTCAAGCTATAGAGGGTATAATAAATAATAGAGAATATCAGATCAATTAAATTCTGTGGCCTCGGTTCTTCTCTGGTTAAATAAACTACAATTCTGTAATGTCTTTCCTGATTCTCCAATTCGGTGCTTCTAATAACATGGTATTTTTGTTTTTATTTTTTAACCAAAGTAAGATAATGCAGTGTGAGTCATATGTCCATGGCTGAGGTGCTTTGGAGTAATGGCTTTGGGATACAAAAGACCATAAATCAAGGATGGCTCTTCAATGGATAAAAATATAGAGACAGATGCCTGACGAAATAATGGTGGAAAACTGGAAACAGGGAGAAAACATAATGGGCACTCAAAAAATAACAACTTATTTTTTAAAATTTTCTTCCTCTTTTTGGACCTCAGTTTCCTAATATATAAAGTGGAATGTTGTGTTACATGACTTATAAAGGCTATTCTAGCTCTGATGCTCTACAGGATATTTTTAGCTGGATACAAGAAGACTTGGGTGTGGTGAGAAACAATATTATTTCTATATACAAGTCTAAGGGAGGAGCTCACCTGGGAAGGAGGGTGCGCATTGACTCTTTACAGAAGTCAAGAAGGCAGGGCTGTGCTAACATAGGCTGGGACTTGAAGGGTGCATATTACAGGTCAGCATAAGCAAGACAATTCTGAGTGTCAGAGTTCTTGTCTGCTTCCACAGTGAGTTCCCCATCATTAGATGAATGCAAGCAAAATTTGAACAATAACCTGTGGAGGATGTTCTGAAAGAAATCCAAACATTGGATGAAGGGCCAGGGTTTTTTTTCCTTTAAGGTCCTTAGCAGCCTCAAGAATATCATGACATTGTTTTTAGGGATACTGTTTTTGTTTTGTTGTTGTTGTTGTTATTTAGACAGAGTCTTGCTCTGTCACCCAGGCTGGAGTGCAGTGGCACTATCTTAGCTCACTGCAGCCTCCATCTGCCAGGTTCAAGCGATTCTCTTGCCTCAGCCTCCCAAGTAGCTGGAATTACAGGTGCTTGCCACCATGGCTTCCTAATTTTTGTATTTTAAGTAGAGATGGGCTTTCACCATGTTGCCCAGGCTGGTCTTGAACTCCTGGGCTTAAGTGATTTACCCGCCTCAGCCTCCCAAAGTGCTGGGATTACAAGCATGAGCTACCGCACCCGGCCAGCTCCTTACTTACTTTATAGCTTACTTACCTTATAGCTTACTTACTTTATAGCTCCTCATTTAACTCTTACAACAACCCAGAGAAGTAGAGATTGTGAACATCCCCACCTCACCTCACAGATAAGAACCCTAAAATATGGAAAGTTTAAATCACTTGCTCAGAACTTCACCCAGATAGGAGACAGAACAAGGACAGGAGCTCCATTGAGTCTCGCGCCAAAACTCCTCTCTGTGCTAATGCAGTTGGCCTTCCATCTCTGTTTCTCCACCTGATGGCAGAGCCCAAGCCTGGTTCATATTGATTGTGTCTGTCCCTTGTTTCCTCCCAACCTCTGTCTCTCTCCCCTGCCTGCTCTCCCACATGTATTTATGCTGGGCTGCCTGGTAACAAACGGCTCGTTACCATGCAGAGGGCAACAGCCGGGCGATTAGTGAAATTTGTTACCCATGCGTCTCTGAACAAAATTAAATTAAAAGTGCTGCTTCACTGTCAAGATAAGGGCCAAGCTGCTGAGATAATTTTTCACTCTCAAACACTCAATTACCCAGTAAGGCTGGATCAGATACAATCAAAGGGGAAAAAAGAAGAAAAAGAAAGGAAAAAAATATAGAGGCAGGACCTCCAGGAACAGATGTAAGAGTTGTTATCTCTTTATGGCCAGGGATGTTAAAGAGGCTGTTGTCATGGTGATGGGGCTGGACCACATGAGGCAGGTAGGTAGGTGTGGTCTGTGACTACATCCTGTATTAAAGGAGATGCTCTCTCCCTCCACCCCCGCTGCCCCTGCCTTAGACAAGTTGGTGTCATTTTCACCTGAATTATTGTAACAGCCTCCTAACTGGTCTCCTTCACCCCACTCTTGTCCTCTTCATCCCAACTTCCAAAAGTGACCTTTCTACCACACACGTCTGAAAACATCACTTTTTTGTTGAAACCTTCTGATGGTTTCTCCTTGTCATTATAATAAAGTTCAAATCACTTAGCCAGTGTCATCTCAACTCTCTGCCCCTCAAACTTTCAATGAGATGAATCCCTCCCTTCTTCTATCCCCCCCTCTTTTTCTCCTTCCTTCTTTCCTTCCTTTATTCGACAGAAATTATTTTGAAGACCTACAGTGTGCCAGGCATTCTGCTCCATCTTATTCTAATCACGCAGTCCCCTCTGTCTGGGATAATCTTCTCTTGCCTTTTCACCCTCAACAGTGACATCTTGTTCTTTAAAAATCAGTTCAGCTATTCCCCACTCCAGCGTGCTTACCAGGTGTCCACGAAGCTCAGCAGGTGCCCTTCCTTTATGCCAGCATGGAATTCACTACTACCCCCAATCACAGCTCTCTCTCATATTCTCTGTAACTGCCCATCTCATTGTCTGTTCCAACCAGACTGTGAAGCCTGCAAGGGCAGAGACTACTTCACTCAGCTCTGTATCCCCAGGGCCTATGGAGCAGGCTTTCAGTATGATTCTTGTGATCTGAAATGACCCTGGAGTTAAATGGTGGGATGCCTGCTGAAGGTCTCTTCAGGAGACTGGAGGAACCTCTCTTCTTAATACAGGTAATTTACCTGTGCTGTCTCATTTAGCCCTTACAATATGAGATCTTGTCCTGACTTGATGGATGAGAAAACTGAGGCACAGAGAGGAAAAGCAACTTGACTGAGTCACAGTTTTAGTAAACAGCATGGAAAAGAGAATTAAGCTTGTGTCTAACTCCAAAGCCTGAAAGCTTTTAAGTTGTAATTTTTACCTCAAATTATATAGAAGGTCAGTGGCAAAGATGGAGCTAAATATTAGGCTCTCTGACTTCTGGTCACAAAGTCACACTAGAAAAGGGTGTACTCCAGGGTTTCCTGTGTGAAAGGTAGTCTGAATTCCCATTCTCCCTGTAGTGTCTGGACCAGAAAACAAGGGAGACCATGAAATTGCCAAAAAGACAATCAGCCTGCCCCCTCCTCCTCCTCCCCCTCCCCCTTCCCCTCCATCTGCCCACCACTGCCAGACTCTAGTCGATGGGTCCTTGGTTCAGGATTCATGAGCCTTCTTGGTGTGTCTCTTTCTTTCCATCTGAGAGGGCTTGACTCTTCCCTCTCTCAGCTAATTAAAAACCCCAGCCTGGGCCGCCAGCCTTGGATCACAGGCTGCTGGGCAGAGGCGCTGACGCTGTGCTGATAAATCACTCCCTGGGGCTAGGGGAGGCTGGAGCATTTGTCAGAGGGGCTGGGCTCATCCTGGACTCCTTTGGGAGATTTGGGGACTGCTACAAATGGACCATGTCCACCCCTTCTTGCCCCAGAAGGGGCTCCATTAAAAATAGGAGGGCAGGGATCGCCCAAGGATGTTGGGGCAGGAGTGGCCCTAGAGTCATCTTCTGAAAACATTTGTTAGATTGTGTTATTCCCTTAGATACCTTTGGTGTCTCCCTCTTGGCCTACATGATAAATTCTCAACTTCTTAGCCTGACAGTGGGTGAGGTGTAGTATAGCATTTAAAAGCATTGCCTCTGGAAATTTACAGACCTCGGTGTAGATCATGACTTCGCTGCTTACTCACCTTGGATATGTTATTTAACCCCTCTGTGTCTCATGGTCTTCACTTAGGAAATGGAAATAAAAACTACATGTTGATAAAATAGACATTCCTATGCATATACATAAATATACACATGCATGCATATACATATGTATGTGTATTTACATAATATATAGATAGATACGTAGATAGTTAGGATTGAAAGAGGTATTGTATACACAGCCCTTAGTATAGTTCTTGGCACCCTGCACCATCAAAGCAGCTGCTACTGTGGTCCCTGTAGCTGCAGCCACTTCCACCCCAACGATTGCCACTTCTGCTGTTCTGACAGCGCATCCTGCCTGCTGTTAATATTAGCCAAATCCACCTCTCTAGCCTTTACTTCCATTCCATCTTCTGCTCACACTTCCACAAACACACCCTGCACATCTTCGCCTGCTAGTATATGCTGGGCTGTTCCATCAGCCTAGAGTATCATGTTGACTCAGCTCTGTCTAATAAAACCTAAATGTCCCAGCAGGTCTGGTTGGGAAAAATGTTACCACCTTTCTGAAGCTTTCCCTGATCCCTCAGACCAAATGTCACTGTGGTGGCATGTTACCTATATCTCTTTTGTCATCAAACCCTCGTTCCTTTCTTAAAATTGTGGTTAGTCTTGCACGTCTCTATTCCTCCTCCTCCTCCTCCTCTAGAGAACGGGCAACATGGGGCAGTGACTTGCTCAGACCTGCATTGCTAGTGCTCGGAATCATGTTTGACATAGAAAATATGCAATAAATGTTGGCAATTAGAATAAGAATCCCAGATAACCCCATTCCTGTACTATTAAGGTCTTTTTTTTTTTCCTCAATAGAACAGAACGCTGTCTTGCTCATTCATCCTTCTATTCCCGGCAGGTGAGGGCCGGGGATAATAATGGCCATCGCCTGGGCTTGTGTGAATCAAGTGAACTGCTGCCCTTCAGTGATGAGTGACTCCCCCAGACCACAGAGCTAACCAGTTCCATAGACTCGAGTCCATTTTCTCTGACTTTCATTTTATTCTTTCATCCACTAGGGCAGGCTTTGTTCCATTCTCAGCCTCACCTGGTGAAGTCTAGAAGGATCTCTCCAGTTTGGTATCACTTTTGCCTTCTCTGCTTTGCTGAGGTGTTTGTAACAGAGAAATTCCACCGCCTGCTCCCCCAGGCCCATTGCTGGAGTTACCCAAGAGCACCCCCCAGTGGTTGTCGACATAATTTGTCACTCCTGAGAGAAGGAGTGGTTTGTCCCTTCATTCATTCATCAGTCATGCATTGAGTGTAACAGTATATTTTTCACCCTGCAGTAATTGCTGGAGATACAAGATGAATCCAACCTAATTCCTGGCCCTAGGAAATCTACAGTCTGTTGGGAGAAAAATGGTAACATTAAAACAGAGATTAGCCGTCCATTGTGATAAATAATATAATGGGAGTTTGTGGGCTGTTGTGGGATCCAGAAGAGGGTCTCACAACCCTGCCTGGACTGGAGGGTGGACAGTAGGAAGAGGGGATGGGAAGATTCCCTGAAATAGATGATATTGCAAAGGATTAGGTGGAATGAACCAAGCAATATCCAGGAGTGGAGTGGAGAAGCAGGACAGTCCCTGCAGAAGACACCCCTAGAGGCAGGAAGCTGAGCGGAATGAGTTGTGGGGGAGGTCAGCCAGGCCTGGTCATAGGAAGCCTGGGGACTCATTAAGAGGCCAGGACCTCATGCATACCAGCAAGGGGGGTGCATTAGATATTTTCATCGGAGAGCGACTAACCAGTTATCTAACCCTGCATTTTTATTTCGGCAGTCTTTCTCTTTCATTTTGTTTGAATTTGTGCTGCACTATATCATCTTTGACTTTCTCTGTTTTTTACAGATTCTCTGCCCCTGTCTTTTTGTTCTCCATCCCTCCTTTTCTCTTTTGTAGATATCTTCTTGATCTCTCTTCATCTCTATTCCTTCTTCGTCTTGTTTTTCCTCTTTGAAGTCTTAACTCTTTTGCCTTACCTGCAAATCACTCTTTGTCCATACCTCCATGTTTTCTTTTATGTTTGGATACCTAACCCTTTGTATGCTACAGAGCACTGAATTAGAAGTCAAAGGTTTTAGTTCTGCCATTACTTTGCTGACACTTGTTAGAGGAGCCACTTAAATTCTATATACCTTAGTTTCACCCACTGCTAAAAAAATAAATAAATAAATAAAGTTGGACTTTGTGTCATGATATTTCACAACTCCAGGAGCCACCATTCCACTCCTTGGATTCCAATTCATAGATCCATGAGATCAGGGCCCCTGGAACTATGCTACAAAGGGCCCTGACTTAGATGAGTTCTAAACATCTGTTCAAATTGACGATTCCATTGTCTTTCTCCTTCCTCTATCCTTGATTCATTCTTCTTTTCATCTCTTCCTCTCCCCATGTATCCTCTCTCAATTTCTTCTCAGCTCTAACTAGTGCCAGACTGCAAGATGTTCGCATCCAAAACACTTGCAAATTGACAGAGTGATTTGTAATTGAAAGATGATGGTTTGGGCAGAAGGCATTTGTTTTCATACTCTCAGCATTACGATCCACAGTGTCTCAAACCAGCTGAGACTAGAGAAGTCTGTATTAGATATGAATTTAGAGGCCTCCCAAGGAGCTGGAATACCAAACAAGATAAATTCAAGGATGTGTGCTATTCCAAAGAGGCTTCATTCTTGGAAACGATAGAATAATTTATTACTCAGCAAACGGACTAGGGGGTATCTTGTAGGAGGCCCCATAATTCTGCATAATGTAGTGTTTAAGAGCATGGACTTGAAGTGTATGAATTTCAAGTCCTGCAATGTGACTTACTACCTGTGCAATTGGATTCAATGTCTTAATCTGTAAAATGGGAGTGGGGGAGGAGCCAAGATGGCCGAATAGGAACAGCTCCGGTCTCAGCTCCCAGCGTGACTGACTCAGAAGACGGGTGATTTCTGCATTTCCATCTGAGGTACCGGGTTCATCTCACTAGGGAGTGCCAGACAGTGGGCGCAGGCCAGTGGGTGCGCGCACGGTGCGCGAGCCGAAGCAGGGCTAGGCATTGCCTCACCTGGGAAGCGCAAGGGGTCAGGGAGTTCCCTTTCCGAGTCAAAGAAAGGGGTGACGGACGCACCTGGAAAATCGGGTCACTCCCACCCGAGTATTGCGCTTTTCAGACCGGCTTAAGAAACGGCGCACCATGAGACTATATCCCACACCTGGCTCAGAGGGTCCTACGCCCACGGAATCTCGCTGATTGCTAGCACAGCAGTCTGAGATCAAACTGCAAGGCGGCAGCGAGGCTGGGGGAGGGGCGCCCGCCATTGCCCAGGCTTGCTTAGGTAAACAAAGCAGCTGGGAAGCTCGAACTGGGTGGAGCCCACCACAGCTCAAGGAGGCCTGCCTGCCTCTGTAGGCTCCACCTCTGGGGGCAGGGCACAGACAAACAAAAAGACAGCAGTAACCTCTGCAGACTTAAATGTCCCTGTCTGACAGCTTTGAAGGGAGCAGTGGTTCTCCCAGCACGCAGCTGGAGATCTGAGAACCCGCAGACTGCCTCTTCAAGTGGGTCCCTGACCCCTGACCCCCGAGCAGCCTAACTGGGAGGCACCCCCCAGCAGGGGCACACTGACACCTCACACGGCAGGGTATTCCAACAGACCTGCAGCTGAGGGTCCTGTCTATTAGAAGGAAAACTAACAAACAGAAAGGACATCCACACCAAAAACCCATCTGTACATCACCATCATCAAACACCAAAAGTAGATAAAACCACAAAGATGGGGAAAAAAACAGAACAGAAAAACTGGAAGCTCTAAAAATCAGAGCGCCTCTCCTCCTCCAAAGGAACGCAGCTCCTCACCAGCAACAGAACAAAGCTGGATGGAGAATGACTTTGACGAGCTGAGAGAAGAAGGCTTCAGATGATCAAATTACTCTGAGCTACGGGAGGACATTCAAACCAAAGGCAAAGAAGTTGAAAACTTTGAAAAAAATTTAGAAGAATGTATAACTAGAATAACCAATACAGAGAAGTGCTTAAAGGAGCTGATGGAGCTGAAAACCAAGGCTCGAGAGCTACGTGAAGAATGCAGAAGCCTCAGGAGCCGATGCGATCAACTGGAAGAAAGGGTGTCAGCAATGGAAGATGAAATGAATGAAATGAAGTGAGAAGGGAAGTTTAGAGAAAAAAGAATAAAAAGAAATGAGCAAAGCCTCCAAGAAATATGGGACTATGTGAAAAGACCAAATCTACGTCTCATTGGTGTACCTGAAAGTGATGGGGAGAATGGAACCAAGTTGGAAAACACTCTGCAGGATATTATCCAGGAGAACTTCCCCAATCTAGCAAGGCAGGCCATCGTTCAGATTCAGGAAATACAGAGAACGCCACAAAGATACTCCTCGAGAAGAGCAACTCCAAGACACATAATTGTCAGATTCACCAAAGTTGAAATGAAGGAAAAAATGTTAAGGGCAGCCAGAGAGAAAGGTCGGGTTACCCTCAAAGGGAAGCCCATCAGACTAACAGCGGATCTCTCGGCAGAAACCCTACAAGCCAGAAGAGAGTGGGGGCCAATATTCAACATTCTTAAAGAAAAGAATTTTCAACCCAGAATTTCATATCCAGCCAAGCTAAGCTTCATAAGTGAAGGAGAAATAAAATACTTTACAGACAAGCAAATGCTGAGAGATTTTGTCACCACCAGACCTGCCCTAAAAGAGCTCCTGAAGGAAGCACTAAACACGGAAAGGAACAACCGGTACCAGCCGCTGCAAAATCATGCCAAAATGTAAAGACCATCGAGACTAGGAAGAAACTGCATCAACTAACGAGCAAAATCACCAGCTAACATCATAATGACAGGATCAAACTCACACATAACAATATTAACTTTAAGTGTAAATGGACTAAATTCTCCAATTAAAAGACACAGACTGGCAAATTGGATAAAGAGTCAAGACCCATCAGTGTGCTGTATTCAGGAAACCCATCTCACATGCAGAGACACACATAGGCTCAAAATAAAAGGATGGAGGAAGATCTACCAAGCAAATGGAAAACAAAAAAAGGCAGGGGTTGCAATCCTAGTCTCTGATAAAACAGACTTTAAACCAACAAAGATCAAAAGAGACAAAGAAGGCCATTACATAATGGTAAAGGGATCAATTCAACAAGAAGAGCTAACTATCCTAAATATATATGCACCCAATACAGGAGCACCCAGATTCATAAAGCAAGTCCTGAGTGACCTACAAAGAGACTTAGACTCCCACACAATAATAATGGGAGACTTTAACACCCCACTGTCAACATTAGACAGATCAACGAGACAGAAAGTCAACAAGGATACCCAGGAATTGAACTCATCTCTGCACCAAGCGGACCTAATAGACATCTACAGAACTCTCCACCCCAAATCAACAGAATATACATTTTTTTCAGCACCACACCACACCTATTCCAAAATTGATCACATACTTGGAAGTAAAGCTCTCCTCAGCAAATGTAAAAGAACAGAAATTATAACAAACTATCTCTCAGACCACAGGGCAATCAAACTAGAACTCAGGATTAAGAATCTCACTCAAAGCCGCTCAACTACATGGAAACTGAACAACCTGCTCCTGAGTGACTACTGGGTACATAACGAAATGAAGGCAGAAATAAAGATGTTCTTTGAAACCAACGAGAACAAAGACACAACATACCAGAATCTCTGGGACGCATTCAAAGCAGTGTGTAGAGGGAAATTTATAGCACTAAATGCCCACAAGAGAAAGCAGGAAAGATCCAAAATTGACACCCTAACATCACAATTAAAAGAACTAGAAAAGCAAGAGCAAACACATTCAAAAGCTAGCAGAAGGCAAGAAATAACTAAAATCAGAGCAGAACTCAAGGAAATAGAGACACAAAAAACCCTTCAAAAAATCAATGAATCCAGGAGCTGGTTTTTTGAAAGGATCAACAAAATTGATAGACCGCTAGCAAGACTAATAAAGAAAAAAAGAGAGAAGAATCAAATAGACACAATAAGAAATGATAAAGGGGATATCACCACCGATCCCACAGAAATACAAACTACCATCAGAGAATACTACAAACACCTGTACGCAAATAAACTAGAAAATCTAGAAGAAATGGATAAATTCCTCGACACATACACTCTCCCAAGACTAAACCAGGAAGAAGTTGAATCTCTGAATAGACCAATAACAGGAGCTGAAATTGTGGCAATAATCAATACTTTACCAACCAAAAAGAGTCCAGGACCAGATGGATTCACAGCCGAATTCTACCAGAGGTACAAGGAGGAACTGGTACCATTCCTTCTGAAACTATTCCAATCAATAGAAAAAGAGGGAATCCTCCCTAACGCATTTTATGAGGCCAGCATCATTCTGATACCAAAGCCAGGCAGAGGCACAACCAAAAAAGAGAATTTTCGACCAATATCCTTGATGAACATTGATGCAAAAATCCTCAATAAAATACTGGCAAACCGAATCCAGCAGCACATCAAAAAGCTTATCCACCATGATCAAGTGGGCTTCATCCCTGGGATGCAAGGCTGGTTCAATATATGCAAATCAATAAATGTAATCCAGCATATAAACAGAGCCAAAGACAAAAACCACATGATTATCTCAATAGATGCAGAAAAAGCCTTTGACAAAATTCAACAACCCTTCATGCGAAAAACTCTCAATAAATTAGGTATTGATGGGACGTATTTCAAAATAATAAGAGCTATCTATGACAAACCCACAGCCAATATCATACTGAATGGGCAAAAACTGGAAGCATTCCCTTTGAAAACTGGCACAAGACAGGGATGCCCTCTCTCACCACTCCTATTCAACATAGTGTTGGAAGTTCTGGCCAGGGCAATTAGGCAGGAGAAGGAAATAAAGGGTCTTCAATTAGGAAAAGAGGAAGTCAAATTGTCCCTGTTTGCAGACGACATGATTGTATATCTAGAAAACCCCACTGTCTCAGCCCAAAATCTCCTTAAGCTGATAAGCAACTTCAGCAAAGTCTCAGCATACAAAATCAATGTACAAAAATCACAAGCATTCTTATACACCAACAACAGACAAACAGAGAGCCAAATCATGAGTGAACTCCCATTCACAATTGCTTCAAAGAGAATAAAATACCTAGGAATCCAACTTACAAGGGATGTGAAGGACCTCTTCAAGGAGAACTACAAACCACTGCTCAAGGAAATAAAAGAGGATACAAACAAATGGAAGAACATTCCATGCTCATGAGTAGGAAGAATCAACATCATGAAAATGGCCATACTGCCCAAGGTAATTTACAGATTCAATGCCATCCCCATCAAGCTACCAATGCCTTTCTTCACAGAATTGGAAAAAACTACTTTAAAGTTCATATGGAACCAAAAAAGAGCCCGCATCGCCAAGTCAATCCTAAGCCAAAAGAACAAAGCTGGAGGCATCACACTACCTGACTTCAAACTATACTACAAGGCTACAGTAACCAAAACAGCATGGTACTGGTACCAAAACAGAGATATAGATCAATGGAACAGAACAGAGCCCTCAGAAATAATGCCGCATACCTACAACTGTCTGATCTTTGACAAACCTGAGAAAAACAAGAAATGGGGAAAGGATTCCCTATTTAATAAATGGTGCTGGGAAAACTGGCTAGCCATATGTAGAAAGCTGAAACTGGATCCCTTCCTTACACCTTATACAAAAATCAATTCAAGATGGATTAAAGATTTAAACGTTAGACCTAAAACCATAAAAACCCTAGAAGAAAACCTAGGCATTACCATTCAGGACATAGGCATGGGCAAGGACTTCATGTCTAAAACACCAAAAGCAATGGCAACAAAAGACAAAATTGACAAATGGGATCTAATTAAACTAAAGAGCTTCTGCACAGCAAAAGAAACTACCATCAGAGTGAACAGGCAACCTACAAAATGGGAGAAAATTTTCGCAACCTACTCATCTGACAAAGGGCTAATATCCAGAATCTACAATGAACTCAAACAAATTTACAAGAAAAAAACAAACAACCCCATCAAAAAGTGGGCGAAGGACATGAACAGACACTTCTCAAAAGAAGACATTTATGCAGCCAAAAAACACATGAAAAAATGCTCATCATCACTGGCTATCAGAGAAATGCAAATCAAAACCATCTCACACCAGTTAGAATGGCAATCATTAAAAAGTCAGGAAACAACAGGTGCTGGAGAGGATGTGGAGAAATAGGAACACTTTTATACTGTTGGTGGTACTGTAAACTAGTTCAACCATTGTGGAAGTCAGTGTGGCAATTCCTCAGGGATCTAGAACTAGAAATACCATTTGACCCAGCCATCCCATTACTGGGTATATACCCAAATGACTATAAGTCATGCTAGTATAAAGACACATGCACACGTATGTTTATTGCAGCATTATTCACAATAGCAAAGACTTGGAACCAACCCAAATGTCCAACAATGATAGACTGGATTAAGAAAATGTGGCACATATACACCATGGAATACTATGCAGCCATAAGAAATGTTGAGTTCATGTCCTTTGTAGGGACATGTATGAAATTGGAAATCATCATTCTCAGTAAACTATCACAAGAACAAAAAACCAAACACCGCATATTCTCACTCATAGGTGGGAATTGAACAATGAGATCACATGGACACAGGAAGGGGAATATCACACTCTGGGGACTGTGGTGGGGTGGGGGGAGGGGGGAGGGATAGCATTGGGAGATATACCTAATGCTAGATGACGAGTTAGTGGGTGCAGTGCACCAGCATGGCACATGTATACATATGTAACTAACCTGCACAATGTGCACATGTACCCTAAAACTTAAAGTATAATAAAAAAAAAAAAAAGATAAAATGGGAGTGATGGTACTTCTGAGAGGAGTAATTGACCATATTACATGCATTATCTCATTTAATCTTCTACCTACATTTTAAAGATGAGGTTCAAAGACATTAAGATACTTACGAAGAAAGTGACAGAATCAGAGCATATGCCTATTTGACCCCAAAGCTGGTGCTTTTATTTTTGATATTATACCACCTCACATCTGGGCCTGAAAACCTGAGTCTCTTTAATAGACTTCAAGTTAGGGGAAAGGAAAGGTTGATAGATAGGCATAGAGATGCAGTGGCTGTGGGTTCTATAATTGACAAAGAAGTAAGAGTACAAGGATTAGGTCACTTGTTTATACTCATGTTTATTCAACAGACATTTCCTCAACACCTGTATGGACCAAATGTATGATTGGCTCTAGTACTCTGAACTGAGTCACAGATGGTCTACACTCCAGGCAAACTCTAAATTCTGGTAGGGGAGAGAGACAGGTAACTAAAAAATGAGTTACAGATGCTGAAATGAACTTGATGGAGATATACACACTTAAGAACATCAAAGAGGTTTGTGCAAATCCAGCTCATGGGTTCAGTCAAGAGTGCTTCCACACAGGCTGGAGGCTATACTAATACTGAGTCTCGAAAAAAAGGTAAGTTCTCACCATGTGCAGGATGTGAGGAAAGGCACTCCAGGAGGGGGATATTAGTTTTCTGTGGCTGCTGTAACAAATTACCAAAACTTGGTGGCTTAAAATAACAGAAAGTTATTCTCTCTCAGTTTTTGAGGCCAGAATTCCAAAATCAAGGTATTCCAGTGTGGGTTTCTTCTGGAAGCACGGAGGGAGAATCTGTTCTGTTCCGTGGCTTCCTCCTAGCCTCCTGGAGCTGTCAGCAATCCTCGAAGTTCCTAGTCCTGTATGTGCATTGCTCCAATCCCTGTTTTCCTCACATCCTCCTCTGTTTTTCTCTTATAAGGACACCAATCATTGGCTTTAGGGCCTATCCTAAACAGAGTATGATCTCATCTAGAGATCCTGAACTTAAATGCATCTGCAAAGACCCTTTTTTCCATGTAAGGTCAATTCTGAGGTTCCAGGTAGACATGTCTTGTAATAGCCACAATTCAACCCACCACAAGCAGACAGCAGAGAAACAGCAGTTGAAAGCATCTAGGTGGGGCCAGTGACTAGGCGTGCTTGAGAGTAGCTCAAAAATCTTGGATTTTTTTTTTTAAGTATATAGATCTAGGGGTTACATGTACAGTTTTATGACATGGATAGATTGTGGTAAAGCTTAAGCTTTTAGTGTATGCATCACCTGGATCATGTGCATTGTACCCAACATGTAATTTCTCATCCCTTCCCCCCGACCCTCCTACTTTTTGGAGTCTCCAATGTCTATTATTCCACTCTATATGTCCATGGGTACACATTGTTTAGCTCCCACTTATAAGTGAGAAGAGGAAGTATTTGACTTTCTATTTCTGCGTTATTTCATTTAGGATAATGGCCTCCAGTTCCATTTACGTTGCTGCCAAAGGCATTCTATGTTGAGAAGTTTGGATTCTTAACATTGGGTGATGTTGGGTCATCCCTTCTCTCCAAATCCCAGTTTCCCCATTTGATACAACAGGGATCATCTGCGAAGACCTTTAACATTTTTCCAGTGTTGATATTCTGGAATCCTGGAGCTGAGGCAAAGACTGTGACACCCAGTAGATACCAAAATAGCAATCTGGCTGGAAGCTGGACTGCAGCAGCTTGGAGGAAGCACTGGCCATCCCAGCGGCCCTGGCTGGACCGTGATAACAGCTCTCTAACACCACTGTTAATCTTTAATTGGTATTTGATTTGATTTAACATGATCTTCTGCTTGTAAAACACCTTGAGATGTTTCTGCGTTGTGAGCGCGTCCTGGAAACACCGGTTTATTGTATTAACAAGTCTCGGCCAGAACATAAAGGGAGATAATTAGAAACAGCAAAGTCCCTTGACATGCTCAGGGCAGCCAAAAAGCTCTCGGGAAAACAATCTTTCAGCTGCTTTCATGTATCCAAAAGAGAAAGCTGTTGGAGCAGCCCCAGTGGATAGGAGAGCTTGTTAGGGTCACTTGGCACACTATTTATAGCTCTCGGCTAGCTCTGCTTTCATCTAGCACTTGTGGTCCTGTGGCTCACAACACCCCAGTAAGGTTTTGCTACAACCCTTAGGACCCCAACCTAGGAGCCCACTGGCTTGCTAGCAATTTATTTGTAAGACCATTTGGCATATAGGCTGTGCTTTCTTATAAAAGCAAACATATGCTCAAGGGCAGTGTTCCCAGGCTAGCCCACAAAAGTTGATTTACCTTCTAGTGGACTAAAAGCATTGCAATACTGTCCTAGATAACCAGGTGTATTAGTCTGTTTTCACACTGCTGATAAAGATATACCCTAGACTTGGTAATTTATACAGGAAAAAGGGTTTAATTGGACTTACAGTTCCATGTGGCTGGGGAGGCCTCACAGTCATGGTGGAAGGTGAAAGGCACGTCTTATATTGCAGCAGGCAAGAGAGAGAATGAGAGCCAAGCGAAATGGGTTTCCCCTTATCAAACCATCAGATCTCATGAGATTTATTCACTAGCATGAAGACAACATGGGAGAAATCACCCCCGTGATTCAATTATCTCCCACTGGGTCCCTCCCGTAATACATGGGAATTATGGGAGTACAGTTCAAGTGAGATTTGGGTGGGGACACAGAGTCAAACCATATCACCAGGTGTTCAGATGAGCCCCAAATGGTTCTTTACCCTGAAGAAATGTACCTTATGAAGGACAAAATTATAAACTGTGTCTAAGAATTGCTCTAGTTAACATATTACCATGGAATATATTTTAACTGTAACTATACCTGACATAGTAAGTATATAATGAAAATCTACATTAATGTGGTTGGATTCCAAGACTGTTCCAGAAAAAGTTGTCCTTAATCTGGAATGCACTTGAAGTAAGAGAATACAACAGGTTGGTTAGCTTCCGAGGCTAGCACACAATATTCTACCTAATCTCTGCTCTGGTGGAGGTATGGCAACAGTAAAAGTGGTAGTCTGGAGCCAAGGCTAGCCCCTTAAAAAGTTTTCTGTATCCTTAGTCTTCCTGCGTATTGATATGGTTATGAATAAGTTTCTAGTCTTATCTACAAGCCTAATTAACCTGCTATATATAAGAAATATGAACAGTATTCCTTTCACTAGACATAAATATGTGCTTTACACTTAATTTTAAAGAAATGTCTTCTGTATTTCTATATAGTATGCTAGAAAAGTGCACACATACATGAGTGTGTACACACACTCACTTACACCATTACCATTGCTCTGAAGGCATCAGCACCCATAGGCACTCAAGGGCATGGCTAAGGGCTTGTTGCAGATTGTATTGAATGCATGGATTATCACTGTGGTTTTTAAAAAACCTTTCTCTGATTCTCCATCTGCAGGAATAATAGTTAACATTTCCAGGAAAAAAAATGTTTAAAAATCAGATTTCTAAACCCCACTCCCAGAGATTCCTGTTCAGTAGGTCTTACACAGGGCCCAAAGCACTGTATTTTTAACATGTCTCATAGGGAATTCTGAGCCAGGGAGCAACAGAAAGTTGCACTTGCTCAATAAGGTTAAGGGGCTATTGGGGGAAAAAGCTCCTTTTTAGGTCCTAAGTGTTGTGAGTGGTGGCTGTCTAGAGATAGTTGTGGCCCTATTCTTGTGTGAGGTGAGAAGATCCTCTAATGGTGACTGGATCAGGTAGTTTGGCTGAGGTGGCTGACCTTGATAAATCCATGGTTACAGTGTTGAGGGCAGGCCGGCCCACTTGGCTGCCTCAATTTAGGGCCAATCCTGCTGGAGTTGGCCCCTCAAATAAAGTCATGCCCCTCGTTGTACATAATTCATCGTGTGGTACAGGAGAAGACCCATCCTTCAAATTCAAACCTTGCGTGAGATCCCAGCTCCACCACTTACCAGCTATATGGCCTTGGGCAGGTAACTCAGTTTCCTTGAGCACCTTATCTTGATCTGTAGAAGTATGGACAGTGTTGTAATGAGGTTTAAACAAAATAATGTGGGCAACAAATGACTATACTATGTGGCATATGGTAGGTTTCCAAGTATTTCCTTCCCTCCTCTCTTCCTTTCTTGATTTTTTTCCAACTCTCCCCTTTTCTTCCTCCTTCTCTCCTTGTATGAGGATTAGAAAGTCTTTGAAGAACTGAATTGAGAGCCTTCTCTCCCTCTTCAGTCTCCCATTGAAAGTTCAAGGGTGATGATTTATCTCCTTGTTCAGAGAATGTAAACAGGCCACAGCCCAGACTGACATTAATAACTTGTATAACAAAGATATTGTGCATTTGTTATACACGATTTATGGCCTCCCACTAACTTCAGGATTTGACTCCCTCCCACGTGTTGAGGGCTTAAGCTGGACGTTTAAAGATGAGTCTAAATTATCTGTGTGCTAAAAGAGCACCTGGAAACAGACAGGAGTCCTCTTCCTGATGAGCCTATGTAAAAGTTTGATATAATAAAACTGAACTACACATCAGCAAAGCAGATTTTTGAAGGCATATCTTTCCATTAAAAAAAATGGAGGAAAAAAAGAGCAACATTAATAATAGGCACTGTGCAAAGCACTTACATCATGATTTGTAAACATTATCTCCATGTCAAAGGCAAAAAAATTAGGATAAGAATGGTAAAGTGAATTGCCCAATTTGGATCATCATTGAGTGCTGGCCACAGGATACAAACCCAGATCTGTCTGACTCCAAAGTCTACAACCTGCCCCTGCAATTCTTGGCATTCTTTAAAATAAATAAATAAATAAATAAATAAATAAATAAATAAATAAATAAAAGACTGGTGTATAGTTTGTAACTGTGACCTAACTTTCTGTTTGTATTTCTGCCTTCCTTGAACTTGGAAGACAAACCATTAGGCTTTCAGCCCCATGATTCCAACCCAGTGGTATGCTGGTAAACTGACTCTGAAAAACAAAACAAAAAACCTGATTTGTAGTATTTGCCAATTTTCCTAGTGTAAATTCTATCGTGTCTACTTTATTTTTTCTTTCTTTTTTTTCTTTTCTTTTCCCTTTCTTTTTGACGGACTCTCGCTCTGTCACCCAGTCTGGAGTGCAGTGGCACAATCTTGGCTCACTGCAAGCTCCACCTCCTGGGTTCATGCTATTCTTCTGCCTCAGCCTCCCGAGTAGCTGGGACTACAGGTGCCTGCCATCACACCCGGCTAATTTTTTTTGTATTTTTAGTGGAGACGGGGTTTCACCATGTTAGCCAGGATGATCTCGATCTCCTGACCTCGTGATCCGCCCACCTCAGCCTCCCAAAGTGCTGAGATTACAGGTGTGAGCCACTGCCCCTGGCCCGCCCTTCCTTCCTTCCTTCCTTCCTGCCTTCTTTCCCTCCCTCCCTCTTTCTTTCTTTTTCTTTCTTTCTTTCTTTCCTTCCTTCCTTCCTTCCTTCCTTTCTTTCTTTCTTTCTTTCTTTCATTCCTTCCTTCCTTCCTTCCTTCCTTCCTTTCTTTCTTTCTTTCTCTCTCTCTCTTCCTTCCTTCCTTCCTTTCCTTCTTTCTTTCTTTCTTTCTTTCTTTCTTTCTTTCTTTCTTTCTTTCTTTCTTTCTTTCTTTCTTTCTCTCTTTCTTTCTTTCTTTCTTTCTTTTTTCTTTTTTGACAGAGTCTTGCTCTTTTGCCCAGGTTGGAGTGCAGTGGCACAATCTTGGCCCACTGTAAACTCCACCTCCCAGGTTCAAGCAATTCTTGTGCCTCAGCCTCCCAGGTAGCTGGAACTGCAAGTGCACACCACCATGCCTGGCTAATTTTTGTATTTTTAGTAGAGATGGGGTTTCACCATGTTAGCCAGGCTGGTCTCAAACTTCTGTCCTCAAGCCATCTGCTCGCCTTGGCCTCGCAAAGTGCTGGGATTACAGGCATGAGCCACCACGCCTGACCTATCACGTCTAATTTCAAGCCACTGCATTTAACAACTGCCATGCAACATCCCTAAATATTTAACAATTGGATCTTGTGAGCCAGCTGGAGTCAGTTCTAGGAAACCACTGTTCCCATCCCAAAGATAAACCAGGATGCATCACTTAGGAATTGCGGTCTTGTCTTTCCCTGTATCTCCAATGCCCAGTTTGGCCCATACAGGAAATATGGAAACTTTATAAGTATTTGTTGATTAGAGAATAAGTAAACAATTGAATGATAATGACTAATCAAAACTGGAGTGAAGAATGGGAAATACTGTCTTCAGCCCTGAATTAAGAAGGACACAAAATTATCTTACTAGGTTAGTCTGTGTTTTTTTGTTGGTGGTGGTGGTGGGGTTTTTGTTTGTTTGTTTTTTTAATAGTAATAATAAAAAAACATAATCTCTCTTTGTCACCCAAGCTGGAGTGCAGTGGCATGATCTCGGCTCACTGCAACCTCCACCTCCCAGGTTCAAGCAATTATCCTGCCTCAGCCTACTTAGTAGCTGGGATTACAGGCGTGCATCACCATGCCCAGCTAATTTTTTGTATTTTTAGTAGAGATGGGGTTTCACCATGTTGGTCAGGCTGCTCTCGAACTCCTGACCTCGTGATTCGCCCACCTTGGCCTCCCAAAGTGCTGGGATTACAGGCATGAGCCACCACGCCTGGCCTATTCTGTGTTTTTATCTGTACTTCCCCATGGCAGTAAGATGACCTGTTGAAGACATTCTGTCTGGGAGTAAAGTTTGGATACAGATGTCAAGACACCACCTATCCTCTCCCTTTTCTACTTCCTAGAAGATCTGATTCATCACAAGTCCAGCAATTCCATCCCCAACTGTACTCTGCATTTGATGACTCTCTCCATCCCCAGTGTCACCACTATTCAAGCCATGACTCCTTGTTCCTTACCATCACTCTGGCAGGATACCCTTCTCCCTTAGCAGATAGACCGGGCATTATAACACGTTGCCTCATTATGCCACCTTCACTGATTTCTCTGCTCTTTCATAATTAAGATCAAACTCATTAACTGGCCTTCAACGTTTTGCATGCCTTTGCTTACCTCTCCAGCCCCATCTCATGTCACTCACTGCCTTTTTCAGTGCATTTTACATTGGAATATCCTTTCTCCCACCAGGACAGGGCTTAAATGCCCCTTTCTGAAAAAGGTCTTTCTGGTATACTCACTCATGTCCCCCTATTCTTCTGTACACTAGCATTTTCATGTCTGATCTCCCATCCCCACCAGACTGGAAACTTCATGAGGATGGCGTCCATGTCTGTTTCTGTTTCAGCTCCCTGTGCCTAGCAGTATCTGGCTCAATTTCTGTTACATCTGGAAGTCTCCAATGCTCAGAAAGATGCATCTCTGCAGTCACCTAGGAGGCAGTATAGATACAGTTTCAGAGGCTATACCTTGGGGTCAGATATCTTGGGTTAAAATTTTATTAGTTGTGTGATAACAGACACAAATTTCATTTATATTAACTTAAGTTTCTCCTCTGTAAAATGGGCATAGTAACTATAACTCCATAGGTTTGATGTAAATATGAAATGATAATATTCCCTGCAAAGGACTTAATCCAGGGCTCAGGGCAGAGTAAGTGCTTAAATATGGTAGCTGTCATTATTTTTATTGTGAAACAAGGGAATACTTCAGCTGAAACTCTTGCCCATCTTGTTCTCTGCACTGAGAAGGTAATGACTGGATTTTATTTTCCTGCCTTAGGATGATCCCATGAAGCCTGTTCCCTTTTTCTCAAATAAGGAATTGGTTAAAGCCTCTGTCCATTCATTCATTTATCCATTTATTCTTTTATCAAATATTAATTTAGCTGATACTCAATACCAGGTTTGGTGTTAGAGAAAATAATAAGGGTCCATGCCCCTGAGGAACGTGGAGTAACATGGCAGGGGGGCAAGTTCTGTATCCCTCTCTACCTGGTTATAATACTTTGCTAAATAAACTTTACAAATAATCAACTGGGAAATTAGACTATAAAAACAACATACTTTCATATGTTTTGCCCTTTATGAAGAAAGAGAGGTGGGAGGGAGTGCCTCTCTTCCACACTAGACATGGAGTAGGACTAAGTTATAGTTATGCCTATTTTATCTTTGGAGGAACCTGATACTACAAAAACAGAAATGACCAGCCTAAGTTCGTGTAACCAGAGACTGATAAATTTGGGAATTTGAATCCTGCTGGCTTTTGCAATGGCACTTTTTCTTGCCTCGAGCTGCTGACTACTGGAAAACCAAGAAGGCAGCAACATGGCTAATAATACTGGTCTAGTCGATGATCGAAATGGAAGAAGAAAATCATAGTTATGATTCCCAGGGCTGCTGTTACTTCTACTCTAAGCACAGCTACATCCTGATCTCAATTCTTATACACTTACACACATCTTCACATCTTCACATATATACATAGATTTCTATAAAATTTAGTAGGGTTTCTATTTTAGCTCTTCAAGCTGTTCAGGTGTGGGCATTTTACAAATAAATTTGTGCTAATGTTGTTACTATTATTGCTGTCCCATAAATTTAACAGCATATGCAGGAAGCGCCAGGTGTGTGTAGCACCTGAGTTATAGTTACTTAGGGAACCACCACTACCCTGTCTCTGTCATCTCTACCTTAATGATGCCTTGGCACAGCTCCTGCTGCAGAAATAATCTGTGGCCTTCCATTTCAGCGCAAGGAGCTGAGAGTCCCTGGGGGTGGGGTAGGAAGCATTTTTATAAATGCACAGGGATATATAACTTAGATGTATCATTGCTGGCCAGCCCTTAGGCTAGGAGGAACCATGATAATTCACTGGGTCTATGGTCTCTGCTGTTAATAATCATAGCAACTAACAGTCACTGAGAACTCTATATTAAGCAATATACTAAAAGGCTTTACATGCATAAAGAAATTAAGTAACTGTTCCAACAAAAAGAGCTGATAATTATCAAGCCTTTCTTATTATCATCCACTATGTTAAAAACTTCTTGCTTTAACTTAAGTAATCTTGTGAAGTCAATATTTTATTAGTTCTGTTTTACATATGGGGATATGAGGCTTTGAAAGACGTGATTCCTTGTATCAGCATTCTCAACTAGTAATGGATAGCTCTGTTGCTTACTCTTAGCCCTGTGCGACTCTAATCATGTTCTTAGCTGTTCCTTCTTATTGACTTCCTAAATTCACAGTGTTAAGAAATTATTGAGCTGAGTTTCAAACTTTATTTGTCTGATTGTAGAGCTCACAAGCCTTTCATTTCACCAACTTCCAGGGTTGATGTGTGAACATAGGGGCTTCCAGGGAGAGGTGCCTTGGTAAAGATAACAAGGAATCAGCTTGCCTGCTGCCTCCTGTGTGAAGCTGACCTGGATTTCATTAAGCAAACTTCAGTGGCTCTTTTCTCTCAGCTCTTAATAAGCTTGTGAAGTCTTCAGTAAAATAGCCAAGCATGTATCCTGACACAGTGTAATTATGATGTCTCCACCTGACCTTCTCACTTGTCTCTCTGTGGCTCCTTCAAGGCAGAGCTGTGCCTGGCTCTTTTGCAAGTTCTATGAGTTGCCCAGGGTCTGGCACATACCATGTGTGTGGGAAATGTTTTCTAGATGAATGGAAGTCTCTTCTAAACTTGAAGGTTTCTGATATCCTGCTAGGAATGGAGGCTCATCAGCCTCTTTCAGCTATCCATTTAAGTAGGTACTGGTAGTAGTTATCTATTGCTGTGTAAGAAATCACCCTCAAATTGGAATTTAAAACAACAAACATTCATTATCTAACAGTTTCTGTGGGGCAGGGATCAGGCACAATATCATCAGTCCCCCAGCTCAGGGCTTCGAAGGAGACTGCAGTGAAGTTGTCAACCAGAGCTGCAATCACCTCAAGCTTCAACTGGGGAGGGATCTGTTCCCAGCTTACTTACATGGTTGTTGTCAGGATTTTGTTCCTTGAGAGCCGTGAGCCAGAGGCCATCCTCAGCTCTTCTCATGTGGGCCATAGGGCCACTCTCAACATGGCATTTGGCTTCACCAGAGCAAGAAAGTAAAAAGAGCCAAAGAGAGTGTGAGCTAAATGGAAGTCAGTCTTTCATAACCTAACCTTGGAAGTGGCATTGCATAACATTTACCTTCTTGCATTGGATATATGCAAGTCACTAGGGTTTACACAAGGACAAGGATACCAGGAAGCAAAGACCATTGGGAACAATTTGGAAACTACCTCCCTCAGTCCCCTTGCCCTCTTTCCTTTTCTCCAAATCTAATCCTTCTTTCATTTCAGGTGACATGTGCTCGTTCACGTCCATGTACTCGAAGACTGATTTATCACCAGGTTTCATGTTCTCTAATTCTAGCCAGGATGTTCTTCAGCCTCCTCTCGTGTAAATATCCTCTGATATTCTTATAGATTGCCTTTGCTCAACGAGATTTCTTTCTTTGTCCTCCATTCTGGAGGTAGATATTGTAGATCTCATCCTTCATAGGTCTTCAGATCTTTTTTTATGTTTTTTAAATATAGAGACTAAATATATTCTGCATGTTAAATAAAATATGTGTGTTACTATGTTGCTCAGGTTGATCTCAAATTCCTGGGCTCAAGTGGTCCTCTCACCTCGGCCTCCCAAAGTGTTGGGATTACAGGCATGAGCCTCTACACCTGGCCCAGTCTTCAGATCTTGATATACCTAATGGTTCACGCTTTGGGATTATGAAGTACCTGCTATATCCCCAGCACCCAACACAATGTCTGGCACTTTTAGGTACTTACTTACATTTTTGTTGTCAAAGTAAATGAATGAAGATGTGTTTCAGGTTTGCACAGTGCTGGCAGAGCTGGCCTGAAAGGACTGGAGATATCATCTAGGACAGGGGTCCCCCAGGCTGCAGACTGGTACTGGTCAGCAGCCTGTTAGGAACCTGGCCACATAGCAGAAGGTGAGCGGTGGGCAAGTGAGCAATACAGCCTAAGCTCCGCCTCTTTTCAGATCAGCTGCAGCGTTAGATTCTCATAGGAGCACCAACCCTATTGTAACCTGTGCATGCAAGGGGTCTAGGTTGTGCTCCTTATGACAATCTAACTAATACTTGATCTGAGGTGGAACAGTTTCATTCTGAAATCATACTCCCCCACCTCCTGCAGTCCATGGAAAAATTGTGTTCCATGAAACTGATCCCTGGTGCCAAAAAGGTTGGGGACCACTGATCTAGGAGAAAGTCCACTTTCCTTGCAATGAACTACGACATTTTATGAGCTGTTCCCTGCCTATCTCTCTGGCTTCTTCTGCCCACACTGCACAGCATGTACCTGAAATTCCCACCACTCCAGTCTATGTACAGTGCCCTGCTGTTTCCTTCTGCTGAACTGCACATTCCCCATTTTTCCCATCAGCTAACTCTTACACACATTACAAGCTTCAGCTCTTGGTAATCATTCTATGACCCCTGAATCTGGATTAAGGATTTGCTGCTCTGCACTGATCTCTGCTACCTCTGTTTATTGGCCCACTACCTCACTGGACATTGAAACATTTAATGGCTCTGAGCTCTGTATCCCTAGCTCACAGCAGAGTGGGTCCTTAATATATATTTGTTGAATGAATGGATTTCTTCCTATGATGAACAGGGGACAGAAGTCCAGCCAGGGGAAGGGATTTGCTCCAGGTGGCACAGTGAGTAATGGCAGAGCCTATATTCAAGTTTGGGCTTCAGACTCCCAGAATAGATAGTCCTCTTAGCACAGCCTTCAGGCACTTCCTTGACACTAAAAACCAAGACAGAAAGTGGGTCTAGAATGGCCCTTGGGCTAAGACTGCCATTGTTCTTTTGGAAGTGACATATTTAAACCAGCAGGCTTGAAAGGTTTAGACCAGAGTGTCAGCCTGAAATGGGTAGAGATTTCCATGTGGAAATGTGTTTGAGCAAAAAGGCTTCACAGAACATTTTCTCCTCTTTTGTTTTTTTTTTTTCTTTTTTTATCCTCTCTTATATTCCCCCACTAAAGGCAAAGCTATTTATCTCCAGATGACTATTTAAACACAATGCATACATGGTTTTGCTAAAATGTTAGTGGTCTGAAGAGTAGGCAATAGATCAGAAAGCAAAAATAAAAAATAAAAACAAAAGACCCCTTGATTTAAGGATCTGGAGATGGGTGTGTTTATTCTAATAAAATCTCCAGGTGGTTTGCAGCTGAACCTCTACATCCAGGAAAGGACAGAGTCTTCTTTGGCCTGCAAGGCCCCAATTCTTTTCTTTACCAGAATGAGGGTTTGGGTGCTGAGCAAGAACCTTGGGTCCCGCTTCCTTAGGCCAGACCTCCTTAGAGTTGCTTAAACCTGCAAGGGCCCTTGATGGTCAACAAACTCCAGTGAGAACTGAGAAGAGCCAGGATGTTGCTGGGGTGAAACAGACCTGGCTTGAATCCAGTGCTCCTGATGGCTTGTGCAACTTGAACCAAGTGTCTGATCTCCCCAGGCTTCATTTTTCTCATTTCTAAAATGAGCATAATGCTATTTACCCCCAGAAGATCATTAGTTTTTTTTTCAAGAGACAGGGTCTCTCTCTATCACCCAGGCTGGAGTACAGTGGCACGATCATAGCGTACTGCAGCCTCAAACTCCTGGGCTCAAGCGATCTTCCTACCTCAGCCTCTTGAGTACCTGGGACTGCAGGTATGCACAACCACATCCAGCTAGTTTTTAAGTTTTATGTAGAGATGGGGTCTTGCTATGTTGCCCAGGCTAGTCTCAAACTCCTGACCTCTAACAATCTTCCTGCCTCGGCCTCACAAAGCACTGGGATTGCAGGCTTGAGTCACCATGCACAATCCACTACCTACACAGAGGATTGTTTTAAGGAGCAAGTGAAACAGTGCACATCAAGTGCCTAGGTTTTGAGGCTTGGTTCACAATAGCTTCTCATATAGAATATGTGTTTCCTTTTTCTCTTTCTATATTTGGATGTCTTTGAAGACAACCCTATCAAGAGGCCTCTCTGACTGAGCCTTTCTTGCTTCAAAGCTAAAATCCCCAAATCCTTCATCTGGTGTCCTCTCCTGGCATGATATCCAGTCCAATCCTGGTTATTCTCTTTGGAACATGGTCCACCTGTCTATATTCTGTTTAGAACATCACACAGTTTTGAATCGCATGACCAGCTCTACAGCTTACTAGGCGTATGACCTTGAGCAAAGCACTTCTCTTCCCTGAGCTGGTTTTCTGATTTATAAAATGAAGACCTAAAGGTTGCTATGAGAAACAATGTAAATAACAGGTGCAAAAACCCAGCAGAGGCTTCGCATATAGTAGGTGCTCTGCATGTGTTTGGACCTTTCCTTACTGTAAACTCACTATCCTCCAGTCTACATGGTCTGTCTCCTATTTCTGACCCATCCTGAGTTTTTATAAGTGGTCTCTTGAGTGCAAACAACAGAATTTATATGTATTGGTCTTAAATTTGTTGATGATGATGACGATGAAATTTACTATTCACTGAGCTTCTGCTATGCAGTGCATGTCATGCTATTTAATTATTTAATCTTTCTTTCTTTTTTTTTTTTTTTTTAAGATGGAGTCTCTCTCTCGCCCAGGCTGGAGTGCAGTGGTGTGATAGCTCACTGCAAGCTCCGCCTCCTGGGTTCACACCATTCTCCTGCCTCAGGCTCCTGAGAGGCTGGGACTACAGGTGCCCACCACCACGCCTGGCTAATTTTTTGTATTTTTAGTAAAGACGGGGTTTCACCACGTTAGCCAGGACGGTCTCAATCTCCTGACCTCATGATCCGCCCACCTCAGCCTCCCAAAGTGCTGGGATTACAGGCATGAGCCACCATGCCCAGCCACTATTTAATCTTTCTAATGATGCTGTGGAGTAGATGTTATTCCCATTTTACAGATGAAGAAAATGGGACTTACTGAAGGTCAACCAAAGCATGACAGAGCTGAGATTTGAACCTAAGTTTCTCTAATTCTAAAGTCAATTTTCTTTCCTCTGCCATAATCTACTGTGCACCAGCTTATTAAGGTCATGTTGTGGGAATGTTTGGGTATGGTTTATTTTTATACCAATACCTCTTTTTTCCAGGAGGTATTGGTTAAGGTAGGAAACAACAAAAACAGCAACAACTACCCCAAATGGTGAACATTGTCATGGAAGCTGGGGTAGATGGAACCCAGGACTGGCTCTGGGCAATCTGACTGTGAACGTGGCTGTCCTCCTGCCCTCTTCCTAACCTTCAGCATGGTGGATTAGGCCAACTAATCAAAAGGGGTTCTTCCAGCTCCGTTTTTCCTGGCTCTGTGTCTATTTTCCTCATGTGAGAGTCAAATGACAGAATCTGTCTTTGAAATAAAAGAATGATGGGCAACATATTTTCCATTTTTAGAACCAAAGGGGTACCTTGGAGAGAAGGGGTGGGGGCCAGTTTTTAGAACTCTTGAGGACAGGAATATGTTCAGCTGGTTATAGTTGTAGGAATAGATTTTCTTTTGGCATTGATGTAGTTCTTATGCTGATTGCTACCAGGGAAGAGAGACTACATAGTAATACTGTTAGGAGCTCTGATATCTAGATCTGGATTTGAATCCTGGTTTGCCTCTCAATAGCTTTCTAACTCTGAGTTAGAGTCAATTTTTTTGATTTGCAAAACTAGGAACTAGCAAGCTTTTATGATTAATCAAATAAAATAATATCTGTAAAATATTTAGCACAATGTATCCGGCATAGTAAGTGCTCAAAAAAAGAGAAAGGGTTATCATCATCATTTTTTTTTTAGTTAATAAGCTCCAAGTTTAGGTGACACTCAAATGCAGGCTGAATGATTATAGAGGGAGTCAGTCACACAACAATGCATTGTGTGACTTGTTGTAGTTAAATCTCTTTTAGTTCCTTGCCATTCTGAGGTCTTGTGGCTCAAATTAGAACAGAAAATATATGAGATAGGGTTAAGAGAAATAATGGGTTCTTGTGAGTTGCAATGGTGAAGGCAGACTTCTATGAGATGGGAGTTCTCTTTGATCTTGAAAGTTGGTCTGCTTAGATATGTTGGAAAAGTAGAAAGGACAACATATGGGGGAGGGGAATGCATATGACCTGTCACAAGGAAAGAGACAGGCAAATCTAACTGCAGTAGGGGGTTTGTGGGCCATCAGGAAAAGCCTCATTTCTATTGTTTCTTAGGAATATGACACAGTGTCACTGTCAGGAAAAAGAGGTGAGGAGGAGGGAGCACAGAGATGTGAAAATGCCCCCTATTTTTAGAAGCAGTGTGACCACCATTAGACACCATACATTCACAGGGTCAGGATCAGCTGAGGAAGCTTTTAAAGAACTTTGAGTATCAATAGGTCTCGGTTCATATTCTAGCTCTGTTCATATTCTAGCTCTGTTCCTTACTAGTCAATTAAACCCTTTGATCTTCCATTTCCCCCAATGTCAAGTAAGGACAGCTTTGCCTGGTGCTTACGGTGGGCTTTTGGGATAAAGGAAGTTCTGTAGGTAAAGGAACATTGTCATGGAAGCTGGGAGCAGGGGAGGAAGCAGGAGTAGGGGAATAACGTTGGTTGTGTATTCAGTATTTACTAGGCCATCACAGGAGGCCTAGTAAATACTAAATACACAATCAATGTTATTCTCCTGCTCCTATTTTCACAAAGTGTGGGCCAAAGTCCACTGACATCTTCCAAGATAATGGAACAGGGACTTTCAAAGGAGCTAGAAATGAACCTTTCATGGAAATGGGAGGTGACTGGTCCTGATCGTCCTTGGTAGCCATGGAAACTGTGGCTGCTCTTTTGCTCTGTTCCTCAGCACTCACTGCTTGGCCTTAGCTCTTCTTTGCCACCCTCCAATTCATCGGTGGTGTGGGCTGAATGTGGTGGTGCATCTAAACAGCCTGTAGACTAACAGGGCTAATATGGGTATCAGACAACAGTATCTTAAAAATTAACATTTTGGGTAAGTCAGCACCAGTCGATTGATAGTCACCTATGAATCAGAAACCCCCCACCACCTTTCCTTTCTCCTTCTTTCTCATTTATTTCTGAGCCATTCTAGAGCTTTAGATCTTTGAATTATCTTCTCTACTATTTCTCATCTACACACTGCAATTTAATCTATTGAGTACAGCATCTTTTTCCTTCCACTAATGCATTTCGTCAGCCTGCTAAATATACGTTGAATAGTCTTTAGCCTCCTGAACTGATCTGTTGTGCCTACCTTTTTCATTCTTGCATGTATTCTCTGTGACTTTAAAATTCTATTTTCTTCTAACACTTGGGAAGAAGAAGGATACAGACATTGGTTTCAGACCAGACTGACCATGAAAACCTTCCTCTTCCTCTTCCCAGTGACCAGTTAAATCTGGTTTTCCTATTTGTAAATGAAGGGTAACCCCTGCCTTACAAGGTAGTTGAGAAGTTTAAATAGGATAATGTACATACAATCTTTAACACAGTGCCTGGCATAAGGGCACCAGTTGATTATTGGGCTCTGCTAATATTATTTACAACCTTTGTATAAATTATTAAACTAGATCGTTTTTTCCGTACCTTGTTCCACAGAATGGTGGTTCTGCAATGTCTTAATACTTTAGGGAAACATTCGGCTGAATCCTGTTAAACAGAATGTAATGCAAAGACTTTTAGGGATTTTAATACCAGATATATACTTGGGTGCTTTAAGAGGGACATGCAGAATATAGCATGTCTCAAAATTTTGTGAACATAGAAATATTTTCTTTTCAAGATACATCTGGTTTTGTGGGAAATACTACACTAGCTCTTTGAGGCATTTGGATACATTTATAAGAGCAATAACCATCCTGTGCAACATGGTGAAACTCTGCCTCTACTAAAAATATAAAAATTAACTGTGCACAGTGGCGCATGCCTATAATCCCAGCTACTCAGGAGGCTGAGGGAGGAGAATCACTTGAGCCTGGGAGGTAGAGGTTGCAGTGTGCTGAGATTGCACCATTGCACTCCACTCCAGCCAGGGCAACAGAGCAAGACTCCGTCTCAAAAAAAAAAAAAAAAAGCAATGGATGAAGAATCAGAGCGCACAGATTCTATTTCTGTTTTCATATCCAGCTAGTGGGACTTAGGCTGCACACTAGCAACATAGTGACATGAAAAGATCACTCAGCTGTGTGTCAGGAGACATGGCTTATAGGCCCATTATTCTTCTGTTGTTTGAACATGAGTTCACCTTTAAGACTGTCACTTCTCATTTGTCTATTGGGGATAACAGCAATGCCAACTACATAGGATTTTGAAGAGGTAATGAGATATTTGAGAATAATCTGTAACCTAATAAAAGCTAAAATAATACGGTACCATCTCTATCATCTTCATCTCTAACACCATTGTCAACACCTTGTAGTGACCTTTGCACTTGCAAGCCCAGCTACCTGCAGTTGCCACAGAGAAATTCAAATAGCCAGCCGTTTGTAGCCCCATTCCATGTCAGCTGCCAGTGGCTTTAACTTCACCAGGCAGCCACAATCTAGGCCTGCACTATAGAAACGGTCTTTGTCCCAGGACCAGAGCTAGCCAAAGGTGTTCCCCAGTGGCTTTGTCAATAATCATTTGGCTCCAAGTAGCACAGTGAGCTGCTTCAGGCCCATAGTATTTTCTGGGGCTGAGAAAGGAGGAGCGACAGCCCTTCTCATTTTCTTCCATCATTTTAAACTTTGTCCTTGTGATGGGGAGAGGTTCTCTTGAAGACATGTGGTCGGTATCAGGTGGGACAATGAGGCCACCACAAATTCACCTAGAGTCATCACAGGTCCACAGGGCAAGCTAAAGTCGGATAGCAGCTCAGCAGTTAAATTTGTTGCTTCTGCTCTGCCCAGGCTACATCTAGCAGGTTGATAGAGATATTGTGAAGGATGATGGTTAAGAGCTTGGACCCTGACATCAAATGGTTTTTCATTTCAGCCCTATTACCTTTAAGCTGCATGTTCTTTGGCAAGTGATGGCCTCAGTTTCCTCATAGCGAAAAATGTGAGTGATAGTAGAAACAATATCATGAAGTTTCTGTAAAGATTAGATGAGATACTGCATGCAAAAATTTAGTTCTATTGTCTGGCACCTAAGTTAGTGGCTATGTTACTAGTGATAGTGGTAGTGATGATGATGATAATAATAATAACAATTATTATTATGGCATCCTTTACTAAGAAAGTAATCTTAAGCAAAACAAATCTATACAAAGTACAATAAAAGGACTCAAAATATGACTTTAGAGAAACAAAATAAAGTTATTAGTGTTTGGTTTGAAGAAAGAAAGCTCAAGGCAACCTAATTTCCACCTTTAACAAAATAGCTGCCCTGGGAAGGAGATATTAAATATATCCTATTTAATTTGGACAGCAGAAGTTCACTCATAGAGTGAGATTCAAAGGCTGTTTAGACATTAAACTATCTGAGAATAGAACTGATGCTTAGTAGGGGTTGAGTTTTCTTTCTCTGGAAGTATGAAAATAAGAGTGGATGAACACTTGCCTAGATCTTATTAAGGACAAATCTATAGATGATAAGATATTGGGGAAATAACATATCATTTAAAGGATACCATAGATTTGAGAGTGCCGTAGTCAGACAGCACAAGAGATTAGTTCATGACAAAGATAGAGAGGGAGAAATGGGGAGAGACAAGGACCAAGGTGTGCAAGATAAAGGAAAATATGTCCCATATTGAGACATCACACTAAAGCAGTGCATGGAAACCCCTGATATAAGAGACACGCTGAGGATATGGGGCCATATACCCTACAGTTTCTGAGAAAGCCCCAGTTTAAAATATTCTTTCTTTCTGCCTCCAGTATGACACTTGCACTTGTCAGATGACGTGTCCCAATTTCAGTTTCCAGAAATATGGCAGAGAAGCAGAGACACCAGAGCTCAGGTGCTGTGGGAATCCCATGGGGCACTCAGTGAGGTTAATGAGGCACTCAGCAATCTACAGTGGTCACCCTGATATGCAGGCAGATTGGCGGCCTCTGCAAGGGTGTTTTTGTATGATTTCTGACCAGGCAGGAACCAAACCTTGCCAGGAAAAGTGAGTGAATCAGTTTGCTAGAAAAAAATACCAATAGCAGCATTCCAATACTGACATCTGTTGGTAGAAAGGGAAACAACATTTAAGCATTCACTCATTCATTCATTCAATAGATGTTTATTGAGCACCTACTATATTCAGGCATGCTATAGGCACTGGAAATAGGAGAGCATAAAATATGAGGTCTGGCATACAGTACTTGCACCTTAAATAGCTATTTATTGGATGAACTAATTCCCAATTAAAGGCATTGAGTCTCAGATGTGACATGACTTGTCCACGGGGGCCAGCAGCTAAGTGTGAAAGTTAGGATTTCAGCATGAGCAACAGTATCACATATCCTGCTGATGCCCATGTAGGTGCCAAGTATTAGAAAGGGAGGTTTAAAGGAAATGAGATGGAAGGAAATATATTGAGAGCTTACAGAGCCCTAAGTATATGTCAGACATGGTGCTTAGTGCTGTAATTATGATCTCCTATTTAAAACACACAGCTTCTTTATCAGTTAGGGATTATCACTACCCTTTTTTAGATTAGGAAAACTGAAGCTCTGAGAGCTTACATCACTTGCCAGAACTTAGGCAGGTATCAAATGGAAGACTTTGGATTTAGATATCCACATCTAAAACCAAAGCTCAGTCCGGGCACGGTGGCTCATGCCTATAATCCTAGCACATTGGGAGGCTGAGGCAGGCAGATCACCTGAGGTCAGGAGTTCAAGACTAGCCTGGCCAACATGGTGAAACCCTGCCTCTACTAAAAATACAAAAATTAGCCAGGTGTGGTGGCGTTTGCCTATAGTCCCAGCCACTTGGGAGGCTGAGACAGGAGAATTGCTTGAACCTGGGAGGCAGAGGTTGCAGTGAGCCAAGATCACACCACTGCACTCCAGCCTGGGTGACAGAGTGAGACTACATACATACATACATACATACATACATACATACGTACGTACGTACATACATACATACATACATACATACAAAAGCCCAGCCTCTTTCCCCATCCTAAGTGGCCTTTCTACCTGCTGGGCTTCTTCACCCTAATGTCTCCAGTTTCTAGAATCCCTTTCCCCCACCACAACACCATTTGCCACTCTAAGAAATAAATTACTTCTCAGCCTAGGACCTGGTCTCTCATGCTTTGGGGATCTCAGGAGGAAGTCAATGGGAGTGTACCAGCTTTAAGTTTTCCACACACAAGGGTCTGATGGGGTTAGATCTATTTTTTCATTATAAAATGTGATTGATTCAATTCCAAATTTAACTTAAATTTCATTTTCTCCTCTCAACCTGGCATTTCCAAAGCAAGAATCAATCAAACCCCAAATTATAGGCAATGTGTGGATCAACAACACTGAGTTATTTCCGGTCGAATTTCTTAAGCAATGCATTTTATGCCATTCTCTGCTGCCATGAGAGGAGCTGAGGTGTAAGAGGGAGGGAAAATGGAAGGAAAATTAGATTATTAATTTTCTCCAGTCCCAGCAATCAATATGCCCGGGTGGAATGCTATTCCTACAGCACAGCTTATTCCCCTGCAAGTAATGGGGAAGGAACTGCAAATGGGGATGTGAATCAGGGAGAACTGTGACCTCAGCCTTCTGGAAAAAAAAAAATACTCAGGCAATATGATCTGCAGCTATCATTTAATTTATTTAGCTCTTTTTTTTTTTTTTTTTGCTAATTACATGGGATATCTTATTCTGTCCTCACATCAGCTCTGAAAAAAGACCACTGTTCCCATTTTTCAGATGGAAATATTTTTTTCTTATTAGACTTATGGATCAGTTGGCTAGTGTCACACAGAGATTTTGTGGGTAAGCCAGGATTTGAACATAGATATGCCTGACCCCAAAGGCCACACTTTCTACATGAGGGTATCCTGGGACCTTATTCCATGATAAAGTGGGAAGTTGTAGTGATACAGGGGAAAGGCTGGAACAGGACTAGTTCTCATCCAATCTCTGTAACATACAAAATTGGGTGATCCTTACACAAGTCATTTAATTGCTCTACACTTCTACTCTCTGTAAAATGGAAATGATGGAGACACTTAGCTGAGAGGATTCAATGAGATAATTCTTTGCCACTAACATGTAAGCTTCAAGGGCTTTCGCTGTTTTGTTTAGTATTATTTTCCCCATGCCCAGACCAGTGTGCCTCAAAAGACTTGATGTTCAATAAAAATCGGCTGGATTCGTAAATGAATGGATGGATGGAAAGAAGGATAAGTGCTAGGCACAGTGCCTGGATCATAGTAATCACTCAGCAAGTGGAGGTTCCCTTTTCTGTCTCTGCATCTTACAACAGCAGTGCAGTAAGAAGCCTGCTTTGGGAGGGTGTGAGTATTATGGGAGAGATAGTTTCCACCTCAGGGCTGTCTACAACCCTTACTTACTAAATGCTATGCTCACCTCCCTGAGCCAGGAACTCTTAGGAAGTTACCTTGATTTGAGTCCCACTGTGAAGTTTCTGCCAGGTCCGGTTGCCATGGCAACTCCCCACACCCCTCTGCTGCTCCATGGGCATCTGGCTTAGTGAAGGCTTGACCTGCATGCTTTCATCCTCCTGGACTTCGGAAACAACTGTGGTGATTCAGGCATTCGCCGAGTAAATGGGGCCCCACAATGCTGTTCATTCTCACCCCAACTCCCACTTTCTCCTTCTTATGTCCTTCTCTACACTTTTTACTCTTTTTGTCTTCTGCTTCTATAAGAATAATTGAGTTCCTAATATGTTCTGAGAATGTGTTGGACAAATAGATGATTCCTAGTTTCTGTCATCAATGATGAGACAAACACCACTATTTCTTTTGGAAATTATTTACCAAGGGCCTACTATGTGCCAAATCTTTGCTTGGCATTAGACACATATTGACCCATTTTGTTCTTACAACACCCCTGATGGCTAAGTTGTGTTACTATTTTCTAGGTGAGAAAACTAACAGCCAATAAACTAATGTGAATTCACTTCCCATGTTGACTCTTTGTTTTTTCTTTTTTCTTTTCTTTTCTTTTTTTTTTTTTTTTGAGACAGAGTCTTGCTCTGTGGCCCAAGCTGGAGTGCAATGGTGCGATCTCAGCTCATTGCAACCTCCACCTCCTGGGTTCAAGCGATTCTCGTGCCTCAGCCTCTGGAGTAGCTGGGACTACAGGCACCTGCCACCATGCCCGGCTCATTTTTGTATTTTTAGTAGAGACGGGGTTTTGCCGTGTTGGCCAGGCTGGTCTTGAACTCCTGATCTCAGGTGATCTGCCTGCCTTGTCTCCCAAAGTGCTGGGATTATAGGCGTGAGCCACTGTGCCCAGCCATCATGTTGACTCTTAAAGGCCGTGGGTTACTGTGATGTTTTAAATGACATAGGAGACACAATTTAGTCCAGCAGGGCCCAGGGAGAGAGTATGAGCCATTCTACCTGTGCCCCTCAGCCTTCTTTCCCCAGACCAAAAATTAGCCCTGTGGAGCCGGGGTAGTGTATTTCTGGTAGTTTGTTAATTAGTGAAAGAAAGATCTTGGCCACATAGGCTGGTTGCTGCTGTGTGGGCCAGGAATGAGATATGCCTTCTAAGGGATCCACAGGGTGCTATTATCCATGACTCACTGTCCAGAGTGTCCATTTCCCAATGCCAGGGGCCTCTCACTACCTTTCACATCTTGTCCTCTGGACCTGTCTCATCTTCCCAAGCATTTATTCATGCTAGACTTATCATTACATATTTTTCCCCCAGAATAGACTCCATAAAATCTAGATAAAAAACTCAATGCTGGCCAGGCATGGTGGTTCGTGCCTGTAATCCCAGCAGTTTGGGAGGCTGAGGTCGGTGGATCACCTGAGGTCAGGAGTTCAAGACCAGCCTGGCCAACATGGTGAAACACTGTCTCTACTAAAAATACAAAAATTAGCTGGGTGTGGTGGTGTGTGCCTATAACCCTAGCTACTTGGGAGGCTGAGGCAGGAGAATCACTTGAACCCAGGAGGCGGAAATTGCAATGAGCTGAGATTGCGCCACCACACTCCAGCCTGGGCAACAAAGGGAGACTCCATCTCAAAACAAGCAAACAAGCAAAACAAAAAACAACAACAACAAAAAACTCCAGTGCTGCTGTTAAGTGTTATTGTAGGGGTTTTGCTAAATGATTAGGGTGGGGTAATAGGTTGACGTTTTAAGGTGAGGTCAATGCAAGGTGCCAACCCCTGGTCCATATTCTTTTTAGTAGATAACGTTGATGTTAGATTGTTTATGCTATTTAGTTGCTAAAAGATTTATACTATACATATTTTATCTATTTATATTTATAAATATTATAAATATGTATGAAACAGCTTCTTGCAGCACTCGAATAAGAGATAATCATGTTCATTTTTCTCTGTAGTTATTTTAGGTTTTAGAGATTCCCCATCTTTGGACACTGGAATCACCTTTTTATGTAATTTAATTTACTCTTCTATTTAACATTTATTCTAAAACTACAATAACCACAATCTCATGTATAGTTCCTACCATAAGCCATGCATTGTCCTAGGACTGAGAAAAAAGACAAGGGTCTTGTTCTTAAATTAAGTAACTTCTGGGTTCCAGGTGGTGATTTTGG
Organism: Homo sapiens; assembly: GCF_000001405.40. NCBI lineage: Eukaryota > Metazoa > Chordata > Mammalia > Primates > Hominidae > Homo > Homo sapiens. Next base: position 117,042,343 of record NC_000009.12, on the reverse strand, counting down.
CATAAGAAACACAAAGATGATGAAGGTGGGATCTTCTCCTTCAAGCAGGTCACTGTTTATTAAGAAAAATAGATTTCCATACAGGCAATACCCCAACGGGCTGTTGTAACGGTTCTTGTTCTGTTGTAATCCAATGTTACAACAGAATAATAGCCGATGTTCTGTTGTATGGCCAGTGTTGGATGTTGGCTAGCATGCTTTTTGGTTGGTCAGCATCTATGTTATGTTGGTTTTTAATATTGTTACTGTCATTTATGGGAGTCATCATGCACTTACTGAGATTCTGCAATGAGCCAGTCACTGTGCTATTTACTGGGACATAATGGTAAGCAAAAGACGCTGCTTGCCTTCAAGGAGTTGGCTGTCTATTTACTAGACTCTAGTGTTTGGAATAAGGTATGAGGGGAAACACAATGAATATGGGTAGTTTATCTACCAAGAGCATATGAAATCTTTATATATGGTGAGTCTCAAAGAGTGATGGGGTGACAAGGAAACAAGTGGATTTCTATCCAAAAGGAAAAACACCTGCACTAATGTTAACATGATGAAGAGTGTTAATGGTAGGAGCACTGCAGTAATTCAGCCCTGCTAGTCTTTAGGCCAGAGCACAGGAGGTATGAGTGTTGGGAGTCTTCATGAAAGGCCTTGGATGCCAGTCTAATGAATATGGATCACATCCTGCAACCAGATGCTGTAAAACAGCTTGAGAGGTTTCAGCAGGGAGTGCAGTGAACAGATATGCGTGCACCTCCCTTATCCCACAAGCAAACATACAATAGAAGAGATGAAGGGAAGAGGTGAAAATGCTGAGGACATAGAATAAATAGCACTACACAACTCTTCAGATGCTGTAAAGGAGGAAGACAGAAACTCAAAGGTGACATCTCAGTTTCTGGCCAGTCTAAATGGCAGTGCTTTCAATAAGCTGAGGATCTCAGGAGGGGGAGGCTTTAAGGAGAAGATAATGTACCCTGTTTTGAACGTGTTATTAATATATTTGACATTCTAATTGGATAGCCACAGAAAGATATCCAGGAGATGAGAGACAAGGTTTGCTTAAAAGAAGAGCCTAGCAGTAAAAAAAAAAATTGTGGAGGCATTGCTCTAAAACTGGTAAGCAAAACCTTGAAGAACAAAGCCTAAAGAATGAGAAACAAACGGGGACTCAAGACAGCCTCCATAGAATTTCTTTGTTGGCCCAGTGTCGTCTAGCTGTGCAGATCCAATCTACTTTTCGTATTATATCCATAAAATTGTCTTTAATTTTCAGAGGCAAAACCACCCCCCGTACTCTCTGCCCTCTCTTCTAGGTCGTAACACAATTTGTGTTAGAATCTAATTAGCTATGGATAAGCTTGACTTTTCCCCCTAGCCTATAAAATCCTGAAGAGGAAAGATTATTCTTCTGCTCTGTATGTGTCTCACATAGTAGCTGCTCAGTAAACGCTTGTGAAATTCATTTGAACTGATCAGCTTCTAACCGTGAAACTCTTCTAAATGACAGGCATGATATACAAATCATGCTGTGTAATTGTCACAAGAACCCTGTGAGATATTTATTATCTTCGTGTTATATATAAAGAAACTGAAGTGGTGGCTTATGCCTGTAATCCCAGCACTTTGGGAGGCTGAGGCGGGTGGATCACCTGTGGTCAGGAGTTCCAGACCAGCCTGGCCAACATGGTGAAAACCCGTCTCTACTAAAAATACAAAAATTAGCTGGGCTTGGTGGTGGGTGCCTGTAATCCCAGCTACTCAGGAGGCTGAAGTGGGAGAATCACTTGAACCCGTGTGGCGGAGGTTACAGTGAGCCGAGATTGTGCCACTGCACTCTAGCCTGGGCGACAAAGCGAGACTCCGCCTCAAACAAAAAAGAAAAAGAAAGAAAGAAACTGAGGTTTGGAAAATGGAGATCACAGAGCCAATGAGGGCCAAAGCCCAAATTTGAATCCAGAATGATCTAACTCCAAAGCCCATGCTTATTTCACTAGACTCTACTGAATTTAACAGCATGGTATCTTCTCACTTGCCTCTAAGGAGAATGGAGGGCTTAATATCATCTAATTGTTATCAAGAATGACCAACCGAATTGGGAAGGGAGGAGTGAAAATTGCCATGAGTTTCAGAAAGCCTGTTTCTTTTATGCTTACCCAAAGGAATCATAAGAAGCCCATTTTGCGGAGTGTTAAATCAAGGCCCAAAGAAGGCCCACTGAGGTGTCATAGCAGGCACAAAGGTTAGAAAACATGTCTTTTTTCTTTTCTTTTCTTTTTTCAGATTCCCAACTGGAAAATAATAGAATTCCCAAACTTGATGCCAATCCCATTTCCTCACCTCATGGAATTTTGTGTCTTTGTGTATGTTCTTGTTACCAGGTTTGCTGAAAAGCCCAGTGAACAAGACAGCCCTGACACTGATTGCTGTGAGTTCCTGCATCCTGGCCATGGTGTGTGGCAGCCAGATGTCTTGTCCACTCACTGTGAAGGTGACTCTGCATGTGCCCGAGCACTTCATAGCAGATGGTAAGAGCCGAGCATTGCAGATGCTCCACACCCACTCAGCACCTTGCACCCCTGACTGGTCAAAGGTTTCTGTGTATGGCCAAACCTTAGAATTACTATTACATATATTACAGGAGGAAAAAAAGGAGCATCTAAAGACCTTGGAAGAGGATCTTATCCTTTGTAATCTGGATTATTTGAATTAAATTAAAGACTGCTTTTATTTTTTTTAATTTTTTTTTCCTTTTACTCTAAGTTTGGGGATACATGTGCTGAACATGCAGGTTTGTTGCACAGGTATACATGTGCCATGGTGGTTTGCTGCACCTATCAACCCATCATCTAGCTTTTAAGCCCCGCATGCTTCAGGTATTTGTGCTAATGCTCTCCATCCCCTTTCTCCCCAACCCCCAACAGGCCCCAATGTGTGATGTTCCCCTCCCTGTGTCCATGTGTTCTCATTGTTCAGCTCCCACTTATGAGTGAGAACATGTGGTGTTTGGTTTTCTGTTCCTGTGTTAGTTTGTTGAGGATGATGGTTTCCAGTTTTATCCATGTCCCTACAAAGGACATGAACTCATTCCTTTTTATGGCTTCATAGTATTCCATGGTGTGTGTGTACCACATTTTCTTTATCCAGTAAAGACTACTTTTAACTTATGAGCAACGATAAAGTTTTAAAAATAAAGGAAGAATTCAAATGTGAATACAGAAAGATTGAGCTACTTCAGAGAACCTACTGACATTTATGACTGTGGATCCATTTCAAAATAAAAATGCCCCCCAAAGAGTATTTGCTAATTAGAATCATATGACAAGGAAGACTGTATGAGTTTTATTGGAATTTCCTGAATGTCTTGGATAATATTCATATGCTCATTCCCTGTAAATATACAAGTGTCTTATATTCTAGCATTTACTTTTCACCCAATTAAATTGAATTAATGAGACACTGTTGCCACCATAGTCATTAGCAAAGCATGGTCCAAGACCCTGATTAAGGTGGTTACTATCTATTGCTAAAGTGCCCTCCAGAAAAGTTGTCCCAGTTTACACATTCCAGGATATGTTGGCGTCTGTTTCTCAAACACTTCTCACATGCCATCACCGTCTTTAGCTGTATTGAAGTTTGGCATAATTATAATAAAGAAGGCATACCTTAACTGTGCAACTTAATAAATTTTTAGTTTTAGAACTTTTTACCCTTTAAAAATTGTATACATTTTACACTTTTTAAAATATATATGTCTCGATGAGTTTGAAGATAAGTAAATACCCATGAAATCATCACCATAAGGAATGCCATAAACGTAGCCATCACCTCTAAAAGTGTCTTCTCACTATAATTTTTTTGTGATAAGGACATGTAACAAGATTCCATATGAATCTACACAGATAAAATCATAGAATATTTCCAGCACCTCATATGGTTTCCTTGTGCCTCCTTCCAGTTAGTGCTCTGTAGACGCAATAAACTTTCTGACTTGTAGCACCATATTAGTACCATTAATTCTTTAAAAAAATTTTGCATTTTGATATGTATAGAACGTTTTTGAGATCCTTACCCTCTATTTGCCAGTCTTTCTTCAGTGAAATTTGATTTTATTTCCGTTAAGTTTCGGTATTCAGAACTTAGCACCATCCCTTCAGTATATTTTGACCAGAGAAAAGTGGAATTTTACCACCATTCTCTGAAACACTCAAACTTCTATTAATGCATCCTGATTGTTCCCACTTCACCGTAGTGCAGAAGCCCCTACTTGTTTTTCACTTGGACTGCAAATCAGTTCATATACATTCAGAACTTATATCTCTTATTTCATTTACATTCAGTTGATTTTCAGACCTATGTACAAGACTTTGGCTCATCTTTAGTGAGTCATATGTGCACATAAGACAAGTAAATGTGTGGTGGGGGAGATGGCAGGGAAAGCTGTAGGAAATCAGAAGGAACAAAATTTACAGAAGCAAATAGTTTGATGGATTACGCAGCTAGAAGAATTGTCAGAACCTGGAAGTGGCCAGAAAATGGCAATGGAGGAGTAGGAGTGATGAACACTGAGGTGGAAAAAAACAACAGAGCAAGTATTAAATTCTACAGAATGCATGTCCCCACCCTTCATCTCTCAGCTGTCACTACACATTAATTGTAGAATGTTAAGCCTTAAAGGCTTTCAAGTTTTACATATTTATTTTCATACATGTAGAAATGGAATCCCTGAGAAAATAACTTGCTCAAGATGAAACAGTTTAATGGCTAAGAGCACAGGCTTTGGAATACTACAAACATTAATCTAAATACTTGCTCCTTTGTCTGCCTCTTCGATAGCCAAGTGAATTCCCCTCTCTGAGCCTCTGTCTCTCCATCTATAAAATGTGGATAATAGTAGTACCTACCTCATAGGAGTATTCTGAAGACTACAACACCTACTTTTTTATCATGGTCATCAGATTTTCAGACAGCATGTGGCTGAGAAATGGTGAACAGCTGGGAAATAGCAAAATCAAGGGATTACCCGAGACAGCGGCAAACCGTCTTGATGATTTGGAAGGATAGACCAAAATGTGGTGAATTAAAAGGTGCCCTTTCTCGGTGTGCCCAATGTCATAAACTTAAAATTTTATAGCAGCCTGTGGAATTGTCTGTTTCTGCCTCTAGACTGGAATCTCTGTGAGGGCAGGAATTATGTCTTTGGGGAGAAATATTATATTCCCATTGATAAGCACAGTGCCTTGTCCATAATGGATATTCAGCAAATATGTGTCCAGTGGATGAATGTTGCCTGAATTAAAGCTGAGTTGTTCATTGTTCTATAGAATCCTTCTGGTAGATCTCTAAGCACACAACAGATACTGAATCAAGGAAAACTAAGGCAGATGATGCATAGAAATCAAGATGTTTTAAAATATACCTGTGAAGTTTTAAAATGTACCCAGGATTTGTCTGCAGATGCCGAAAGGACTGTTGTGAAACAAGCAGTTTTCATACTAACAGATCTCAGATACACAATGCACAGCACACCATGCAGACCATGTGGGAAAGCACCCGTATCTATCAGCAGGCAGAGGGACCAAGTGGAAAGCAGGGGAAAGAGCCTGTATTATGGTTATTGCAGGAAGAAATGGGTGAGGCAGTGTAAGCAGGATAGACAGATTTGAGATTGGCCAATTTGAATAACTTTAGCAGGCTCTGGGGTTTCAGAACTGCTCCTGATTGCCTGGTATCTGGCCCTGGGGGGATGAAGGGAGAGAATATTCCTTCCCAATGTGTATAAGCCATATAGAGGAGATGATTGGAGTGTAGGTTCTGGATTGGTTAATTTTCATATGAAAGGGATGCTCCCTGGACAAGTCTTTTGCTTTCTGTAAGATATGACTATCCTTGGAGGGGAGGGTTCTCCCCAGTCAGGAGGCTCAGATGCCAGAGCATCAAGCATCCAGAAAATAAGAAAATATAATTAATACAAAAGAAAAAGAGAAATAACTACGGAGTATACACATCCTGGAGATGCGATGGAGCAAGCTTAGAAGACAGCATTGGGAAGACCTTGTCCACAGTATCTTAGTCTCCAGGCATAATGGAATCTCCATCCCTTACATGCCATAATATCTTGGTAGGAATGTGTCCTTTCAAATGAAGTAAGTTTTGGTTTGGATCTCAATTTTGTTGCTTAGTTACTGTGAAACATAGAAGAGTCAAGTTAGCTATCTGAGTCTCATTTTTCTCACCTATCTGTAAAATAAGGATTATTATGGGATGATTGAACGTTATAATGTGTATAAAGTGCCTAGTAGAGTGTCTAAAACATTGTGATAGCCCAACAAATGGTAGCTGTTATTACTCTTATTATTAAAACAGTTTGTAGAGAAAGAGACTTCAGAAGCTGGAATATGGCAAGGCAAGAAAATATAGAAAACTAAATAGGTGAATTTAGCTACTCTCAGTGAGGTGAATGGAAAAGGGAATACATTATATGCTCTGTTCCAGCCAAAAGTGACTTTCCCACTTGAAGACGTTAACACTTGAAACTCCTCCATCTCTGGGGCTTGGCAGGAATCCTGGGAGCATCCAGCATTTGAAGCCAGGTGGATGGCTGTCTGGTAATCCCAATCAAGCTCACCTTCCCCAGCATGATCCCAATGCCTCCTTTGGCAGAAACTCTATCAGTGCTGCTCATCTCATTCCTCCAACAGCTCTCCAAAGTGGTCTTTATTATCCACCTTTGGCAGATACAGAAACTGGGATATGAAGGGGAGTAGAATCAAATCTTCTGTAGGAGTAGAGAAGGATCTAGAAAATTGATTTTATAAATTGTACTACTGGAGTTTCCAGCTCTGATTTCTGGAGATATGAGGGTATTACATAGGGGGATGAGAGGGAAAGCGATAATAGTGCCTATTTTCTTGAACCCATGTCATCCGTTAGCATTGATATTTATAAATGTGTTACAACCTAACATAAATGTGGTGACAAACACAGATGGAAAGTGCACAATTCTATGATATTTTACATATATGTATTCACCCACATCATAATACTGGCCCCTTAAAACTGGCAAAGTTTTAAAAAACAAGAAAAACAAAGTCTCAATGAGGTCTGTCAGGATGAGGGCAGCTCATGTCAAGTGCAAGAAGCTCCATTTGAGACCAGGTCTCCCAGGGACCAAAGCCAGAGCAGCTTTCATCCTTTTTCAGTCACCCCCATGAGTTCCAAGCTGCCCAGGTGCTGGCCCTTCTTAGTAGAGAGAGCTCTCAGCTACCATTACACATTGAGCTGTCCGTGGTGCTGGATCATTGGATGGGGCTGAGTAATGGGTCCTGTCTTCCAGGAGAAAATGAATTCTGCCCTTGTGTTACTGCATAGTTATACTCAATGTTTACTGTCGATTATAAAGAAAAGGTCATTATGACATAGCACTTGTCCAGAGCCCAGCTGGCAAGAGTTCTGACACAGTTCCTATCCAAACCCTTGGCAAATCTCACCCCTTCTTTTATCTGGGCTTCTTCAAAGCCATCAGTGGCTTTTTGCCCTCCTAAGCACACACTGAAGAAATGGAACATGTTTGCATCTAAACAGACTTAAGCTAGTGTTGTTTATCCAGCTGTGAACTACAAATCGTCTGCATTTAGGTTATCTGGGGAGATAATTCCCAGAACCAGTGAGTCAGATTCTCTGAGGGTAGAGCCCACATATTAATATTCTTTACAAGAACTCTCTAGGTGGTCACTTATCAAGGCTTCGAGAGCTGTGTCAATAATTCTTTAAGTGTTACTTTTTTTCCATCTAACATATGTGATCACTTCTTCAGACTCCTTGGAATCATTATAAGCATCTTTAATAAGGGTCTTTGGTTTCCTCCACCTTTGACTTTATCAATGCCCTACTAATGGAGCTGCCTCATAGCATAACTCCAGTAACTATCATTAGCATTGGATATAATGTGAGTGGTCTATTCTTAAGGTTTATAACATACTAACCCTGATCACACAGGTTTGGACCTCATCAAAATTGCCATGCAGTTAGCCTCATTGAGAAATAGTTATTGGTTAATATTAAACACCTATCTTAGCTGAGATGCTAGTTTATGCATCTACTGAGGTTCCCAATGTAAGTGGGCATATATTCACCCAATGTGGTCAGCCAATAGAAGAGTCTGCTTTTAAAGGAACAAGCTATCTAGGTGAAGTAGGTGAGATGGTTCCACTCCAGTGTAGGCAGGTAACAGTCCACCTAGAATTCCCTGTTTTGTTCCAAGACTTGTTATACATTGGAAGTTATTCAAGTGAGAGGATTTGGCAGCCACAAGATTGAAAAAGCACTGTAGATACCTAATGACCTCTTAAGGAAAGGATGGAAGACATTCATTCAATAACAAGCGTTGAAGGAACCTAGACAGGAAGGGAACCTACTATTATTGAGCATGTCTGTTATCTATTGAGTAGCACACAAAGCACTTTACACAGGGTTCTTCCTTCAGTTCTCATAGCAAAATTGAGAGTCTGGATTTAGTATCCTCATTTTGCGTACGTGAAAAGTGGGGCTCAGGGATGCTAGGTGGTTTTACGAGATTAACACATAGATGACGTGGTATGAAAACTTAAGCCTACCTGAGCCCCCAGTCTAAGGTTCTTCTATGCTCTAAGCTTCCAGAGAGGAGACCAGGATAATTATTATTTATTTTGAAGAGAGCAGGCTAGTTCTGGAAGTCCTAAGGAAGCAAAACTAGACAGATATATGGGTAATGAGTATGGTCAGGGATGGGAGAAGATGAAGCCTTGGTTTGGAAACGTCTTCCTCTACTGTTGACTGTGTGACTTGTGCTAGTTACTTAAACATTTTAAGCTTCAGTTACATTATCTATAAATTGGGGATAATAGCAGTACTTATAAAGTTATTGCTAAGAATAAGTGAAATAATGCTCATAAAGCTTTTAGCTCAATACCTAAGACCTAGTAATGGTTCAATAAATTATATAAATGTTAGAAGTAGTAATAATATTTTCTTAATATTGGAAGGGGGTCATTGCAGGGTAATGAGTTCCCCATCATAGAAAATCTCCTGAGAATAGATGACCACATTTTTACAAAGCTGTAGAAGAGAGGGGAAGAGAAGCGTTTGGTTTGAATCATGATATTTTGTTTTGGAGCCATATTATCAAACTGTAAATTTTAAAACCACTTAATTTTTTAGGACTTTTAGAATATGTTTCTTTATTCCTTAGTACTTCACACAGAGTGTCACCAATTCTTTGCGTAGGCTCAGAAATGGGTGAAAACAAGGGATGTCTGTGTCTCTTGAATATGTTACTTAGCTAAACTCACAGACACACACAATTTTATATATTGATATGATTGTTGCATCAAAATACCTATGCTAAAATGTCTTTTTATTCAGGTTATTTTAAATGGTTAACATCATCTTTTAGGTTGAACTAAGTTGATATCCAAGTCTTCTCTGTTCCCTATGACTGAGATATTTGGGATCTGAGTATGGCTTCTTAGCCCATGAAATCATCAAGTATAAATGCCCACACATTGGGATGGCATGGTTCACTAATATGCCACACATGTAGCTGGTTTTGAGCATAAAATTGTGAATAATAACACTTGTCTACATTTATTTGCTCTCATCCCTACTTGATGTCCTCCATCCCAGAAGAGTGAGCTAATGCATGACTTTGTGCTGTTAGAGAGGAAAGAGGTCCATAATTGGCTTCAGAACTAGTTTGCAGTGATTTGAATACATGGAAGGAGTATTTTCAATTCTTAGAAGGGAAAATGACACCACATTGTAAGTGGATCCTTAGCCACAAACTGCCAAGCACTTTATTTAAAACGAGTAGTTCCTTGGACATCCTGCTCTATGAAATCATCCCAGGCTTTGTTTTAAAATGCTCCATGTTGACTGCAGATCTTTGAATACTGTGGAACATGCTTATGGGTGGAAGTTCTGTACAATATGGCTTCTGTCTTTTTCTTTGTTAACTCATTTGCACAGCCTTGATGCTGTTTAGACAAATAGACTGTCCTACCTGGTATCTGCCTCTCTATATACCTTTGCTTGTACATTCCTCTCCATCATATATTTCCATATATGGCAGTCTCACCCATCTCTAAGGCATAACTTAGTTTGCTCCCTCCTCTAGAAAACCTTCTTCAATGAATCCTTAGAGACAAATAATATCACCTCTCATGAACATTACCTAGAATTATATTTGTGCCTTTCTAATGACTTCAGTCTAACTCCTATTACTGTTACTGTTACTGTTACATATGTGTCATTGAGACAACTGCCACAGTCCTGAAAACTGGCCTCCTGCTTTAAGTCTAGGCTCTCTCCTATCTTTTATTAACAATGCAAACAGAGCCATCTTTTACAATGAAAATATCAAAACATCGCATACATGTATTACATACGTGTCATACTTTCCATAAATCTGTTTATTGTCTTCTTTTTTACTTGTTTTGAAGACTGAACTTCTTATTGTGGCCTTTGCATCCTTGCAAGGTCAGGCCCCTGCCCGCCTTTCCAGTCTTACGTCACACCACCTCTCCATATATTGGCTCTTAAATTTCTCTGTTGCCTCCTGCCTCAGGCCCTTTGCACATGGTGTTTTCTTTGCCTGAAAACTTCTTCCCACATCTCTAGTTTCTCTCATTTACCCTAGGGTAATGCCTCTGTTAGCTCCCTTATGAATCATTCTCCTTGAGCCCTGCTTTTTTTCTGTATTATATTTATTTCAATGTATAATTTTAAATTTATCTAGTTAATGTTGTTCTCTCTTGCTAGGTTTCAAGTTCCATAAGGATAGAGATTACATTTGTTTTGCACATTATGTTCAGAACCTTGGACAGGATCCAAAACATACTTGATGCCCGCTAAAAGGCTTTCACTGAATTTTTTTGTAAAGTTAATTCAATGGTTAGACTTAAATTTTTTCAAGGGCAAGGACCACAGCTTATTCATGTTCTAACTTATTGTGATGCCTAACAGGGATTCTGACTCAGTAGGCATATAAGAAATTGTGTCTGTAAAAAACGAAGTAAGGGAGGACCGACGGTGGACCCAGAAGCCCTAAGAAGATACATCAAAAAGAATGACAGTGCAGGAGGTCTGAGGCTGCCTCTTCTTCTATGATTGACTTCACTCCCCAAGGATGTTGCTCCCATCCCCAAAAATAAACTCCAATCAAATTCACACACCCCTCCTCAACACCAAAATGAAACAAGCTTCATCCCAGAGCCCAGAAAGAGGGGAAATATAAATTGGGCTGAGATTCAGAACCCCCATAGGGGAGGTGGCAATGAAATACCAATAAACCATATTAATATGCTGAAATCAGGGAGAATAGCTTGAACTCCAACCCAGACTTAATAACTATACGTGAGAGAGTACAGGGAGAAGGCAAGGCTAGGCTTCAGTCAGAATTAAAATGAGATCTGTAATGAAATTGGTAATATAATTATAAACTGTGAAAACTTTTTTTCACTTCTTCTTTTTCTTGTACTTAATGGCCAACTTGCTCGGCAATGGCTGGGAGCTGTGGATACCCCCTAGAGTAGAATTCTTTTTTTTTTTTCTTCAAATCTCTTCATTAGGAATGTCTAAATCCATAAAACCATGGAAGAAAAAAAATTTAAGCCATTTTCTGCCTTAAATAGTAACTGATCCCCAGGTTAAAATGACAAGTGGCTTGGGGGAGAACAAACCCAGAAAAACCATTCTAAGCAGCTGAACATGTTCAAGCTTTTAAAGATACCACAGCAGCCAGTGGGACTGGGATTTTTAATGACACTCTGTGCTAAGATGTTAGCTTGGCTTCCAACCAGAATGAATCATTACTAATTTTCCTTCATAACAAAAGAGATAACTGAGTTTGACGTCCAAAATTGGAGACTAATTTCTGTGTTTTGATAGCAGATTGAGTCCAAAAATATGTTCCCAGGAACTGGGGCAGAGGGTTGTTGCAAGGAGTAGGCAAACTCAATTTTCTCTCATTAATAATTCCGTTCTGTTGTTGTGAACAGAAGGCCACTTTGACTTTTAGAACGGAAAGAGAGAATGCTGGGTGGGAGCTTTGATGAGATTGACTTCAAGTCTATAGAGTTAGTTGTTCCATAATTATTGGCTTAAGGTTTGCCAAATAGTGTATAATGAGGCAGTGGAGTAATCCACAGGAGAAAGAAGGTAGTATGGTAAAGACATTAAGTGGATTGATCTGTGGCCCAGGAGATGTGCATTCCAGACCTGTTCATCTGCTTTCTAGTTTTGTGACCTTGGGTATATTAATTCCCCTCCTAAACTTCAGCGTTTTTTTTAAATCTAAAAACATGCTAATACTCCCTCCTTCAAAGAGTATTAGTGGGCTGATTCATTTAAAAGTATTTTGTCAACTGTGAGGGTAGTTATGATTATGAGAATGTTGTGACTTTTCCTCACTGTTTGCAGCTTTAATATGTATAAAGAAAACCTTAGGGTTGGAATAGGGTCTTGGCAGGTAAGGCTAGGTAAGGAAAAGGTAGAATATTAGGGGGGTTGGCCTCCCTTGGCTAGAAGAAGGAAGATAGATAGTTAAAATGCATTAATAACACCACTCTTTTATTCTTATATAGTGTTCTGCTTCTTCCCTTTCTTCCTTCCTTTTCTCCTTCATTTTTTTTTCCTCCCATGGTCAACAAACGTTTGCATACCATACTCTCTGTGGCATGCTCAGATACTGGGGTGGAGAGACAGATAAAACACCATCTCCGGCCTTCTCCAGCTTAGTGGTGGTGGGACATGCCAAGTCAATAAATGATGACTCAGTGTGAATGATTCATAATGGGATTGTCCTAGATGCTGTGGAGACACCGATGGGCACACAAGTATCCCAAGCTGGAGATGGGAAGAAGGTGTCTTAAGGAGGTGCTACTTGAGCTACATCTTAGAGCCATTGACACTTATCTGGAGAAGGGCAATGGATGATTGCAGGCTTCCCAGGGAGGGGCATGGACACATGTCAGTGCATCCTATAGATCCTGTTTTTCAAACCTCCCAATGGTTGCAATAACACTGGTAATGATTAGAAATGTTTACGGAAGAGTTGCTAAGTGCCAGGTCCTGTGCTAAGTACTTTGCAAGGTATTACCTTGTTTCATTCTATTACCTCATGAAGTAGATCCAGTTATTATCCTCAAATTTAAGGGACACATAAAAATTGAAAGGTCATGTATGCCTAGGGAGGTTATATGACCATCTTAGTGTTACACAGGTGGGAAGAGGTTGAACAGAATTATTTTGAATCAACATCCACAGAATGTGATAGAGAATTTGATGACTAAGATCATCCTCCAGCTCCTCTATGAATTCACTCCATCTTTGGACAAATCTCTACTTCTTCAGGCCTCAGTTTCTTCATTGTAAAATGTAGGAGGGGAACAAGGTGGTACTTAAGATTCTTCCCTGCCCCAGTATCTTAAATGGAGAGGGAGAAATACTGGGGTTCAAAGTCCCTTTTTACTTATCTCATGATGGACATGACCTTCCAAGTCCTTATGCAGCCATCACATTAGTGTCCCAGGTACTCTGTCTTCAGACTGCTTTGGGCCAAACTGCTGTCATGCAGCCCCCTGAACAGGGAGGTAGGGAGCAGAGACAGCTGAGCAAACAGCTGAGCCCACAAGTTGCCATTTGAAGACAGCTTAGAAGGATCACATCCAAGCTTGTGGAGGGACTTCAGGCTCCCAAGGCTGCCTGGATGAAAAATAAAGTAGTGGGAAGCCTGGCCCCTCCGCAGCTTCCCCTCTCAGCCCCAGCTGAAGAGGGACCTTGAGCATCTCTGATGCCAGTGGGAGTCTGGGAGGGGAAGAATGCATTGTATTCACATGGGAAAGGATAAGATGGGAGGAATAATTAACACCTGTGCATCCTGCTCCCCCTTCCCCAGCGCTGCTACCCAGCAAAGCCTTGCTATTTGGCTTTTCTCCCCAGCACATTCCTCTGGATTATGTAAGCCAAATATATCTGCAGCTGCTCAGCCTTGGGTTTTCCAGAAGCTCTTGGCAACTTTCTGAACCTCAGCTAATGGCTGGGGCATCTCATCATCAGCTGGAGTGATCCCCAGAGCCTGGACCATCCTTGAACCTTCTGTTTATTCACTCCCTGGCTTTAACTCTGGCTTCCATTTAAACTTTATCAGTGAGTCTGTACATTCAAACTTTCAGCTGACATTTGCTGAGTGCCTGCTCAGGGCCAGACTTAGATTCTGGGATTAACTCAGGCACAGTCAGCATTAAAGGTGGGTGAGGTGGGGGAAAGAACATGGGATTTGGAATCTTAAATCCTCAGGTTTAAATCTACACTCCTCCACTTACTAATTATGGATCTTGGACGAGTCACTGTACTTCTCAGAACCACCAATTTTACCATCTATTAAAGTGAAGCTATAAGCCCCTACTTCACAGGGTGGTGGTGAGGGTGAAATAGAGAGTGGCATAACAATAGCCAAAAATAGGTGGTTAGAAAATGCCAATCACACCCTCACAGGGATCACATGTGTCATTTAAAATGTTAGGATAACTATATAGCAAAAGGCTACTATGGAAGGTAGATGATAATCTGAACCATCAGGACATATAGACAGGAGTCAGCCAGGTTGTCAGGGAAGCTTGGAGTCTTTTCCACTGGGCAGATCTGGGTAAAGCTTCAAGGAGCAAGAGGATTCTGCTAGCATCTTTTCCCATTTGAGGAAACTGGATGGGCAGGGATTGGGAGTGAGAATGTGCACTTCTGTTGGAGGTGGGGGGAGAGAGGGAGGACAAGAAGGGCAATCTTCCAGGTAAAGAGAACAGCATGAGCAAAGGTGTGGCAGGAGCAGGTAGCACCCAGCAAGGCTGGGGCTCCATGGGGGCATGAATGGATCTAATGGGAGGGTTTACCCAGGAAGAGCAGTTGGGATTTTATCCTGGAGGTTGGGAGTTATGGAAGCACTGAAGGATTTTAATAAAAGGAGTGGAAGAGTCACAGTTGCTTTTACAAAGGGCAAGGCAGCTTGTTAATTCAGAGTTCAGGCTGTGGAGTCAGACATACCTAGGTTCAAATGCTAGCTGCATGAAATAATAGATAATAGATGCTACCAGTGTTACTTAACCCTTCTGGGTTATTTCTTAATCTGTAGGGTTGGGAGAATCAAATGAGATTATATTTCTAAAGTACTTGGTAATGTTCATTTTTATTGGAATTGCCATCACCGTCCTTTCAGTCTAAGTCGAGTCTCCTTGTTAAATGGTCCTGAACTACTACTTTTTGCATTCAGTACATTTGCAATTACTTCTTCAATGTCTAATTTGGTTAAGAGTCTGGGCTACAGAATCTCACTGCCAGAGTTTGATACCTGCCTCTGATATTTTGTAGCTATGTAGCCTTAAGTTATTTAACCTCTCTAAGCCTCGTTTGTGCATCTGTGAAATGGGGAATGTCACAGTAAACCACCTTAAAGGGTGATCTTGCGTAGCACATATTCCATACTTGGAAAACAATAGCCCCTTCCAAAGCTACTTTAAGGCCCTTATTGGCAGAGAGTGTAGCTGTCTTGTTCCTTTGTAATCCCCAGTACACAATCAGTGTTCAATAAAGATTTGTTTAATGACTGATCACAATGTGAAAGGTGAATCTGAGGTTGCCTAAGCTGGCGACAAGGAACCTGATAGGCGCTGCCATATTGAGTTCATAAGATAATGCCTGAACAAGGGCATTAAATGTGAAAATAAAGAAAAAAGAGTTCCTGTAGAGCTAGAAAAAGGAAATATAGCAACTAACTACAAGTAGAGACCAAGGAAGAGGAAGAGTCAAAGATGATGTGGCATCTGCCACCTGGGATCCCTGAAAGGTTGATGACCCCAGACATCAATCAACATAAGAAGCCCAATTGAGTTGAGGAAGCCTTGTAAGAATAATCCCCTTTTTGTAAAGCTGTGAGGTGTGGTGGTTATGAGCTTCAACACCAATGCCAGAGTACATGGGTTCAAATCCTAACTAAGCTTCATCTTCTGAAAAATGGGGATGCTAAAACACCAGAAATTAGACTGTTATTGTGAGAACTAAATGGTTGTTCATTTCAAGGGCCTGGCCCATGGTAACCACACTCAAAAACTAGGGACTGTTACAATTCCGCTGAAGCACCAGCATCCCGATGTGAGACCAAAGATCAGATGCCTACTTCTTGGCTACATATTTAGATTTAAAAAAAAAAGAAAGAAAAGAAAAAAATACAAGCAACTTTAAAGAACACACAATAGGCTGGGCATGGTGGCTCATGCCTGTAATCCCAACACTTTGGGAGGCTGAGGTGGGCAGAATACTTGAGGTCAGGAGTTCGAGACCAGCCTGACCAACACAGTGAAACCCTGTCTCTACTAAAAATACAAAAAATAGTCCAGCTACTCAGGAGGCTGAGGCAGGAGAATCACTTGAACCTGGGAGGTGGAGGGTGCAGTGAGCCAAGATCACGCGACTGCACTCCAGCCTGGGCAACAGAGCGAGACTCTGTCAAAAAAAAAAAAAGAAAAGAAAAGAAAAAAGAAAAACCACAATATTAGAACCTTTACAAATGCTGCCTGGATAAAAGTTATTAGTAGGAGATGTCACTGTGTCCTGCGAGTAAAATTAATTTGCCGGATCTCTGAAGGCTGCTCCCCTGAAGGTTTGAATCACTGGAGTAATATCTCAGGTGACATCTCACTGCAGTATTTGAACCAGGGTGGAGGATGAGAGAGTGATCAGTCTGTGGCACCCACATGAGTGTTAACATGACCTATGAGTTTCAAGGTTCCAGGGCCAGCCATTCCCTGCAAAGACTCAAATGAAGCATTAATGTGCTGGGCAGTGGACTTTCTATGGAAGCAGAGGCCTGAAAAAAGATACAGAGGCCTGGTGATGGGAGCTGGTGTCACACTTGAAATGTGGAATCAATTAAAGATGGCAGCTTCTGCTACCCCAAAAGGGGGGGCATGAGTACAGGGGTGAGGGCACATTGTGGGCATATTGCCAAGTAGCTAGTTGGCAGTTTTCTAAAGTGTAGAATGTTAGAGCCAGAAACTATTTTGAGCCTAATCTTAGCCCATTCTCCTCCTTGGGCATCTCATCCTCAGGCCAAATGAAATAGCTATTTCCTGAAGGCCCAGACTCTGTTTTGTTTCTTTGCAGCATTTCTTTCCTTTTGCCTAAATCCCTTTGCCGCTTGTATTAGTCTGTTCTCACGCTACTAATAAAGATATACCCGAGACTCGGTAATCCTAGAGGAAGGAGGTTTGACTCACAGTTCCACATGGCTGGGGAGGCCTCACAATCATGGCAGAAGGCAAGGAGGAGCAAGTCACATCTTACATGGTGGCAGGAAAGAGAATGAGAACTAAATGAAAGGGCTTTCCCCTTATAACCATCAGATCTCATGAGACTTATTCACTACCATGAGAACAGTATGGGGGAAACTGCCCATAATTCAATTATCTCCCACCAGGTCCCTCCCACAACATATGGGAATTATGGGAGCTACAGTTCAAGATGAGATTTGGGTGTGGACACAGCCAAAGCATAGCACCCCTCTACTCCATTTAGCTGCTTTCTTATATTGAACTCAATATAAGGAAGTGTGACAGCTCAAGTGTGACCGTTTGTAGGAAGCATTCTCTGACTTTGCAGAGGAGGTGAGCATCCCTGCTCTGTGTGCCCAAAGCTTCCTGTTTTATCTTTATCACTACACTGATTATGTTCTATTATAATGGTCTATCTTGTCATCTCTCAATTGAACCATACACTACTTTCGGGCAGGGACTCTTTCTTCCACTTTTATAACCACCCCCTTTTGTCACGGTATTCAACATAGAGTGGGAGCTCAGTATATTTAGATCTGTTCCCTATTCAGGATACTTTTAACAATAACTTTTTAAAAAAAAACAATTCTGAGACATCTAATACCGTTCCTGTAATTATGATTCCTGTTATTGAATTATTGGTTGCAATTTTATTTTGAAACCCAAAATTACGTCACAAGATTTGACAATGAGGTAGACTCTTCAAAACCAGTCTTGAGCCCAGTAAACATAAGCTGCATTGCTCTCAAAGCTACATGAGGAGTTGGGTAGAAGATAGAGAAGGTAATTCTCACTGAGGTAGACATCAAAAGATTCTTAGAG
This sequence comes from Homo sapiens, assembly GCF_000001405.40. Classification (NCBI taxonomy): domain Eukaryota; kingdom Metazoa; phylum Chordata; class Mammalia; order Primates; family Hominidae; genus Homo; species Homo sapiens. The sequence goes on along the minus strand of NC_000009.12, from coordinate 117,024,167 downwards.
AAGGTAGAAGCTGAGATGAGCATAAAAGGGTAAGTTGGGCTTGGACAGATTCATTGTCCACCTTGAAGAACTCGTTTGAGGATGGGATGAGACTGGTTTGTGCAAAAGGAAATTGGCCTCAGCTTCTCCTCTCTCCCTAGTTGACCTGCAGCATCAGCCCTCAGTAGCGCCCAGTCCCATCCCCTCCCCAACCTCGCACCCTCAGTAAGATCCATCTAGACAACAGGTGCGTGCTTATGCCATATTGCATGTTCCAAACACAGTGTGAGGACAGCAAGTTGGCATCTAGAGGCCTCCAGTCCTATTTCAGTCCCCATCCTTCTCTCCTTCCGGAAACAACCTCACCACTAGAATGCAAATCCATATAATATTAGATCCTTATGAAAATAACAGCTAGAATTCATCATGTGCCAGGCAGTATGCTAGGTATTCTACCTATAATACCTTTTTTAATCTTTACAGAATTTATTCATTCATTGAACAAATATTTATTTCCTGTTTCTTATGTGTCATGGGGCAGTCAAGATGCTGTGCTGGAAAAGACACAGCCCCTGCCTGCAGCATGCTTTCATTCTCAGCAGGAGACGAACACCAAAGCAAATTAGCAAAATAAAGTAAGTAAGCATTGGCAACAGGTGAGAGTGGCTGTGAGGATAATTAAAATGGTGTAAAATAATTAAAATAGAGGAGAGTTGGGATAGAAGGCTCAGATATGCTGGTCAGGGAAGATCTCTCTGAGAAAACGACATTTAAAGGAACATGTGAAGTTGTGTGGTAGAGGAAAGTGTGTTCCAGGCAGAGGAAACAACACAGTCAAAACCATTTGGGTGACTTGAACAAGGTGGAACAAGGTCAATGTGGTTGGGGCAGACTGGGTGATGAGTTGTAGAAGTGAGCACAGGAAAGCTTTTCTGTGGAATGGGCATTCTCTTTCCTTTCTGTGGACAAGGACACGGAGGAAAGTAGAGCAAGGTAGAGCTCTGAGCAGTATTCTTTGATTCAGGGACCTGTACTGTCTGCTCCAATTTTGTGTATTTAGGCTAAGCTGGTTCATTCCACTCCTGGCCAGTTAATGCTCATGAAGACTTTCAATGCCACAGCTTTAGTCATTCCTCCCCCTTCCTTTACCCCACCCCTCTCATTTATTGTCTTCAGTTTTGTTGTTGTTGTTGTCGTATGTTTGTTTGATTTGTTTTCACTATCTTCCTGTTTACTGTCATAGTTTTTGCTGTTTCTCCTGTACCTCTCTCCATGCTACCCTGAGAACCCGGGACAGGTGGTCTTCTCAGACCTGCCTCTGAGCATTCATCTCAGACGCAGCCCCTCTGCCCACTGCCCACTGCCCACTCTGATTCCATCCACCATAGCACTCTTGCAGCCAGCACATTTAACTATCCTGCTGCTGAGTCCCCAACTCCCAGCTGACAATCGTCTTCATTATTTGAGGAGAATCCATTTTACTAAGCACCTTGACTATTTGGAATTTCAAAGGATGAATAAATTTGCAAGGTGAAATTTCAGGACAGTGGATGACAACATTTTTTAAAGGAATTTGCCCCCACCTCCCGTGTTAAGTCTAGTTTTCAAAATCAGTGCGTTGCCATTGAAGATGCTACTAGGAGAATCTCAGGGCACTTTCCCTTAATAGAAATGAGGAATTCAAAGAGGAACACATCAGCAAATGATGTTGTTTTTTTGTTTTTTGTTTTTTTGTTTTTTTTTTTTGCCCTGGGATACTGTACATGACTATTTCTCAGAAGTGATCTTTAATTGTTTCATCTAAAGGGTATGCATCTTCTTTGCTCTGACTGTCTTCTCATAGAGGTTGTGAATTGGATCCAGCTATTAGTAGCACTTACTAATTTCCTCTGAGTCTTGCTGGCTGAAGCGCCAGGCTTGGAACAACTTTTAATTTTGTTTTTAATTAAATTTCAGTTGTTTCAAATCACTCACTTTTAATGTCATTTCTTTGCAGTCCTCAGAGGCAGCAGGAGTTGTGTGTTCTTGTTTATGCACACACACAATCTGATGTGTATATATCCATGTGTGGCTAAAGACTGACTCCTGGCTGAGGACCAGAGCAGGAACAGGCAATTAGGAAAGTAGAAATGAGTCACAGAATGGGCTTTTGATTACACTGCTATATCCAAAGCTAATATGTTGTTCAAGCAGGAGTCTTGGTTATTGTGTTTGTTTTTGCGAAACTGTATTTGAACAAGGCAACATTTTCTTTTATTTCACAGTAGAACTATCAAATATATGTAGGTAGAAATAGTGTAAGAATAGCTAATATTTATCCAGCATTTATTATGTGTCGGGTGCAGTTTTAAGCACTTTACATCTATTACCTCGTTTATACTAAAAGTGAGTAATCTGAAACAAGGGAAATTTAATTTACATGTATTACCTCCCACATTCCTGTGAGATTGTTATCCAAATTTTTATAGCTGAGGAACCAAGGCCCATTTAACTGGATCATTATCATTTGGTTAGTTAGTGGCATGGCCAGAACGTGAATACCAGCTGCCTCGCTCTGTATTTCTGCTATTAAACATTACCCTGGACTCTCTGTTTATAAAAAACAGAAAGACTTCCTCATCTAAATGAATTTGACAACAACAAAGAATAGCAGTTGACTAGTTTTTTGAAAGAGCGAGATGATGTTAACTTTGTTTGATCTTTTATAGGGTCTCTGCGCATGCCCATTCCTGTTGTGTAAACCCCAAGAATGCCCCATGGGGTTTGGTCTGGATTCATAAACCATGGTTTGGCTATTTAGCTGTGCTCTTCCAGATATTAGCACCTCAGAAAGGACAATTAGGTTTGATAGCAAAAGCATAAATACACTCCAAATGTCCTATGTATCCCATAGTTTAGCTCATCATTTGCTAGACCATTGGTTCCAACTGAAAATAGAACCCAACCTATTTTCTATGTCAGAAACTTCACATTTAAAAAAAGGCTCAGCATGGTGGCTCACACCTGCAATCCCAACACTTTAGGAGGCCAAGACAGGAGGATTGCTTGAGTTCAGGTGTTCAAGACCAACCTGGGCAACATAGGAATACCTCATCTCTACAAAAAATTTAAAAGTTAGCCAGGCATTGTTGCATGTACCTGTAGTCCCAGCTACTAAGGAGGCTGAGGTGGGACAGTTGCTTAAGCCCAGGAGTTCAAGGCTGCATTGAGAGATGATTGCTCCACTGCACCCCAACCTGAAGCGCCACTGGAGAGTGTGGGGAGGGAACTGTGGGGTTTGTCTCTTTTGTTTCCGTTTGATAACATCTATGGCAATATTCTGCAAATAGTTGCCTTAAAGCACCATTTGTCACTCCATTCATTCATTCATTCAAAATGCTTTACTGATTGCACGCTAAGGGCCAAACGCTGTGCTTAGAGATGCCATTTTAAAGATGAATTAGATATGGATTCTTCCTTAGAAAACTCACTCTCTCCCTAGGTAGATGAGACACCAGCATGCCCTAAATCTTGCCACATGCTGACTCCTCTGAAAGTGTGGGCTAAATTCAAATGCATCAGTGGTGATACCGATATAAGAAAAGAGATGCGTGTAGCAGGCTTCAGGACAGAGGAAGGACAGGCTACTTCCAGGTGATGGGACCAGGGAAGGAAGATAAATGAGTATAATCTGGGAAGATACGGGTAGTAAGGAGGAAACTTCAGGATATGAGGACAAAGGCAAGAGTGAGAAGAAGAAAGTGGCATTATTTAGTCAATTTCCACCTATCTTGGCCCAGTGCCTCAGACTCTTCCAACAGAGGGAGAACATATTCTTGGCAATTAGCTAGAGACCAAAAAAAAAAAAGCAATTTTTCATCACCTTCTATGTGTTTGACTCACTACTACAATTTGTATATATTCTACCCTTTCTTCCTTCCCAAATCTTCTGAAGTTGGTGTTATTGCTGTTTTCAATATCATAGAAGTACTAGTAATAGTACCATCATCAGTATCCTTATTACAAAGGTAATATAGGTGTAAATGAAGCACATATTAAATATACCCTCTTTCCTATTCCTAGGATATTTCCAATCCTAGTCTGCCCAGTTGATTACCCTTTTGATGTATTTCCTTCTAGAATTTTTGCTACACACACACACATACACACACACACACACACACACACACACACACACACACACACAGAAACCCTGAATGGCTATTTTTATGTTTGTTTATTTCAAATCTGAGATGATACTTTATCTATTTTCGGGCAACTTGCTTCCTTCATGAACCATGGACATCTCAATGTGCCATTACACACAGGAGTTATATGTTAGGTATTGTTGTCCCATTTTACAGAAGAGAATCCGCAAGGTTCACAGAGTGAATCATAGGCATAAAGTCCTTCAGGTGGTAAATGGCAAGGCTGGTGTTCCAACCAGTCTTCTCTGGCTCCAGGGACTGGCTCCTTCAGACTACATTTCACCAGCTGCCTCCAGGAACAGAAGACGGGAATTCACCTTTCATGCGACATATACCAGAAACGTGGACCTCAGCCACCCTGGGTCCTATTTGATCCCCAGGGCCTTCATTTGGCCCTCGAATAAAAACCTTATTTTTTTATCTCCTTACCTTTCCCAGAATTCATAGTAGGACTTGGCTGGTGAAAGGCTGGTTGCTGAGAAGGCTACAGTGTGGCTAGGCTGCAGTTCCCTGTTATTACATTGCCCCAGGTATTAATATTGTATATTTAGGCAGCTGTTCTCATCCGTGCCTGGCAGTGAAATTTGTTTCATCAACATGACTGTTGAAACCGCTGATTTTTGGATGCTTGGCCCCATGTAGTCCTTTGTAGCATCATAAAATAATTAGATTTAGGCTTAGCATTAATTTGAATTATTGTCCAATTTCCAGAAAATATCTCCTGAAAATGTCATGACGATGTATTACATGTCTTTGGAGATATTAAGTATTGAATTACAATATTATGTCACCTTCTCCCTGACTTCTTTGTTTTTTTTTCTCCCTCTCTTTCAACATGGTATGATTTATGTTCCAGCTACCACCATGAGAAGCTCAGTATTTACAGAAGTAATGAGAGATGTATGTTGACAGAAGCGAAAAAGAAAAATACAACAACCAGAAATCTTAGTGATGTGGATAGGTTTTCCTTGAAGCAAGCAGAATGCGAGGCAGCCATGTGTTAACAGAGCTCTGGAGTCAGAGTCAGGTAGCCTGCATTCTAATTTTGAATCATCAGTTTCCTAGCTGTGCAATTTAGGACATGTACAGTTAACCTCTTTTAGCTCCAATTTCCTTGTCTGTACAATGGGAATAAAAGTAACACCTACCCTCTACTGGTATTTCTAAGCAATAGCAGTAGTAAAAAAAAATCCCATTTTCCATGTGCATTCAATGAGTGAGGCACAGACACAGACTTACATTTACCTTGCAAATACTGCAAGATAAGTGCTATTCACCCTCTTTTAGATGAGCAAGCAGAGAAAAGAAATATCAAGCATTTCCCAGGGTCACTCAAATGATGAACTGTCAAGGCACCATTTGAATCCAGATGTGCCTGCCCACTTCAAGGTCTATGCTTTTTCCAGTGAAGCCAATTCCAGACAGAAGAGAGTAGAAAGGAAGAGATCTAGAGAAAAAGGAACACTTACAAACATACACACACTGACACAAGAGACACAAGCAGGCAGGTGCCTATGCCTAATTTGGTCAGTTGGCATCGAACCCACAGTGTAGTAATGAAAGAGATTTGGGGAAGAATTGCTAATATGGTTATTCTTAGTGCTCACAGTTGTGAGCTGTCTTTTCCAAACAGCTCCTGATGTTTCTGCAGATTTCTTGGGAAAGGCAGAAGGAAGCACATCTCATACAAAAGGGTAGACCCTAAGAAGTGGAAACAGGCTGCAGGGAGCATAGTGAAGCTGGTGGGTCCTGTAGGCCACAAGGTGCACTCATTCATTTGTTAATTTACTCAGCTATTCATGTCTTACCATAAATTTTCATTCCAAAGGTATTGCACCTAATATATGCCAGGCATACTTCTAGGACCCCACAGTGGTTCCTCACTCTCGCAACATGTCTTCAAGTAGGGTCCCTCATTCCCACCCTACGCCGATCATCCCAGGGTATTGTGACAATCAGGGGAAAAGCTGCTAGGATAAGTCAGCCTAGAAAAAATGAGTCTAGCCTGGGTAAGTGAGAGCAAGGTGACTTTTTTTTTTTTTTAATGAGACTGATATCTGGCTGTGTCCCAAGGAGGATCACCATGTTGCACAATTTCAGAAGACACCATCTATATAGGACACATTATTGACAGAATTATCTGTGCTTATGTGTATGTACAAGTGTGTATGCACATAAACATGGACATACACAATTACCAATTGTATATACACATGCAAAATATATAGTAATATGTATTGTATATACAGACAGATATACAATTGTAAATGGAATGTGTAATTTATCATGTACATTTTGTCCCTACAATAAAAAAACATGAAGGCCTTAGCCAGGAACTTTACTATCCATAGGAAATCCAAATGAATCTTATTTAATTTCCATAGAAGCTCTATGAAGTAAGCATTATTCACATGGTACAGATTAAGAAATGCAGGAGGCTTACCAAGACTATGTGATTTGTTCTAGAATCGTACAGCAACTCAGTGGCTGGGCCAGATTTAATCTGTTCCCGTTAGACTCCTATCAAAGTTTCCATCTAAGTTCGTGTCTTACTTGAGCAACTGACATGGAGAGAGATTTTTCAGTATTAGGAATTCAGAGCTAAATCACCTTTGGGTTTGGGGAGTAGTCGTCAACCATGTTCATTCAAACAGCACAGATCTTAGTTAAAAAAGAAATCCAACACTAAAATTGGGTCTGATGCCTAAATTCCCAATGAAGTCATAAAAAGAGTTCAAAAAATAAAGAAAGAATTAAATTAAAAGAAAAGAGTTGCTTTCAACCTTCAGCCAAAATTCTTCTTTAAAAATTTAAATGATTAAAGAAAAATGAGAAAACATGTCATGACTTTATTCTTTTCCCATTGCCTAGTTTGGTACCAAACTGCTGTATTCTTGGGGGAAAAGATACTTTTTTGAAACGTCAAAACTTCAAACCTTTTTTGTCCAGACTCAAACACCCCTAACTCAACTTTGAAGCAAGACCGTAGATACATAAAGGCATGCAGAATTCTGTGGCAACGTGTTTTCAGCCAGACTTTGATCACAAGTCTGAGGTAGGGAAGACAGAAAACAGTAGACACACATTTGCCTGGAGCAAATTTGGGCACAGCACTTCAGGAAGATGTCTATTTGGAAATAGGTGTATTTTGATACAGCTTTATTTGGAAAAACATATATATATATATAAAACATATATATAACCTATATATAACCTATATATATAAAACCTATATATAACCTATATATAAAACCTATATATAACCTATATATATAACATATATATATAACCTATATATATGTAACATATATATATAACCTATATATATGTAACATATATATAGGTTATATATATATATATATATATATATATATATAGATAGATAGATATAGATATAGATATATATATAAAACCTAGAATACCCCAAATCCCAGTGGACTGTTCATCTCCATGGTCTTTTTTCTGGGATATGCAGTGATGAGATCTCAATGTCTCTTCTATGAAGTGGTCCTCTCACAGTTATTAGCATTTCCTACTCCCACTGGGCTCTAGCCCAGTGACAGTTTCCCTCCACCAGGACGGTTCTTGATTGTCAGTGGAAGATACTGGCACAGACTCTGAGCTCTTAGAAGTTATGGCACTTAGATTCTGGTCTAGCCCTGACACCTGTGGCTCTTGGAGAGTCAGTTGACTTCTCTCACTCCCACCTCCCTCATGACCAGAAGAGGTTGAGAGTCACAAAGTCCATGTTCTAGCTGTGGCTACTTCACTAATCCCAGAGGGGATCTTGGGCACCTCCCCTGCCCCTTGCCTTGACCCTCAGTTTCCTTATCTCTGCAAAAGGGTCTGATTATAACATACATTCTCAATAAGGACATAACATCCCCAAAGAAGTAAAAATTGATCTTGGGGAGGGAGTGAAAATATTTAATCTATGTACAGTGAAAGCATAGTATATAAACAGTACATACAGTGTATAAGCAGATATACAATATATCTCTGGTATTAAAATTTCATGGGTGGGAGGTGGTTAAGGAAAAATGTCTAAAAACACTTGATAAAAATATTAAAAGTTGAGAGATTCTGGACTAGAAAGACTCAAATTTTTCTGATAGTCTGTAAAATTAGATATATAACTAGCATAACACCATAAACTTCTAATCTGTTGTATAATGATTCCAGGAAACCCCAATCTTAACCAAGTTGCTATCTTCTTCAGAGCATGAAAAAAAAAGTACTTTCATGTAAAATTAACAGAAAGAGGTTGACTGTCCTTAAAATAACCACTGGAACATCTCAGCATTTTCTTAGCTTCTTTCTTCGCTTTGTCATTTCCATCTGATTCACACACTTTATGGGTATTATAATAATCCCTCTGTCCATCCAGTGATGTTGGAAGTGTTTGGAACCAGAAAAGACACCAGACTTGGTATCTGGGGAGTGGATGAAAATAGCTTAGTTCAGACTTGGGTTTTTATCCTGAGCTCCATGAACCTCCAGGGGGTCCATTGATAGAACTGTGCTTCACTTATTCATGACATTTGTTATACTATAAATTTGGTTTTATACATTTGAAAGCTTTATTCTGAGAAGTGATTCATAGGTATCCCAAGCACAAAATAAAGGTTACTAAGTGGAGCAAATGGCAAGCTTGAGATATTTGCTGTCAAAGAAGTCAGAGGTGGCCAAGGGCAGGGGTTCACACCTGTAATCCCAACACTTTGAGAGGCCAAGGCAGGTGGATCGCTTGAGCCCAGGAGTTTGAGACCAGCTTGGGCAACATGTCAAAATCCTGTCTCTACAAAAAAACACAAAAAATTAGTCAGGTGTGATGGTCCTGTAGTGTCTCTGTAGTCCTAGCTACCTGGGAGGCTAAGGTGGGAGGATCACCTGAGCCAGGGAGGTCGAGGCTGCAGTGAGTCATCGCACCACTGCACTCTAGCCTGGGTGAGTTAGAGCTGTTTCAACAACAACAACAACAACAAACAACAAACAAAAAGAAATAAGATAGAGGTAATTTGCTAGGGCTGCCATAAAGAAAAAAGTTTCATAGCCTGAGTTGCTTAAGCAACAGAAATTTATTTTCTCATATTTCTGGAGGTTAGAAGTTTGAGATCATGGTGTCAGCAGAGCTGGTTTCTTCTGGGGCCTCTCTCCTTGGCTTGTAGATGGCTGTCCTCTCCCTGTGTCCTCAGATGGTCATTCCTCTATGTGTACCTGGGCCCCAATATCCTCTTCTTATAAGGACATCAGTCGTATTGAAATAGGACCCGCCCTAATGACCTCATTTAACCTGAATTACCTCTTTGAAGACCCTGTCTTCAAGGACAGTCACATTCTGAGACACTAGAGGTTAGAACTGCAGCATATGAATTTGGGGCAGAACACAGTCCAACCCATAACAAGTAGGAACCATAGAGAAGAATAGAAGAAGGCTGGGGTTGATCCAAGGCAAAAGGAAAGAAGATGACAGAGGAAAGAGCTGGGAGTGGAAGGTCAGGAAGTGAAGACAGAGATAACCGGAGGAGGACTCTTGAAGATCCTTGTAGGAGAACCACCCCCACGATAATGTTCCTCCAGAGTGGTTGCTCTCAGAGACTGTTTTCTCCCAGGTATCCAGGTTGCCTTTACCCATACTCAAAAACCCTCAAGCTTGTTTTTAACCACATTTTTGCAGTTCTATCACCCACCCCGTAAATAGTTTTCTGTTGATGGTAGGTGGTGGAATGTATTAAAGCCTGACTTGGGGCTCTGTGGACCTGGGAGAAGGGTAAAAGTGATACATTCTTCTTGGGTCTGTCGGGCTGATAGTAGATATGATCTTCATTCCTGCTTCATCACACAGTTTGTTTTTCATCTTGTTTCCAGGAAGACATTTCTCCCAGGTCCAAGACAGCTAGGACCCGTGGTATTCATGATGTAACAGAAGGGAGGGAATCTTTAATTATTTTTACCCAAAGAAAGAGGGAAAATAAAAATGAAAACTTTTGACCAAAACAGTCTCTACACTTCATTTGTAAAGACCATCTTTTAGCCACACATCTTTCATTATTCTGCTCACCATTTGCCACTGTGACCAGAGCCTTCTTTTGAAATCTATCCATGGTTCTCAGAGGTCTATTTCATGATGTGAGGTGTAATGAAAGGGATTTGCAGCTGCTGTCTGGCTCTCCAGGCAATTTTGTCTGGTGATACCTCCTTCCGTGGTATTTTTAGTTCTCATCTGTAGCCTTCTGTTTCTTTGGTGGCTGATGTGCCTCTGGCTTTTCAGAGTATGCTACAGAGTGGCCTGAGCTCCCCAGCTCACCCCTGATCTATGCTGCACAATTACAGAAGCAGGCTGATAATCAATGTAATTGAAGATCAGAGTTAATGAGGACCTCCGTGCCCGTGCAGTCCCCTGAGCAACACTGGGCTTCAGATGCTAGATAACGAAATGATTGGGCTGAACTGAAAATCCATTTAGCTAATTAGATGATGTATATTCCCACAAGTAAGTGGGAGAAAAAAAAAAATATATATATATATATATATTTAAAAATAAGGAAACATGACATTTTGAAGTTGAGATTTTGGCAGAGATTTATTTCAGAGTCATTGCTCTCTGGGGAGATCTATATGAGTGTAGAGAGGAACTCAGAACAGTCAGTAAAGTGGGGAGGACACTTTTAATTGAAAGCCAAAAAATAAAACAAGGGTCCAAAGAAAAACTAGAAAAACATGAGACACATGGAATAGTGCCTTTTATTCCTTTTCTGTGTAGTTTGTATTCCCAAATAAATGGAATTTATTCAGAGAGCTCTGCTAGACATTCCTTAAACTTAGTGCTCTCTTTCTCTCTTGTTCTCTCTCACATGCCCACACTGAACCTCAACTTCACCCTAAGCATGGCAGTGATTGTAGAGTTAAATGAAGCCGGGCTTTGCCTTCAAGAAATGCACAATCTGATGGGCAAATAAGTAAGGAAAGTGAGGGATGGGGGGAGGGGAGCAGACAGTCATGCTTTGCCTTAGATTTTTCATATCTGATCTTCCTTTCTGGGCTATAAGTTCTCAGTAGGCAGACGCCATATTTTACTCAACCAGAGCCTGCTGCAGGGCTTGGCGCATAGCCATATCTGAGTGAATGAATGACACTCTAGCACAGCACATATAGGTGCTACTTGAGTGGAGTGCCTTGCAAATAATAAAGAGATTAAGAGTAGTGCAGGCCAGTTATGGAGTCTAGCCTTAAGGGGTAAATGCCACACAGGTGGCCACTTACTCCCACTTACTCTGGAGGGAACAGTTCATTATGTCATGGTCTCCTTTGCATCCTTCAAGGTATAGCTTAAAGGCCAACTCTTCAATGTTCCTCTTTGAGTCCCCTTTTTCCTCTCCCTTATATCCAAAGACAATGCCTATATTTTTCAGGCAATTCTTACCACACTGTAGGTTGTATTAAAGATATCTGGGCAGATATTTGATCTCTCTTGTTTTATCCCTAACTTTCTCAATGGATTAAGCCCATTTCTTAGTCTCTATGTCTATTTCTTACGCAGGAAGGAGTTTAATCAACGTTGGGTAAATGGTTACATTAAATTTGGCACAAAGTTACTTCTTTTCAGGCTCTGATATGGCACCTCCCTTGACCCTTGTCACTGAGTTTCTCTACCTGCCTCTCTACTTTTGCCATATGCATCATGAGCCCATTGGGTGAATAAGAGCTCAGGAGCCACGATAGTGATGTTCGACATTTAGTTTGGAACTGGGGAGGTTCTGAAGGGCTAGTCTTGTATTCTGGCTCTCACAGGATGGAAAAATTAAACTGTGAGATCAACGTGGAGGCATTTCTGCTTCACAATTCCATGATGAAGTGAATTGAACTTCCCTCTAGTCAAGCATGGAACTCTGATTTCATTAATGCACTTGACATTCACTAAAGTCCTAGTATGTGCCAGGCATTTTACTGAGAGTTGGATTGATAAGGACTAACGAGTCATGACCTCTTCTCTGTAGGAAATCACGGTCTATGAGAGAAAGCAAAAGCCCTCCAACTCTACATGATATGCACTAAAGAGGAATTCACAGACTACTCTAGACAGAGGAAAAGGACCATAAAAAGCAACTGACCAAAACCCCTGAGCCTCAAGATAGCTTGAAGAAAGGCAAATGTTCCAGCTTCGAAGGCTGAAAAATCTTGGTTTAAGTTCCACTTTGGCCACTTACTGGTTGTGCAAATTTGACCATGTCAATTTCTCTCTGAACCTCATGTTCAATTGGAAGAAATACCTATCCTGAAAGGCTGTTGTAAGGATTAAATGAGCAGAATACATATCACATTCATGCCACGAATGAGCAGAGGACATTCAAAGGATAGTAACTCCCTTCTGCCATTAAACCAAATGTATAACTCTGCATAATATCTTTTTAAAGACATTAAGGATAAACTGCTGTCTTAGTTTGTTCAGTCTACTATAGCAGTTGGTTTATAAACAACAGAAATTTATTTCTTACAGTTCTGGAGACTGCAGATTCCAAGATCAAGGTGCTAAAATATTAAGTGTTTGATAAGGGTCCATTTCCTTATTCACAAATGGCCACTTCTCCCTGTGTTCTCACATGGTGGAAGGAGTGAGGGAACTCTCTGGAGTCTCTTTGATAAGGACACTCATCCCATTTAGGGGCTCCACCCATGTAATCACCTCCCAAAGACTCCACTTCCAAATATCACCACATTGGGGATTAGGTTTCAACATAGGGATTTGGGAGGACACAAACTTTCCATTTATTGTACCTGCTTTCAAGCCAATCTCTTTCATGGAAACCCATATTTCTCATAATTGAGAGAAATCTGTTTACTGGTATTGCATTTAGAGCTTCTAAGTTCATAAGAATTCAAAATAATAACCAAAATAGCTCCTGTTCCTTGAGATTTCACAGAGCTTGTAGTGGACATCATGATGCTGCACTCAGGTTTCCAGTCAGCACCTAGGCACTTATTCCCCAGCTGCCAGAAATGTGGATGGTTGACCACTCTCAGCTGAGTCCTTTTTTGAGAAATGCCTTCCTTTGAAAGGGACCACTTCACACAAGATTATGTCCCCTCTCCAGGGATAGCTCACAGCTTATGACTGGCCAATGTGAGGATAGAAAGTCCTGACATCTTTGTCTTGATTTGGAACATCACTGAAGGACCATCCCAGCCCCAGATCTCCCCATGGGATCAGCTGAGGGATTTGCTGTATGTCAGTTTGACCTCTCCTTTTGCCCAATCCCACTTTGCTCATCCTCTTACAAGAATATGTACCCCAAAACATCCTGAATGCCTGTGTCTGCCTCTGAGTCTGTTTTCTGATGATTCTGACCTAAGACAAATGCATTGTCTTATGTAATCTTTATATCAAGCTATGAAAAGGGAATTGGTATCACACTTTTCATATATGATAACTGAGGGTTTGTTTTTTTGCCCAAGTTTGCAGAGCTGGTAAGTTAAAAAGTGAGGATATGAACTCTTACCTTGCTGATTCTATTCTCTTTATCACTGCACTGTGTAGCTTTCCTGAAGTAGAGGGTTTAACCAAACTCAGCCCTGGGACACAATTCAATATCCATCTTTCAGTCTTTAGTGAGAATAAATACAAGAATTATCCATTTAAACAGCATGACTGTGCTTTTTTAAAGAAAAATCTGTAGTTGGTACTGATGTTCTGTGCCTTCCTCAAGGACCCATGTGACATGTTTCTGCTTGGGCTTATTTCCAGGGGGGAAATATGGCTTTGCAGATAGATTTGCATATCTTCTCCTGCCAGAAATTTGAAATATGGAATCCAACAAACTCCTTCCATTTTTGCTTTAGCTGCCAAGGACTTTAGGGCCAACTTGAAATGTGGTCATTTCCTTACCTCAGTCCTGATACTGTCTATTCCTCCTACTTCACAAAGACCCCTCTTTCTTTTGCACCAAAATTATGTTGTCCACTGTGCCTTTACTTAGGGATTTATTGCATAGGATGACAGAAATCATATGATGTGTGTGAATTAGAGAAGATAATCATTGCCAATCATACCCTTACTATTTCCAGGGAAACTTCTCCTCCCACAGTCTTAGATGCTCAGACAGCCAGGTGTGGTCTGATGTGATCCCACCTCCCTGGCCATTGCTCATTGGACCACAGCTGTGCACCAGAGCCAAGAGGAGTCCAACCATAGGTCAGCCAGCAGAGTAAGATGTGACCTGACAGATAGACCTCCATAGAACCCATATGATTCTTATTAACTGAGTCTGTCTTTGGAGAACTTGAATTGCATACACAAAGATGTGTTTCTTTGTTTTTACTTGACAGTGAGGTAGAAACAAGGAGAGAAGCTGAGTCATGTTAATTATAAAATACAATTTAAAGTCTCCTGCTGCTGCAGTCTCTAGATCTGCCATCAGTCTAGACTCACGCTCCCTGTCCAGCTTTGTGAAGCCTGGTTCTGTTTGGGTACATATTTTTCCCCCTGTGAAATTCTATCTTTGTTTTGTTTTATTGCTATACATGCATACACTCACCATTTGCAACTTACATGCAGCCATCCTGAATGGGCTTCTGTTTCTTGCCTCCCAAAAAAAGTGTGTGTGTATGTATATGTGTGTGAACATGTGCATGTATGTGGAATATCTACATAGATTATTATTATACATTTATATGTAATATAGTACTATATAATATATGTATGTTTCCACATATATGTGGGATAAGGAACATTTTAGAGCAAATATTGGCCTACGCAAGTATTCAAGAAGAAATGTTAGCCATCAGAAATGTTGAAAAATTGGTTGATAATAATAAAAATGTTAATATTTAGCTTCTCCTGAAGAAAATCTGAAGATCTAGTGCCACTAGCCTTTAGTTCCATGTGGCAAGAGCTGCTGGAGCTGAGTCATAGCTGCTCCATTTTAATGGAGCCTACAGTGTTTATTGTGTCCCAAACCCCACCTTCTCCTTCTCCCTATTGTTTTGCCACATCAGGGCATTTTTTTCTTGGGTGAGTGCTGCTCTTTTCCTTAGAGGTGCTGGGGATTTCTTTGGAAATCTCACTTTGTCTCCGTTTTCTCTATCTCAGTCTGTCTCTCTATATCTTTCTGTCTTTCTTATAATAAAACAAAAACAAACAACACAAGCTAGGTGAGGAGGCCTGGATGCTATTTCCCTCACACTCAGCCAGTCTTTCCTATTGATGTTAGCCACCTGGCCCCTGTGGACATCAATGACCCCTGTTCCAGAGGAGACATCTGAGTGACAGGGACATTAGCTTTTTTCTTTTCCTTTGAAATTTAATGTTTAATCATTATTTCCTATAATAAGTCAGGTGCCAGCTCAGCATTTTATCTACATGAATTTATTTCATTCCCCTATCAACTCCATGAGGTACATTCCATTAATATTCTCCTTTACAGAGGAAGTAACCAAGACCCAGGGGCACTTTGTGACTTGCCCAAAGTCAATGCCTAGTAAGGGCAGATTCTGAATTTGACCCTACTTCCCTCTCAGTCCTAAGGGCCTATCTTTCATCACTAGGTTGAATTATCTCCCATGTTTGATTTGCCTCTATCTCCCTATGGGCTTGCAACACCATGACGGGCACATTGCAAGTGCACTTAGACAAATGAGATCAGATGACCTGGGGAACGTGGCTTGTACACACCTTTCTGTGTTCTGTAGCATCAGCTAAGACCTTAAAATCAGTAAGAAAGTATCTGTCTCTCCGTTCACCCATAGGAAGCAGCTTCGTGGTGAGTGAAGGGAGCTACCTGGACATCTCCGACTGGTTAAACCCGGCCAAGCTTTCCCTGTATTACCAGATCAATGCCACCTCCCCATGGGTGAGGGACCTCTGTGGACAAAGGACGACAGATGCCTGTGAGCAGCTCTGCGACCCAGAAACCGGTGAGCCATGGGAGCCGGGATGGGGATAGAAGGTGGGAGAGGCTGGGTTGAAAGAGGCATTGTGCTCCCTCTACCTAAAGAACCATGGATTCTGAGCCATTGACAAGTGGCTGAATAAGAAGGCCCATCAATCTAATAAACACTAATGTATGTGCTGCCATTGCCTTTCAAGGGGGGAAATTCTTAGAGAGCCACAGACTCTCAGAGTAAGAAAGGACCACAGAGAACATCTGGCCTAGCTCCAGACAAGCAAAATGTCTGCACTTCAGATATCCCTGCATTCAGAGCCTATCTTCTTGGTACTAGCTGGGTGATCTTGAGCAAGACACTGCCTACCTTTCAGTACAAGAGAATGAAAATAGCACCAACCCACAAAACTGTCATTAGGATTGAATGAGAAGCTGTGTGGAAATCTCACAGCATATTCATTAATTCACTCAACAGGTATTTCTTTAGTAGCCAGGCATATTTTTAGGTATTGGGAAGACAGCAGTGATCAAAATATGCAAAATCTCCACCCTCATGAAGCTTACATGCTAGTGGGGTAGACACTAAACATGCACTGTGGAATATGGTAGCCACTAGCTACATGTGGCATTTTATTTTAAATTAATTGAAATTAAATAAAAGTAAACATTCATTTTCCCAGTCATACCACCCAGATTTCAAGTGTTCCATAGCCACACACTAGCAGCTACATTGTTGCACAACATAGATATAGAATATCTTCATCACTCTGAAAATTTCTATGGGACAGTGCTGCAGTGGTCAAACAAGCAGGTAAATTATATGACTCTGTTAGGTGATGATAGATGCCGGTGTAGGGGAAAAGAATGATGTACAAAGCATGTGGAGTGCTAAGCTGGGAGTTTGGGTGGAGTTTCATTATACAGAAAGTGGTCAGGGGAGGCCTCTCTGAGAAGATGACATTTGAGCACACACCTCAAGATGGGAGAATAAACCATGTCAATATCCGAGGGACGTGTTCCAGGCAGAAGGAGGTAAAAGAGTCAGTGGCGTGATCTCGACTCACTGCAACCTCCGCCTCCCAGGTTCAAGTGATTCTCCTGCCTCAGCCTCCTGAGTAGCGGGGATTACAGGCACGCATCACCACACGTCGCTAATTTTTGTATTTTTAGTAGAGATGGGGGGTTTCACCATGTTGGTCAGGCTAGTCTTGAACTCCTGACTTCATGATCCGCCCACCTCGGCCTCCCAAAGTGCTGGGATTACACGTGTGAGCCATCACGCCCAGCCTAATGTGCTGTTTATTTAGCACTAGTAGTGGGGCCAGGATGGGGAGTGAGAAAGAGGGGGAGTAGGAGAAGAAAGCTGAGAAGAAGAAGTTTGGGGGCATGGTGGTCCTCAGGGCCTTGTATACTATAATATGGACTTCAGATTCTACTCTGAGGAAGATGGACAGTCCTTGGGAGATTCTCAGTAAAGAAGCAACATGCTATGACCTGCATTTGAATAGGACCATTCTGGCTGCTGTGTGGTAAGTTGATTCAGGGGTGTTCAAAGGCCCTATTACTCTAATCTAGGCAAGAGTTGGTAGTGGCTTGGACCATGGAGGTAAGAGAAGAAGATGGTGAACAGTGATCAGATTCTGGATACATTTAAGAGTATACCCTCAACAGAATTTATTACTGAGAATAGAATGCAAGAAATAGAGTGGAGTCAAAGATTATCCCAAATTTTTCAGTCTGAACAATGGGACACATTGAGTTACTATTTACTGAGTCAGGGGATGCAGTGGGAAGGTCAGGGTTGGGTGAGGAAGATAAAGAGTGTTGTTTTGGGTGTAAGTTCAAGATGACTACTAAACATCAATGGAGAATGGGCATTTGGGTCCTGATCTAAGAGCCCCCTGCTAAATTGGGGTTCCAGTAGTAGAACCTCTAGCAACCCTGCCAAAATGGGAAATAAAGTGGGGCTGGGTGTGGGTGTTTACAGTGTGCCCTTCATGGGATACTTCTTTTACCTGGTGGGCACCCTAAGATCTGGTTGTCTGATGGTGACCCAGGAGTCCCTCACACAGGAAGTTTGATTACACTGGCTGCCACCCTTGGTGGTTTTTCTAACCTGTGTGCAGTTAATGCCTGCCTGACCATCAGTCTGGTGCTGGGAGCCTGCACTTGTGTTCTCCCCAACATCCAGGGCCTAGGATAGCCCCTGCTTCTTCAAACAGAAGGCACAGATTCAATTAAACACCACAATGGGAAACAAGTTCAAGGATTAATTACTTACAGATCCTGAGTCAGGAAGGCAATCTTCTGTCCCTGGGTCACAGGAAGCAAGACAGGAGTGAAGAATCAGGCAGAGAGAGAGACAGAGAGAGAGAGAGAGAGAGAGAAGTATGTACTGGGGAATAGGATATGGGTCACTTTAAGTTCATGAGCAAATGTCTGAATGATACCTGTAAAGGAAGTGACAAGAAAGCAGGAAGCCCATCTGCTAGGTGGGAAAGATGCCTCTAAGTTCTTATCTCTGGCCACTGGCTTGGGCCATTTTGGTGTGGTGGTCTGCTTCTGTTGTCCAGGCAGCCACCTTTGCTGTGTCATTTCCATTGCAGGCACGTACCTGGATTGACCACATTGAGGAACTGGAAGGAAGTGTACAACTATAAATTTTGTCAAGGATGACTGAGCCCTACTTCTGATGGAAAAAATTAAACTTGTATTTTAAATGGGTGCCAAGACAACATAAAATTATAAGAACTCTCGCCTGTAATCCCAGCACTTTGGGAGGCCAAGACAGGTGGATCACTAGGTCAGGAGATCAAGACCATCCTGGCCAACATGGTGAAACCCTGTCTACTAAAATACAAAAAAAAAAAAATAGCTGGGCTTGGTGGCACATGCTTGTAGTCCTAGCTACTCAGAGGTTGAGGCAAGGGAATTGTTTGAACCCAGGAGGTGAAGGTTATAGTGAACTGAGATCATGCCACTGCACTCCAGCCTGGTGACAGAGCAAGACTGTGTCTCAAAAAAAAAAAAAAAAAAAAAAAATCGACTACAGGTCCACAACTCAAATTCAAAGAAGAAGTCTTAGCTGGGGATAGAAATTTGCTAGTCTACAGCATCTAGATGACATTTAAACCCATGAGACACTATCTTATTTATACTAAATGCTCATTAAATGGGTAGTATCTTATTCATAGTTGATACTCAATAAATGATGTTCTTATTGTCCTCAAATAGAGAACAGGAGCCAGAAAGAAAAAGGAACTTACCAAGGTTTCAAAGCAAGTTACAAGTGAAGCCAGGATTAGAACCTCAGGTTTCCTTACTTTCAGTCTTCTGCTTCCCCCTATAATTGTTATTGGTCTGTTTTCTCTGGAACTTCATCTTTCTCTCCATTCACAAGAGTCTGGCTGGCTTGCACGAAAAACTGGTTACGTGAATACCATGACAACAGCCTCTGTGCAGAGGTCAGAGGTCTCAGTGCTCAGTGTAGTAGTCCAGGTCAAGGATCTCCTCCCTCTATTTGAGGATTTCTTCACCTCTCAATGGGACACCTGTTCAGAAGTAAGGAGACGACTTCTCCAGGTTAACTTTTGTGTCTCTGCCAGGTAGGGCCATGATTTGGCTTTATAACCGCCATTCCCTCTAATTGTTTAGTCAGGAGCCTGTTTCAGCATATTTTTTGTAGCCTCTATATAGGCCAACTGGGCCAGGTGCGATGCCTCACACCTGTAATCCCAGCACTGAGAGGCTGAAGCAAGTGGATCGCTTGAGCCCAGGAGTCCAAGACCAGCCTGGGCAACATAGTGAAATCTTGTTTCTACAAAAAAATACGAAAATTAGCCAGGCATGGTGACACATGCCCATAGTCCCAGCTACTCTAGAAGCTGAGGTGGGAGGGTTGCTTGAGTCCTGGAAGTCGAGGCTACAGTTAGCCATGATCATGCTACTGCACTGTAGCCTGAGCAACAGAGTGAGACCTTGTCCCAAAAATCAATCAATAAATAAATAGCCCAACTGGAGAAGCTATGTGAAAATGTAACACAGCTCTTATGCATCATATGACCAGACAGCCAAGCTTCTTTTTTTTAATCAAGATATTTAAGCTTTAAGTCACTGCCACCCTAACCAGTACCCCAACACGCAAAACACACACACACACACACACACACGCGCGCGCGCGCGTGAAAGAAACACAAATTCTAGGATATTCTTACCCAAAAGCCAGGTAAGCCCTTGTGGGATTATATATCTCTGCATCTGGCCCCTTAGATTTTTTTTTCCATTATTTTTCCTTGAAAAGGAAGCAAGATTATTGGTGGAAGGAACAGAAGGGGTCCCCTTCTTTGCCTCCATCTGTGAAGCCCAGTAGACAAGTGGTGAGTGCCTGTGGGTCTGACCTTCTAGCTCCCCAGCTGATCTGCTTTCAGGTGCAAGTTTGTGGTTTCTAATGCTGTTCTCCATTAGACACAGGCTTGAGGGCATAATTCTAAACAGCGGGTCATCCAAGGTGTGTGTTAGCCAGTTTGAAAAATAAGGCACTCTTCCACCAATAGCCTCTAGATTTAAATACACACACACACACACACACACACCACTCTTTAGAGCTGGAAATATCACTGGAATCCACTAGGTCCACCTCCTCAACTTCATGGCTGATTCTACTGCCGCCCAGAGAAGACAGGGGACAGGACGAAGATCACACAGCTGGCAAACTGCAAAGCCAGGATATAAAGCCAGGTTTCCATGCCTTCAACCAGTGCTTCTGAAACCTCAGCAGGTCTGGAGTTAAGCCTGAGGTTCTGCATTTCTAACAAGCTGGGAGCTGTTGCTGATGCTTCTGGCTCAAGGACTACCCTGTTGCAGCAAGGCTCTGAACACTCCCAAATAGTCCACCCGTGTTCTGCACTCACAGGGGATGACTCAGTTGCCAAATTTGTTAGTTTAATTATCTTGACAAAACTGTGTCTGTTTCTTTCACCTCATCTTCTGCCTGTATTTGCCTTGTGTCCTGGGTTCTAGGTACACTACCCATGTGCAGTTTCCTGAAGGCACCATGCCCTCGCATGCCTCTGTCCCTTTCACAGAAAAAGAAAAATGTCTTTTTCCTTTTAATGGGAGAGCAAGGGCTTCTTTTTATTTCCTACACGTTCAGCCCAAACACTTTTCCTCCTACAGGTGGCATTCCTGAACCCCTCTCTCTAGCCCTGAACAGATGAAGGGGCCCTCCCACCTACTGTCATAGCCTTCTGTGCTTCCATATGTCATGGCTTTGTTCCTCTATGGAGTCATTGTTCTTTCCTTGTCTGGAACTATCACCAGACTGTAAACTTTGCTGGAGCAAGGCGGGAGGTTCAAGATGTCTGTTTCACTTTTCTTGCTATCTTTAAAATTCAGCATAATGCCTGACATGTAATTAAGAGACAAAGAATAATACAAGCAGGAAGGAAGAACGGAATTTTCCTCCTGATGCTTCTTGAAACAATTGTATATACCAATTCTAGTTTTTCCCCTTTTATCCATTTACATAAGAACTCAAGTTAAATATTTTGCAGATCTAGAAAAACTGGGTCGCCAACAACTGTGCAGCATCCATGTATCTGAATTCTAGGATACCCTGGTCTTACTCTCTTATTCCAACACATCTCCAACATCATCCCTCTTTCCATTGCTTACTCTGCTCATACTCACAATTATTCCCCAAACATTCCCATGTAGTTTCACCTTCTGACTAGAGTTCAACTCGTCTCTCCACCTGAAATGTCTTCCACCCTTTAATCATCTACCTTCCACAATCCTACTCATTTAATTTCTTCTTACTTCTTCTCAGTAGAATGGATTACTTCTTCTACAGAATCATCAGAGTTCTTTGTTGACTAAAAACCAGATTAAAACTTGAGTTACTGTTTGAAAGTTTATCTCCCCTGCTAGAAAGTCAACTCCTTAGGGCCAGAGATCATATTTATTCCTATATTCTTTCCACCGCAATGCCCAGCAAAGCACCTTGCTCTAAGTCACTCAAGGCATAAATGGATAGGACTGTCTACAGGTAGAAAATTGAAATAGGAACATAAGATCCCTAAATATATTTTCATGGGGCTTAACTCAGATCCACTTTGTAAAATTTAGTTCAATTCATTAGATTCAATTCAAGCAAGATTTTCTTAATTCTGCAACTCATAAGTCGGTGTGTTGAGTGTTATGGGAAATCACAGACAAATTGCACAATATTCTTACCTTCATGGATTTTACATTCTCACAGGTATAAAAATAATCTGCTCATATATAGCTATTATCAAAAACACAGTGTAGTATAAATCAAGAGCAATGCATTAACAAAGTGCCCCATGCCTGAAGAACAGGGAGAAATGTATTCTAGATGGGGATTTCAGGAGATACATCATGAAGAAGATGACCTTTCAGCTCAGCTTTGTAAAATCAATAGGGACTATGAGTATGGAGGGTGCTTTAGCAGAGGGAACTTGATTTTTTGAAAAACAGAAAAGTTTATAATGATTCTAGGACTCAGAGGTCAGTTTAGTTGTACTGCACCCTCTGGAGAATGAGGTGCAGGCAGAGCACTGGGAGAGTGGCAGGGGATGAGGTTGGGAAGGTAATATGAAGAGAGGTCATTAAAAGGTAAGGATCCAAAGACTTTGAGAACATCTGTTCTCACAAGCAGATGAGTCCACCTGTTTTGGAGAGCATCTAACTCCCTAAAAGAACAGCTAGAACTTTCTCCACTCTTTGCTTCCCATCAGGAATTAGAATTTGGGGAAAGTCATGGAAAAACTAAACCCTGAAGCCCTATGTATATTTAGGTCTTGATATGTCAAAAGTGGCTTAGCTTCTTTTAAAGAAGTCTCTCCTTTGTGAGTCAAATCTGTAGAGCTGGACAGAGTCATGGAGTCAAAGCACTGGTTATCATTCCTTAAAGCTTTTCTGGATGTGTTGATAAGAAAAATTTTTTCTCCCAAGTGACAGGGAAGGAGAAGGAAAGTGGAGAAGATGCTACAGCTGAAACATATATATAATTGTCTTGGTGCACAGATGAACCTGGCCAAGTTTTCCTGGCTGCATGCCACAGCCCATTTCCAGTGTGTTTTTCCAGGGATTTCAACAATTAGTGCCACCCACAGGGATGACTCTGGAATTAGATCTGTGATGTGCTGGAGCCAGCTCACATGGCATCATGAGAGTTGACTGTTAACATCTTTTCCCAACTCTTTGTTCAGTGATGGCATGTTGATAGCCTGAAAATATGCTATGGTGAGGATGTTTACACCAACACAATTGGTAAATGCAACAAAATCAGAGTTTATTTTTTTCAGAAAGACAATCATTAAACATTTACCAGCACAACACTGGATGAGATGAGAACAAACCAATGAAAGACCAAGGCAAAAAAGTGGCTAGTGGAGGCTTGAACATGTCACCAGAGTGACATTATGCTCCTTCCCAGGACAGACTACCATTATCTTCATCTCTCTGAGGACAGAAAGTGAACATCCAAGGACTACTTGCTCTGGTCCAGTAAAATGCAACACCACACAGTTTAAATCATTAGGCTTTGACTCTCAAGAATATCAATGTGGGTAATGTCTTATTGCGAAACAGCTTTATTAAAGTTCTGCACATCTGTGGCATCACACCAAGTTCTGTAAATAAAACCTTTGACAATATGGTCTACAACACATAAAGCAAATGACAGCGGAACACTAACTCATTCTTTCATATGTTTATTCATTCATTCAAGCATGTAGTGAACCACAGTAGAATTGGGATATCTTCCTGAGTCAGACACAGCCAGGTTTAAATTCTCTCTTCTCTGTTTCCTGGTTGTAGGGAGCTTGGTAAGTCATTTAACATATTCAAGCCTTATTTTTTATAACTAAAAATGAGAAGAATAATTTCAACTTTTTAGAGTTGTCATAAGGATGAGATGAAAAATAAAATTTAAAATGCACTGGTGCAGTGGATAATATATGGTGGAAACCCAATACAAGGTTTTCTCTTATTTCTATAATCATTTATTCAGTCATGTGTATCTTCACTTATTAATTCAATAAATATTTCATGAGACGTTTAATCCAACAATGTGCATAACATTAGATTATGTGAGAAGAAAATATGATATCATCTCTGCTAACCAGCTAGTAGCTAACCAGCTGAAGGAGGAATTTAGAGTAAGCTAGACATTTCTATCTGCTGAACTTTTATTTAGTCCTTGTGTGACTTCTGAACTTTTGCAATGAAAAAAATTACTGGCCAGGCATGGTGGCTCGTTCCTGTAATCCCAGAACTTTGGGACGCTAAGGCAGGTGGATCACTTGAGGCCAGGAGTTCGAGACCAGCCTGGCCCACACTGTGAAACTCTGTCTCTACTAAAAATACAAAAATTAGCTGAGCGTGGTGGTACATGCCCATAATCTCAGCTACTTGGGAGGTTGAGGCACAAGATTTGCTTGAGCCTGAGAGGCGAAGGTTGCAGTGAGCTGAGATTTCACCAGTGCACTCCAGCCTGGGTGACAGAGTGAGACTCTGTCCAAAAAAAAAAAAAAAAAAAAAAAAAAAAAAGAAAGAGAGAAAGAAAGAAAGAGGAAAGAAAGAAAATAATTACTAACCTTCAATCTTCAACCCTCATGTCAACTTTGCCACAAATTTGCCAGTCGACCTTGAGTATGTTACATACCGTGAACTTCAGATTCCTTCTCTTCAACAAAGCAATGAGTGGGGACATACTTTTAGTGCAAGAAGAGTTCCTAGCCATCATCTAGTGTAATCAAATGAGGAGACCAAGACCCACCAAGGCTAAGCACATTGCCCTGTGTCACACCGTAAATTAGTGGCAAGATACAAATTAAAAGTCTAAATAATTTCTAGGATATTCTCCGCTCAAAATCCATGTTTCTATGACCTTTTAAGCACTAATAACTTAGCATGTAAGTATGATTGAAACAATTTGTAAATGGCATTTATAGCAAATTGAATTTTCTTTCCACAATTGATATGAACTTCAGTCATGTTCACCATTACATTCAGTTTATTTCCATGTCTTCAGCAGCCACTTTTCATTTGTAGTAGGATATGAAATGAGAATACACTGTATGTGGTTATGTCATATAGCAATCTTATATTGTACTAAATATTTCTAATGTTTACAGATTGTTTCTAGTATTTGCTGAGCTCTGTGTTACTAAAGTTTAAAGGGATACAGGATTTTTATGAAGCTATAAATTCCAAGAATCTACAGTGATGGAGAAATTCCCTGTTTTGAAGGAAGTGGTATCTTTAGGGCTTTCTATGTGGTAGAGCATATATATTGAAGTATGGCAATAAGTAGGTAAAATCCACAGTAAGATATGCTGATATTTGTTTATAGAGAACCAACTTTCTGGCAGACTGTAGAGGGGACATTTGTATATGGGTATATACATTATAAAAGTCTTGGTCTTTGCTCACCTTGTTTATTGCTGTATCTGGAAATGAAACAGTTCCTGTATCAATACATCTTTTCTTGGATGCATGGATGCATGGATGTATGGATGGATGTATGGATGGATGGATGGATGGATGAAAATCAAATTTCAGCTGCTAAAGTGTCAAGGCTTGTTCAATGAGTAAGGTGTAGGCTTCTTGTGTCAGCACCATGGAGAGTTCTCAGGGTGCTGACAACACTCTGGCTAAAGTGTGTGTTTGCTAAATAAAGACTTGCTCAGAGATACCTAATCCTTTTCTGAAACTCACCTTTTCCCCTGACTTGGGCAGCACTGGTCTTTTCTGAACTCAAATAAGGTAAATTCTGTCCTTTATATGTTCAGAATTAGTCATATACAAATGAGTCCAGAGAGCCTCAACTGGGGATATCCTCCATGAAACGAGTCCCTCTGATCCTCAGAACCCATATTGCTCTCCACCTCACCACTCATTTGTCATGAATTTTACTAGAACCTGAATTAAACAGAAGTCATCTGAACTTATTATCGATTAACGAACATGATACTTTGTTATTCAGGCATGAAAGATAATGGAATTAAGCTTTTTAAAATATTTTCCAACAAAAGTAATTGAAATGACAAGAAACCAAAGTTTTCTGCTTACATTCCATGAAACAAGTCAGTAACTCATAAATCCCATTTCTCTCATCAGATTAATCCATTCAATGCAGATTCATTATCTATATATAGCAGATGGAGTGTTAGACAACAGCCAAATACAGCCAATAGTTAAAAGAGGTACAATGGAATTTTGGTGAGATATCAAGAAGTACATGAACATTGAAGTGACAATAACAACATCTAAAATTATTAGGCACTTATTGTGTACCAAACACCATGCAAAGACTTTATATAGCTATTCTCAGTTATTATAATAACACTTCTAGGTAGTTATTTTTGCTTCAATACAAGTAGCTATGTCTTAAAGTAGTTGATTGACATTCTCAAGTTCATATATTTACTAAGTATTACTGCTGGGATTTGGCCAAGCTACTGTTTTAAGGAGTTAGCATGTGAGGAAATTTGCTTAGCATTGAGAAAAGAGAGGCATTCTGGGATTCCCCCTTTGATAGGTATTTGTATAGAATTCTCAGAGGCAGGCATGAATCCTTTGGACAAAGAATTTACTGAATAAGTTGACTTGAAAAAAACAAAAATACTGAATTGAATTGAGGGCAGGGAAACAATACAGAACTGAGAGGTAGAAGGAACTGTGACAGCATGTATGGGTTGTAGGGAAACTACTTTTTATCTCTGTTTGGTAGTCTTGATATATTTGGTTTAAATGTGTTGTAAAATGTTATGTTGTAGAAGATGTTTAAGGTCTTTTAAGAAAGGACAATCTGTGTCTAGGATGAGGTCATAAAATTTCAGGGAGCCTGCAAAGCAAGCACCAGGCCTGACTGTTCAAAAATTTAGAAGGTCAAGAAGGTTAGGGTAAACTACAAAAGAGACTATGAAAACTTTTTCTTATTGGGAACTTGCCAGTCCCATTGAAAGTCCAAGGCAACCTTTGCTTCTGAACTTGAAAGAAAAAAGGTTGTCAGAGATCTGAAATCTCACACCACAAAGCTGCATATAGGAAGAAGGTAGCCTCAGGTATTTCTGATGATTATAGGTACCAAAAAGGGGAAGTGCTCAGCTTTTAAGACCAGATTTTAACATCATAAATATAATCTACTGACATTTAAATTAGAGACTATATTTAATTTTATCTAAAAAATGTGTTAAAAAATATATTGGTCTTCTAAAAATGGCATATGTCCTACTATTTAAAAAATAAATCCAGGAAGGTTCTAAATATATATGCAAAACCTTACAATAAATATATTATCAATAAACAAATGTATGGAAAAAAAGATAATAATGAAGCCTAGGTTGGAATTGAGAGTGTTATTAGGATATAAAGCCATGTTGTAAAGAGTTCCATATTTGTTAATGGGGAGTCATTTCTTCTAGCCAATGTAATAGAGTTAGTGATGGTGCTGTTTCTTCTGCATGGGACAATCTGTTCCTCATCCAGCCCCACTTCTTATAAACTGTATTCTTTAGTTGGTTCACTCCTCCTTATCTTTCTTGTTTCAACTTAAAATGTCACTTCCTCAAGGAAGTGACTTTCTGTACTAGTTTATTTCCCCAATGCATTATGCTCCATTGGTGCTATTTTTCCTTTATAGTAAATAGTAATAATGGTGCACATTTATACAGTGATAACTGTCAGCCACTCTTCAAAGCCTTCACATATATTATCTCATTTAATCTCTCAATAATTATATGAGGTAGATGTGATTATATTTTAAATAAATTAAGACACATACACATATGTATATAGTTTATGTACCACTAAGAAAAAATACTGCCAATAATAATAATCATACTATACCATACTATACTAATAATTATCAGATAAGTCCTCAATTTAGGAATATTAAAATATGGGGGCTGGGTGTGGTGGCTCACACTTGTAATCCAGCACTTTGGGAGGCCAAGGTGGGAGGATCACTTGAGTTCAAGTGAACTTGAGATCAAGTGAACTTGAGTTCAAGGTGGGAGGATCACAAGGAGTTCAAGACCAGCTTGGGAAACATAGTGAGACGCTGTCTCTAAAAAAATCTGAGAAAATTAGCTGGGCATGGTGGCATGCACCTGTAGTCCTAGCCACTTGGAGGCTGAGGTGAGCAGAGTGCTTGAGCCTAGGAGTTCAAAGTGTCAGTGAGCTATGATCACACCACTGCAATCCAACCTGGGTTACAGAGTGAGACTCTATATCTAAAAATAAATAAATAAAAATGGAAATAAAAATAAAATGTCAGAAGTTGCATGCCTTAGAATTAATGTAATGAAATAGTGTTATCGTCTCATTTTACAAGTGAGGAAACTAAATCACAGTTAATGGATTTTTTCCAAAGTCATTTAGGAAGTGATGGTGTCTAGATTTGAAACCTAGAAGTCTGGCCTCAGAATTTACCCTCTAAACCACAAGCCTATGCTATCAGCACATAATTACAACCTTGAATGATACATTTATTTGTGTCATTCTTTGTTCAATTGCTAGCTATCTAAAAAACTGTGTGCCTTATAAAGGCAAAGATTGTGTCTGCATTATCCACTGCTTTTTCCTCATACCCAACCCATTGTCTAACACACTGTTGATGTTTAAAAATGAATGGTGGAATTAGTACATGAAAGATGAAATATTGAATTCAGAGAAAAACTCCATGGCCTCTAATCCCAGCTTTGTAATTTACCCATAGTATGACCTTTGACAAGTCCCCTTTTCTCTATGGGCCTCATATTCTTTATTTATAATACAAAGAGCATTTCCATTAGATTTTCCCTGAGTACTCTCCAGCTCTGAAGTTCTGTATACTGAAAATCTTTATTGAAAGCCAGTGTTCTGGCTTTGAAATATGTAGAATGAAGAAGACCACTGATTCCTGATCTCTTGAAGGATAGATAACATGTGAACACATGAAACTTGTACTAACACAAGTGTTTACACTTAATAAGCATCTTGTGGTGGTCAAGAGCTTGCACTCTGGATTCAAATGGATGAAGATTCAAATCCCAGCCCACTTGGGTCCTGCACAAGTTTGGACACTTTGCTGACCCTTCCTACACTTCTGTTTTTCTCAGAGGTAAAATAGTGGTAAGAATATCAACATGGCAATCCTTGGAGGGTAATTATGAGGACTGAGCTAGATAAAGTGTATTATGCACTGAGCACAATACTTGGTACTTAAAGCTCAACAAACATTTGGTATTATTATAGCTGTGACTAAAACATGGATTGAGTGAAATGAATATATCCTAAAAAAGTTATTGTGAGCCTTAGCAATCAGGGAAGGCTTCCTCTGGTGGGGGTGGAAGATAATAGAACTGAATCATGAAGCAAGAGAATTATTGTGATAGAACTCCACTGTCCAATCCAGTAGCTGTTAGCCATTATTGGCCATTTAAATTAAAATGTAAATTAATTAAAATGAAATAAAATGTTAAATTTAGCTCCTCAGTCACATTCACCATATTTGAAATATTCAGCAGTCACATCTGGCTGGTGGCTTTCATATTGGAGAGATATAGAGCATTTCCATTGTTGCAACAAGCTCAATTAGACAGTGCTGTGACAGAGTAAAGAGCAGAACTATATTTCATATATATTTCATTTCATTCAAAATATTTATTGAGTGGCAATGCTGTGTTAGACACTGTGCTGTGTTTATGTACTGATATTCAACAGGAAGAAAATTCAGATCCACTGCCTTACCTAATAGTGTTTAGTCCAGTGCAGGAGTCAGCAAACTATAGCCTATAGGCCAACTGCTGTTTTTTTGTAAATTAGTTTTTATTTAAACACAGCCATGCTCATTAGCTTACATATTGCCCATGACAGCTTTTGTGCTACAACATCAGAATTGAGCAGTCACAACCCTATGGCTTGTAAACCTGAACATATTTGTCATTTGGCTCTTTACAGAAAAATTTTGCCAATTCCTGGTCTATTGAATTCATTTAATGTTTTGATGTCCAAGTTGAAAAAAATGGCTTTGGTATTTATTCATTCATTCATGTATTTGTTCACTGAACGTTCAGTATATATTTATCAAGCACCCAATTTAACCAGGATGTGAGGCTCTGACAGAAGAAAGAAAACAAAACAAAACAAAAAAATCCCTGCCACCATGTAACTTACATTCTTGCGGGGCAGGGGACAGGCACAGAGCTAAAATATATATAGTAATATAGTTAAAATATATATATATATATATATATATCATGTACATACTATATAAAGTATACTATATATAGTATGTTATATATAGTACATACATACATATATAAAGTGCTATATATATACTGTATATACATATATAGAGTATATGAATATGTAGAAATATATAATGTACTATATATAATATATGATACACTTTATCATGCTATTTACTAAATATATTTCGTTACTATATATGAAATATAGTAATTTATATATTTTATTACTATATATAGATACTGTATATAGTAACTTATGTACTTTATTCCTATATATAGTATCTATAGTAATGAAATTGTATTGCTGTATATACTATATATAGTAATAAAATTATAGTGAATAACGTGATAAAGTGTATCACATGTTAGAAGATGAGGGGTGTGTGTGTGTGTGTGTGTGAAGCCTGTAGAAAGAGGGGGCTGTACATGTTGCAGAAATGGTTGCAAATTTGAGCAGACTGTTCAAGACAGGCACAACCGAAAAGGTGTGGGAGCAAAGCATGCCTTGTGGATATCTGGGGAAAGCATAGTGTAGGTAAAGGGAACAGGCTGTGCAAAGGCTCACAGGGGTGATTGTGCCTTGCATATTTGAGGAAGATCATAGAGGCTAATGTGCTGGGTTGAACTGGGTACTAGAAGGATATTAGGAGATGGGATCCCAGAGCGTTCAGAGGGCCAGAACCCCTGGGTTGGCCTTGCAGAACATTGTAAAAACATTAGCATTTTCATTTGCCCTGAATGCAATGGGGAACCACTGGAGAAGTCTGAGCAGAGGGGTGACGTCATCTAACTTCTATTTTAAGAGTATCACTCTGGCATCTCTATTGAGGAAACATCTGTAGGAACAGAGGTAAACATGTTGGAAGGGAGACTGATGGGGAAGACTGATGTGATGCCAGAGATGGTGGTGGCTTGGATCAGGGTGGGAAAAGCCAAGGCAGAAAGAAGCATTCAGAATCCAGATATTGCATTTCATTCATTGCTATTATTTAGTGTGCATCACTTATGTGCCAGGCATTGTGCTCAGTATTGGAGGTAGTTAGCAAAAGAAGCTGCTGTCTATGCCCCAGGGAGGTTCTGGTGAACTGATTTCATGCTTTGACATCAGAGTTGAGGAACCTGCTCGTTGTGTGTCCCCCATGTGTTTGAGCCCAAGACCCAGTTTTTATACCATCTCTAAAGATAGGACCTAGGAGATGACAACACCAACTCAGGGTGAAAGGAGAAGAGAAACACTGAAGCAGGTATGTGATACAAGTGAGAGGGTGAATAGAGCTTTGCTGATCCTTTTGTCAAGCAGGGCTGGGACCAGAATGAACTGAATGAGGCACCTCAGGCAAAAACTTCAAGGAGGCACTCATTTTTAGGTGATAACCCTGTCCTTACACAATTCTACATGCCCTCTTAAATGTGGAGGGAAAAATATTAATTAATGACCCTTGCCTCTACCCCTTCTCCTGAGAAGCCTTTAAAGACTCTGCTGAGATAACAAGTAGGATTGGGCACTGTGGAGGCATATAACAAAAGGCTCCAGGGGTGGGAGGAGCCCTACAGATTATCTGGCCCAAGGCTTCCTTCTACACCTGATTAGCTTGAGGTTTTGGGAGGGTTCATTTAGTAATTCAGTAACTTAGTGGCAGAGAGGAGGCTGCAACACTACCATAATGGTGCTTAATTTTCTTCCTCTTGAGAACATATTAAGCAGTCAAAATATTTTATCCTTGGGATGTAAGCCCCCATCCTCCCAGCTCCAAACTTGAGCCATTACATTTTGCATGGCCTCTTGCCACATGTGAAGGTGGTGCTGGTTTCTGGCATTGCTTTTCTGGGCTTGTCTTGAAGGGATGTGCTCAGGTACGCTCATTCATATAAATAAGTGTTTCAGTGCAGAGGATCTGGGGCATGTGTGTTCCTCATAAGCTTCATTAATGTCTTTGTTTCATAGACATTGACTGAGCCTGAAGATTGAGTCAGTCACCAGGGAGAGAAGCAAAAGAGACACCACTGGCCCCTTCCAAGAGCTCATGATCAAGCTGCATGAATGCTGGGCTCTGTTTTGTTTTTTAGAGAGGCAGTCAGGGCAACATGGAAAGAGCCTAGGACTGAAATCAGACAGACCAGGGCTGAAATCTTGTCCTGAATGCAAGGGGGAACCACTGGTGGAGGCTGAGCAGGGGCTCTGCCCCTGACTCTGCCCCTGACTATTGGTATAATTTTGAGCAATTCACTTAATTTCTCCAAGCCTCAATTTTCTGCTTTTTTTTTTTTTTTTAATAAGAGGGAGAAGTATTCACCTTTGGTAAGTTATTGTGACGATTATTATCGGTACGAA
This sequence comes from Homo sapiens, assembly GCF_000001405.40. Classification (NCBI taxonomy): domain Eukaryota; kingdom Metazoa; phylum Chordata; class Mammalia; order Primates; family Hominidae; genus Homo; species Homo sapiens. Next base: position 116,991,526 of record NC_000009.12, on the reverse strand, counting down.
GTATCTGCTACATTATATGGAAAAGATATGTGTTCAACATATGGGAATTATTGAATCAGGGACAAAAAGAACCCCCCAATGCTGGCAATACTTAACACACAAAAGACTTAATCATGATGAAATGGAAGGCATGATGACAGATTTCTGTGCAGAAGGGACCTCTAGGAAACCATTTGAAATGCAGCACTTAGCAGTAGCACTTGCCTTTTCTGGTTATTTGATACTGCCTGTAGGGAGTCTGCCCATTGCAGCACACTATCCTCTCTCCTTTTGCTAGACTGAAGGCAGCATTTGATTCAGTGTGGATGACTAAAGGCCTCTGAATAGAAGGAGGAGTATGTGTTTCTGTGTGTATGTGTGTGTGTGTGTCCCCACCTTTTGGCTACCGTGATGAATGGTCTGTTATGTCCCTGCCTTTTGGCTACGATGTTGAATGGTCTCTTAATTAAAATTTCACTAGATGGTTTGAGTTTCTACCAGAAAATGGGAGTATGTGATGGGCAGTTGGAGTATGGATTTACGTTGCTAACACCAGGACTCTTCCTTTGGACAGGGCATCCAGAATTCAAAATGTCCCACACAACTCAGGTAAGTTCAGGTGACCTTACCCAGTGTGGTGTGAACAGCCCATCACACTCTCCAATGGCCAGAAGTGAACCTAACAATGAAACCTGACTCTGTAGTGAAGCCTGATGCAGGCTGCTTAGACACACGTTGCTTAATTTTAATGACTCACAATGATTCTCCATTATATCCCAGGAAATGTACTGTAAAAATGTTTTGTAAAAGAATGAGAGCCTTGGTAATGGGAACCTGCACTGTTCTGCAATTAAATCATTGCCAGAAAGTGGGGGCTGTAGTGTGCTTGTTTGTTTGAGAGTGGTGCAAAGGCAGTGGAGTGAATGGAAGGGAAGACAAGGGAAGAGAAAGAAGGAAAATTAAAGAACTCTAAGAAAGGCTGGGTGTGGTGGCTTATGCACGTTATCCAAACACTTTGGGAGGCTGGAGGAGGCAGATCAATCACTTGAGGCCAGGAGTTAGAGACCAGCTTGGCCAGCATGGTGAGACCTCATTTCTACTAAAAAATAGAAAACTAGCCGAGCATGGTGGTGCATGCCTGTAGTCCCAGCTACTCGGGAGGCGGAGGCAGGAGAATCGCTTGAACCCAAGAGGCAGAGGTTGCAGGAGCTGAGATCGTGCAACTGCATTCCAGCCTGGGTGACAGAGCGAGACTTTGTCTTAAAAGCAAACAAACAAACAAAAGAACTTTTAAGAAGAAAGGAAGGGGGAAATTGATTTAACAGGAAATGACTGTACTCTTTTTTGGTGGCACCTTTATGTGCCATGTCTTATTTCATCTTCATATTGAACCTTAAAGAAGGCAGACCATACTTTTTTATATTTGTGGATAAGGAAATTAAAGTGGATTTGGGGATTTTACTTGGACCTCTCTGACTCTAAACTCAAGTTATTTTTACTGCAGAGCATTCTAAAAGAAAAGGAGACATAGAGAAAGACAAATAGTAAAGAACATAGACACACAGTGAGAAAGAAAAAACAGAAGCAGAGACCAAAGAGAGAAACCGAGGCTGTGACAAAAACAACGTTGAGAAACAGAAAGAGAGACAGAGATGAAGCAAAAGAGAGAAAACATAAAGCAGAAGCCTGTAATCCCAGCACTTTGGGAGGCCGAGGCAGGCGGATCACCTGAGGTCAGGTGTTTGAGACTAACCTGGCCAACATGATGAAACCCTGTCTCTACTAAAATTACAAAAATTAGCTGGGCCTGGTGGCGGGTGCCTGTAATCCCAGCTACTAGGGAGGCTGAGACAGGAGAATCACTTGAACCCAGGAGGTGGAGGTTGCAGTGAGCCGAGATTGCACAATTGCATTCCAATCTGGGTGACAAAAGCAAAACTTCATCAAAAAAAAAAAAAAAACCCAAATATAATCAGAAATGAGATTAGCAAAGTGAAAATTAGCTGGGTTCAGCTGAATGTACACATTACGTAAAATGGTATAATATTCCAGATGGAAGGGACTGGAAATGGCAATCCTCTTGTTTCCTGGGGAAGCTAGCTGTGACCCTGACCATCTGCCTGCAATTGAGGCTGAGGTCACTCTGAGAAAGGAACCCCTCAGAAAGAGCACACAATCCAGCTTCTCTTCTTTTTTCTCAAATTCCTAACTAGAGAAAAGCAAAGGTCCCTCTCCTCTCTGACCCCTTCTGGATCTCTAGACTGCCTTGTCTGATGCCATGGGCAGGACACACAGGTATGGCCCATTGCACTCAAAGTGCACTCTGGAAAATCATTAGTATTTTTGCTATAATTGTATAAATGGAATTTAATTTTAAATTCCCAAAGATAGCTGCTGCTTGGAAAAAAAAATGTCAATGAGTCTCTTCTGTGGAGTGAAGAACCCTTTTGCAAAATGAATAATTACTCTTGGCTTAATTTATTTTGTGTATTTCACTTTGCTGTTTCAGGTTTTGTTCAGGTGGGGAATTGAATTATTAATCATCATGTGTTCTGAATGGTTTAAGCATATATTTTATCCTCATGGCATTCTCATGAATAAGGGAGAACAGAGTTGTGTTCCCCATCTTTCAGGTCAAAATGATGAAACTCAGAGAGATGAGATGACTTGAGTAAGGCCACCCAGCAATTTGCAGGAAAAGAGAGCTCCAGGATCCCATGAAGTGGACAACCACATAGCAAGATCTCATCTACATTCCTTTAAGCTCCTATAGAAGTATGGTAGATGGCCAAGTAGGGTCACAAAGGGCATTTTGATGAGACACCGGGTTGTGCTGAGTTCATTCATTTTATATGGTACAGTTGAGGTGAGGGGCTCTGACTTCAGAGTCAAGCAGGTCAGGGTTCCAATCTTGACCCTGTTGCTTTCTTGCTATATGAACTGAGGTCAAGTCATTTAACACTTTGCGGCTTCAGTTTCCTCCTGTATAAAATCAGGACATGAGCACCCGCTTCACAGGGTGGTTAAGTGGATTGAAGGCAAAAAGGTGGATCAAAAGTGGTCATGATTAACAAACTTCATGAGCATCTCTTGGTATTTTCCTTTTTCTAAGTGATAACCAAGAGGTCTGGAATAAGAGCCATGGTCAGGAAAGCCACCAGCTCCCTAATAGTAGTCATAGCAATAGCAGGTGATACTTATGGAGCCCATTTTTCATGTTGCTCAATGAGAAGAGTGGGCATGATTAACTTAGAAATAAGGAAGCTGAGTCTTGGGTGGAGACAGGAAGTTTTACAAAGTCACTGAGCTATTGATTGGCAAATGCATATCTCTAATTCCATTCTGACTCCATTGCCTGTCTTCTCTACTTTTAAATTTGTCTCTCACCACCCTAACAACTGAATTCAGCATTTGAGAATGGCTATAGTAGTTCCCCCTCATCCACAGTTTCCTTTCTACAGTATCCGTTACCCACAGTCAACTGCGGTCTGAAAATATTAAATGGAAAATACCAGAAGTAAACAATTTATAACTTTTAAATTGGGCTGCATTCTGAGTAGTGTGATGAAATCTCACACAATTTTGCTCCATGCCACCAGGATATGAATCATTCCCTTGTCCATAGTATCCACGCTGTATATGCTAATTGCTGGTCATCACTTAGTAGCCATCTCAGTTATCAGATCTGTCAAGGTGTCACAGTGCTTGTGTTTGGATAATCGTTATTTTACTTAATTATGGCCCCAAGTGCAAGAGTAGTGATACCAGCGTATTGTTATGCTTGTTCTATTTTGTTTTTATTTATTGTTCTTAATCTCTTGCTGTGCCTAATTTATAAATTAAATGTTATCATGGGTATGTACATATAGGAAAAAACATAGTAAATATGGGTTCATTAATCTGTTCTCACACTGCTATAAAGAACTACCTGAGACTGGGTAATTTATGAAGAAAAGAGCTTTAATTGACTCACAGTTCCACAGGCTGTACAGGAAGCATGGCTGGCAGACCTCAGGAAACTTACAGTTATGGCAGAAGGTGAAGGGAAAACAAGCACAATCTTCACATGGCAGATCAGGAGAGAGAGAGAGTGAAGGGGGCCAGTGGAAAGGGTTGCCCTGGCTGAGAGTCTGGAGCAGGGGCCCTCATGGGACCTGGCTGGCAGCCTCTCAGCAGCCTGGCCACCCCACATGGGTTGCCCACATGAGCTGAGCCAACACCAATTAGTCCCCATTTATCCTTGTTTAAGGCTACACGCTTTTAAACAACCAGATCTCATAAGAACTTACTCACTATCATGAGAACAGCAAGGGGGAAGTCTGTCTCCATAATCCAATCACCTCCCTCTGGATCCTTCCCCCAGCACTGGGGATTACAACTCAATATGAGATTTGGTTGAGGACACAGAGCCAAACCACATCAGTAGGGTTCAGTACTATCCACAGTGTCAGGCATCCACTGGGTGGGTTGGAACTCATCTTGTAGATAAGGGGGCACAACTGTATTTTTGCAGAGGGGTTGTGGCAGTTTCCAGGGACTGCTTCTTCATACCTGCAGAACCAGGGCAGGATTCCTCAGTGCACATTAAGCCTTCTGGCTGTGCCTGCAGTATTCCCCACTGATCCAGCAAAGCAAAAGGGCCCACCATTTTCCAAGCACACTGTGGCCTGCTTTCATCCCTGTTGTTCTCTCTGTAAAACACTTAATTCTCCTGGAAAGGGAGTCAGTGCAGCCTGGGGACAGCAGAACCATCTCTGAAGCAGCACAGTTGCTGGATGGATTCCAGTTCTGGCTCTGGCACACTTGACTTTGTGACCTTCAGCAAGCAGGGTACTACCCCTCTGGGCCTCTGTCTGCTCGTCTGCAAGATGGGGTTAGTAATAGAGCCCACCTTGGTTTGTTGGAAGGATCATGTGAGTTAATCTAAACAAAGAACTTCCCACACTGCCTGGCAGGTAGTTATCCCTCTGGGTTTTCTCTTATTGTTACCCTCCCTTTTCACTGGTGAGCCCCCATCCTGGGCAGAGCTCAGCAATCCTCTTTCAGGCTCCTATACCTCCTGCACACTCCTCTTCTAGCCTGAATCACACCTTGTGCAGTGATGTATTTTCCTCCAAGTCTTCCTACGCTAATGCCAGCTGCTTGAAGGTAGAAAAAATAGGATGGATTCATCTCTCTGCCTCCATCTCCCCTGTGCCAGGTATAGAGGAATTATCCAGAGAAGGGTAGCTGGTCTGCAGCAGTAAGATCTGGACCAGAGATGAATCCGGTCGGGAGGAGAAAAGGAGGAACTAACACAGCAGGAAGCCTGGAAGGGCAGCTGCAGCCCAGAGGGGCAAGGACACCAAATCAAGGAGGAAACGTGACTGCAGGGGGGTGGGGGGGGGCAGCCTGGACAACAGCACAGCAAGGACAGCAGTGCTGGCAGCAATCACGATAACGACACTGCAACATACCAAGTGCTGCCTACACGTCTGGCGATGCAGTAACTGTTTTTAATATATTGTCTGCAATCCTTGTGACAATTTTAAAAATTGGGTTTAAGATGCCCGTTTTCTGATGAGGCCCAGAGGTGCAGTGATTGATGCAGGCCACAGAGGATTCAGCCTCCAATGGCCTTGGTTGCCAGGCTGACACCTTTCCCCTTACCAGGCTGTGTCCCTCTGCTCTCCATGCCTTCCTGGTGCATCTGAGAAGCTTAGAGGTTGCAGGGCTCTGGCGTGCAGTGAGGGTGAGGAGAAGCCAGCCTCTCACCGGCAGGCTCAGCTCTGTGCATCCATGTTAAGCGTCCTGTGTTCATCAGCTGAAGCCAGATCCTTCTGGATTGTTGGAAATACATGCTCTGTGTCCATTCCAGGCTGTTAGTGAGATTTCTTCACCCCACTCCATACTTAATCAGCCATGATTTTGCGGGAAGCTCTTTGCCACATGCTTTTCTCCTAGACACTAATAATATATAATCATGTCTGTGGTGCACTCAGAGGTGGAAGAGGCTAGAAAGAAAGGGAATAGGGCCAGTGGAAAGGGTTACCCTGGCTGAGAACCTGGAGCAGGGGCCCTGATGGGGCCTGGCTGGCAGCCTCTCAGCAGCCTGACCACCCCGTATGGACTGTCCACATGAGCTGAGCCAACAATAATTAGCCCCCATGTAGCGTTGATTAAGGAATCTAATCTCTTATCAGACCTGATCACCAGCCTGTGCCACCAGAACCTTTCAGCCTCTGATTATTTTTACTTTGTGCTCTCAGAGGCGTGCTGATGAATAACAATAAGGGGCCGGCAGCTACAATGCGGAGTCCACATTTGTCTCAGTGCTTTGGGAAGAACAAGGTTGGAAAGTCTCACACCAGCAGTATAAGGAAGAAAGGGATATCAGAGACACCCATGTGAAGTTGCTCAGATGTCAAGACCAGCCTCCTCACTGTACAGATAGAGAAACTGAGCCCCAGAGAGGGAGGGAACTACCTCAGGTCACACAATACATTTGGCTGAGTAGACTTATAAAGAATCTTCCTCATTTCATAAAGCTTCTAATTATATCCTCTTGTTATTTCACGCGAATCATGTTTCTTTGCCTACCAACCCTCTGTTCCCCCAAGCCCCCAAACTTATCCTGCTTCCTGAATTACAAGAGAGATGCTGATTTCAAGAAACCAGACCAGAATATATTAGAGGAAGAATCAAGGGCTGGAATTTTAACAAGATTTGGAAAAGTGGGAGATCCAAGTACTACCCACTCATTTTACAGATGGGAAGGCTGAGGTCCAGAAAGGTAGAATGATTTGCAGAGGATTCAGGGCTGTAAAATGTATCCCCTGATGACATTACTTATACTCAACAGTGCCCAAATTATCTCATTCTTTTACAAAATAATTGTTTGCCACTTAATTTTCCCTTTTCTCCTCTCCCTCTTACTTTAGTCTCTCCTTCATTGACTTTGTCTCTCTCCAGGGCTCAGGCTTTGCTTGAGTGGGATCTCTGAGTGGGACCCCTGGGTAGAACCAAGGCAGACCTGCTGAAAGAAGCTTCAAAGGGTCTGAACGTTGGTCTCAAGTGACCCTGCTCTTACCAATAGACTCAGAAAAAATTGGAGCATAAAAGTCACAGGGAGGCAGAGTTATTGATAAGGTTGGAAAAATTGGCTGGGCCAGTAATGAAAGGCTTTGACTGGGATATGTGACTTCTACCCTGAAGGCAACTGAAAACCACTGAGAGTTTTTGGGGAGGGCCATGGGTGCAGCTGTTCTTTGAAAAGATAACTGGCCAACAGTCAGATCAGATGTAGGGACACAGAAAATAGGTTCATAGCACATGGACAATGCTGAGGGCCTGAACCAGGCCAGTGGCAGAGAAGAGAGATGGGAATAAATGGGTCTGGATAAAACCAAAGCGGTAGAATCAGTGGGATTCAGATATCACTCAGATGCTGAGAGTACAAAATAGGGCCCCATTAGAAGTTTTTCTGAAGTTTCCAATTAGGAAAGAAACTGGTACCATTACTTATAGAGATGTAGACATCTAGGTTTAAAGTACATCAGAAACTTTTGCCAAAATAACGCTGCATATCAATCACATTTTATTGTCCACAACTATAAGTAAGCATCTTTTTCTCCTTTGTCACACATCTGGGTGGACTGATCTAGCCAGGACTCAGCTGCCCTTGGCTCTAAGCTGAGGATGAATCCAGATCTATTCCACACATCTCTCATCCTTCATGGACCAGCCACAGCCTGTAGATGTTTTTTCTAATGGCAAGAGGCAGGAGTACAAGAGGGAAAGCCTATCCACATAAATATATTTCCAACTTTGATTATTTAAGTCCTGGCTCTCATCATCCCATTGATCAAAGCAAGTCATATGCCAAGCCTGAAGACAAAGGGAAGGAAAGAAAATTTACTCTTCCCACAATTAACCACTGCAAAGAAGCGAATGCATAATTAAGTACTACAGAGAAATGACCCTCAGTGTCTCACACATGATCATTGTCAAAGGCAGCTGTCCTTGTTATTGTCCTTGTGGTTATGTTTATTGTTGTGATGTTTGTGGTGGTGTAAGCAAGCATGAGCTTTGGAGACCTGGCCCTATGACCTAGGGCAACTGACTAGTCGAGTGTTAGCTTCAGTTTCCTTATTTTACAAGGAGGGCATCAGTACCTTCCTCCTTGTACTAGTCATGGCTGTGACATGCAATGACACATGTCAAATGTCACATACCACTTTTAGCACAAAGCAGGCTCTCATAATGTTATGCCCAACCCATACTTTTCCCACTACGTGCCTGGCCCTGAGTTGAGTTACAGAGCTACAGAGGTGAAGAGTCCCAAGGTGGCTCACTTGGAGTCAACATGGGGAAGGGATCCATGTTTATTGCTCTGAGGGCCCAGAGAGATGTCTTTTCAAACCACAGTGACAAGAAGAGCAAATAAGAAAGTGAACAGCAGGCAGCATCCCTGGCCGGTGATGATAAGTGATGACTGAGTTAGAAGCAAGTGAAAATGGAATCATAGAATGACAGGGTTTGGGGAGGGGAGTCAGACAGCCAGGATGGCTTATGAAGGAGGCTTTGCACTCTCATGGGCAAGCCATGAGCTCCTCTGTGCTGCTGGGGTGGAGGAGGCAGCGGCCTCTGGCTTATGCCTTGTCCGTGCCCATACCTCCTTCAGCAGGGGCTGCCATGGACACAGGCAACATGTCTTCGTAGCTCTGGAAACACAGGAACAGCTTCGGGGATTATCTCATTCAAACTGCTGGAATTTGAACAAGATCTCAGCCTCTGCAACATAGTTAGGTCTCATTTCACCAAAAAAAATTAAAAATTAGCTGGGAATGATGGCACGTGCCTATAGTCCTAGCTACTTGGGAGGCTGGGGCAAGAGGATCTCTTGAGCCCAAAAGCTCAAGGCTGCGGTGAGCCATGATTGCACCACTGAACTCCAGCTTGGGCAACAGAGCAACACCCTGTCTCTAAAAAAATAATAATGATAATTTAAAAAAAAAATCCCAAATTACAGATAAAGAAACTGTGGTCTTTTGGGTTTTGCAAAGGGCACATCTTGGATTTTTGACCATCTTTCATTCTAAGCACCTTTCCTTTCTGCTAAAACAACATACTGGATGGGCCTTTCCTACCCAAGAACAATAATTATATGAACCCAAACAGCTGTTTTGTGTTCTCAGCAAGAAGAAATGTGCCAAAGACTGTGCTGAGGATTTTTCAAGTACAGCACTTGATCCTTCCCACAGGCATATGGTGTCAGCTCCATTATAGGTAAAGGAAACAGGCTCAGGGAGAGAAGAATCAATTTATCAGGTTCTTGCAAATTTGAAGTGGCAGGCAGATCCAGGATTTGAATGCAGTACATGATGATTTCAAGGCCCACCCACACTCTGAACTATTTCACCAGCCTACTGGCCTTATGTGGTTGGCAAGAAAGCATTGTCCTGTTTGGAAGAGCCTCACAGGAGATGAACACAGATTGTTCATGATCAAGGTGTTTTGTTGTTTTTACCCAAGAGTTTCTGGACTGAGAATGCATATAACATAGAAAAAGACCTCAACAAATGGCAGCCAGGAGACATGAAGAGTAAATCTTTTAAAACCAACACAACTCATCTACTGCTGATAACACAGTTCTGGTAAATAGCCAGATAGAAAACCATCCAATTGAATTCCCTTATGAGAACCAATATAGTGAAGAGAGTAAATTCTTTTTTTTAGGTCTCCATTACTAACAACATATACATGTATGTTTTTAATGTACTTAAGGGTATTTCAAATTCATTTTACTGTTTAAATAATACCTGTTTGTCAATGCTCTCATTTTTAGAAAACTTGGTAATGTCAAAAATGTACAGAAAAATTGATGCAAAAGACTTCAGGATGCATTGAACTATTGATACCACCAATGCAGCAAAAGGACACTGAAGTGGTGGCCAAGAGCCCTGGGTTTCCATCCTGGCTGGCCCAGAGGCTAGGCCAGTGATTTGGACAAACTCCTTTACTCTCTTAGCTTGAGTTTCCTCTTCTGAATAATGAAACTGGGAAAGTTTGAACTAGCTGATCTTTAAGGGTCTTTTCTGCTCTGATGTAAAATAGAATTCTATTTTTGACATTTCATCAGCACTTGTGTTTGCACTCTTTGTTTCCTTGGCAAATACCTATCTTGGATGTAGAAAGTTTCTTCCAGTCCTCAGCAGAGTCATCATTATTCTAAATGAACTCAGCCTAAATTCATGGTAATCATGATATATGTATGAATTCACTCATTCATTCATTCATTCAATAATTGAGTTGCCTACCCTTTATCAGGCATTATACTAATTATTAGAATACAGGATGATTAAGAAAATGTTTTTGCAATCAAGAAATTCCCAGCTTAGTGGGGGAACAGGCAAGTAAAAAATTATTGTCCTATTCCATTGGCATAGGCATCACTATTGTGAAATATATCCCTTCATCTATTTAGCATTTATTTACTGAATCCCTACTCTGTACCAGGCAATGCAGGAGGTGCTGAGATGCAGTGGTGAGCAAGGAAGGTACTAGAGTTATAGGGATAGGGAGTTCCCTATCCCTATACAGGAGTTCACAGTCAGCATGGTTACATGCATCCCTAGAGAGCTGTCATTTGATGGCCTTGCTGCTCTGGGTGTGCAGAAGCAGAGTTGAAGAAAGGAGTCACCCAGGGAAGAGGTTAATTACCCTCAGCTCTGGCTGTCAGAGGCTTTTCATCTGTCAAGAAGGAAATGCCTGGTTGCAAATAGTGGAGATTTAGCTGAGCCAGCAAAATAGGAAACAGGAGTCAATAAAGCCAATACCTATGGCATTGATGGAGATCTTGCTAGAGACACCCAGGCTGCTGCTAAGAATGATTGCAGCTGAAACTAAAACAAACAGTATCCAGAAAGCAGAGGTTAGGGATTTGGAAAGGCAATGCAAACAGCAGAGTCTTGGTGCTCAGAAGTGATGAGTGATCTACTCCAACCTTCCATTTTACAGAAGGAGAAACTAAGGCCCCAAAAGGAGGTAATTTGTGTCTCTACATGTCTAATATGTAAGGAGTTAGGGGTGATAGTTTTGTCTAAATGTAAACATATACCAGAACCCAGTGGCCAGCTTGGAATTAAAGGGAAGGAAACACTTTTCTTTTTTTTTTTTAATTCAACTTTTATTTATATAGGGGGTACATTTGCAGGTTTGTTACATGGATATATTGCACCCATGTAGTGTGCATAGTTTCTGGGTAGTATGACCATCAGCTAATTGTCACCTCAACCACTAGCTTCATTCTTCACTATTTCAATTACTTCTTACATCAGCTCTAGGAGATGGACATTGCTATCATCCCTATTCTGTAAATGAAAGCTGAAACCAAAAAGGCGACTTCCCTAAGGCCACACAACTAGGGAGAGAACAAGAGGATGGGACCGGGTCCATCTGCTGCTAGCACTCGGGGGCTTTTCCCTCTGCCTACTTTCCGTTCTCCAGGAAGCCTCATGGGGGTCTCCAGGGTGAATGCCTCTTAATTGCAAAATATATATTTGTTGTATAATGAGCATCAGTAATTAATGATCCATTCTGAGTCAGGGAAAACTTGCCTGGTAAGTGCACAAGGAGGAGAGAAAAACATAGCAGCACCCTTTTTCTGAATAAATTTCTCAATGTCACCAATATTTCCAAAAATGAGAGAAAGAGGAAAGAAGTGAACTGTGGTATTTCCTGCAGAGTCACTGCAGGAGAGATAGGGACCTCAGCCTTTGCCCTTTCCATAAACAAGAGGGATCCTCCTTGTTGGCCCCTCCTCATCCACCCCAGCCTGACTTCCTGCTCCTTTGCCAGAGGTAACCATTTTACCTCTCCCATTATGAATCATGAGGCCTGTGGCTTGTAGCAGATCATAAATCAGTCCTGGGAGTCTGGAGGACAAATCCCAGGACTTTTAATCTTTAATATTAGACGTGTTTAAAGTGGTGAATATTTCATGAAGGGACTGTTGCATTTTAACACTTCTTTAGTGACTCCTGCCCCTCCTCGCTTTGGTAAATTATTTACATCCACATTCAAGGCTCTTAGCCTTTTCCTTCCATTCCTCTTACCTCTGGCAACAATCAGTTCATTAGGTAGCACTACTTACAGCACTTCCTCTTGGTGGAAGACCCCAGGCATGATGTTGCAGGGAAGGAGTACAGAGAGCATTCCTACCTGTGAGCAAGCCCTCCTTATTTTTCAGGTAAGCAGATGAGAGGAAAAGGACATGTCTTCTGTCTCTCCTTGTATCTTTCAACAACCTCATTCTGAATATTTTGAATACTATCTCTGACCCATTCTTCACTCCATACTCTGTCTTACTACCATTTTTGTTCAGGCAGCGTTCATGAAGCCCAGGCTATTTGTCAATGGGTGCTGGGAATACAAAGATTAAGCAGCAGTGTCATCTATAAAACAAGTTACAGTGTTTTTAAACACTCAGAATGCTTCATATAAGGTCAAATATATAACACTTACAGTTCATCAGAGATAACAATAAGTTTACTTGATGAATGCATACATTTCAAAATCCAGAATTAAGGGTGATAGTTGTAGAACCCGTGTTACCCTAGTATTCTATTTACTACAATATTTTGTTTTAGTTGTATAAAGTTGAGAAAATCCTGATTCCCAAAATATGTAGTTGCAAATAGCATGAGGTTGTTGGCATCTTGACTCATCCTCAGTATCTTTTTAGATGAAACAAAGATGAGAGGAGATTTTTTTTTTCCCTGAAGCCTGCATAAAATAAGTTTATCTGGCAACTGATACTTTCTTCAGTATCCTAAATTCTGGCATGTGATATCTGAGTGTTTATTCTTGTTTTTATATTTTTAACAATTTAAAAAATAAAACTTTTAAGAAAAATTAAAATATAAAATTTGCATAGTCCCTAAATCTCTGTTAAGTAATACATTTCCATGGACATGATTTGAAAACTTTTGGGTCCTGTCTATCAGAATCACTGTAGGATCCAAGGGTGACAGGTTTATCTCTCTGTGTGTGTGTGTGTGTGTGTGTGTGTGCGTGAGAGAGAGAGAGAGAGAGAGATACATACAGAGAGAGATACAGAGAGAGATAATGAGATAATGTGATTACAAGAAGATGAGAAAGAAGACAAGCCAACATCATTAGCCTGGAAATTTACCAGAGCAATAACAGATAGTTAATTATTCATTCAACTCACATTGTTAAGCACTGACCCTATTCTAGGCAGTAAGCAAAGTCAGGGCGGTTCCTACTAGCATTTCCCTAGAGGTGTTCCATAGAATTATAATCCTGTGAGTCATTCCACCAACAAGGCTCCCAAAGAAAAATAAGTTGGTGAAAATTGTGTATGTATCACCCTCATGGAGAATCACACTACACTGGCTTTGAGGAATGGGGTGGTATTACCCAAACACATTTTTAAATAGAATCTGTTTTTGGTACAGCATCTTTAAGCATCTCACAAATAAACCTTGGAGAAAAAAGCAGTAACTCATTAAATCAAAAAATATTTCTAGGCCAGGCGTGGTGGCTCACACGTGTAATCCCGGCACTTTGGGAGGCTGAGGTGGGCAGATCACTTGGGTTCAGGAGTTTGAGACCAGCCTGGTCAATATAACAAAACCCCATCTCTATCAAAAATACAAAAATTACCTGGGCATGGTGGTGCATGCCTGTAATCCCAGCTACTCGGGAGGCTGAGACGGGAGAATCACTTGAAGCTGGGAGGTGGAGGTTGCAGTGAGCCGAGATCACGTCACTGCACTCCAGTCTGGGTGATGGAGTGAGACTCTCAGTCTCAAAAAAAAAAAAAAAAAGAAAAAGAAATTCTATACCTTAAGTATACAGTAGAGCAGATATGACAACAGCTGGGAGTAGGACAGAGAGATTCTGAAATCACTTCTAGGATTCTGGACTCTGAAGATATGCTAGGAAATTGGACATATGCTGGCCACTTGAAATGAACTTGGCCAATGAGAGAATATACTTAAGGCAGTGTGTAATGCTAGCAAGCATTCATGCAACCAAGCGTAAGGCATGGCCAGAAAAAAAAATAATGGATGGTTGGATGGATGGATTGATTCATGAATGAATGGATGGAAGGGAAAGAAATGAAAAAGAATGGCAAGAGAGAGGGAGAGGAGAAAAGAGGACAAGAGAAGAGATGGCAGTAGAAGGAAGGGGAGGAGAGGAAAAATAATTTAAAAATGAAAAGCAACACAAAATAAAACCAGGAGACTACAGACAGGTTTTTCTGAAAGGGGAAATCAAAGGTTTCTTGGAGATAGCGGCATTTAACTTGGGATTTATGGATGGTGAAGACCTATTCATTCAGATGGAGATAATTCAATTTTCTGATTATACCTCTAGAGTAAATGCATTTTATCATAATTTTAATATTTGAAAAGAAGACCTCCATTTGTAGCCACCTGATCACTTCCTGTTTCCCTGTCTTAAGTTGTGAGCTCCTTTAGCGGCTGGGTTGCAACTTTGACCTCTGTATCTCCAGTGCTGAGCTGAGCACCTGTACGAGTGTGGCCAGGATTTGTTGAAGGAATAAATGAGTGAATGAACAAAGGAATAAACTCTGTTAACCACAGTGGTTGATGGACAAGATTACCCTCTTTCCATGTGCCTTTTCTAAAACTAAGCAGCTCACTTTATGTCTTAGGAAAACAAGCAAACCAGAGAAAAGCCTATTTGGGGAGACTCTACTTAACAATAATCTTTTTTCTTTTCACTTACAGGAGAGTGCAGCTGTCATGAAGGCTATGCCCCTGACCCTGTTCACAGACACCTGTGTGTGCGCAGTGACTGGGGACAGAGTGAAGGGTGAGTGGCAAAGGGCATCAGGTCCAGGACAGTGCAGGACCCACTTTTACCTCCTCTGTTCTGTTACCAGAGGCCCCAAGCATCTCCACAAAGAGGACTCTTTCTCTGCAACAGTAGTGTTCCTGCAAAACCCAATGGGAAGTGAATCCTACTTTCCCATGGAATCACATTTTAGTATTAAAGGTACATGATTGGTGAATATTCTAGAGAACAAAGGCTGACATTTAAGTCACCTGTCCAAACAAAGTAATCAATGAACACTTTCTTAAGTGGACTGCCAAAGAAAAGAAGAACATTTTTAAACAGACTCCTGAATGGACATGCATACTTTATGAAAGTGCTGAATCCTTCTGTAAATTGGAGACATTCTTTTATAATATAAGTAGTCTTGCCCAATAATTATTTCTGCAGAGTTTGGTTGTTTGTAAAGCTACTCTAGAGCAGTGTCCACATGTGAATTCTACCTGCCTCTGACTAATGTCATCTTCTCTCCCCTCTCCTTCTTCCCATAGACCTTGGCCCTACACGACACTTGAGAGGGGCTATGATCTGGTGACAGGGGAGCAAGCCCCTGAAAAGATTCTCAGGTGAGTTGGCTTTCTTGTTGGGGCATAATTCTGGGAAATGGAGAAAGGACTGATAGGAAGATGTGGTCATGGATCCTTAGACTATTGAGCCTGTGCACTTCTGAGCTGCACTGAGTACAAAAGAACTCTCCCTGGCACTAATGTACCATCATGGCGCAGGTTGCTATGGGAATCTAATTCCCATTTGTCTGGCAGCTAGACTTATAGACTCAGATACTTGAACTGGAGGAGACATTACTGATTATTAAGTCCAGTGGTTTAAAAATACTCTGTAACCATAGAACCTCTTCCCACCACCTCCACAAAATCTTGTGTAAAACTTCAATGAACATGTAGATAAAGACATACAGCAAATTAAGTGGCAGAACTGGGAATCAAATTTTAGTTCAAACTGATTCAAAGTCCGTGCTCTTAACCTTTGTGCCAGACTGTCCCTGCTGACATAGCAGTCGCTTATGGAACTCCTGCTGTATGTCAGGACTGCTGGAAAATCAGAGCGGCAATGGTCCCTATCCTCACAGAGTCCACTAGTAAATCAGGAAAAGGAACTTAGCAACACAAAGCAATTCATGAGCTAAATGTTTAACAGATTTGAGAAATGATCATCCAGGTCTGGAGAAAGTTGGCCAACATTGTTCCTTAAATAATGCTGGGGATATGGATGGAGAAGTAGGAAATTGCCCTAGAAGGGATGGGAACAGGGGCCCCTTTTTTCTGTTTGCTCTCTGCTTCCCAGGGAGTTCCCCAATGGAAACTCTTACATTGCAGGTCTACTTTCAGCTTGGGCCAAGGCCTCTGGCTTCCTGTCAGCAAAAGCTTTGTGGTTCCGCCTGTGGAGCTGTCCATCAACCCCCTGGCCAGCTGCAAGACCGATGTGCTCGTCACGGAAGACCCTGCAGATGTCAGGTAGGGAATCATCTCCAGTACTCTGCATAGGTACTTCTTAAAACCTTGGAAGTCCCCCTGTTGGAGAACCACAGGAACCCCTAAGGAGTGTTCTTGCTGTTTAGTTGATGTGAAGAACACTGTCAAATATGCCATGCTCCTAAACTCTTAGATGTGACCTCCATCACTGTGTCTCAATGCCTTACGTTTCAACACTATTGCTTTCCTTTTTGGTTATATTAAATATAAAAGAGGCTGATGCATTATCTAGCTCATCATGGGATCATTAATGATCTTATCTTTACTTAACAGTATGTTGGAGAGTCACAAAGGCAAAAATTTAGAAAATGGGATGTTTTCTGTTGTAGTCCATGGGATGTGCTTTGGGCTAATTTATGAATTTTAAATGTCCAGGCTAAAGACCAGGCGTGGTGGCTCACGCCTGTAATCCCAGCACTTTGGGAGGCCAAGGCAGGTGGTTCACCTGAGGTCAGGAGTTCGAGACCAGCCTGGCCAACATGGTGAAACTTGGTCTGTACTAAAAATACAAAAATTAGCCTGATGTGATGGTGCACGCCTATAATCCCAGCTACTTGGGAGGATGAGGCTGGAGAATCTCTTCAACCCAGGAGGCGGAAGTTGCAGTGAGCTGAGATCGAGCCACTGCACTCCAGCCTGGGGAACAGAGTGAGACTCCATCTCAAAAAAAAAAAAAAAAAAAAGTCCAGGCTAAATCTTTTGTTCTTAACTTATAAAACCACGGAGACTACATTTCACTTTACATTATCCTGCAGCTTGTAGCTAACTTCATTATAGACTTACTCTACTTCATACTAATTAGATGCTTACATATCATTCTGCCCCATTATGGTGCACTTCTCAAGGTCAAGGAAAATAACTTATTTAGCTTTTTAATCCCCAGCTCCTAGTACATATTGGACATCTATTAAATGTTTATTGATTTAATTAAGTCTGTGGTCTTAGATCTGATCTTAGCACTGTTCTGGAGCTTTCCAGTGGAGGATTTATTTCTCCCAATTTGATTAGGGGAAGCATTCTAGAAATTCTGATGTTACCAAGAATAGAGTAGTTTTACTTCTAAAACTGATTTGTACACAGCTTATTGGCTCATGAACTAGAATTAAATCATGGACCCCCTAACTACCAGTGACTGTTTTTCAACAGCTCCATAGTTGCCTTTGGGTCATTCTAAATCACAATGCTATCAGTATTTCTATGGCATCTTGACAGAAAGCTCCTAGAACCCAACTCTCTTACTTTAAGATGTTTTTACTCTCACCTTGTCAGCTTTCACTGGGAGGGATGAACTTATCATGCTTTTCTAGGCTATTAGCATTTCCCAAAAGAGGATGTTTTAAAAAGAATAGATTTATAAAGAGATGGCACTTAGGATATGAAATAGTGATTACTAGGAACTAAAATAGCTTCACACACACATTCACATACTGATTCATCGATATTTACCATTGTTTTCATTTTTGATAGAATTGAAGTATACGAGATTTTAGTAAAGCATGTGCTAAGTTCTCTCTGCATTATATATTTTAAAGATAAAGCAAGGACCATCTGGTTTAAAAGACTATTCTCAAAAAGACACAGTTACCTCGTTTGAAATCAGCTGAAAAGAAAGTCTTGACTAGCTTTCCTCATAGTTCTGTCCTGTTGACATTGCATCCATGATTTCAATGAAGATTCAGATGATGCAGCTCTCTCAGACTGGCTGATGGTAACACATACTCTGGAGTTGGATAGGGCTGCTTTAGAATTCCATCTCTACCAAGTGTGAACTGTGTGATCATGGTGGCCAAGTTTAATTCTCTACGTTTTCATTTATTTGTCTGCAAAATGGGGATAATAACAGTGCCTTCCTCACAGAGGGTAATAATAATAATAATAATAATAGTTCATATCATCGATCATTTTCTAAGTAAGTGCCGAATACTTCACTAATATTATTACATTCTTACATCAGCTCCATGAGGTGATGCTCATTTTTCAGATTCAAAAATAAATAAACAAACCTGAGGCATAGAGGTAATGCCTTCACTAGTAAGAGATGAAGCCACATTTCAATCCCTGATCTGCAATAGGGGATAAAAGATTGCAATCATCACCATTTGAGAGAATCTGCACTATGTAGATTGAGTTTTCCAAGCTGCACTAATAAACCTTGTTTGACATGACATTGCCCAGGCAAGCATATCATGGGCATTTAGAGAATTAATAAGTTCCAGTCAGATGGTATGTTGGAAATTTAATAAATAATAGATCATAATTATAGATAGCCAATAATACTGCCCTGGAATCACAACAAAGAGATTAGAGGAAAGACTACGTGGAAAAGCAGAGTCAAAGGGAAACGGAAGGTAAGCATTACAGTAGGATTGGAAAGGAAAACTTGAACGTGCACTGCAAGTTGATTCTTTGATTTCTAATCTGTGATAAATTCTTGGACAAGTATGAGAACTCACACTACAGTAGGCAGAACAACTTAGTAGTTAAATGTACAGGCTGTGACTTACCAAGGCAGCTAAATTTAAAACAACTAATGATAACAAATGTTAGGAAGGATATGGAACAACTGTGGCTTTCATATTTTTATAGTGAGAATATAAATAAGTATGACCACTATGTAAACCTGTGGAGTGTTATGTACTAAAGTTGGAGGTATATATCTTCTATAGCTCATCAGTTTCACCCATAAGGATATGTATAACAGAAATATGTAAATGTGTGCCACAAGTAGGACTTACAAAAATACGAATAGAAGCACTCATTTGTACTGCTAGAAAGCTAGAAAAAAAAATACAAATACCCATCAGCGAAAAAGTAGATAAATAAATTATGGAATAATAACACAATGGAATGCCATTAATAATGAATATGAAAGAACACAGTAACCATACATAGCACCTTGGATGAATCTAACAAATATGATATAGAATTTTGGAAACCAGACACAAAATAATATCATATGTTTATATAAAAACAAAAAAAACTAGTTTCATTAATGAGTAAACTAATTTATGATGTTAGAAGAAAGGATAGAGATTACTTCTGGGTGATGGAAAGGGTGGTGACATGGGGAACTACAAGTGGGCTTATGTGATGCTGATAATGTTTGATTTATTGTTATGGGTGGTGGTTACATGAGTGTTTTAACTCTGTGAAAATTCACTGAGCTTCACACTTTTCTCTATGTATTCTATATTTTGATTAAACATAAAGTTTATTGTCTGAGGGCATAGGCTATGGACCTCAAGCAAATTGGCTGAGTGCAAATCTTAACTCCATCACTTGCTTGCTGCAGGAGTTTTTCTGGAGTTGTGGTTTCCCCTTCAGAATAATGGAAATAAAAATCTCATATCATATATGGAGTGATGAAGATTAAGTGACATATTACATGTAAAGCAGTGAGTTTGCTACCTGGTGAACTCTTTAGAAGCATTAGTTATCATGCTCATTATTGTAACATAGTGGCTTTTGTTCTCTTTATCTTTTCATTATTTTCTCATGTTTTCGCTGAAAGGCTAAAGACGACCTATGGTGCAACTGAAAATCGATAGTTGCTCAGTGTTGAGGATTCATATTAACCACTTTGTCATGGGCTTTGAGGAAGACTTAAATGAGTCTATAAATTCTAGTTCAGTATGCTAGGTCTGTGGCTTTATGTACATGGACATGGTTACAGAATGAATGAAGAGTCACATGTGTGGTAAACATAGAGTGCCCTAGGGGACTGGAAAGGATTGGAAAAGAAAGAAGATGTATCCGACTGAGGGAATTAAGCAAATATTTTCAAGAGAGAGAACATTGCCAATTTTTCAAAAACTGTAGCTAAGCTTTGACTTTGTGCAATCTAAGGTGAGGGGTAAGGCTTTCAAGTGTGAGGGGTTGAAGGGCAAAATAAAACTCTCCCCTGGACAGCTCCCATTCTCCAGCCTATCCTAGCAGGAAGCTGCTGGGAATGAGATTTTAGCATTTGAGACACTAACGATGCCAGCTACAAAGGTGGAAGAGCAAATCTCTAGCTGAATTGCATACAGATATATTTTAATTCTGAAAAATCTTAGCTGGATCCCTCCTGTGTACCAGATACTATGCCATATACCACAGGAATACAGAGATAAATACAGCCCACCTCTGCTTTCAGGAGTTTCATGGTATAGCAAGGAGCATGAAACAAGAGACCAACTTGAGAGATGGAATAAAAGATGCTTGTGGAGGGAGAAGCATGGCAAACAACACTTATTACTGCATACTGGGCCTTCTTCACAATTTCACCTGGAGCAGGTTCTTATAAGATAAATGTGAGAATAGCTATTATAGTTGGAATAATAATCACCCACAAAGCTCAGCTTTTGGAGCGCCTCAGTCATTTTTCTGTGATCTCAAATCAACGAAAATGAAATGGTGAAATACTGTTAATTCCTGAACAACGCTGAAAGAATAATGGGATATCAGAGTGCAAGCTGGCATGGCTCACTTGGTGATAGTTTTCACATTGAGTTAGTTCTGAATAGAATTAGGAATGTCTCCTTGTTCTTTTGGCCTTTCAATTCCAAGTACTGAGAATTTACTGAACACCTACCATATTTTAAACTAAGTAATAGAGATATAAAAATAAGACAAAGATTTCAGTGCTTTAAATGAGT